>NC_000015.10:58901874-59526874 GCF_000001405.40 Homo sapiens | reverse complement strand
TGTGTATTAGTCTGTTCTCATGCTGCTAATAAATACATACCTGAGACTGGGTAATTTATAAAGGAAAGAGGTTTAATGGACTCACAGTTCCACATGGCTGGGGAGGCCTCACAGTCATGGCGTAAGGCGCATGAGGAGCAAAGTCACGTCTTACATGGCATCAGCCAAGAGTGTGTGTGCAGGGGAACTCCCCTTTATAAAACCATCAGATCTCATGAGCCTTATTCCCTATCACGAGAACAACAGGGGAAAAACCGGCCCCCATGATTCAATTACCTCCCACCAGGTCCCTCCCAAGACACATGGGAATGATGGGAGCTACAATTCAAGATGAGATTTGGGTGGGGACACAGCCAAACTATATCAGGCTGTACGTTGAAAGAGTGAGGTAACTATTGCTCTAGATGCTGCTGGTCTGCGGACACTTTGAGGACCATCCAGTAGAAATTTCTGCAGTTACAGAACTCTTCCACATTCGCACAGGCAATACAGTAGGCACCAACCATGGGAGGCTACTGAGCGCTTGAAATGTGGCTAGTGCAACTAAGAAACTAAATGTTAAGACATATCTAATTCTGATGAATTTATATTTACATTTAATTGATTTAAATGACCACATATTTTCTTTTTTTTTTCCTTTTTTTTTTTTTTTTTTTTGAGATGGAGTTTCGCTCTGTCGCCCAGGCTGGAGTGCAATGGCACAATCTCGGCTCACTGCAACTTCCGCCTCCTGGGTTCACGCCATTCTCCTGCCTCAGCCTCCCGAGCAGCTGGGACTACAGGCGCCCGCAACCACACCCGGCTAATTTTTTGTATTTTTAGTAGAGATGGGGTTTCACCGTGTTAGCCAGGATGGTCTCGATCTCCTGACTTCGTGATCCGCCTGCCTCGGCCTCCCAAAGTGCTGGGATTACAGGCCTGAGCCACTGTGCCCGGCCAATGACCACATATTTTCTTTTGGCTGGAACCACCATCTTCTAATCATTTGCCTAAATGATGAAAAAAAAGGGAATGAGGAGAAGCACCTGCTCTCTGTTCCCTGGGCCTTTTAGAATGCATGGAGTTGTTCCTTTGGACACACACACGTGAATCTACAAGAAGGGAGATGTTGTAGACATCAAGGGAATGGGTACTGTTCAAAAAGGAATACCTCACAAATGTTACCATGGCAAAGCTGGAAGTCTACAGTGCTACCCAGCATGCTATTGGCATTTCTGTAAACAAACAATATTCTAGCCAAGAGAATTACTGTATATGTTGAGCATATGAAGTACTTAAAGAGCCAAGATAGTTTCCTAAACGCGGAAGGAAAACGATCAGAAAACGAAGGAACCCAAAGAGAAACGTACCTGGGTTCCGCTGAAGCACCAGCCTGCTCTACGCAGAGAAGCACACTTAGTGAACCAACAGAAGAGGGCCTGAGCTGCTGGAACCTGTTCCCTATGAATTTATGGCACAATAGGTGCCAAAAAATTAAGGACCTCTTGACTGTTAAAAAAAAATCCATGTAATTAGTGGCTACTTATTAGTGCAGCAAGCCTCAGATTTTACATTACAATCACCTGCAGGACTTGAAGCAATTTGGTGCGTCCGTCTCAGAGCCTCTGATTCAGTAGGTCTTGGTGGAGCCTGAGAGTTTTCACTTCTTTTCTTTTTTTTTTTGAGACAGACTCTCACTCTGCTGCCCAGGCTGGAGTGCAGTGGCGTGATCTCGGCTCACTGCAACCTCTGCCTCCCAGGTTCAGGCAATTCTCCTGCCTCAGCCTCCCGAGTAGCTGGGATTACAGACATGTGCCACCACGCCCGGCTAATTTTTGTGTTTTTTGTAGAGATGGGGGTTTCACCATGTTGGCCAGGCTGGTCTTGAACTCCTGACCTCAGGTGATCCGCCCACCTCAGCCTCCCAAAGTGTTGGGATTACAGGCGTAAGCCACCATGCCCACATGTACACATACCCGATTCCCCACTTTCATTTCTTTTGGGTAGGGAGCTCCACTTCTAAGCTCCCTCACATGTCTATTGGAAATTGTCAATTCATCTTGGGCCATTTTTGGTTCAGTTCATCTCAAAAAGTTATTTTGTCGTCCCTATAAATCCAGAGCTAAAGGACCTCAGCAGTATCCTTTTATAGAGTAGACACTGCACTGCAGGCCCACCTGACTGAGACTCAGAGTCCAGATTCCGGCTGGAGCAGGAAGTCGGTAAAATGTCCCCCAGTGACCCCATCCCCAGGTGTTCAGCCCCTTGTGTGATCCCCTCCCGCTGTGTGTGTGCTGGACTTGCTTTTCATGAAGAGACTAGTGGAAGTGGTGGCTTGTCACTTCTGAGATTAGGTTACAAAAGACTAGCTTCCTTCCCGTTCACCCTCTCTCTCACTGGTACTGGTGGAAGCAAGCTGCTGTGTTGTAAACAACCTGTCAGGAGGGCTGTGTGGCAGAGCAAGGGACTGATGTCACAGTGCTTTGTGATTCTTTTTCCCCCTGAAAGCCTAGTGGGATAATTACAACTTGAACGGAGCCATCTTCTCTGTTCTGCTCTACACTCCCCTACACAATCCATCTCCCGATGTGCAGAGCCAGCCAGGGACCACGACCTAGGACAGCCCAAGTGCAGGGGATGAAATGCCTGTGATCCTACAAGTCCTGTGGCACCAACTGCCCCCCACCTCTGGTGCCTCCACATTGATACAGCCAGGGGAAGACGTTTGACAAGCTAATTAGATTGCCTCATTACGTATTTGGAATCGGGGCATTAAAAAGCGAGGGTAGTCAGATGGCAGGAGGCCAAGCTCATATAGATATGGCTGATGTCAGTGGCCTAGCAAGTCACTTATGTGGGAAGCCAAAATGTCTTCGGAGGTAGTGTGGTATGCTGGTAAGGCTCCCAGAGTGCGGAAGTAGGCGGCCTGGCTTGAATCATGGCTCCCATTTATCAGCTATAGGACTTGGGGCAAGTTGCTTAACCTTTAGGTGACTCTGTTTTCTCATCTGTAAAATGGGGAAATGGTATTGAACTCAACTAGTTAAAATGAAAAGAGTTGACATACACAGGGGACACAGCACAGGCACACAGCACACACCCGAGAACTGCCAAGAGACAAGAAGGCTGCAGAGAAGGCCCTACAGCCCCGAAGCCCACAGACCAGCAGCTCCCAATGACATTCCAGTCGTCAGAGGAGCTGCCAGGACTTGAGCACTTTATTTCAACCATCAAAGCGTTTCCACAGAGAGCAAACAGAAATATTTCCTATGGCATTTTACCTAATTAAGTCTTCAGCTCAACACTGAAAGACTTTTCAATTTAAAAATCATACACCACATTTATGTGAAAATTTTATTTTTCTTTTTATTGCAAATTTCTGGTAAAGGAAAGAACATGGAAGCTGATTCTCATTTGAGCTTTGGTGAGAAGAGAACTGCACTGTGGCTCGACAGCTCACCACCTCGGCTGCACACCCAAACACGCGGAGGCCTCGGGCACGCACTGATGCCTGCGACCCACCTCCCAGAGGTTCTGACTTAATCGGTCTGGGAGGCACAGCGGGGCATCAGTAGATTTCCCAACTCCTCTGGATGATTTCAACATGTAGCCAAGGTGAGCACACCTGCGGTGGCTCATCTCAAGGGGCTGGCAATGTCAGAAGCACCTGAGAAGCTCAGCTGACAGCCAAGTGTCACCTGCTTACATCACTCCTTGGCCAGAGTCCAGCTGGTGTTCCCCGCCTCCCTCTTCCCAGGTGTCGATGTTCTGATTCCTTCTCCTCAAAGACCCCACAAGACAGAGATGCTGGAGGGGGTGTGGCTTCCTGTGCTGTGGTTTGTGCTTAAACGTGGAGAACCACATGAACCACGTGTACGCTACCACAAAAGAAATTCACTTTCTGATTGCAAAACAGCATTCGCCTTTTTTTATTTGTTAAGTGGAAATTTGTGGCAAAATAAGAAAATATGTGTTGGATAATATAGTCCCTATATAACCTCTCATGTCCAAATTTGAAAAAAAAAATTGTCAAGCCATTGACAGCAAAATATGTACTTTAGCAGCATATTTTATATGGGTAAACAGTAATAGCCAGTTAGACACTTCATTTGTGATTTGTCCTAAAAATAGAAAATGCTTTTTATTTTCCTGAGTCCTTGGCAAACAAAAAACATTTTTTTCTTTTTAATTGTTAAAGTATTCCTGTTTTTCTTTTTCCTGGGACACCCTCACAGTTCAGAACGTTGTGTCTCACTGTCAGTTTTTACATACAGAGATGAACAAACAGCACTGGGGCCAATTTTCAATGACTGATCAAATATGGCGATTGAAAATAAAACACCCATCATCTACAAAGTTGCTCAAGATGAAAGTTTCTTACAGTGCTATAAATGCAATATCAATTTGAATTGTTGTCCATACAAAAGTATGAATTTCTATTCCATTAGTAATACTGAATGATTAATACCTTAACAGCGATAAAATTTTTAGAACATTTAAAAAATACAGAGGATTCCAGTTTTACATCATACTTCTGACGGATTATCATACTTTCTATTTTGTCTGCAAAACTTTTACAGAGTACAGTGCATTGACATGATAAAACCAAGGCACAAAAATACAGTTACGATAAGTGTATATAAACCCTAGCACTTTGTGCCAATTTTGGAAACAGATCATAAAGTCTGAAAAATTACCACATTCTATTTGATT
This sequence comes from Homo sapiens, assembly GCF_000001405.40. Classification (NCBI taxonomy): domain Eukaryota; kingdom Metazoa; phylum Chordata; class Mammalia; order Primates; family Hominidae; genus Homo; species Homo sapiens. Next base: position 59,522,182 of record NC_000015.10, on the reverse strand, counting down.
AGTGAACAATTAATTGTGCAGTAAATAGACTGTTAACCACCATTCCATTATTAAATATATGGCTATCACTATACAGGTTGTGGATAATTCAAAAATAGTTTTAAATATTAAAACCTGTAATATCTAGGTGGTCAACGCAGATATTGAGCCTTACGTTATCTAAATAAGTTTCCATTTAATTTGCAATCCACATGGCAGTTAGCAATTTTTAAACTATTTCCATTACATAAATGGTGGGGTTTATTCTAAATGTTAAATCCTTTCCCCTTACAAAAGACAGAAGATTTACAAGAAGATAACCAATATAAGAAGTGCATAGACAACGATAATAAAATCCAAATTGGACTCAAAGGTTGAAGTCTAATCTACTGGGACATTCTCTTAATTTAGGGTGAGGAGCAACACATTCCTGTGATGATTCATTAGTTTCTTAATTAAAAAAAAATCCCCATGACATTTTTCAAAATAGTAAACAGTCTTCATTAGTGCATCAAGCATTGAAGAAAAATTGTCGTCTTTCCATTCGTAAAATGAAGAAGATAAAAGCCTTTCAAAATCCAGGGCGGGGGATTTCCATTGAATTTAGAGAAGTGAAATAAACTGGTAAAAACTGTATTTCATACTTTTAACAAAAGAGTATTTTCAAGACTCAAGGTAAACATTTAGACCCATAAAAACACATTTCTTGGCACATGCACGCCATGGATGGAACAATCCTGAATGCAGCGATGGCCTGGCTACAGAGGTATCCGGCTCCTAGCCCCACTGGCAAAACTGTCTTTTAGGACCTTGTCCCAGCTCCCTTCACATGGGGGTCTCTGGCTTCTGCATCAGCTGGATTTGCTTCTGTAGCTGGTCCCTGTCCAGCTTCATCTTGGCCTCGAGAACTTGCCTGAGGGATCCTATGCTTTCATAGACGGCTGTAAACCCTTGAAGGAGAGGTAAATTTCACAACAGTTAACAATTTTTTTAAAATGCTGTATCAAATTCTATAGTATCTAGTAATGGTTGATTCAGGCAAAAATTATTAATAGATGCTAAAACCTCTGGGATGAAAGTATGATGGGGAACAGGTGAGTTTCTAGTTTCTCCCTAGAGATTACTTTTTAATTACAAAAAGGAAAAAGGAACTATTACAATGGAGAAGACTGTCATATACCCCTTTAACCAAGTGATCAAATCTCACGTCACCCATACTGGGAGAAACAACATCACGTAACTTCTGAAAAGATACCCTGAGCAGGGCACAACATCACTTCTTGACATTTTTAAAGAATACCAAAATACACAACCTAAATTATATCAAGATGAAGCAAACAGGCCTGGTACGGTGGCTCATGCCAGTAATCCCAGCACTTTGGGAGGCCAAGGCGGATGGATCACCTGAGGTCAGGAGTTCGAGCCAGCCTGGCCAACACGGCGAAACCCTGTCTCTACTAAAAATACAAAAATTAGCTGGGTATGGTGGCGCACACCTGTAGTCCCAGCTACTCGGGAGGCTGAGGCAGGGAGAATTGCTTGAACCCAGGAAGCGGACGTTGCAGTGAGCTGAGATTGTGCTACTGCACTCCAGCCTCGGCGACAGAGCAAGACTCGTCTCAAAAAAAAAAAAAAAAAAATGAAGCAAACAAATCTAAACTAGGGATAGTCTACAAAATGCTGGCTGGCTGGTATTCTTTAAAAAGGTCAACATCACTGAGAAACTGATCCAGATTAATAGAGACTAAATAAAGAAACATGACAACTAAATACGATGTGTAATTCTGGATTAGAACCTGAAGGGCCAACATCACTAATTATAGGAAAAATACAAATTAAAACCACAATGAGTTATCACCTCACACCTGTTAGGATGGCTATTATCAAAAAGACAAACGAGTACAAGCATTAGCGAGGGTGTGAAGAAAGGGGAACACTTGTACACTGTTGGTGGGAATGCAGGATGGGGCAGCCATAGTGGAAAACAGTATAGGGCAGGGGTATCCAAACTTTCAGCTTCCTTGGGCCACACTGAAAGAATTGTCTTGGGCAATACAAATACACTAACACTAATGATAGCTGATGAGTGATTTAAAAAAAAAAATCACAAAAAAATCTCATAATGTTTTAAGAAAGTTTACGAATTTGGGTTAGGCTGCATTCAAAGCCATCCTGGGTCGCATGTGGCCTGCGGGATGTGGGTTGGACAAGCTTGGTATAGAGGTTACTAAAGAAATTTAAAATAGAACTACCATACGACCCAGCAATCTCACTACTGGGTATATTCCCAAAAGAAATTAAATTACTGCCTCATAAAGATATCTGCACTCCCCTGTTCACTGCACCATTATTTACAATAGCCAAGATATGGAAACAACTGAAGTGTGTCCATCAAAAAATTAGTGAATAAAGAAATTGTGTATATATACAAATGATGAATATTATTCAGCTTTACAAAAAAGGAGAGCCTGCCATTTGTCACAAATGGATAAAAATGGAGGACATTATGCTAAGTGAAATAAGACAGATACAGAAAGAAAAATACTGCACGATCTCATATGTGGAATCTAAAAAAAGAAAAGGAAGGAAGAAGGGAAGGGGAGGGGAGGGGAAGGGAAAGGAAGGGAAGGGAAGGGAAGGGAAAGGAAAGAAAGGAAGAAAGAAAAGAAAGAGAAAGAAAGGAAAGAAAGAGAGAAAGAGAGAAGGAGGGAGGAAGGAAGGAAGGAAGGAAAGGAGGGAGGGAGGGAGGGAGGAAGGCAGGCCGAGGCGGGTGGATTACTTGAGGTCAGTAGTTTGAGACCAGCCTGGCCAACACCATGAAACTCCATCTCTACTAAAAATACAAAAATTAGCTGGGCCTGGTGGTGCACATCTACAATCCCAGCTACCCGCGGGGCTGAGGTATGAGAATCACTTGAACTTGCGAAGAATAGGTCGCAGTCAGCCGAGACTGCACCACTGCACTCCAGCCTGGGCGACAGAGCAAGACTCTGTCTAAAAAAAAAAAGAAAAGAAAGAAAGTCAAAAACATAGAGAATAAAATGGTGGTTGCCAAAGGTGGGGCGGAAGAGGAGGAAATGGGGAGATGCAGGTCAAAAGATACAAATTGCTGATATGGAGAATGAACAAGACCAGATGTCTAATGTATAGCATGAGGACTGCAGTCAATAATATTGTATTGTATTTGGGATTTTTGCTAAAAGAGTACATTTTCAGGTGTTCTTGCCACACACACACACACACACACACACACACACACAGACACACACACACAAATACCTGTGAGATGATACATATGTTAACCTGCTTGAATACAGTAACTATTTCACTATGTATATATATATCAAAATATAAACATCTTGTTGTATACCTTAAATATACACAACAATTTTTTTTATTTAAAAAACATGTAATTAGAAAAAAAAAGACACTAGACTGGAAAAGGGTTGCTATAAAGGAAATAATGGCACGTTGAAAATTGAATATTAAAAAATATTTCATTGATGATACATTGTATTAAAGTTATTTATAAGAGAATATCCTTGTTCTTAGGATATATACACTGAAATAATAAAAGGGCAACCAGGCAGCGGCTCACACCTGTAATTCCAGAGCTTTGGCAGGTCAAGGCAAGAGGACTGCTTGAGGCCAGGAGTTCCAGACCAGTCTGGGCAACATACTGAGGACCCATCTCTAAAAAAATTTTTTAAATAAAAAAATGAGCTGGGCATGGTGGCACATGCCCATAGTCCTAGCTGCTCAGGAGGTCGAGGCAGGGGGCTCACCTGAGCCCAGGAGGCTGTAGTGAGCTACGATCACACCACTTCACCCCGGCCTAGGCAACAGAGTGAGCCTCTGTCTCATTCTGTCATTTTTTTTAATTTCCAAAAAAATGGAAATAATAAAGGGGTAAAAAGGCATCATGAGGCTAGGCCTGGTGGCTCTTGCCTGTAATCCCAGCACTTCAGCAGGCCGAGGCGGGAGGATCATTTGAGGTTGGGGGTTCAAGACTAGCCTGGCCAACATGGTGAAACCTTGTTTCTATTAAAAAAAAAAAAAAAAAATTAGCCGGCCGTGATGTCAGGCGCCTGTAATCCCAGCTACTCAGGAGGCTGAGGCAGGAGAATCGCTTGTACCCTGAAGGCAGAGGTTGCAGTGAGCCAAGATCACGCCACTGCACTCCAGGCTGGCAACAGAGCAAGATTCTGTCTCCAAAACAAAAAAAAAAAAGGAAGAAAGAAGAAATATATTGTCTTTGTAATAAAGAAAATGGCTTTATTTTTTAAAAGGCTCAGATGCTTTTCATATTAGGTGCTAAATATTAACATCCTCAATGGTATGTTAAATAACAATACATTCCTTCAGGGAATGATGCGAGGTTAAACATTGATGAAATATTCAAATACCATATTTTAATAGTCCAAAGACTAAGAAAGAAAATTCATTTTTATCTTTACAAGTTCTCCAATTCATATATTTAATTGTAGCTCCTATAAATAAAATAATAAACATTTGGTGGTAATAACAAAATTATTCTAGGGATAACTAGCACTTTTATTTCCATGTGGCCAAAACAGAACAATTTCATAGAAGAAAATTCATGGAATCATACAACTGGAAGAAGCTAGGAGAGAATTTAGTTCCACTTCTCACACTACAGGAACGTCTTCTTCCTGACCACAATCAACCAGCCTCTACTTGAATATTTTCTGTAACAAAGAGCTCTCAAGCTCCGAAAGCCATCAGTCTTTTAGGACTCATTAACTTCAAGGTACTTCTGCCTCATATTGAGTTAAAATCTGTCTTCGGGTACCTTCCACTTAGTGGTCACAGTTCTGTATTCCTGAGTTCAGAGCGTAAATCTAATCCCTCCCATATATGACAGCACTCAGAACTTGAAATCAGTGCTAATGTTCTCCTCTAAGCAAGTGTGAATTAATGCGCCCTGCTGACCTGCCAGTAGAGGAAAATCATTCTTTGCCAGGGTGGTACTGTACTGCTAGCACTATAAAATAAGCCCTCAAAACCCCCTCAAAGATATGTGCTTCCTTCTGAGACATGTTAACCTTGGCTATGAACAGAAAAGAATTGGCCGATGGTGCTGAAGAAAATGTACCTCAGTTGCAGGCTAAGCAATTTCAGTTCTGTTTGCCTGTCTCTCACGGTGGCTCTTTATATAGCTGAAATTCAAACAGCATTGTAGCTACTTAGAAAATACAGCACAGCTACTCAGAAAATCAACTAAGGATATTTCACGGTTATTACCATTAGCCAGGTTCATAGGTAGTTGCAGGGGATACTAATTAATAGGTTTTAGAACAAACAGAAAATAAAGCACGTGAGCTGTTCTGGTTTTGGCCTACCAGCATTAACTTCTGCTTTCATTTCCTTGATGTTCTGGTTCATCTGTAACTCCAGCTTGGTGATTCGCCCGTGCATCTTCTCCTCTTCTTGCCTTGTTCTCTGACCATCAAAAGTCTTCTTTTGACCCTCTTCTATTTTGTCAAGCCTGGCTGACATCTGGCTGAGCTTCTTCTCCATATCCCTTTCACTGGCTCCCTGAGATCCATGATAAGAACTGCACTTAATCACTCCAAAAAGAAATCTGCATTGCATTCACATCAGCCATAATATCGTTTAACAACAATCTGCAAGAAACAGATTTGCAACAGCTGCTTGTTGCCCACCATAATATCCGTTCTCCCTTTCTTCCTTAACAGATCCATGATTTTCGGCTGGGTACAAGGTCATTCAAAACAAAGACTACATTTTCAGGCTGGGTGCGGTGGCTCACGCCTGTAATTCCAGCACTTTGGGAGGCCGAGGCAGGCAGATCACTTGAGGTCAGGAGTTCGAGACAAGCCTGGCCAACATGGTGAAACCCTGTCTTTATTAAAAATACAAAAATTAGCCAGGGATGGATGGTGGTGGGTGCCTGTAATCCCAGCTACATAGGAGGCTGAGGCAGGAGAATCACTTGAACAGGGGAGGCGAGGTTGCAGTGAGCCAAGATCTCGCCATTCCACTCCAGCCTGGGTAACAGAGTGAGACTCTGTCTCAAAAAAAAAAAAAAAAAACCACTACATTCAATGAGATGTAAGTACAAGTGTATATGGCAGCTTCCAGGAAAAGTTAAAAGACAGCTGATGTATCTCCTTACTTCTTCCTTCGTCCTTCCCTTTCTGGAATTCAGCCAGAATGGCTGGAGCTCTAGCAGCTATATTGAATTATGAAGATATGGATCACTCTAGGGTTGGCAAAAAGTTAAACTGGAAGGATCCTGGGTCACTGAGGACTGAGAAGCTATCATACCAGTCCTGCATTACCTATACCCAGACTTCCATTATGCGAAATAAAAAATAAGTTTCTATTTCATGAAAGCCACTATTATCCTGGGGTTTACTGTTAGCTATTAAACCAATCCATATATAAACAGTGATCCAAAGACCAAGAATTATTAGTACAAATGTATTAGTATAAATCCAAGTAAGCCAATTAGTAGATGTGATGGAAATATGGGGAAATACTTAAAAGAACATATTTAATATTTTAAATATATATAAAATCATATATGAAAATTAAGTCTTTCCTTTCCTTTTGCCTTTCCACATGCTTGGTTTTTATGGGAATCTGTGTCTGCCAGTGAGCTTGGAGGCCAAGACTGCAAACTCCAAGCTGTAAGTGGGTTATGGCATGATACTCCTCTCTTGATGGTGCTCAATGCAGAGTCTGCAATTCAACAGCTCCACATCTGGAGAGAGCAGAGTCAGAGATGTACTGCACCAGTCATTTCAGCTCAATCATCAATATCCAACAAGAGGAAACAGTACAAGAAAAGGGAAGGGAGACAGAGATGTCATGCTAAACAATGAAAACCAATGAAACTTTGCTTGCCAGGTACTGGTTTGGGAGCATAACAATTTTGAATACTACATATGCAAGACTTTTTTTTCTTTTTTTGAGATAGAGTCTCACTCTGTCGCCCAGGCTGGAGTGCAGCGTGCAGTCATACCTCACTGCAGTTTTGACCTTCCTGGGCTCAAGGTGGATTCAGGCTCAGCCTCCTGAGTAGCTGGGACTACAAGCGTGTGTCACCATGCTCAGCTAATTTTTGTGTTTTTTGTAGAGATGGGGTTTCACCATGTTTCCCAGGCTGGTCTCGAACTCCTGGGCTCAAGCGATCCTCCCGCCTCAGCCTCCCAAAGTGCTGGGATTACAGGAGTGAGCCACAGTGCCCGGCACAAGACTTTCTTGATATCGTTTTTGAGCAGTTCTACAAACCTTAGCTCTGTGAGAGACTGGGATGAAGGAGAAGGAAAATGGGGAAAAAAATGGTGGATTCTGTTTACATGTTGCACTGTGGTATCTCACATGTAGCTACAGTAGAATGGTGTGATCTGGAGACAGAAATCTATTCAACACCAGGCAAAAAAGCAAACCCAGATCAAGAAATTAAAACAAACAAGAATGAAGTTGGTGATTCTTAGTTTTATGTAGAAACGAAGATGAACAATTTGGATCATTAAGGTTTTAGCTTAACTTCATCTTAACTGAAAGTACTGAAATTTTCTACTTAGTCTTTGTTAACCAAAACAAGTCAGAGTGTTCTATGTCTTTATGAAGAATACAAAGCATCAATATGGAACTATGGAAATGGATTTTAAGGCAAGAAACAATTGAACAGCTAAATCAGTGATAAATTACTAGGTATTATTATTCAAACAGTGTAGGCCCCCACTGAATAACTTTACTAAATTTTTGCTAAACATCAATACCTACACTGTTTTCCTTAACAATCAAGGAAAGCTGATCAATTTTCTGTAAAAGCTCTTTTTCTATCCGTTCTTGTTCCTGTTGCAACCAACTCCGTGCAGATAATATCTGGTTACTGAGTTCCTCAACTGTACCTTTAAATCTAAAAAAAAAAAATTGCAAGTTAGATGTAAAACAGTTTATTTTTTATTTTTTTTATTTTAAGTTCCAGGGTACATGTTGAGGATATACAGATTTGTTACACAGGTAAACATGTGCCATGGTGGTTTGCTGCATCTGTCAACCCATCACCTAGGTATTAAGCCCTGCATCTATTAGCTATTTTTCCTGATGCTCTCCCTTGCCCCCCCCATGCCCCCAAGCCCCAGTATGTGTTGGTCCCCTCCCTGTGTCCACATGTTCTCATTGTTCAGCTCCCACTTATAAGTAAGAACATGTGGTGTTTGGTTTTCTGTTCCTGTGTTACTTTGCTGAGGATAATGGCTTCCAGATCCATCCATGTCCCTGCAAAGGGCATGATCTCATTCCTTTTTATGGTTGCACAGTATTCCATGCTATATAAGTACCATATTTTCTTTATCTAGTCTATCATTGATGGACATTTCGGTTGATTCCATATCTTTGCTATTGTGAACACTGCTGCAGTGAACATACGTATGCATGTATCTTTGTAACTGAATGATGTATATTCCTTTGGGTATATGCCCAGTAATGGGATTGCTGGGTCAAATGGTATTTCTGGTTCTAACAATTTTTTTTAATGACATCATACAATATCAATTTCCAACTATCATATTTCTGGTATATATGCCAACATTAAACTAGGCTCAATCAGAATTACATATTTTCCTTTTCTTAGAATTGCACTTAGCACTAACATGGGAAGCTGGTAAGGCGGGAGAATACAACAGATAAACCATCTGATTGTGCTTCCTACCCACGAGGAGTACGCGGCACAGGCACTGAGGTGACACAGCGACACAGAGCTGGGCCAGCCACAGACCCCGGCAGTTCCGAGGGTCCACGATACTCCTGGCTCAGAGGACACAGTGTCTCTCATCTCCTCTTCTAGGGTCCCCTTCTTCCCCAGGCTCTTCCTCCTAGTCCCTTTTATCTCTTGGGACTAGAACCTGGCTCCCTTTCTCTCTAACGTTCCCCAAATTGCCCTTGTCCTCTATGGATATTTCCTAATGTAAATCAAAAGAAAAATTGAAAGAAAAAAATAAAACCCTCCCATCCTTCCATTCCTCTCCCTTCCCAAATTCCTTATAACTGTCCATACCTGCTACCTCCCTCTTAATTACTTCTTTCCAGTTTTTATTATAATATGTAATAAAATACAGAAGAATGTATGTGATGTAGACATGTGACTTAAATAGTGATAACATGAACACCCATTGTAGTAGAGCTACCACTTGTCCTGCAATATCTGTTCTCTTCTTCTTCCTTATTAAGAAGCCCTCAAATGTTAACTGGGTACATGGCTGCCTAGCCAGAGACCACATTTCCCAGGATCCCTTGCAGCGAGATATAGCCTCATGATGCATCAAAGTCATAAGCACGCCTTTCCAGTCCTATCTTTAAAAACAAAGCTTCTGCCCTGGACTCTCTCCCTGTCCCAGGTGACTGGGAAGGGACGAGGACTGGAGCCTTGGAAAAACCACACTGAGTTGCGACTGCTGCCTGTCTCCTCTGGACCACTGATCTCCGCACTGTTATGTGAGAGCCAGCATGGAAGCTAGCCTGTACCCTAAGTACACAACCGTGAACCCCTGCCAGGTAAGACATGGAACACTGCCAGGACCTTAGAAGACCCAAGTGTACTTTGCGATCACCCCACAACCCAAGAAGTAACCATTAACTGGAACTTATTGTTCTTCATCATTTTATTCTATTGGTTTGGATCTTAAAACAGCATATTTTTCAGCATTGCTTTTTTTTTTTTTTTTTTTTTTTTTTGAGATGGAGTTTCGCTCTGTCGCCCAGGCTGGAGTACAGTGGTGTGATTTTGGCTCACTGCAACCTCTGCCTCTCAGGTTCAAGTGATTCTCCGGCCTCAGCCTCTTGAATAGCTGGGACTACAGGCGCGCACCACCATGCCCAGCTAATTTTTGTATTTTTGTACAGACAGGGTTTCACCATGTTGGCCAGGCTAGTCTCCCAAACTCAAGTGATCTGCCTGCCTTGGCCTCCCACAGTGCTGGGATTACAGGCGTTAGCCCCCTCGCCTGGCCAGCATTGCATATTTTTAAATTTTATACAAATGGAACGTACTAAAGTGTGAGTTTTCTACTCATTTTTCACTCAACATATGTCTGTGAGATTCATTCATGCTGATTTGTATAGCTGTAGTGAATTCATTTTCATTGTTGAATAATATTCAATTTTATGAATATACCACAGCTTATCCAGTCTTCTGTTGATGGACATTTGTTTTGGTTTGTTTTTATCCATCTTTGCTATTAAAAATAATGCTGTTATGGGCCGGGTGCAGTGGCTTACGCCTGTAATCCCAGCACTTTGGGAGGCCGAGGTGGGCAGATCACGAGGTCAGGAGATTGAGACCATCCTGGCTAACATGGTGAAACCCCATCTCTACCAAAAATACAAAAATTAGCTGGGCATGGTGGCACGTGCCTGTAGTCCCAGCTACTCGGGAGGCTGAGGCAGGAGAATCGCTGAACCCGGGAGGTGGAGGTTGCAGTGAGCCGAGATCAAGCACACTGCGCTCCAGCCTGGCGACACAGCAAGACTCCATCTCAAAATAAATAAATAAAATAAATAATAATGCTGTTACAAAAATACTGATACATAGCTCCTGGTTCACATTTGGGAGAATTTCTCTAGGGTCTGAACACGTCCAACTTTTCCAGAAAACACCAGACTGTTTTCTAGAGTGGTTGTACTACTTCACATTTTACTCAGCGCTATAAAGAGGTCCTGTTCCCCACATCCTTGCTAACACTTTCACATATCTGATGTGAACCCGTGTCCTTTGGATTTCTTCTAATGTTTGGAAATTATACCAATTTTATTCTTTTAGAATGGAAATTTTAATACACACATTTAATTTATCAAAGTCTAAAGTTATTCAATGTTTCTAATTTGATCCTGAAAAACTCCTAAGAATAATTTCAGAAATCTTCCTCCTCATTTAGATGTTGTCATTGACCTATATTTTAGTTGTGTTTTGATCCTCTGCAAATCTGACTTTAATATTACTGTTTGTTTAGATTTGCCCAATGTTCATCATATTCTTTGCTCATCCTTTCTTCTTATATTTTGGACCTTCTTTTTGTATTATTTTCTTTGTTTCTTCTTCGTTTTCTTTTTTTGAGATGGAGTCTCGCTCTGTTGCCCAGGCTGGAGTGCAGTGGCATGATTTCGGCTCATTGCAACCTCCACCTCCTGGGTTCAGGTGATTTCCAGCTACTTTCGTATTTTTAATAGAGACAGGATTTCACCATGTTGGCCAGGCTGGTCTTGAATTCCTGACCTCAGGTGATCTGCCCGCCTCAACCTTCCAAAGTGCTGGGATTATGGGCGCGAACCACCACATCCAGCCATGAAGGCTGTCTTTTTAAAATTCCATTAGTGTAGTTTTATTAGTACACTTTGAGTTCTTTTTTTTTTTTTTTTTTTTTTTTTTTTTTGAGACAGGGTCTCATTCTGTCACTTAGGCTGGAGTGCAGTGGCTCAATCATAGCTCACTACAGCCTCAACCTCCTGGACTCAAGCAATTCTCTTGCCTCAGCCTCCTGAGTAGCTGGGACTATAGGCATGCACAACCATATCCAGCTAACTTTGAGTTCTTATTTGTCTGAAACATCTTTATTTTTCCACTGGCTGACAATCAGACTCTCAGTATCTGAAGGTACCAGACCACCTTCTCACCCTTAATATGGCTGAGAAATCAGCATTGGTCTAATTTCTCTCTCTGCTTTAAGATCTTTCTATATTTATTTGGTGTTCTGTAGTTTTAGAGCACCAAACTGATGTGTCTAGACTTGGCTTTTTACTTATTCTACTGGAATGTAGTTGGCTTTCTTTTTTTTTTTTTTTGAGACAGAGTCCTATTCTATTGCCCAGGCTGGAGTGCAGTGGTGTGATCTCGGCTCACTGCTGCAACCTCTGCCTCCTTGGTTCAAGCAATGCTCATGTCTCACCCTCCCGAGTAGCTGGGATTACAGGCCTGTGCCACCATGCCTGGCTAATTTTTGTATTTTTAGTAGAGACAGGGTTTCACCATGTTAGCCAGGTTGGTCTGAAACTCCTGCCCTCAGGTGATCCATCTGCCTTGGCCTCCCAGAGTGCTGAGATTATAGGCATGAGCCACTGCACCCACCATGTATTTGGTTTTCTAAGTTTGAGATTTCTCTTTCATCAATTCTGTATGCTTGTCTGCCATTCTCTCTTTTGATACTGCTTCTCCTCTATTCCCTCTATTATCTCTCATAAGATTCTCATTAGGCATAGGTTGGGCCTTCTCACTCTGTCTCCTTCTATTTGTGTCTATTGCTGTCACAAAAAATCACAACTGCGAGCTGGCCCACCTCCCCTGCAGCCTCATGCCCCACTGCTTCACCCTCACTCCCTGTTCCAGTCACCCTCGCCATCTTTCAGTTTCTTGCATGTCACATTCCTCCCACGACAGGCTATTCAACCTCATATATTCTCATCCTACTCTTTACAGAGCAAAGCCCCATTCACTCTTCAGCTCTCACCTCAAACATCCCTTCCTCAGGAAGGCCCCACAACCAGGCCTCTCACTCATTCTAGTGGCCTCATGTGTTCCTTGGCTTGGAATTCTTTGCCCCGTCCTCAAAGTGCATCACTGCAGTCTCGCTTCCATTGTCACATGGCCTTCTCTCTTGACTGTGACCCTATTGCCTCCCTCTTATAAGGACTCTAGTGATCACATCAGGCTTATCAGATAAAACCCATTTTAAAATCCATAACTTAATCACATCTGCAAAGTCCCCTTTTGCCATATAAGGTAATATATTCGCAACTTCCAGGGATTAGGACATGAAGATGTTTAGAGGACCATTATTCAGCCTACACAACCATGAACCGAACCTTCAACGCACTTACCACCATTAGCAATAATATAGTAGATGCTCATTTATGTCATTGATTAATGGTCATCAGCTCCCCAGACTAAACTCCACAAGGATAAGAACAGAGTCTGGTTTGTGTTCATTACCCAGATCCTCAGCCCCTAGGCCAATGAATACTCAATATACACTTGTTGAATGAATAGGTGGATAATTATCCAAACACAAAAAACAATAATTATGAAGGAAAAGTGGCAACATGATACAAGGAAACTTTTCTTTTTAACTTCCATTATTGTTTTCAATTTGTGCAATAAATAAAAACCAAGAGGAAAAAAATCATAGTATTGCATAAACTCATAAAGAACTTTAAGTTTTATTTTTTTAATAAATTGATTGCTTACTTAGTGTCCAAAAGCTGAAGCTGGTGGTTACTGTCTCTGTGAGACATCTTCAGTTTGGTGCTCTGCTCTGATATTGACAAGTCCACTCTGTTCAAAAGCTGAGAAATCTGGAAAAGAAATCTTGCTTATAAATATCACATCTAACGTCTTCAGATGCAACTTCAGAAAACATTTAGTAAGCCATATTGTAGTCAATGGCATTAAGATTCTATCTAATTTGATAAATTCATTTATAAGTCTACCTCATCTTTCCACCTCCATTTTCTTTCTTATATACCCATCGAAAATCAAGACCAGTAGCACTGCCAAAATATTCATCCTGCACTAAGCACTTAATTTTACACATAATTCTCTGAGGAGCAAGCCCAATTCCTACCCAAGACCGCAACTTCTACCAGCTGTCATGATAGTCAACCTTACCTTGGAATTTCTACCATCAGTTTAACGGCTCGTCATAGAAAATAGAATTTTTATTGTTTACAAAATCCATCAAGGTCTCAGATTTACCTCCATAACAAGTCAGGTCACCAGTCAATATAACTTGTAGACTATCTCCCTCCTGTTCCTTTCTCACACCACCTACCCATGTCCCTTGTCTTTACTGCAATTTAACAAAAACCAGTCCTGTGTGAAATTTCTGCCTTTTCTGCAAAAATTAGAATGTTCCATGTTCCTTACTTAAAGATTCATGGTATTTGTCAGATCCAGAAGAAAGAGAAAGAATGTCTCTTTTGATGGATATCTGTACATATTTGACTTGGCCTGGCTATAAAGAAGCTTATGATTTCCTTAACATCTCTTCTCTGGTGTAGTAATTCCATTCTCACTCATTCTTCAAAAAAGAAATTATTATTGGATTGTCTTTTTATTCTTTTTCATAGTTTTATAATATCTGTATTTTTCACATAAGTAGCTTTATATTCTTATTGGAGATGATTAAGGTATAAATGTATTTAATCCAGTAAGTTAACCAGATGCTCCTATTTTACTGGAATAGTCTCTTTAAACGAACAATAGCAAATAAGGCAGATATTGTAGAAAAAGTCCTAGAAGACACGCCCTATGATGGCAAAGGGAAACTTTTAAGTGGCCAAAAAACAAACTGAAATGCCAAAAGTTTTGCTTTGTGAAATTAATCTGTGACGTTTGAGGTCAAATACTCTCATATTCATTAGCCTGCCTATGCTCTAGCTTTGCCTAATTTTGTCCCACATACAGACTATGTGATGAGGTAGTACATACAATGAGTCCCAGGGAATACATTATTTCCTGAATCAAAAATTGGGACGAGTGGCATGTAAAGGATGCTTGATCACTTACTTGTGCAAGAGATAGCTTTCAAGGTGTCATTTAGAATTTCTGGAATGTATTAGTTGTTCTAGGAATGTGGTGGTGGGGAGTAGAATTAGGACTATACCAAACAATTTTGGTGGTTTGGTTGCCAGACACATGAAGGGCCACTCTAGTGAAATAGGAAAGGAAGAATCAAAGAAAAGATGCTTATGATTGGCATAAACCCATGCTAGATGCCCCAGCTGGTTTCTCCTGTAAGAAATAATCAACACCATGTTATTCTTAGCTAAGAACAAATTACCCGCTTCTAAAAGCTACCTGAAACAGGTCGTACCTGTCCCTCTGCATCTTTGATTTTCGTTTCCAAGATAAGTTTGGCAGCCTGCTGTTCTTTGTTCAAGTGCTGGAGCCCCTCATAGGTCGTTTTGTGCTCTGCAGAAAGTCTAGCTATGCTGGCATCACATCTGTCCAGACAAAGAACAAAGCTGATTCTTATTAAAGTTTAAAAACAATGCGCAAAAGCTTCCTTATACACTCTGAAATGCAAAACCCACTCAAAGAAAGTGCACTATCCATCATTCTTTTGAACAGAGGTTCAAATGAATTCCAAGAGCTGGCCTCATTATGGTTTTTAAGGTAAACCACAGGGATGTTGCTTAATAAGGCTAGAGATGTAACCACCAAAGAAATAAAGTCTTTCCAACGATCATGAGTACAACACTGTATGTGCAGCGAGAGGCCAATACAAAGAGCATAGCTAGTGTGCTGGATGTGGTCTGTCACTCTTCAGTACCACCCCTGCCTTTCGAAGTTGGGGGCCTCCTTGGATTTGGGAGGAAACTTCTACCATGTTAGAAAATATTACTTCTAAACTTTGACTGAATCACTCGTAAGGCTGTATAGTATGAGTAGGGTGTAGAGCAGGGGAAGGCTTTGCAGCCAGTTCAAGCTGTAGTAAAAGCTGCTGCCCTGTGGGCCTTGCAACTTGGCAGATCCAATGGTACTCAAAGTATGTGTGGCAGATGAGCTGTGTGGGGCCTCTGTCGAGTCCTAATAGGAGAGTCACAGAATGGACCCATAAGAGTTTAGAGCTAACTAATGCTCTGTTCTGAGACAATATTCCTCTGTTGAGAAGAAGCTGCTGGCTTGCTACTGGGCTCAGTAGAGACAGAATGCCATTAGGTGACTCTGCAATCGGAGCAATCCATCATGAATACCACACTAGAAGGTGGGCCTAGAACAGCACTCCATCTTCAAGGGGAAGGGTTCAAGCAGGTTCAAAAGGCACAAGTAAGTTACAAGAGCACAGACTCCCACCATGGCATCTATTCCTGCTACTGCACCAACTCTCCTTCAATCCATGCCTATGACTTCTTCATCTTCTCCCTCCTGCTGCTTGGGAGGCTGAGGTTGAGGCAGGAGAATTGCTTGAGCCCAGGAGTTCAAGGCCAGCCTGGGCAACATAGCAAGACCCTGTGTCTACAAAAAGATAAAACGATAATACAAAACAAAACAAAACAAACAAACAAAAAAATCTGTGGCTTCTAGAAGAGTTCTTGATGACCAGGTGGACTGAGGGAGAAAGTCAGGCCTGGCTTACAGATGGTCACACCCAGTATGCTGACACCTTCTGGAATAAGACTGCTGATGCTTCTAAGTCCACTTAGGAGTAGCCCTAAAGATTGTTAGGAAGACAGAATTTCTAACAATATATTGGGAGATTCATTTTGCCTGGAATAAGAGATGGCCAGACATTCAAGGAAAGTGGCTAATGGTTAGAGACTTAGGAAAAAAACTGGAGGATTAGTGACAAGGAAAAGAGTTTACATAAATGGATCATTCTTAAGTGACACAACATTTTTGCTCCTTGTAAATGCTCTTTGTCTCGTAGGGACTGAAGCCCCAAACTATACTTCCCAGACGTCATTGCCAGAAGGGTTCGGAGTTAGATTCTGACAGTGAGAGTCATTTATACAAGACTCAGAAGGTAGAAGAGGAGAACCCTTTATTCTCCCCTGTCAGTGGTGGGCAGACACAGGGGTGAACTGCAGATGTGAGGTGTACATCCACTTCCAGGCAGACACCATCCAGCAAATCACTTACTTCCATGCTATAGGTGGCTAAGATGATCAATGACGCCTTTCTGTGATTTTTTTTTTTTTTTCGAGACAGAGTCTAACTCTGTCACCCAGGCTGGAGTGCAGTGGCGTGATCTCGGCTCACTGCAACCTCTGCCTCCTGGGTTCAAGCCGTTCTCCTGCCTCAGCCTCCTGAGTAGCTGGGATTACAGGTACACATCACCATGCCTGGCTAATTTTTGTATTTTTAGTAAACATGAGGTTTCACCATGTTGGCCGGGCTGGTCTCAAACTCCTGACCTCAGGCAATCCACCCGCCTCAGCCTCCCAAAGTGCTGGGATTACAGATGTGTGCCACCGCGCCCAGCCCTTGTCTTAATTCTAGACTAGACATAGTTGAAGATAGAATCAGTGGCTTCAATGATAGTAGCAAGGAACTCACTCAGAATGTAGTGGACAGAGATTAAAAACATGAAAAAATAGTTAAGAAACATGGAAGTCAAATAGAGGGATGTTAACATAAGTCAAGGAGGAGTTCCAACAGAAGGAAATAGAGATAATGGCAAAGAAGCAATATTTGAGGTGTGAATGCCAACAATTTTCTAAAATTGAAGAAAGACATGAATTTTAAGATGTTCAATGACTACAAACTGGGATAAGTAAAAATACATAAAGCATGGGGAAATTCAGATAACCAATGATAAATATAAAATCTTAAAAGCTACAGACTAAAGAGAAGTAACCTACCCAAAGCTACCAAAAACTGACAATAAGACTGACAGCCCACAATAGATATAGGAGACAACAGATATCAGAAGATAATGGAGAAACATCTTCTAAGTATTGAGGGTAAATAACCTATCATCCAAGAATAAGTACAAAATAAAGACTTTTTCTAACATGCAAAGATTAGAAAAATATCACCCACAAGCCAATACTGAAAAAGTTACTAATGAATGTACTTCAGTAAAGAGAAAAGAACACCCACAAAGAAGGAGTAGGGTGCAAAAAACAATAGTGAGTAAATGGATAAAATTGTGGTAAACTTATTATTGACTCTAAAGAAAGTAAGCTACCAGCTCAATTATTCCAACTTTCTTATAGACTCTTACTTTGCAACAACTGTTCTAGAATGTAAACTGCATGCAAGGAGACATTATATATGCCTCTTTCATCACCTAAAACCCTAGTTTTATTTATTGCCTTGCATATGGTAGAGGCTTAATAAATATTTGTGAATGAATGAATATAAGGAAATATTTACTATGTACTAGGTACTGTACTAGATACTTGACATATATTATTTCATTAATCCTCACAAATCATTCCCATGTCAATGATGATTAAAAATAATGCCAAATGTAGACCCTGATTTTTTATTTTGAGTTCATAATTTTTTAGCAAAATATTATTGAAATCATATTTGGGGAAAGCTGAGGTTTTTAAAATACTATGAAATAAAAAATATAATAGTTTTTTTAAAAGACATTATTTTCCAGTCCAAACATAAGCTTCCTAGATAAACACTATCAGGTATCACTACATCAGACCAGTTTCATCAACTTTACAAAGCCGTTTGAGGGACAGACTGTGTTTTAAAATGTAGTTTGAAAAGTCTCAAAAGTATTCTGAAGCTTTCACTAGCTATCACTTGGCTTCAATGCTGTGTCTCACTTGGAAACACAAGTACTATAACATAAATTTCTATTAATACAACAGTGGCTAGGGCTGGGCACAGTGGCTCACACCTGTAATCCCAGCACTTTAGGAGGCCGAGGCAGGTGGATCACTTGAGGCCAGGAGTTTGAGACCAGCCCGGCCAACATGGGAAAACCCCATCTCTACTAAAAATACAAAAATTAGCTGGGTGTGGTGGTGCACGCATGTAATCCCAGCTACTCAGGAGGCTGAGGCACAAGAATCGCTTGAGCCTGGGAGGCGGAGGTTGCAGTGAGCTGAGACTGCGCCATTGCACTCCAGCCTGGGTGACACAGTGAGACTCTGTCAAAAAAAAAAAATAGTGGCTAAATACATTGACTTATAGTACATAGATGTAGCAGAATACTCCATATCCAATTAAAAAGCATGCTAGATCTATGTGCATACTGGAAGTGTCCACATGTTATGTGGAAAAACTTATGTTGCAGAATAGTATATATAATACTTTGTAAAGTTAAAATCACACTGTAAAGAAACTTATTAGACTACAAACCATTCTACCATTGTATATAATAAACTATTATCTTATTATTACTTATGAGAAAAGTCTGAAAGGACAGACAACAGACTGTTAACATTAGTTACCTCTAAGGAGTAAAACAGAGCCAAGAGGTGGTAAGGCTTTTTTTTTTTTTTTTTTTTTTTTGAGACAGTCTCACTCTGTTGCCCAGGCTGGAGTGCAGTGGCACGATCTCAGCTCACTGCAACCTCCCGGGCTCAAGCGATTGTCCTGCCTCAGCCTCCTGAGTGGCTGGGATTACAGGCACCCACTACCAGGCCCAGCTAATTTTAGTATTTTTAGTAGACACTGGTTTTCACCATGTTGGCGAGGCTGGTCTCAGAACTCCTGACCTCAGGTAATCCACCCACCTCGGCCTCCCAAAGTGCTGCCACCACTCCTGGCCAGGCTTCATTTTTATTTTGTATATTTAATTGCATTTCTGATTCTTTCCTACCAGCACACATCCCTCGTGTACTTTTGTAAAAAAAGAAGCAGGCTGGGCAGGGGACACAGAGAAGAGCACAAGGTAAGATACCAAAGACTCCCATTAGAAAACACGGCTGGCGCGGTGGCTCACGCCTGTAATCCCAGCACTTTGGAAGGCGAGGTGGGCGGATTACCTGGGGTCAGGAATTCGAGACCAGCCTGGCCTACATGGTAAAACCCCGTCTCTACTAAAAAATAAAAAATACAAAAATTAGCCGGGCGTGGTGGTAGGCGCCTGTAATCCCAGCTACTCGGGAGGCTGAAGCAGGAGAATCGCTTGAACCCAGGAGGCAGAGATTGCAGTGAGCCGAGATCGCGCCATTGCACTCCAGCATAGGCAACAGAGCGAAACTCTGTCTCAAAACACACACACACACACACACACACACACACACACACACACACAGTGAAGTCAACTCTGGTTTTTTTATGTTAAAAATAATGTTCTTCAAAATACCAAACACCGCATATTCTCACTCATAGGTGGGAATTGAACAATGAGAACACATGGACACAGGAAGGGGAACATCACACTCTGGGGACTGTTGTTGGGGGGGGAGCGGGAAGGGATAGCTTTAGGAGATATACCTAATGCTAAATGACGAGTTAATGGGTGCAGCACACCAGCATGGCACATGTATACATATGTAACTAACCTGCACATTGTGCACATGTACCCTAAAACTTAAAGTATAATAATAATAAAATAAAATAAAAAAAGAAAAAGAAAAAGAAAAAAATAAAAAATAAAAATAATGTTCTTACTCTAAAATGTTTCAGAAAAAAATTACATGCATGAAAGAATAATACAGTAAATGTGACATATTGTTAACAATTGGTGAGTTTTGTAATTTTTTATAAATTTAAAATTATTTCAAAATAAAAATATATTTAAGATAAAAGAAGGAAAGGAATATTGCTATTTCATCTAGCGTTAAATCAAAGACATCATTCCTGTCTTAAAAAAAACTCATAAAAGACAGCCTCAGGGCTCTAATATAACTGCGCATATGGCTCAACAGCTTTAGTTAAACAAGAATTTGCAATGAATCTAACCAGTTTTCCTATTCGTCCTTAATGCTTTACATCATGATGAACAATAATGTACTCATTCCAAATTTTCCCTTTTTGGGTCTTTAGACAGCTGTTACCTCCCAGATACAATTCCAGGTTGTGGCCATCAGGTGGCAGAGTGACTCTATTGCTAGGCTTACCTAATCACTGGTGGTCAGAAGTCCATCTAGAGAGTCCCAAACGTCTAAAGGGTATGACTTGGGCCACACGCTGATGCAGAACTTCTCTGTCAGCATATGACATAGTAGCATAACATACCAAACCCAATGACATTTAAAACATCAATTTGGTTGCTCATTTTCCATATTATTGTAATTTTTGTATATATACATAATTATTATATATATATGTATCATTAAGCCCTTTATAGCTGGCAGTTATTTAATTATAGTACCATCAGACTATACGACAATTTATGTCCCAGGGCATTGTCAAAAATAGTATAGCAATATGCTAGCAATTAGTGGAGCCTAAGATTTGGGTGTGATATCAACAGAGGAAGATAACCTAATAAAATATCAGGGAAAGAGACAGTCAAACAGAGCCCTTCCAAAACCACTGTCATTGCAAATAATTGTGCCCATTTCCCAAACTGTACTGAGGAGTGACATCAGAGGCTTCATATTACAGGATAAACAGACATCACTAAAAGAGTCCATTCAAGTCGCTAAACAAATAAACATGCAAACAACCTCAAAAACAAGCTTAGAGGGCTTGTATCCAGAGTTGCTACAATATATTATCTAAAATGGCCAGGAAAATGTGAACTATACTCAGGCGGAAAAAAACAGGTAAACCAACTGCCTGTAAGAGGACATAGATGTCAGATTTTAAAAAAGAAAACTTCAAATAGCTAATATAAATATAGAATGAGCAAACATAGGATGATTGAAACCACAATTTTAAAAGTAAAGGAATGTATAATAACAATGTTTCTTCAAATAAAAAATATTAATAAAGCTATAGAAATTATAAAAGAAAAAGAAGAACCTAATGGAAATACTGGAACAAAAAATTGATAGAGGGGCTCAACAGAAAACGTGAATAGGTAGAACAAAGACTAGTGAACTTGAAAATAGGTGGCTAGAGATTATGCAGTCTGATGAACAGAGATGAAAAAAAGAAAGAAAGAAAAATGAAGAGAGTCTCCAAAAAAAAAAATGAGACACCAGTAAATGCACCAACATATGCATAATGAGAATAATAGGAGAGAAGATGCCAGGCATGGTGGCTTACACCTGTAATCCCAGCAACTCGGGAGGCTGAGGCAGGAGAATTGCTTGAGGCCAGGACTTTGAGACCAGCCTGGGCAACACAGTGAGACCCTGTCTCTAAAAATAAAAATAAAAATACTTAGCTGGGCATGGTGATGCATGCCTACAGTCCCAGCTACTCAGGAGACTAAAGTTGGGGGGTCGCTTGAGCCCAGCAGTTTGAGATTACAATGAGCCATGATCTTGCCACTTCACTCTAGCCTGGGTGAAGAGTAAGACTCCAACTCAAAGGAAAGAGAGAGAAAGAGAAGAGAAAAGAGCATAAAAAATATTCAAAAAATAATGGCTGAAAACTTCCAAAATGTTATGAAAAACATTAATTGATACAAACAAGTAGTTCAACAAACTCCAAGTAGGGCAAACACCAAGAGATCCATACCAGACACATCATGGCCGGGCATGGTGGCTCACGCCTGTAATCCCAGCACTTTGGGAAGCTGAGGCGGGCAGATCACTTGAGGCCAGGAGTTTGAGACCAGCCTGGCCAACATGGTGAAACCCTGTCTCGACCAACAATACATAAATTAGCCAGGTGTGGTGGTGCACGCCTGTAATCCCAGCTACACAGGGGGCTGAGGCATGAGACTCGCTTGAACCTGGGAGGCAGAGGTTGCAGTGAGCTGAGATCATGCCACTGCACTTCAGCCTGGGCGACAGGGTATCTGTCTCAAAAAAAAAAAAAAATGAAAATGAAAAAGACATAGAAATATTTGAAAGCAGCAAGAAAAAAAAATTCCTCACATACAAGGGAACTAGAATAATATTAATAGCTAATTTTTCATCAGAAATAATTGAGACCACAAGGCAGTAGATGACATATTCATGGCGCTAAAAGAAAATAAGCTGTCAACCAAGAATCTTACATCCAACCAAGAATCTTACTACTTTTCAAAAAAATAAGGCAAAATAAAGACATCCCAGAAAAACAAAAAATGAGAGAATTCATTGTTAGAAGAACCACGCTAGAAGAAATACCAAACGAAGTCTGTCAGGCTAAAAGCAAGTGCCCCAGTTAGTAATTTGAATCCTCATGAAAAAACACAGAGCGTGGGTAAAGGTAATTATGTAATTATAACGAGCAATATAAATGAATATTTTCTCTCCTGTCATAATTGATTAAAAAAGCAATTGTTTAAAATAATATGCATACAATTGTATTGTTACATACATAGAACAATGTACATTACATTACAAATTTAACGTATTTGATAATAGCACAAAGGAGGTGGATGAGCAAAGCTGTATTGGGGGTAAGGAAATGACAACAGATGGTGTCATTTCAACAAAATACTAGCAAACTGATCCTGCAATATAAAAAAAGGATTATATATCATGACCAAGTGAGATTTATTTCAAGAATGCAAATTTGCTTTAACATCAGAAAAGCAATTAGTGTAATAAACCTTATCAATTGAAAAAAGGTCAAACCCCACACGATCATCTCAATAGGTGGAAAAAAAGCATTTGATAAAATCCAATCCCCTTCATGATAAAAACAGCCAACAAACTAGGAAACTAGGAAAAGAAAATCTTTCTCAACCTAATAAAGAGCATATACAAAAAAATCCACATTTGGGCTGGGTGCGGTGGCTCACACCTGTAATCCTAACACTTTGTAATCAAGTGATCCTAAGGCCGAGGCAGGTGGATCACTTGAGGTCAGGAGTTCGAGACCAGCCTGGCCAATATGGCGAATCCCCATCTCTAACAGAAATACAAAAATTAGCTGGGCATGGTGGCAGGCACCTGTAATCCCGGCTACTCGGGAGGCTGAGGCAGGAGAATCACTTGAACCTGGAGGGGCGGAGGGGGCAGTGAGCCAAGATCGCACCTCTTCACTGTAGCTTGGGCGACAGAGCAAGACTCTGTCTCCAAAGGAAAAAACAAAAATCCACACCTAACACCTACTAAATAATGAAAGTATGGATGCTTTCTCCTAAAATAAAAAAACAAGACAAGAGTATCTGCTCTCACCACATTTATTCAACATCGTACTCGAGGTTCTAGTCAGGGCAATTAGGCAAGAAAATGAAATGAAATCCTGATTGGAAAGTAAAAAGTAAAACTATCTTTATTTGCAGATGGCATGATCTGTATGTAGAAAATCCTTTTAAACATCCACTAGAAATTATTAGAAGTAATTAATGAGTTCAGCAGGGTTGCAGGACACAAGACCAATATACAAAATCTACTGTACTTATCTAAGTGGCAATAAAAAACCAAAATGATTTGCTATTTACAATAGCATCAAAAAGAATAAAATACTTAGGAATAAATTTAAAGAAGTGTGAAATTTATACTTTTAAAACTCCAAAATAGTGTTGAAAGATATTAAAGATGACCAAAATAAATGGAAAGATATCCACATTTGTGGATCCAAATACTGAATTTTGGGGCCAGGCATGGTGACTAACACCTGTAATCCCAACACTTTGGGAGGCCAAAGTGAGAGGATCACTTGAAACCAGGAATTCAAGACCAGCCTGGGAGAGACCCTGTCTCTACAAAAAATGAAAAAAATTAGTCAGATGTGGTGGCACATGCCTGTAGTCCCAGCTACTCAGGAAGCTGAGGTGGGAGGATTGCTTGAGCCCAAGAGTTCAAACTGCAGGGAATTGTGATCATGCCACTGCACTCCAGTGTGGGCAACAAAGGAAGACAATGTTTCTAAAAAAATTTTTTTTAAATAAAGGCTTATTTGTTTATTTTTTTTGAAACAGGGTCTTGCTCTGTCACCCTGGTTGAAGTGCAGTGATATGATCATAGCTCCCTGCAACTACAGGCATGTGCCACCATGCCCAGCTAACTTATATTCATTTTTTCATAGATATACAGTCTTGCTATGTTGCCAAACATGGTCTCAAACTCCTGGCCTCAAACTCCTGGCCTCAAACTCCTGGCCTCAAGCAATCCTCCTACCTTGGCCTCCCAAATCCCTGGGATTACAGGCATGAGACACTGAACCCACTGAAAGACTTAATATTTTTAAAATGGCAATATTCCCCAAACGGATCTACAGATTCAACACAGTCCCTATCAATATTCCAACTGGTTTCTTTGCAGAAATTGACAAACTGATCTTAAATTTTTTTTTTTTTGAGACAGAGTCTTGCTCTGTTGCCCAGGCTGGAGTGCAGTGGCACAACCTCGGCTCACTGCAGCCTCCGCCTCTCAGGTTCAAGCGATTATCCTGCCTCAGCCACCCGAGTAGCTGGGATTACAGGTGGCCACTACCACACCTGGCTAATTTTTGTATTTTTAGTAGAGATGGGATTTCACCATGTTGGCCAGGCTGGTCTCAAACTCCTGATCTCGTGATCTGCCCACCTCAGCCTCCCAAAGTGCTGGGATTACAGGCGTGAGCCGCCATGCCTAGCCTGATCCTAAATTTCTTCTTCTTCTTCTTCTTCTTCTTTTTTAAATTTGAGACAAAGTTTTGCTCTGTCACCCAGGCTGGAGTGCAGTGGCACAATCCCGGCTCACTGCAACCTCTAGGTTCAAGCGATTCTCCTGCCTCAGCCTCCCCAGGAGCTGAGATTACAGGTGTGCGCTACCACACCCAGCTAATTTTTGTCTTTTTGGTAGAGATGGGATTTCACCATGTTGGCCAGGCTGATCTCAAATACCTGACCTCAGGAGATCCACCCGCCTTGGCCTCCCAAAGTGCTGGGACTACAAGCGTGAGCCACTGCACCTGGCCTGATCCTAAATTTCATAAGGAAATACAATGGACCTAAAACAGCTAACACAATCTTGAAAAAAAAGGATGAAGTTGGAGGACTCACACTTCTCAATTTCAAAATGTACCACAAAGCTATAGCAATCAAGACAGTGTGGTACCAGCATAAGAAAATAATTGAGAATCAATGGAATAGAATTGAGAGTCTACAAATAAATCTATACACCTATTTGCCAAGTGATTTTCTTTCTTTTTTTTTTGAGATAGAGTCTTGCTATGTTGCCCAGGCTGGAGTGCAGTGGCGAGATCTTGGCTCACTACAACCTCCGCCTCCCAGGTTCAAGTGATTCTCCTGCTTCAGCCTCCTGAGTAGCTGGGACTACAGGCGCAGGCCGCCACACCTGGCAAATTTTTGTATTTTTAGTAGAGACGGGGTTTCACCATATTGGTCAGGCTGGTCTTGAACTCCTGACCTCCTGATCTGCCCGCCTCGGCCTCCCAATGCACTGGGATTACAGGCGTGAGCCACCGCTCCCGGCCGCCAAGTGATTTTTCAACTAGGGTGCCAAGACCATTTGATGGGGGAAAGAATAGACTTTTCAACAAATTATGCTGGGATAAATAGATATCTACAAGGAAAATAATAAATGTGGAACCTTACCTTATACTATATACAAAAAAATTAACTAAAAATGGATCACAGGCCTAAATGTAAGAGCTGAAACTATAAAACTTAAAAAGAAAATATAGGCATAAATCTTTGTGACCTGGATTAGGCAAGAGTTTCTTAAATATGACACCCCAAACACTAGCAACTGAAGAAAAGATAGATGTTAGATATAAGCAAGATTAAAAATTTTTAAGTTTCAAAAGACATGAGAAAATGAAAAGACATCCCTTAGAATGGGACAGTAATTTTTCAAATCAGATATCTGATAAGGGAATTATATCTAGAATATATAATTTTTAAAACTCCTACAGCTCAATAATAGAAAGACAATTACCCAATTTAAAAATGGGCAAGGAATCTGAATAAATATTTTCCTAAAGAAGATATGCCAATGACGAGCAAGCACATTAAATGATGTTCAACACCATTAGTCCTCAGGGGGATGCAATCAAAACCACAATGAGATACCTCTTCAAACCCACTGGGATGGCTATAATCGAAAAGATAGAAAACAACTGTTAGTGAGGATGTGAAGGAATCGGAGCCCTCAGACACTGCTGGGGGCAATGTAAAGTGGCGGCCACTTCGGCAAACAGTCTAGCTGCGCTGTTCCTCAAAAGTTGAATATAGAGTTATCATGTTACTCAGCTTTTTCATTCTAGGTACATATCCAAGAGAAATGAAAACCTATGAGCACACAAAAACAAATAGACAAATGTTCACAGCAGCATTATTTAAAATAGTCAAAAGTGGAAACAACCCCAACGTTCAACTGATGAACAGGTTTTTAAAATGCAGTACACAATGAGGTACTATGCAGCCATAACAAGGAATGTAGTGCTGATACATGCTACAACATGGATGAACCCTGAAAACATGATGCTAAGTGTCAGAAGCCAGAATCAAGGGAACACATTCACTCGAAATGCTCAGAAGAGGGAAATCCATCAGACAGAGAATGTAGGCCTGCCATGGACTGGGGAACTGGGGAGGCTGGGGAAAAATGGGGAGTGACAGCTAACAGGTATGGGGTTTCTTTTTGGATGATAAAAACGTTCTGAAATCGATTGTGGTGATGACTACATGACTGTGTGAATACACTAAAAATCACTGAATTGTGTGCTTTAAGTAGGTGACTTATATAGTTAGATCTCACTAAAGGTGTTCAGAGAGAGAGAGGAGAGAGAAAGGAGGCTATGTATCGGGCCTTCAGGTCTGATCAAGTCCTGTTTAGAACACGGTATGCCACATGAGCTAAATGTGTATCTCATCTTTATGGAGAACTTGCCTTTGCCCTTCTGAGCTGGATTTACAGGGGAAAAAAATCAAGGCCCATTTGCTACTAATTACATCACCAATGGACACATAAAAACTATAAAATTAAATATGAAATAATATAGCAACCTAGTGTCTTAAGAATACCACTTAAAATGTTCATACCCCTCCAATACAATTACATAATCAACACAAGAAAGCCAAGAAACTTTTCCAAAGAATTTTTATTTCACATGAATTCATTTCAACAATCAAGTCTCATCAGCATTCTAATATAGCCAAAAAAACAAAGCAAAAATATTTAGTACTCATAACAAACACTTTTGATGCCTTTAGAGTGAAAGTTTTTGTTACAGGGAAGCAACAAGTTGAGTAGAGAAGTTGATAAGAAACTGAAGAATATAAGATTCCTGAAAGTATTTCAAAATAATTTTTCTACTTTGTATTAGAACCAGCATCATAAGGACAATGCCACTGCTCTTGCCCCTGAGATGATAAAGCCACCACTGGTTGCAGGCCCTTTTCATCGCATGCAGGGCACCAAGCCTCTCACATGTATTCTCCCACTTGATCTTCATCCGCAACTCAAGCGGCTACGAAGATCCTCAGAGTCCTCCTAAAGTCCCTACTCTGTCCTATAGCTCGCAAGTTCTTCTAACTCCCTGCTGTTCTGAGAGGTATCACAGAGCTGGGATTTCTTTTAAGCCGAAATGCATAAACAAGGAGTCAAGGTTTTCCAGTCCTATTATAGTGAGTTTCCAGGTCATTTCTTCATCCAAATTGATGATGAATGTTGAGTATCTACTGTTTTCCAGAGACCGTTCCAGGCACTTAGCTATAGACAGGTAACATATCTGGAATCCCCCTTCAACATAGTAAAGGTAGCAGAGTGAGGAAGACATTGGAGAGACTCAATAGAGCAGTGAGTGCTAGGAGAGCTCTATGGAGTGGGGGTGTCAGGGAAGACTCCCAGAGGGGGTGACACTTCAGCTGAACTTTAAAGACTGAAAAGAAGTTAGAAAAGAAGGAGGAGGCCGGGCGCGGTGGCTCACACCTGTAATCCCAGCACTCTTGGAGGCCGAGGTGGGCGGATCACCTGAGGTCAGGAGTTAGAAGCCAGCCTGGCCAACATGGTAAAACCTCATCTCTACTAAAAATACAAAACTTAGCTGGCCGTGGTGGCGAGTGCCTGTAGTCTCAGCTACTCGGGAGGCTGAGGCAGGAGAATCGCTTGAATCCAGGAGGCGGAGGTTGCAGTGAGCCGAGATTGTGCCACCGCTCTCCAGCCTGGCAGACAGAGTGAGAATTGTCTCAAAAATAAAAAGAAAAGAAAAGGAGGAGGAAAGGCATGCTAGGTACGAGAACAGCATGTACAAAGGTGGAGCAATAGAAGAGCATGGTTTATTCAGGGACTAACAAAAAAGTTGATCACTGCTGAAAGGTACAGTGCAAGGGTAGAGAGAGAAGAGGGAGTCAACAGGGTGTCATCACCAAGGATCACACTAAGGAGACTGGAGTTCATCCTGATGAGGACAGAAAATCACAGAAGGAGAGTGATCAACCTGTTCCCCATCCAATCCATGCAGCCCTCTGCTATTATAGACAGATCTTTACCCAGCAGACTCAAACACACATGTCCAGCATTCAAGGCCCTCGACACGTTGTCTGCACAAAGACACCCTAATACTACTCCTCCCTGCTCCAGAGGCCTTGCATGCAGGAGGTCCTTGTTCTTTCTTCCACCCGACTCCATGCAGACCACCCTCATTGCCACCTCAGGCTGACGGGAAGTGCCATTTGCTCCTCAGCTCCGGTGCTGATATGCATTAATGTGCTTGGCTCTTAGGCCCAGCAGAGGGCAGAAGAGGCCCATAAATACTTCGGACAAATTTGTCCCAGCCAGATAAAAATAGCCCTAGACACAGTCCTGGTACAGTGCTTCCCGGACTTTCCCATGCATATGAATTCAGGGATCTTGTTAAAATGCAGATTCTAACTCAGTAGTTGCAGGGTGGGCTGGAGACAGTACATTTCTAACAAGGTCCCAGGTGCTGTTGAGGCTGCTGGTCCATGCAGCACACTTTGAGAAAATAGCACTTTTCATACTGAGAAGAAAGATCTTTTTTCTAAGTTTCCAATCTTTCCCAGACCAATACTTTCCGAAAATAAAATAAAAATGAATAACAGGAAAAATTAAATTTCCAAAATGACATACAAACTATCTCAACTTTATATTTTCGGATTCGATAAACTTAGTATTTACCCTATCAAATTACAAGGTCAGCTGAGTGAGTTCTCCCATCATTTCTTCCCAGGAAGACAACACCAATTGCGTAACAAAAGAAACCCATGGCACCCTCACAACCAGGTTTAACTCCTACCACTGGATTTTATGGCCAAAGCAGGGAGGGAATGTACTAAAGGAATGCAAGCCATTTGCTTTGGGGCTTCATTAATATATTCCCCACTATAATGGAGTTTATAGAAAATGGTTTTTGATGAGCAGAGACCCCAACATTTGAACACCTACCTTGCCACTCTTCCTCGAAGATCTCCCAAACCGGAGAGCTGGCGCATCTCCAGGGTCTTTAAGGCAGAATTAGTTCCATAGCTAATGTTGTCCCGGGCACGAATCTGCTCCTGGAGTACCTGGGCAACATAAAAAACACTAAGGGAGTCATCTAAGAATTCACGTGCTTCCACAAAAGCATTTTATACTTTTGGCAAAAATAAGAATGTTTAACTCAGTCTTTCATAAGAGACTCCTTTTCAACAGTCACCTAAGGCACACTTAAACAGAGAACTAGGGGGCCTAGACAGAGAGAGACCTTAGAGGCTCCTCCCAGAGCAAGTCCCTTTATTTACCATTAAAAACTAAGTTCCTTTGGTTTTAGTATTTCTTCCTTAGTAATGAAGCCACTTTCTTTTTCTTTTTTCTTTTTTCTTTTTTTTTTGAGATGGAGTCTTGCTCTGTTGCCCAGGCTGGAGTGCAGTGGCACAATCTCAGCTCACTGCAACTTCTGCCTCCCAGGTTCAAGCAATTCTCCTGCCTCAGCTTCCCGAGCAGCTGGGATTACAGGCATGTGCCATCACACCTGGCTAAGTTTTGCATTTTTAATAGAGACGGAGTTTGTGTTAGTAGAGATGGGGTTTCGCCATGTTGGCCAGGCTGGTCTTGAATTCCTGACATCAGGTGACACGCACACCTTGGCCTCCCAAAGTGCTGGGATTACAGGTTTGAGCCATGGGCTATTTTGATACAGGCATGCAATGTGTAATAATCACATCAGGGTGAATGAGGTATCCCTCACCTCAAGTATTTACTGTTTCTATTACAAACAACCCAATTATACTCTTTTAGTTATGTTTACATGTACAATTAAATTATTATTGACTACAGTCACCCTGTTGTGCTATCAAATACTAGATCTTATTAATTCTAACTATTTTTTAATGCCCATTAATCATCCACATTTCCACCCCACCCCCCACTATCCTTCTCAGCCTCTGGTAACCATCATTCTACTCTCTATCTCCGTGAGTTCAATTGTTTTAATTTTTAGCTCCCACAAGTGAGTGAGAACATGCGAAGCTTATCTTTCTGTGCCTGGCTTATTTCATTTCACTTAACATAATGACCTCTCGTTCTATCCATGTTTTTGCAAATGACAGAACCTCATTCTTTCTTACGGCTGAATACACTCCATTGTGTATCTGTACCACACTTCTTTATCCATTTGCCTGTTGATGGACACTTGGGTAGCTTCCAAATCTTGGCTATTGTGGATAGTGCTGCAATAAACACGGGAGTGCAGATATCTCTTCCATATACTGATTTCCTTTCTTGTAGGTATATACCTAGCAGTGGGATTGCTGAATCATATGGTAGCTCTGTTTTAGTTTTGTGAGGTACCTCCAAAGTGTTCTCCACAGTGGTTGTACTAATTTACATTCCCGCCAACACTGTATGAGTGCTCCCTTTTCTCCATATCCTTGCCAGCATTTGATATTGCCTGTCTTTTGGATAAAAGCCATTTTAACTGGGGTGAGATGATATCTCATTGTAGTTTTGTTTGTTTGCTTTTTGAGACTAAGTCTCACTGTCACCCAGGCTGGAGTGTAGTGGCATGATATCGGCTCACTGCAACCTCCACCTCCTGGATTCAAGCGATTCTCATGCCTCAGCCTCCCAAGTAGCTGGGATTACAGGCATGCATCACCATGCCAGGCTAAATTTTTTTTGTATTTTTAGTAGAGATGGAGTTTCACCGTGTTGACCAGGCTGGTCTGAAACCCCTGGCTTCAAGTAATCCACCCACCTCGGCCTCCCAAAGTGCTGGGATTACAGGTGTGAGCCGCTGCACTCAGCCAATATCTCATGTAGTTTTGATTTGCATTTCTCTGATGATCAATGATGTTGAGCACCTTTTCATATACCTGTGTTTGCCATTTCTATGTCTTCTTTTGAGAAATGTGTATTCAGATCTTTTGCCCATTTTTTAAACAGATTATTAGATTTTTTTCTTATAGAGTTGTTTGAGCTCCTTATATATTCTGGTGATCAATCCCTTGTCAGATGGAGAGTTTGCAACTACGTTCTCCCTCCACTTTGTTCTTCTTTTGATGTGCAGAAGCTTTTTAACTTAATTTGATCCCATTTGTCCATTTTTGCTTTGGTTGCCTGTGCTTGAGGGGTATTTCTCAAGAAATCTTTGCCCACTCCAATGTCCTAGAGAGTTTATCCAATGTTTTCTTTTAGTTGTTTCATAGTTTGAGGTCTTAGATTTAAGTTTTTTTTTTTTCAACTTTTATTTTTGGTTCAGGGTACATGTGAAGGTTTTTTACATAGGTAAACTCGTGCCATGGATGTTTGTTGTACAGATTATTTCTGTGAGATAATTAAACACAACTATTGTATACTGGGTTTAATGTGTTGTTGTACAGATTCTGTACATTAAGCCCAGTACCCAACAGTTATCTTTTCTGCTCCTCTCTAATCTTTAATCCATTTTGATTTGATTTTCTGTACATGGTATGAAATAGGGGTCTAATTTCATGCTTCTGCATATGGATATTCAGTTTTCCCAGCACCACTTATTGAACAGACTGTCATTTCCCCATTGCATGATCATGGCTCCTTTTTCAAAAAGGATTTTACTGTAGATGTATGGATTTGTTTCTGGGTTCTCTATTCTGCTCCATTGGTCTATGTGTCTATTTTTATGCCAGTGCCATGCTGTTTTGGTTACTGTAGCTCTGTAGTATAATTGCAAGTCAGGTAATGTGACCTCTCCAGTTTTGTTCTTTTGCTCAGGATAGTTTTGGCTATTTTGGTATTTTGTGGTTCCATGTGAACTTTAGGATTTTTTTTTTCTATTTCTGTGAAGAATGTCATTGGTATTTTGATAGGGATTGCATTGAATTTGTAGATTGCTTCAGGTAGTACAGACATTTTAACAATATTATGTATTCCAAACCACGAACATGGAATATCTTTCCATTTTTATGAGTCTTCTCCAATTTCTCACATCAATGTTTTATAGTTTTCATTGTAGAGATCTTTCACTTCTTTGGTTAATTCACAGGTATGTATGTATGTATGTATATATGTATGTATGTATGTATGTATGTATGTATGTATGTATGTATGTATTTGAGATGGAGTCTCGCTCTGTTGTCCCGGCTAGAGTGCAGTGGCGCAATCTCGGCTCACTGCAACCTCCGCCTCCCAGGTTCATGCCATTCTCCTGCCTCAGCCTCCCGAGTAGCTGGGACTACAGGCGCCCGCCACTATGCCCGGCTAATTTTTTGTATTTTTAGTAGAGATGGGGTTTCTCCGTGTTAGCCAGTATGGTCTCGATCTCCTGACCTCGTGATCCGCCTGCCTCAGCCTCCCAAAGTGCTGGGATTACAGGCGTGAGCCACCGCACCCAGCCTATATTTATTTATTTAATTATTGAGACAGGGTCTTGCGCTGAACCCAGGCTGGAAAGCAGTGGCACAATCTTGGCTCATTGCAACCTCTGCCCCCAAGGCACAAGCAATCTTCCCAGCTCAGCCTCCCGAGGCACACAGCAGCACGCTCAGCTATTTTATCGTATTTTTGGTAGAGACAGGGTTTCGCCATGTTACCCAGGCTGGTCTCAAATTCCTGAGCTCAAGTAATCTGCCCACCTTGGCCTCCCAAAGTGCTGGGATTATAGGCGTGAGCCACAGCACCTGGCCAGTATTTAATTTTATTTACAGCAATTGGAAATGAGATTACTTTCTTGATTTCTTCTTCAGATTGTTCCCCATTGGCATATAGAAATGCCACTAATTTCTGTATGTTGATTTTGTATCCTGAAATTTTATTGAATTTGTTTATCAGTACTAATAGTTTTTTGGTGGAGTCTTTAGGCTTTTCCAAATATAAGATCATATCATCTGCAAACAAGAATAATTTGTCTTCTTCCTTTCCAATTTGGATGCCCTTTCTTTCTTTCTTTTGTCTGATTGCTCTAGCTAGGACATCTAGTACTATGTGGAATAACAGCAGTAAAAGTGGGCATCCTTTTTGTGTTCCAGATCTTAGATAAAGGCTTTCCTGTCTTCTCCATTTAGTATATTACTAACTGTGGGTCTGTCATATATGGCTTTTATTATGTTGAGATGTGTTCCTTGTATACCTAGTTTTTTGAGGGTTTTTCTCATGAAGGGATGTTGAATTTTATCCAATGCTTTTTCAGCATCGGTTGATATGATCATATGCTTTTTGTCTTTCATTTTGTTGATATGATGTATCACACTGATTGATTTGCATATGTTGAACCATCTTTGCATCCCTGGAATGAATCCCACTTGTTAATGATGAATGATCTTTTTAACATGTTGCTGAATTCAGTTTCCCAGTATTTTGTTGAGGGTTTTTGCATCAGTGTTCAACAGGGATATTGGCCTGTAGGTTTTTTGTTTTTTTGTTGTTGTTTTTGTTTTTGTTTTGCATCTTTAATTTTGGTACCAAGGTAATACTGGCCTCATAGAATGAGTTTGGAAGTATTTCCTCCTCTTCTACTTTTCAGAATAGTTACAGTATGATTGCTATTAATTCTCTTTAAATGTGGTAAAATTTAGCAGAGAAGCCATTGGGTCCAGGGCTTTTCTTTGCTAGGAGGTTTTTATTATGGCTTCAATCTCGTTACTTGTTACTGGTTTGTTCAGGTTTTGGATTTCTTCATTATTCAATTGTGGTAGGTTGTATGTGTCTAAGAATTTATCCATTTCTTCTAGGTTTTCTAGTTTTTTGGCATATAGTTGCTCCTAGTAGCCTCTAATGATCCTTTGAATTTCTGTGATATGGGTTGTAAGGTCTCCTTTTTCATCTCTGATTTTATTTAGTTGGGTCTTTTCTGTTTTTTTCTTAGTCTAGCTAAAGTTTGTCAATTTGTTTATCTTTTCAAAAACCCAACTTTTTGTTTCATTGATTTTTTTAAATTGTTCTCATTTCACTTATGTCTGCTCTGATCTTCATTATTTCCTTTCTTCTACTAACTTTGGGTTTGGTTTGCTCTTGCTTTTCTGATTCTTTAAGACATATCCTTAGATCGTTTATTTGAAGGTTTCTTCTTTTTTGATGTAGGCACTTATAAACAAACAAACAAGCAAAAAGAAAACTAATAAAAAACTCTATACTAATATATATATAATATATATATAATATACATATAAGATATATATATAATATATATATAAAATATATATATATATTCAGGAGTGCTGCTAACTCTATACTTTAACATCATCTCCACACTTTTTAACTTTTTGTTGTTTCTATTCATATCTTATTGTACTGTCTATGTCTGGAAAAGTTATTATTTTTGATTGGTTCATCTTTTCATCTTTCTATTTAAGATAAGGAATAGTTTACATACCACAATTACAGTATTATAATATTCTGCGTTTTTCTGTGTACTTACTATTACCAGTGAGTTTTGTACCTTCAGATGATTTCTTATTGCTCATTAACATTCTTTTCTTGAATGTTGAAGAACTCCTTTTAGCATTTCTTGTAGGACAGGCCTGGTGTTGATAAATCCCTCAGCTTTTGTTTGTCTGGGAAAGTCTTTATTTCTCCTTCAAGTTTGAAGTATAGTTTCAACAGATACACTATGGTAGGTTTTATGCTAAGTTTTTTTTTCCTTCAGCACTTTAAAGACGTCATGCCACAAGTCTGTTGCCAAACTTATTGGAGCTCCATTGTATGTTATTTGTTTCTTTTGTCTTGTTGCCTTTAGGATCCCTTCTTTATCCTTGACCTCTGGGAGTTTTGTTATTAAATGCCATGAGGTGGTCTTCTTTGAGTTAAATCTACTTGGTGTTCTATAACCTTCTTGTGCTTGAATTTTGATTTCTTGTACTTGAATTTTGATATCTTTTGTTTGGGAAGTTCTCTGTTATCCCTTTTGATAAACTTTCTACCACTATTTCTCTCTCTACCTCCTCTTAAAAACCAATAACTTTTAGATTTGTCCTTTTGAAGCTACTTTCTAGATCTCGTAGGTGTGCATCATTTTTTTCATTCTTTTTTTGTCTCCTCTGTGTATTTTCAAATAGCCTGTCTTCAAGCTCATTAATTCTTTCTTCTGTTTGATCAATTCTGCTAACAGACTGATGCATTCTTCAGTATGTCACTAGCATTTTTCCACTCCAGAATTTCTGCTTCTTTTTAATTATTTCCCTTCCTTTCTTTCCTTTCTTTCTTTCTTCAGAGTGTTGCTCTTGTTGCCCAGGATGGAGTGCAGTGGCATGATCTTGGTTTACTGCAACCTCTGCCTCCTGGGTTCAAGCGATTCTCCTGCCTCAGCCTCCTGAGTAGCTGGGATTACAGGCACCCACCACCACACCTGGCTAATTTCCGTATTTTTAGTACAGATGGGGTTTCATCATGTTGGCCAGGCTGGTCTCGAACTTCTGACCTCAGGTGATCCACCCGCCTTGGCCTCCCAAAGTGCTGGGATTACAGGCATGAGCCGCTGCACCTGGCCAGTTATTTCAATTTCTTTGTTAAATTTATCTGATAGGATTCTGAATTCCTTCTCGGTGTTATCTTGAATTTCTTTGAGTTTCCTCAAAACAGCTATTTTGAATTCTCTGTCTAAAAGGTCACATATCTTTGTCTCTCTGGGATTGACTTCTGGTGTCTTATTTAGTTAATTTGGTGAGGTCATGTTTTCCTAGATGGTCTTGATGCTTGTGGATGTTAGTCAATGTTTGTACCCATTCTTCTTGCGAAGGCTTTCCAGATATTCAAAGGGACTTGGGTGTTAAGTAATCTAAGTTTTCGGTCACTGCAACCATATCTGCATTAGGGGGTACCCCAAGCCCAATAACACTGTAGTTCTTGCATACTTGTAGAAGTACTACCTTGGTGGTCTTGGATAAAATCCAGAAGATTTCTCTGGATTACCAGGCAGAGACTCTCCTTCCCTTCCCTTACTTTCTCCCAAACAAGCAAAGTCTTTCTTTCTTTGTGCTGAGCTACCTGGAGCTGGGAAGTGGGGCACAAGCACCTCTGTACCCACCACCATTGGGACTCTGATGGGTCTGACCTGAAGCCAGCACAGCACCGAATCTTGCTCAAGTCCTGCTGTAATCACTACATGGCTACCCGTATGTTCACTCAAGGCCCTAGGGCTCTACAATCAGCAAGTGGTGAAGCCAGCCAGGCTTGTGTCCTTCCCCTAAGGGCAATGAGTTCCCCCAGGCTCCACGCAGGTCCAGAGAGGCTGTCCAGGTGCCTGGGCCTAGAATCAGAAACCTTAGAAATCTACCTGGTACTCTATTCTACTGTGGCTGAGCTAGTGCCGAAACCACCAAAGTCCTTCCCACTCTTCCCTCCACTTTCCCCAGGGTGAGGAGTCTCCCTACGTCTACCACATGCCCAAAGGGAATAAAGCCATGCTACTGCCATTGTTCACCTAAGGCCCAAGGGCTCTTTATTCAGTTTGTGGTGAATCCTGTCAGGCCTGGGACTCACCCTTCAGAGCAGCGGGCCCGCCTTTAGCCCAGGGTACATCTAGAGATCCAAGAGTCCAAGAGCCAAGGCCTGGAGTCAGGGACCCCAAAAGACTTCTTGGTGCTCCTCTCCACTGTGGCCAAGCTGGTACCTAAGCTAAAGACAAAGTCCCCTTTACTTTTCCCTCTGCTTTTCTCAAGCAGAAGAAATCTCTCCTCACAGCCACCACGGCTGTGAAAGTGCAGAGGCACCCTTAAAGCCAGAATGTCTGAGTCTTACCCAAGGCCCATGGCACACTACTTGCTTATCACTGCTGGTTGGCTGCCCTGCATTCCAAAACAATGTCCCATAAACACTGCACTCTCCCTCCTCAAAGCACACAGATTCTCTCTCCGGGCCATGTGGTCCGCTGACAGGGAATGGTGGAGGGGTGGTGTTGGTGATTCAAGACTGTCCTTCCTACCCTCTTCAGTGCCTCTTTCAGTGATATGATGTTAAAATCAGGTACTGTGATCGCTTACCTGCTTTTTGGTTCTCATGAAGGTGCTTTATTTTGTAGACAGTTGTTAAATTTGGTGTTCATGTGGGGAGGACAATTGGTGGAGGCTTCTATTCTGCCATCTTCCTCTGCCCTCCTGTCCATCTACTGACTTTTAGAAATTTAAGTTCAAGAAGAAATTTTATGTGACACTTGGATCTCCTTAAATGTAGGAATTATTTTTTATTCAAGGCCTACCTGTTTTCTATTTCATCTGCACCTGTTTTAAGGGCAGTACTTATTCTTCCTCCTTGTGGCTGCAGGGCCCCATTAGATGCTATGTGACTTTGCTCTCTCTACTCACTGGAGTGCCTTAAGTAGGTAGTCTTGAGAGTAGTGGAAGGGGCTTGTGGACGGGTGGTGCAGCCAGTGGGAAGCACAGGGCCTGTCTCCAGGTGAGGTACCAGGAGGATGCCTCTTTACATCCTATTCCCTCAGCTCTCCCAGCTGAGAGGCAGTGGGGAACGAGCCCGCCCCTACAACCTGTCCACCCCTCCATGGGGCAGGAGACTGGCTTAGTTATAGGGTGCGAAGCAGTGAGCCTGGACCCTCCTCCTGAGACTCCTAACCATGGGATCCTGCTGGCTCCCCAGGCTTTCCTGCCTGCCTATCCCAACTGTTCAGGAAGGTAGCACCTGGATTGGGAACAGACTAGAGACAGGCACACTAAACCACCATCTTCTCTTGCCTTCTGCACCAATCCAAGGGTTTCTTGAGATTACATTCCTGGGTATCTGCTTGTTACTACTTATTTCTAGAAATTTTGATGGTTTCTGATGTACTGACAATTTGCAGGCCCATTTGGAAATGAATAGGAAAGCCCAAGTAGAGATGTAATTATGCTTACATAATTTGTTTTTGTGCTCCCTCTTCTTAACTCTATTTTCTTTTCTTTTTTGAAGTATAACATACATAAAGAAAATACTTGTGTATTTTTTTCAGGATTTTCAAACTTCTTAGTAAAAAAAAAGAAATTAGGAATGTAAATATTCTGTGTTTCCCTCAGTGGAAACCTGCTTGAGGCACTGACAGTAAAAAGGAAAATTTCACTGGGCGGCCACAGTAGCTCACACCTGTAATCCCAGCACTTTGGGAGGCCGAGGCGGGTGGATCACAAGATCAGGAGTTCGAGACCAGCCTGGCCAAAATGGTGAAACCCCCGTCTCTACTAAAAATACAA
The DNA here is from genome assembly GCF_000001405.40 of Homo sapiens. NCBI lineage: Eukaryota > Metazoa > Chordata > Mammalia > Primates > Hominidae > Homo > Homo sapiens. The sequence continues at coordinate 59,483,207 of NC_000015.10, read as the reverse complement.
AAATTAGTCAGGCGTGATGGCACGCACCTGTAGTCCCAGCTACTCAGGAGGCTGAGGCAGAAGAATTGCTTGAACCCAGGAGGCAGAGGTTGCAGTGAACCGAGATTGTGCCACTGCACTCCAGCCTGGGCAACAGAGCAAGACTCCGTCAAAAAAAAAAAAAATTCACCAGAAAGAATTTAGAATTGCAAGACCTATCTATTATTTCTGTAGCTTCCAGCTTTTTCTCAATGAACCTGCTCTATGAAGAGGAACACAAACTAGTTACAATCACCTGTGAATGACAAAATGTGAGTCATATGAATACATTCTTGCAAGACAACTTCGCATCTGACTAATGTGGTTCTGGCACTCTCCCACTGATGAGAAGGCGCTGGCAAGCTCCGGTGCACTCTCTCTTAATAGGAAGTAACACCTATTAGTTAGAGTCAATAGAAAGTAACACTTATTCTTTTTGTATGTAGTGGTGCAAACCTTTGCCTATAGTAAGGCATAAGACCAGTGGTTCTCAAATATCTTTGGGATACATAAGTCTCACCCAGATGGCTTGTTACGCATGCAAATTCTTGGACCCCATCTCCAGAAAACCAAAGCTAGAGAACGAGCCCAGCGCCTAATACACTGTATTAGACACTATAGAGCTGGGCATGGTGGCTCACGCCCATAATCCCAGCACTTTGGGAGGTCAAGGCAGGTGGATCACCTGAGGTCAGGAGTTCAAGACCAGCCTGGCCAACATGGTGAAACCCCGTCTCTACTAAAAATACAAAAATTAGCCAGGCATGGTGGCGGGCACCTGTAATCCCAGCTACTCAGGAGGCTGAGGCAGGAGAATTGCTTGGACCCAGGTAGTGGAGATCGTAGTGAGCCAAGATCACACCATTGTCCTCCAGCCTGGATGACAAGAGCAAAACCCCATCTCAAAAAACAAAACAAAATAGACACTTCAGAAATGACAAAGGCTATAACCAATCTTATTTCATCTGAGTTGTTTTTCAATCTCTAAGCAATGAAAATGGAAAGCAATTCACAAAAAAAGGGGCTTAAAAAAACACACATTTTTTAAAAGGTTCAACCTTTCTAGTAAAGCAAAGAAATAAGAAGTACAAATCATACTATTATAGCATACCACTCTGGTGTGGGATGTTGATAGTGGGAGAGGCTGCGCATGTGTGGGAGCAGAGAGTATACTTTCTGCTCAATTTTGCTATGAACCAAAAAATGCTCTAAAAAATAAAGTCTATTTTTTAAACCTCAAAAATAGCATTTTCACTTATTAAAGAAGCAAATATTTTAAATCTATAATATTAAAAATATATCAAAAATCAAAAAGGTTTCAGCATCTTCTGCTTGCCTAAAAAATAGAAATAAAAAAGGCACAGCTGGCCCTTCCCAATACAACTTTCCTGGAGACCAATGCCAAAAAATATATATTCATAATGTTCATAACCTTTGACCCAGTAACTCTAGTTCTTGGAATTAATATTAAATGAAATAATAAGAAAAATGTATGCATAAAGATGTCTTCAGAGTGTGATACACATGTCAAGTATTTCACAAGGTACATTATTATGGAAACACTAAGATGTTCATAAAGGGTTTTTAGCAACAAGGGAAAGTGTGTACAACTTAATACTAAGCAAAAAGAAAGCATAGAAAATAAATATGGAGCATGATTCCAGCTGTGTATTAAGAGGCATATAAAATACTAGAATGTGAAAGTTTTGCTTATCTCTAGGGTGGAATTATGGTTTATTCTTTTTTTTTGTATGTCCAACAATGGACATACATTACTTTTATAGCCAGAAAAAAAAATGTGCTTTAAAAAATGCTTAGAAATTTAAAAAAGCCCATTTAACTCTCCAAATTCTTATGCAGATTAATAAGGTATTGTATTAGAACCGCTCTGGGGTCGGGTGCGATGGCTCACTCCTGTAATCCCAGCACTCTGGGAGACCGAGGCAGGAGGATTGCCTGAGCCCAGGAGTTTGAGACTAGCCTGGGCAACATGGTGAAACCCTGTCTCTACACACATTTTTTTTTTAATTAGCCAAGAGTTGTGGTGCACACCCCTGGTCCTAGCTATTCGGGAGGCTGAGGCAAGAGGATTGCTTGAACCTGGGAGGCAGAGGCTGCAGTGAGCCATGTTCCCACAACTGCACTCCAGCCTGAGCAACAGAGCAAGACCCTGTCTCAAAAAACAAATGAATAAAAATTTAAGAAAGAAGTGCTTTGAAGAATACAGGAAAGAATCCTACCTGACATTAACAAAGTATTCATGTTACTAGAAAGTAATATGAAAACAGAAGGTGTTAGACGGCTTATTACTTAAATACATTCTAGAATGAAAACTTAGAAAAGTAATTCCTTTGTAAAGTCAATAATGTTCCTGAATTTGTCATTTTGGAACAATATATCATCATGATGCATTTATTTTTAAAAAGATTATATCGTTATATATGGCATTGCTTCTCCATTATTTTCAATTCAATTCAAGAAACTTGTTTTTGCACACCTACTGTGTGCTGAGCATCAGGCATACCCTCAGGGAGCTTTCTTGCTTTTCTTGCAGCAAGAAAAACTAAAGGGTGGAAAGTGCATTGTCCAGGTGCACACAATAAACATGCTTCACACAAGCACGGAGCAGAAGCTAGCCACCTTGAAAAAGTGATGTCCCAAGTCCTCATTTATTTTTTCAAAGATACGGCCTATCTTTAAAAAACCTCCCTTCCCAAAACGGCTTGGAATAGGGACTTCTGTGGGAGCCTCAATGTGCTGTATAATGCAGTTTATGCAAAGGTGATGACAACCAATCCCCTGGGACATCTAAGCCCCCCAGACAGGCCAGCGTTGCCAGGAACCAGGAAAGAAACAGCTCTCCATGTTCCTCCTTCTCCAACTCTTCCTAGATTGGGAAGGGTTTGGAAATGAGGAAGTATAATTTCAAATCACCTAGAGAAAGGCCCAACTACAGCAGAGCAGCGAATTATAAGGTAGTATTCCCCTACAGGGCTTTTTACCACAGTTCCAGCCTCATATATCAAATTGCCTTCTTGGCATTTCCACCATTTGATAGAAGTCTCTCCCTCCAATAGGCAGGAAGTCCTGTCAGCTCTATCTCCAAAATCACTCCAGAATCCATCTTCTCCCCATCTCCACCATGCCATGCCTCTCCCTGAACCTTGAAGTAGTCCCCTAACTTGACTCCCTGCTTCAATTCTTGCTCCCCTAAAATCCTTCTCCACGAAGTAGCCAGCGTGATCTTTTTCAAACATAAATCAGTCTATATCCACAAGGACAAGGGCTTTTATCTGTGTTTTATTCACTAATGTAGCCCCAGCAACAAGAGTGTGAGTGGATTATTTAAATTCCTTGGCTGAACACTAAATAATGGCTTCCCATTTCCAGACTCCAAACTTCTTATCACAACCTTCAAGTCTCACGGGCTGCCCTTCCCCCAGCTCACAGCACTCCATCCACTGGTCCCCTTTCTGCTTCTTAAACGTGCCACGCCTCTTCCTACTTATGGCCTTGGAACTTGAACTGCCCTCGCTCTGGAGTGATCCCCCTGGGTGTCTCCTCCCTCAACACCACCACCTTGGCTTGCCTGGCCCCATATGTCATTCCATTCTCAATTCACACGTCACCTTATTCCCTTACCATCCTTTTTTTTTTTTTTTTTTTTTTTCTTATTTTTGAGACAGAGTCTCACTCTGTCACCCAGGCTGGAGTGCAATGGCACAATCTCAGCTCACTGCAACCTCCGCCTCCCGGGTTCAAGCAATTCTCCTGCCTCAGCCTCCCAAGCAGCTGGGAGTACAGGCACGTGCCACCACACCCGGCTAATTTTTGTATTTTTAGTAGAGACAGGGTATCACCATATTGGTCAGTCTGGTCTTGAACTCCTGACCTCGTGATCTGCACGCCTCGGCCTCCCAAAAGTGCTGGGATTACAGGCATGAGCCACCGCGCCCGGCCACCATCCTTTCTAAGACAGCCACACAGTCACTCTCCATCACATCCTCTCATCAGAGCACTTGACATCAGCTAACATCACCTTGGTTACTTAGCATTGACTGCCTGTACACCCCACTAAAGTGTGCAGCAGGGCGAAGATCAGAGGCCTGTGTGCTTGGGCCATTACTGCAGCTCCAGTGCCTCTAACAATGCCTGGCTGTTAGTGGGTTAGTGGATTAGTGAGTGATTTATCAATTAATTTAGCTCCATGTTCTAGGATCTGGTCTTCTGAGTTGAAGGCTTAGAGACTATCTCTAGCTGTCCATCCTGTCTTTGGTTTAAGCTGTTATCAATCCCTTTGATTTGAGCTGTTATCAATCTCTGGTTCCCAGACATGATCAGGTCCTCAAAGAGGACTCAGACAAGCTAAAATGTACTGGAGACAGAGCAGACACCAGAACACTAATTTATTCATTTACATTGAAAAACCTCTGTCAACAGAACTGAATAAATATTCGAATTCCATTCAATTTACTGTCTTCTCCCCCGAAGTCAAGGCATACAACACGCCACATCTAGTGGGTAGAATGAAAACAAAATGAATTTGGATGATAATCACCAAAACCCCTCCGCTGATATACCTGTTTCAATAGAACCAGATCACAGAGCTGCAGGCTGAAATTCCCTTTTTCAGTAAAATGCATGAAGTCCAGTAGCCAAAACTCTTTCCTCATTGGCAGTACTGGAAGCACACTGAACCAAGGTCCTGTATGTTAGTCCGACTACATGTTAACATCACTGTCTACGCCCCTGCTTTCCCATGTTAGTAAAGCCCAATGCTGCACTCATCGCTCAAGTTCAAAAACTCCAGTAGTCCTTTTGCAAATTATTAAACTAGCAAACTACGTATGATATATTCAATTAGATGAGGGCTTGATACAGTTTCCCATAACCCAACTAGGTTAAAGCCAACATTCCAAGCCAGAAGGACATCATGAAGTTGAGCACATGGGAACTAAAGTAGGTCCGCAGATTCTAACCAGCCAGGTGGCAGACCCCACTGCATGGTTCCCAAAGGCCAGAGACACAGCTAAAGCCATAAAAAGACATGGGGGTCCAAACTACTACCCCCAGCCATCAAACTGGCATGGAAAGGAAAGCTTACCACCAATAAAAGGACCACGGACTGCTCACCAGGGCTCGGCTTCCAGGGACCGATAACGGCTTAAACCAAAGACAGTATGGATAACCCAGACATGTATAATTCATAGTTGACTATATTACTTCCTCTAAATTTATAATGATGATGATCATTGGTGGAAAGTTTCTGAGGAATAAATAATTGATAAGCTTCTCCATATCACAAGGCAAACCGCTAACAGACACTGTGGATGGAGATGTATTAAAACAATAAATTCTTCCATTCAACATTTATCAAGCACTTACTGTGTATTAGTATACAAGAGTCATCTGTTTTGACACTGGTATCTGCTGAAAGAATATAAGCAATAATTATAGGGTTCTGGAAGGGGCAAGGAGACCCAGAGCTCTTGATTATGAAACATTTATTGAGCTCCTACTATGTCTTAGACATTGGTAGGTGTTGAAAATAGAAATATTAAGACTCTGTTCTAGCTCTTGAGGATCACATAGGGTAATGGTTTGAAAACATATTTTACTTTTTTTCCAGTGTATAACTGTTCAGAGTCACATGACAGAAAATCATAAAGACTTATCTAGGCAAATTTGCCAAGATACAGTGTTAATATATCTCGATTTGACTAGTTCTATCAGGGTCTAGCAGTAAGTTTCACATCTTAAGAATGGCTTCAGCTTTACTTTTGTAATATAAAATCACCTGCAGGGATGATTCTCAAAAATCAAATAACCCAGTAAAATTTTACTGCGTGAACTGAAAAACAGCTATAAACCAGCAATAATAATAATAATAAAAACTCAGGCAATTTACAGAAGATATTCTTCAAGAATCTATAAATAAAAAATACACCTTTTACATCATTGAAATACAATTTAAATATCTTCACACCTCTGTTTTAAAACTGATACTACAAGTATGAGGTTATTTTGTTCTTTGTTTTGTTTTCTGTTTGTTTTTGCTTTTTTTTTTTTTGAGTCAGAGTCTCACTCTGTTGCCCAGGCTGGAGGGCAGTGGCACGATCTCGGCTGACTGTAACCTCCGCCTCCTGGGTTCAAGTGATTCTCCTGCCTCAGCCTCCCAAGTAGCTGGGGTTACAGGCACCTGCCACCACACCCAGCTAATTTTTGTATTTTTAGTAGAGATGGGGTTTCACCATGTTGGCCAGGCTGGTCTTGAACTCCTGATCTCATGATCTGCCCACCTTGGTCTCCCAAAGTGCTGGGATTACAGGTGTGAGCCACCACGCCCGGCCAAGTATCAGTTTTATATTATGCCCACTCTCCCAATTTATTTATTTATTTAGAGATGGAGTCTTGCTCTGTCAGCCAGGCTGGAGTGCAGTGGCATGATCCTGGCTCACTGCAACCTCCACCTCCCAGGTTCAAACAATTCTCCTTCCTCAGCCTCCCAAGTAGCTGGGATTACAGGCACATGCCATCAGGCCCAGCTAATTTTTATATATATTTTTAGGAGAGATGGGGTTTCATCATGTTGGCCAGGCTGGTCTCGAACTCCTGACCTCAAGTGATCCACCCACCTTGTGGATCCCACACCCAAAGTGATGGGATTACAGGCGTGAGCCACCGTGCCTGGTGCCAATTTTTATATTACTTATAAATGAAGACTTCCTTTTAGTACTTTTTAAATTTACTCTACATCATTGTTACGGACTGAATGTTTGTGTCCTCCAAAAATTCATATGTTCACCAAGCGTGGTGGCTCATGCCTGTAATCCCAGCACTTCGGAAGACCAAGGCAGGAGGATTACTTGAGCCCAGGAGGTTGAGGCTGCAGTGAGCCATGATCATACCACTGCATTCCAGCCTGAATGACAGAGCAAGACCCAGTCTAAAAAAAAAAAAAAAATTGTAGGTTAAACTCCTAACCCTTGATGTGATGGTATTAGGAGGTGGGGCCTATAAGAGGTGATTAGGTCATGAGGGTAGAATCTTCACGAATGGGATTAGTACCTTAAAAGAAGGTCTTGCTTCTGCTCTCTACTTTCTGCCATGCAAGGATACGAAAAGACGACCATCTACAATTCAGGCAGCAGGGTCTCACCAGACACTGGATCTACCAGCATTTTGATCTTGGACTTCCCAGTCTCCAGAATCATGAAAAAGAAATTTCTGTTGTTTAAGCTACCCAGTCTATGGTAATTTGTCATAGCAGCCTAAACTAAGACAATCATGATTTCATTTTAATGAAGTTTGGCTATAAGACAGCAATTCTGATCTGTCATCAAGCATCCTAACATGTTTAGGTAGACATGCTTAAGTTCATAATACATATAAATCAATATAATTAGTGTTTCACATTGGAGTCTTAAATTTTTAAACTTCCTTGTTGTTACTTTGTCATTATATATAGTTACTACCAGTTACAAAAAAAGTAAACACTCAAATACAAACTAAATTTTTTGCCAAATTTAGATTTTACTCAGTTTTCCCTGTCTATCACGGAAATCATCACTTGCAAAATTGCACACTCCAAAAATACATGTAAATATAAAAGAGTGCTGTCTGGTTAAGGCAAGAATAACCATTACATAAAATGTGTTTCGGACGTTGGGAAAACAGCAAAATTGAAATTACTTTCTCACTGCATTGTAAATTTTTCAAAAATCATCTTAAAGAAACATGTTTAGGCCAGGCATGGTGGCTCATGCCTATAATTCCAGCACTTTGGGAGGCCATACATAACTGGTTGGTCACTTGAGGACAGGAGCTCAAGACCAGCCTGGCCAACATGGTGAAACCCTGTCTCTACAAAAATACAAAAATCAGCCGGGTGTGGTGGTGTGCCTGAAATTCCAGCTACTTGGGAGGCTGAGGCATGAGAATCACTTGAACCTGGGAGGCGGAGGTTGCAGTGAGCTGAGATCACACGACTGCACTCCAGCCTGGGTGAGGGAGTGAGACCTTGTCTCAAAAAAAAAAAAGGTTTTGGAAAAAATAATTATCAAAAGCCTAAACAATTGATGACTTCAGATTCCTTAGGCAGATTTTTTGATACAGCTGATTATTGAAGCAATTCAAGTGATCTCTCATCAAAGCAAGGATGGGTCAGGGGAGAACTCAGTGAGAACTAAAGCTAGAATTATCTAGTTTCATAAACAAGTTCTTCCTGAAACTCAGAAAGCAAAGAATGGCTGAATAGCACAGCCTGTCACATTTGAGAGTCGATTATAGAAGATCAGGTTCTAGAAGAGCTTCTAAGAGGTAAAGTAGAAAAGAGAAAAGAGCATATTTTTGGAGTTTTGCCACATGGGTTTATTCTCAGCACTGCCACTAACTGGCCTTGATACCTCAGGCCACTTCACTCAGCCTATCTGAAAAGGATGTTCTTTGCATTGATAACCTCATAGTCTCTTCTAGTCCTTTTTGCTACCAGCATATCTACAACTGGCTTCACTCTGTATTGGGCATTTATTCACTTAATAAGTATTTGCTGAGGTTTGAATGATGGCACCCCCTCCAAAAATTATGTTGAACTTAATCCCCATTGTGGTGGTATTAAGAGGCGTGGTATTTCAGGAGGTGATTAAGTCATGAGGGCTCCACCCTGAATGGACTGGGGCCCTTATAAAAAGGGTTTATGGGAGGAGGTCCACTCTGTTCAATCCTTTTGCAATGTGAGGACACAGGATTCATCATTCTTGCCCTTCCACCTTCTGCCATGTAAGCATGCAGCAAGAAGACCCTCACCAGATGCCAAATGCCAGTGCCTTGGGCTTGGACTTCCCAGCCTCCAGAACTGTGAGAAATAAATTTCTGTTCTTTATAAATTACCCAATCTCAGGTATTTTGTTATAGCAACACAAATATACTATGACAGCATTCACCGCATTTTGCTCCAAATATTGTACTAGACAATGCAAAGATGAGGAAGACAAGGTTCCTCTCTTTTTGAGAGGCTTGTAAAGTAACAATGTTAGTCCTATTCAATAAATGCTATAGTAAGAGTGGCACGAGTTCAGTGTCCAGGATACACTGAGGGAAAGGAAACTGGGGGCATGAGAGGAACTGGCAAGGAGGGCTTCCTAAAATGAAGGAACTGTTAAATAGCATCAGTGGCCCAGCTGAAGTTGGAAATTATGTATTTAAAATGGTTCTGGCTGGGCACTGTAGCTTATGCCTGTAATCCCAACACTTTGGGAGGCCAAGGTGAGAGGACTGCTTGGGCCCAGGAGTTCAAGACCAGCCTGGGCAACATAGCAAGACCTTGTCTCTAAAAAAATAAAATAAAATAAAGTGGTTCTGGCCACTGGAGTAGTACGTGGCAGCTACCAAATAGGAAATTATTCCCTGGATCCGACAGTTGCAGCTAAAACACTATCACCTCTTACGTTGACAGAAAAAATTAAGACCAGGATTTCTTAAGGGTAGAGTTATACTGTGCTTTTACCTGGAGGGGACGGTAATGTCAGAATAGACTGACTCCCATCTCTAGTCTTCCCCCACCCCCGTAAGCAAAGGGAACAGAGCTGAGTTCCCACAGGAAAGTGCTGGGTATTCTAAGAATGGGGAAGTAACAGTATTTTCTAATGTGAAACATGGGAAAAGTTTGTATTTTTTGTAACATACCCTGGCACCCTCTTATCTGCAGGGGACACGTTCCAAGACTTCCTGTGGATGCCTGACACTGCAGATAGTACCAAACCCTACATATACTATGTTTTTTTGATCTGATAATCAAGACATCTACTAAGTGACTAACGGGCAGGTAGCATATACAGTGTGGACAAAGTAGTGATTCACGTCCCACCCAGGCCGGGTGGTGAAAGATTTCATCATGCTACTCAGAATGGCACACAATTTAAAACTTATCAATTGCTTATTTATGGATTTTTCCATTTAATATTTCCAGATCATGGTTGGCCACAGATAACTGAAATTGCGGAGAGTGAAGCCACAGATAAAGGGGCCTACTGTACTTCTTTGCCAGTGGTTGAGGGGATGGGAACCTGAGAATTCTTATTGATCCCCATCACTTGGATTTTACCTGTCGTTAGATTTAGGTGCAGCAGAGCTATCAGTCTCTTGATAAATCTGAAATCCCTTTCAAAATTGAAATGTTCGAGTTGGGGTTCTTCAATTTTGTACAGTTGTCAACTTAGGGTTGCTTAGTTTTTAGCGTCTGGGATAAAACTGACTCAGCACCCAAAAATAAAACTGAAAAGATCATTCTTAATATAGATACCAGCATCCAAAGACAAGTATATTATTTACAGCAATTTTGTAAACTTTCTACGTTCCTCTGAGGTCATTGCACTTCTTTAGTTGCAGGTAATTGGACCTGACTAACTTAAGGGGGTTAATGGAAATGATTGGACAACATACCAAGACTCCCGTCTCTACAAAAAATAAAATAATTAGCTGGGCATGGTGGCCTGTGCCTGTAGTCTCAGCTCCTCAGGAGGCTGAGGTGGGAGGATCACCTGAACCCAGGAGTTAGAGGCTACAGTGAGCTATGATCATACCACTGCACAGCCAGACCCCGTCTCCAGAAAACATTTAAAAAAAAAAAAAAGGAATGGGGAAAGGAACACATAATCAACAGGGAAGCTGGGTTATGCAGGTTGAGAAGAAGACACAAAGAGTATTTCCTGAGGTCCAAGCAGCAGGAACTACTAGCCAGTATCCCGCAGGCAAAGTGGCTGCAAGGAAGGTACTATGGCCATTTCCAGTCTTTGAATTAGCCTGCTCAGGTTTTCGTTATGTTTTGGTTTGGTTTGGTTTGGTTTTAGTTTTGAATGTAGCATCTCCCTCTGTTACCCATGCTGGAGTACCCCGGCATGACTACGGCTCACTGCAGCAACCTCCGAGGTTCAACGATTCCTCCCACCTCGGCCTCCCAAAGCACTGGGATTACAGGTATGAGCCACCGCGCCCAGCCCAGCCTGCTCAGGTTTTAAATTCCAGAAAGGGAGGGTCTCAGTGCTCTAGCCTGAGTTATGGGCCCCAACCCCCTTTAGCTAAAAAGGGGATAAGGCAACCTGATTATTAGCCATCCCAGTTTGTATTCAATGAAAGAAAGGTAAATCCAAAAAGAAATCAAATTGCTGTGACCAAAAGAAATCTGGAATGGATACCATAAGGCACCAAAGCAACACAGACCCATTGCACTGTCTTACTAACAAATACACAGTCATTTTCTTTAACCATCATAAGAAGTATCCACTAGAACTCTTAGAACCCTGAAGACAAATGCACTTCAATTAGGATATAATTCTGAGTGAATCCTTGTCCTTAGTAAACATGTGAGAATCTCAAAGAACAGTGAAATTTGATAACTATGTATGTAGGCCAGAGCCAAGAGGCACAAGCTTGGTGAGAATTATCAAAAAAAGGAGACCAGGTACAGTGGCTCATACCTATAATCCCAGCACTTTGGGAGGCAGAGGCAGAGGCTGGGCAACAAAGCAAGACCTCATCTCTACAAAAAAAAAAAATAAGAAAAATTAGCAGGGCATGGTAGCATGTGTCTGTAGTCCCAGCTACTTAGAGGCTGAAGTGGGAGGATCACTTGAGCCCAGGAGTTTGACGCTGCAGTGAGTTATGATTGCACCACTGCACTCCAGCCTGGGTAACAGAGGTTTTGTCTCTCCAGAAAAAAAAGAACATGAATTATGCAAACAGTAGTCACAAAGGAGATGGAATACCTGTACTGATACCAGACAAAACAGACTTTAAGAGAAGAAACATTACAAGAGACACAGAGAGACTTTCTATGGCAAAAGGGTCAATGCATCAGGTAGATATATGCAATTATAAATGTATATGAGCCTAACAACAGTGCCCAAATACAGGAAGCAAAAACTGACAAAACTGGAAGAAGAAACAGACAATTCAGCAATAAGAGTTGGATATTTCAATAACTAATAGAACAAGAAAGAAAATCAGTAAGAATACAGAAGGCCACCAAACAAGTCTCAAAAAATGTAAAGAGGTTAAAAATATACAAAGTATGTTCTCAGCCAAGTGTGGTGACTCATGTCTGTAATCCTACCACTTTGAGAAGCTGAGGCAGGAGGATCACTTGAGCCCAGAAGTTCAAGACCAACCTGGGCAACATGGCAAAACCTTGTCTCTACAAAAAATTAGCTGGATGTGGTGGCATGCACCTGTAGTTCCAGCTACTCAGGAGGCTGAGATGGAAGAATCACCTGAGCCCAGGAGGTTGAGGCTGCAGTGAGCTGTAATAGAGCCACTGCACTATACCAGCCTAGGTGACAGACAGACCCTGTCTCAAAAAAAGAAAAAAAAGGAGGGTGTTCCAATATGGCCAAATAGGAACAGCTCTGGTCTGCAGCTCCCAGCATGATCAATGCAGAAGACGGGTGATTTCAACAAAGCTGGATGGAGAATGACCTTGATGAGTTGACAGAAGTAGGCTTCAGAAGGTCAGTAATAACAAAGTTCTCTGAGCTAAAGGAGCATGTTCTAACCCATTGCAAGGAAGCTAAAAATCTTGAAAAAAGATTAGATGAATGGCTAACTGGAATAAACAGTGTAGAGAAGACCTTAAATGACCTGATGGAGCTGAAAACCATGGCACGAGAACTTCGTGATGCATGCACAAGCTTCAATAGCCGATTCAATCAAGTGGAAGAAAGGGTATCAGTGATTGAAGACAAAATTAATGAAATAAAGGAAGAAGACAAGGTTAGAGAAAAAAGAGTAAAAAGAAATTAGTAAAGCCTCCAAGAAATATGGGACTATGTGAAAAGACCAAATCTACATTGGATTGTTGTACCTGAAAGTGATGGGGAGAATGGAACCAAGTTGGAAAACACTCTTCAGGATATCATCCAGGAGAATTTCCCCAACCTAGCCAGGCCAACATTCAAATTCAGGAAATACAGAGAACACCACAAAGATACTCCTAGAGAAGAGCAACCCCAAGACACATAATTGTCAGATTCACAAGGTTGAAATGAAGGAAAAAGTGTTAACGGCAGCCAGACAGAAAGGTCGAGTTACCCATAAAGGTAAGTCCATCAGACTAACAGCAGATCTCTCGGCAGAAACCCTATAAGCCAGAAGAGAGTGGGGGCCAATAATCAACATTCTTAAAGAAAAGAATTTTTTCCACCCAGAATTTCATATCCAGCTTCATAAGGGAAGGAGAAATAAAATCCTTTACAGACAAGCAAATGCTGAGAGATTTTGTCACCACCAGGTCTGCCTTACAAGAGCTCCTGAAGGAAGCACTAAACATGGAAAGGAACAACCGGTACCAGCCACTGCAAAAACATGCCAAATTGTAAAGACCATTGATGCTGTGAAGAAACTGCATCAACTAACGGGCAAAATAACCAGTGAACATCATAGTGACAGGATCAAATTCACACATAATAATCTTAACCTTAAATGTAAGTGGGCTAAATGCCCCAATTAAAAGACACAGACTGGCAAATTGGATAAAGAGTCAAGACCCATCAGTGTGCTGTATTCAGGAGACCCATCTCATGTGCAAAGACACACACAGGCTCAAAATAAAGGGATGGAGGAAGATCTACCAAGCAAATGGAAAGCAAAAAAAAAAAAAGCAGGGGTTGCATTCCTAGTCTCTGATAAAACAGACTTTAAACCAACAAAGATCAAAAGAGACAAAGAAGGCCATTATATAATGGTAAAGAGATCAATTCAACAAGAAGAGCTAACTATGCTAAATATATATGCACCCAATACAGGAGCACCCAGATTCATAAAGCAAGTCCTTAGAGACCTACAAAGAGACTTAGACTCCCATACAATAATAATGGGAGACTTTAACACCCCACTGTCAATATTAGACAGATCAGTGAGACACAAGGTTAACAAGGATATCCAGGACCTGAACTCAGCTCTGCAACAGGCAGACCTAATAGACATCTACAGAACTCTCCACCCCAAATCAACAGAATATACATTCTTCTCAGCACCACATCACACTTATTCTAAAATTGACCACATAATTGGAAGTAAAGCACTCCTCAGAAAATGTAAAAGAACAGAAATCACAACAAACTGTCTCTCAGACCACAGTGCAATCAAATCAGAACTCAGGATTAAGATACTCATTCAAAACTGCACAACTACATGTAAACTGAACAACTTGCTCCTGAATGACTACTGGGTACATAACAAAATGAAGGCAGAAATAAAGATGTTGAAACCAATGAGAACAAAGACACAACGTACCAGAATCTCTGGGACACATTTAAAGCATTGTGTAGACAGAAATTTATAGCACTAAATGCCCACAAGAGAAAGCAGGAAAGATCTAAATTTGACACCCTAACAACACAATTAAAAGAACTAGAGAAGCAAGAGCAAACACATTCAAAAGCTAGCATAAGGCAAGAAATAACTAAGCTCAAAGCAGAACTGAAAGAGACAGAGAAACAAAAAACCCTTCAAAAAAATCAATGAATCCAGGAGCTGGGTTTTTTTTTTTAAACATCAACAAAATTGATAGACTGCTAGCAAGACTAATAAAGAAGAAAAGAGAGAAGAATCAAATAGATGCAATAAAAAATGGTAAAGGGGATATCACCACTGATCGCACAGAAATACAAACTACTATCAGAGAATACTATAAACACCTCTACACAAATAAACTAGAAAATCTAGAAGAAATGGATAAATTCCTGGACACACACACCCTCCCAAGACTAAACCAGGAAGAAGTTGAATCTCTGAATAGACCAGTAACAGGCTCTAAAATTGAGGCAATAATAAATAGGCCACCAGTCAAAAAAAGTCCAGGACCAGACGGATTCACAGCCGAATTCTACCAGAGGTACAAAGAGGAGCTGGTACCATTCCTTCTGAAACTATTCCAATCAGTAGAAAAAGAGGGAATCCTCCCTAACTCACTTTATGAGGCCAGCATCTTCCTGATACCAAAGCCTGGCAGAGACACAACAAAAAAAGAGACTTTTAGGCCAATATCCCTGATGAACTCAATGTGAAAATCCTCAATAAAATACTGGCAAACCGAATCCAGCAGCACATCAAAAAGCTTATCCACCAAGATCAAGTTGGCTTCATCCCTGGGATGCAAGGTTGGTTCAACATATGCAAATCAATAATCATAATCCATCACACAAACAGAACCAATGACAAAACCCACATGATTATCTCAATAGATGCAGAAAAGGCCTTTGACAAAATTCAACAGCCCGTCGTGCTAAAAACTCTCATTTGACTAGGTATTGATGGAACGTATCTCAAAATAATAAGAGCTATTTTATGACAAACCCACAGCCAATATCATACTGAATGGGCAAAACTGGAAGGATTTCCTTTGAAAACCGGCACAAAACAAGGATGCTCTCTCTCACCATTCCTGTTCAACATGGTGTTGGAAGTTCTGGCCAGGGCAATCAGGCAAAAGAAATAAATAAAGGGTGTTCAATTAGAAAATGAGGAAGTCAAATTGTCCCTGTTTGCAGATGACATGATTGTATATTTAGAAAACCCCATCATCTCAGCCCAAAATCTTCTTAAGCTGATAAGCAACTTCAGGAAAGTCTCAGGATACAAAATCAATGTGCAAAAATCACAAGCATTCCTATACACCATTAACAGACAAACAGAGAGCCAAATCATGAGTGAACTCCCATTCACAATTGCTACAAAGAGAATAAAATACCTAGGAATCCAACTTACAAGGGATGTGAAGGACCTCTTCAAGGAAGAACTACAAACCACTGCTCAACAAAATGAAAGAGGACACAAACAAATGGAAGAATATTCCATGCTCATGGATAGGAAGAATCAATATCGTGAAAATGGCCATACTGCTCAAAGTAATTTATAGATTCAATGCCATCCCCATCAAGCTACCAATGACTTTCTTCACAGAATTGAAAAAAACTGCTTTAAAGTTCATATGGAACCAAAAAAGAGCCTGAATTGCCAAGACAATCCTAAGCAAAAAGAACAAAGCTGGAAGCATCATGCTACCTGACTTCAAACTATCCTACAAGGCTACAGTAACCAAAACGGCATGGTACTGGTACTAAAACAGACATATAGACCAATGGAACAGAACAGAGGCCTCAGAAATAATACCACACATCTACAACCATCTGATCTTTGACAAACCTGACAAAAACAAGAAATGGGGAAAGGACGCCCTATTTAATAAATGGTGCTGGGAAAACTGGCTAGCCATATGCAGAAAGCTGAAACTGGATCCCTTCCTTACACCTTATACAAAAACTAATTCAAGATGGATTAAAGACTTAAATGTTAGACCTAAAAACCCTAAAAACCCTAGAAGAAACCTAGGCAGTACCATTCAGGACATAGGCATGGGCAAGGACTTCATGCCTAAAACACCAAAAGCAATGGCAATAAAAGCCAAAATAGACAAATGGGATCTAATTAAACTAAAGAGCTTCTGCACAGCAAAAGAAACTACCATCAGAGTGAACAGGCAACCTACAGAATGGGAGAAAATTTTTGCAATCTACCCATCTGACAAAGGGCTAACATCCAGAATCTACAAAGAACTCAAACAAATTTACAAGAAAAAAACAAACAACCCCATCAAAAAGTGGGCAAAGGAAATGAACAGACACATCTCAAAAGAAGACGTCTATGCAGCCAACAGACACATGAAAAAATGCTCATCATCACTGGTCATCACAGAAGTGCAAATCAAAACCGCAAAGAGATACCATCTCACGCCAGTTAGAATGGCAATCATTAAAAAGTCAGGAAACAACAGATGCTAGCAAGGATGTGGAGAAATAGGAACGCTTTTACACTGTTGGTGGGAGTGTAAATTAGTTTAACCATTGTGGAAGACAGTGTGGCGATTCCTCAGGGATCTAGAACTAGAATTACCATTTGACCCAGCAATCCCATTACTGGGTATATACCCAAAGGATTGCAAATCATACTACTATAAATCATGCACATGTATGTTTATTGCAGCACTATTCAGAATAGCAAAGACTTGGAACCAACCCAAATGTCCATCAGTGATAGACTGGATTAAGAAAATGTGGCACATATACACCATGAAATACTATGCAGCTATAAAAAAGGATGAGTTCATGTCCTTTGCAGGGACACGGATCAGGCTGGAAACCATCATTCTCAGCAAACTTTCTCAGCAAACTATCACAAGGACAGAAAACCAAACACCGCATGTTCTCATTCACAGGTGGGAACTGAACAATGAGATCACTTGGACACATGGCAGGGAACATCACACACCGGGGTCTGTCAGCGGACGGGGGGCTGGGGGCGGGATAGCATTAGGAGAAATATCTAATGTAAATGATGAGTTGATGGGTGCAGCAAACCAACATGGCACATGTATAACTATGTATCAAACCTGCACGTTGTGCGCATGTACCCTAAAACTTACAGTATAATTTAAAAAGAAAAAAGAAAAGAAAAGGAAAGAAAACAAAAAGGATGTTCTCTGCACTCAACCAAAAACCCTAAAATTTGTATGGAACCACAAAAGACCGCGAATAGACAAAGCAACCCTGGGCAAGAACAAAACTAGGGCCAGGCGCAATGGCTCATGCCCGTAATCCCAGCACTTTGGGAGGCCGAGATGGGCGGATCACCTGAGGTCAGGAGTTGGAGACCAGCCTAGCCAACATGGTGAAACCCTGTCTCTACTAAAAATACAAAAATTAGCCTGGCATGATGACATGTGCCTGTAATCTCAGCTACTCAGGAGGCTGAGGCAGGAGAAACACTTGAACCTGGGAGGCTGAGGTTGCCGTGAGCCAATATCACGCCACTGCACTCTAGCCTGGGCAAAAGAGTGAGACTGTATCTCAATAAATAAGTAAATAAATAAATAAGAACAAAGCCAGAGGCATCACACTACCAGACCTCAAAATATACTACATAGCTGTAGTAACCAAAACAGCATGGTACTGGCATAAAAATAGACACATAGAACAATGGAACAGAAAAGAGAACCTAGAAATTAATCCACGTATCTACAGCCATCTGATTTTGGACAAAGGTGCCAAGAATACTCATTGAGGGAAAGACAAATCTTCAATAAATGGTGCTGGGAAAGCTGGACATCCATATGCAAAAGAATTAAACTAGGCCCCCACCTCTCACCCAATACAAAAATAAACTCCAAATGGACAAAAGACCTAAATGTAAGGCCCAACATGATAAAACTACTAGAAGAAAACATAGGGGAAACACTTCAGGACACTGGTCTAGGAGAAGATTTTATTAATAAGACCTCAAAAGCACAGACAACAAAAGCAAAAATAAACAAATGGATTATATCAAACAAAAACGCTTCTGCACAATAAAGGAAGCAATCCACAAAGTGAAAAGACAATCTACAGGATGGGAGAAAAATACCTGCAAACTACTCATCCAATAGGGGATTAATATCCAGAATACAGAAGGAACTCAAACAACTCAATAGCAAAAAATATCCAATTTTTTAAATGGGTAAATGATTTGAACAAATATTTCTCAAAAGCAGACATACAAATGGCAAACAAATGTATGAAAAAAGGCCCAATATCACTAATTATCAGGGAAATGCAAATCAAAATCACAATGAGGTATCATCTCACTCCAGTTATAACTGCTATTACCAAAACACAAAAAGTAACTCATGCTGGCAAGGATACAGAGAAAAGGGAGCTCTTATACACTGTTGGCGGGAATGTAAACTAGTACAGCCACTATGGAGAAAAGTATGGAGGTTCCTCAAAAAACTACAAATAGAACTACCATATGATCCAGCAATCCCACTACTGGGAATTTATCCAAAGGAAAGGAAATCAGTATATTGAAGAGACATCTTCACCCCCATGTTTATTGCAGCACTATTCATAATAGCCAAGATATGGAATCAAACCTAGGTGTCCAACAATGGATGAATGGATAAAGACAATGTGGTGTATATACACAATGGAATACTATCAGCCATAAAAAAGAACAAAATTCTGTCTTTTGCAACAACACGGATAGAACAGCAGGACATTATGTTATGTGAAATAAGCCAGGAACAGAAAGTTAAACACTGCATGTTCTTACTCATATGTGAAAGCTAAAAAAAGTTGATCTCAAAGAAGTAAAAATTAGAATAGAGAATACTAGAGGATGGGATGGGTAGGGGGAAGGGAAGGAGATATAGCAACTTGTTAAACGACACAAAATTACCTTGATCTGGTCACTGCATATTAGATGTATTGAAACATCACTAGGTACCCCAAGAATATGTATAATTATTGTCTGTCAATTTTAAAATTTTTAAATTAATAACAAAAACAAAAAAAACTGACAAAATTAATAAAACCAAAAGTTGGTTCCTTGAACAATCAGACACAGTAATTAAGATGGCAACTCTCCCCAAATGGATCTATACATTATTTCTTTTTATTATTATTATTATTATTGTTATTTTTAGAGAAAGATAGGGTCTCACTATGTTGCTCAGGCTGGTCTCAAATTCCTGTGTTCAAGTGATTCTCCTACCTCTGCCTCCCAAAGTGCTGGGATTACAGGTGTGAGCCACTGCACCCAGCCTTTTTAAAATCTATACATGCAAAGCAATCTCTATCAAAGTCACTGTTTAATATAAACTGATAAGCTAATCCTAAAATTTAAACGAAAATGCAAAGGACATAGACTAGTCCAAAACTACCTTTTAAAAAGAACTTACATTAGTTGCAAGTTGGAGAACTTACATTACCTTATTTCAAAAATATACTCTAAAACTAGAAATCAAGACAATGTGGCATTGACATTAAGAAAATCATACAGAACAGTGGAATCCAGAAATAAACCGTTATATTTTATGTTCAATTGATTTTCAACAAAAGGACAAATGGGAAAAGGATAGATTTTCCTAAGATAGCGAGATGAAAAAAAAATTAACTTAGACCCTTACCTCACACCATATACAAAAATTACCTCAAAATGGTTCACAGACCTAAGTGTATAAACTGAGAATCTTGAATTAAACATAGGAGAAAATCTTTGTGACCTTGAATTAATAAGCAAATAGTTGTAAAGATGCAACACAAAAAGAATAAACCATTGAAGAAAAAAATTGATATTAGACTTCAATAAAACTAAAAATGTTCACACTTCAAAAGACACTATTAGGAAAACGAAAATATAAGCCACAGAGTGGGAGAAAATATTTGTAGATCACATATCTGATAAGGGACTTGTATCTAAACTACATAAAAACTTTCATAAGTTATCAATAATATGACAAATAACCCAATATAAAAATGAATTCTGATACATGCTACATTATGGATGGACCTTGAAAACATTATGCTAAGTGAAAAAAGCCAGACACAAAAGTACAAATTATTGTCTGATTCCACTTATATGAAGTAGCTAGAATAAGCAAATTCATAAGGACAGAAAATAGAATAGAGGTCACCAGGGGCTGAGGGGAAAGTGGAGTGGGGAGTTACTTTTTAATGGGAACAAAGTCTCACTTTGGGATGATGGAAATCTTTTGGAAATAGACAGTAATAATGATTGCCCAACATTGTGAATGTACTTAATGTCATTAGATTATACACTTAAAATGGTTAAAATGGTAGCTTTTTTCCCCACAATGAAGAAAATCTAACTTTAATAAAATGGGTAGAAGACTTACATAGACATTTCACCAACAAAGACATACAAATGATCAATAAGCATATGAAAAGGTGTTCAAGATCATTAGTCATTAGGAAAATACAAATTAAAACCACAATGAGATACCACTACACATCCATTAGAATGACTATAATAAAAAAAGATAATGCCAAGTATTGCTGAGGGGGTAGAGAAACTGGGACCTTCATACATTGCTTGTGGGATTGTAAAATGTTATAGCCACTTTGGAAAATTATTTGGCTATGTTTTTTTTTTTTTTTTTTGAGATGCAGTCTCGCTCTGTCGCCCAGGCTGGAGGGCAGTGGCATGGTCTTGGCTCACTGCAAGCTGCAGCTCCCAGGTTCACGCCATTCTCCTGCCTCAACCTCCCGAGTAGCTGGGACTACAGGCACCCGCTACCTCGCCCAGCTAATTTTTTGTGTTTTTAGTAGAGATGGGGTTTCACTGTGTTAGCCAGGATGGTCTCAATCTCCTGACCTTGTGATCCACCTGCCTCGGCCTCCTTAAGAGCTGGGATTACAGGCATGAGCCACCGCGCCCTGCCAGCTATGTTTTAAAAAGTTAAACATAAGCTCACTATAAGACCCAGCAATTCTACTCCTAGTAATTTACCCAAGAGAAATAAAGACATATTTTCACATCAAAGACCTGTCACAAATGTTCATAGCAGCTTTACTCATAAAAGCTAAGAACTGGAAACAAACCAAATGCCCATCAGTTCATGAATGGTTAAACAGAATGTGGTATATCCAGAAAATAGAATATTACTCAGACATAAAAAGGAATATGATACATGCTAGGATATGTCTGAACCGCAGAAAGATTATGCTAAATGAGAGAGGCCAGGCTGGGCACAGTGGCTCACATCTGTAATCCCAGCACTTTGGGAGGCTGAGGCAGACAGATTGCTTGAGCCCAGGAGTTCAAGCCCTGTCTGGGCAACATAGTGAGACGATGTCTCTACAAAAAATACTATAGTATAGATGGACCTTGTAGTATTAAAAATACAAAAATTAGCTGGGCATGATTGTGCACACCTGTAGTCCCAGCTACTTGGGACGCCGATGCAGGAGGATCGGTTGAGCCTGAGAGGTCAAGGCTTCAGTGAGCCATGATTGCACAACTGCATTCAAAACAAACAAACAAACAAACAAACAAAAAGAAAGAAAAGGAAAGAAAGAAGCCAGATGCGAAAGACCTCATATTGTAAGGTTTCCATTTATATGAAATGTCTGGAAAAGACCAATTTCTAGAGATAGAAAGTAGATGAGTGGTTGCCTGGGCTGGGGTAGAAGTAGGAATTGACTGCAAACAGGCTTATGTGAATTTTGGGAAGGTGATGGCAGTGTCCTAAAATTGAATTGTGTTGAGGTTGCACAATTTTATAAATTTACTAAAAATCATTTAATTTTACACTTTTTGTGACATTTACATTATATCTCAATAAAGCGGTTAAAATAAATACATACATACAAATCTGACAATGGAAAAAAAAGAAATGAGGTTTAATTTTAGGAAGCATAATTCAGATATAATCTCCATCACAGGAAGCAAAAGTTTTCCTTAATCTAGCCATATATCTATTAGTATTCATATATTCAGTCATTACATGTGAAAGATATGAACATTGCGTAGTGAGGGAAACCCAAGCCCTAAATGATCTGAAGCTTTCTGAACTAAACTGTGTGGTCCCTGTGATTGCTCAATAAATAGCAGTAAATCTACCAATTCTAAAAATAGACAATATTGGCCTTTTATTGGTCTCATTTCAAAGAAAACTACAGCAGTAAAAAGGGGAGTCTGAGGAGCAATCCAAATGCCTAAATTGTTTGAGTAATAAACTGTATTACATATAATCATTATGACCTAGAAACATTTAATCTGAAGCAACAGAGTCTGACCTTAGTAATTGACTTAATAGCTGTCTTCAAAGATATGAAAGATTATAGAGTGAAACTATTCGACTAGTTCTTCTCTCTCTTCATTAAGAGCCAAACAAAATAAAATCATTTAATAATCAGCAAGGTAAATTTAGATTAAACATAACACTAACAGTAACTGTTATCAAACACTGGAATAAATTTAATTAGGATATTTCTGCAAGCTGTCTCCTTGGCGATCATTAAGAATAGACAAGACAGACAGCTTTGTTCTAAATGCAGTACTGCCTGGGAGGTAGGAGTTAGATGTGGGTGACCTCCTGACATGGAGCAATTCTGTGGAAAGGGACATAGGCCACCTGACTTTCACAAACCTTACCTCGATATCCCGATTAAGTTGCTTCACTATGGCAGTTATGTTTCTGATATGCTCCTCCAAGAAAAGCCTGGCCAAGCGGTCACCTCCCCCTTTGTTTTGCATTTTCTGCAAACTGTTGACAATGTCATCTTTAATCCGAAAGGCGTGCTCTACGAGGGCGGCGGTGGTTTTCTCATGGCAGAGGATCCTGTCTTCCAGCTGCTCCACGAGGCTTACAGATGAGTATGGTGCCATGGTCAGGGACTGGCTGTGTCGGGGCATGGTTCTCACTCGCCTGCAGAAGGGAACCATGAGGGTTGTTAATTGGGAAAAAATAATGTTTAAAGCCAGATTCAAAACTTCCCAGAGAAGTCTGGAAATACAAATTATCTATAACTACAAGCTAAATAGGGTTTGAGGCAGGATTTCTGCCTAAAAAAGTTTTCTTCACAAGCCGGGAAAGATCTTTAAATAATCATGCCCACAGACTTCAGTGTTTTAGAAGCGGTCTCCATGACTTCCAAGAGCAAGAGGCTGGCAGAGTTGGGTACACCGAGATGTCTCCCCAATATAATCTATGTTATCAAGATCAAGTGCATTAACAAAGTCTCCTAACATGCTCTCCTCCTCCTCCCTCTCTGAAACAGTGGTTACAAACTCAATGCCTACGTGGGTCAGGCAGGCGACATAAATGAGTGAAGCATACTACATATGAGGCAATAGGGAGTGTCAGGGATTTAGAGATCTGGAAAGGGCATTTCCCAGCTAAAGGGAGCCACAGTTCTGCTCCACCCATGAGTGACCATCAGGGATTTCAGGTCCCTTTTTCCAGATGATCTGATATTTCTCAAGAAAAGCTAGCAAATCCCGACTTGTATGTGAAATCGCTTGATTTTAAAATGTTAACGATTCATTTAAAAAGTATTTAAGGCCAGCACAGTGGCTCACACCTGTAATCCCAACACTTTGGGTGGCTGAGGTGGGAGGACTGCTTGAGCCCAGGAGTTTAAGATCAGCCTGGGCAACACAACGAGACCCTATCTCTACAAAAAAAATTATTTAAAAATTAGCTGGGCATGGTGGCACATAACTATAGTCCCAGCTACTCAGGAGGCTAGGTGGGAGATCACCTAAGCCCAGGAGGTCAAGGCTGCAGTGAGCTGTGACTGTGCCACTGCACTCTAGCCTGGGGAACAGAGTGAGACCCTGTCTCCAAAAAAAGTATTTAAGAACATGCTAGGCCAAGCAATGTACTTCATGAGCCAATTTTGGCCGATAGGCCCCTAATCTGCAACTTCTGATTTAAAAAGCTTAACAGGGATGTTAGCCTGAAGCCCCCGGAGTTATATTTCACTCTCAACAGGAAATTCAAGTCTACTGTAGGACTACTGTGAAATCTCTACTTCTTGGGGTCACTGAGTGGTCCACAGTATCCTATAAATTGAAAGCTAGAGGACACAATAGTGTTTCTCTTGCCCTTGAACAAAACCATTCTCCGATAATGTAACAGCCCAAGCTTTGATTTGTAACTATCACACCCACTAGCAGCCCCCATGGGATGAGTGGAAAGGAAAAGTATACCTTAGATGCATATTTTCCATATATTATACCTTTCCTTGGTGACACGAGAAGGAAATACAGTGCTCCGTTGGGCCATTTTCTTTTTAATAATTCACATCTGTTGAAAAAATAAGCACTAAATTATTTAACAGTTTATATCTAGAACTTAACCTCAAAAGCTTATTATTAAGTTGCTAAGTGGATCATAAATTATGTTGAAACACTGATAAGTTATATTATTAAATGTTTTGTATCTTATACATGAAATAAACAGCATATGTTTCCAAATAAGAAGAAAAGCAATCAAGCAAAATCAAAGCTCTTCTGAAATTAATATTGCTAAGCCTTGCAAGACAGACCAACAGGGACTGTACAATGGAGTTTCCTGAAGTTTCCTCACTCCAAATCTGCATCTCAAGCTTGAGAAACCACTTTTAACAGAAACTAGAGTGTTTAATAGGCTTATCCAATCTTATACTTCTCTGTAGAATTTTGCAGGAAACTACCTCAGTAAATTTGATCTCAGAAAACTTTTACTACTAATTCCATGGTAAATGAAGAGCACTTATTTCTAAATTAATCTCAAATAAAACAGCACATGATCAATGTGATCTGATTTGTGGGAAGATATCTATCCACCAAGGGAGTGAGAAAGATATTCCTCATTAGAACTTGAAAACTTTATAATAAGATACAATCATTCATATTTCATCTTGCATATAAGGAACATTTGGTCCCCACAACTCATTAGAAATGTGAAAAACACTAGAGGATGTTTAAAATACTTTATTATTTAGGTTCCTCAATACTGCTATCAATTGCCTTAAAATAATGAATGCCTACTAACTATGATCTGATTC
The DNA here is from genome assembly GCF_000001405.40 of Homo sapiens. Classification (NCBI taxonomy): domain Eukaryota; kingdom Metazoa; phylum Chordata; class Mammalia; order Primates; family Hominidae; genus Homo; species Homo sapiens. The sequence continues at coordinate 59,457,807 of NC_000015.10, read as the reverse complement.
CATAATTAATTCTCATTTAGATGCTGGATTCAGAAAGCATTTCTGATTGAAATCACTGTTTTGGCGTCATCTCTCTAGTGTTTTATTTTTGGAGTTTCAAAATGTGCACATTTCATTTTCTTAGACAAAGAACTTTAAACAAATTACATTTAAGGAAAAAAAAGTCATTCATGCCAAACAAGCTATGGTGCCCAAAGAGTTCTTCAGTGTCAAAGAGAAGCATTTCTGCCATATAGACTACAGTAGCCCTCCCTCATCTGTCAGGGGTACATTCCAAGACCCCCAGTGGATGCCTGAAACCGAAGCCTATATATACTATTCTTTTCTACACATACATACTCATGATTAAGTTTAATTCATAAATTAGGCACAGTGCTCTTGCACTTTGGGGCTATTATGAAGTAAAATAAGGGTTACTTGGTCACAAGCACTGCAATACCCCAACAGTCAATCTGATAACAGAGATGGCTATTAAGTGACTCACAGGGCCAGGTATACATGGTGTGGATATGCTGGACAAGAGGATGATTCCCGTTCTGGGCAGGAGGGAGCAGGATCGCACAAGATTTCATCACACTATTTCAGAACAACACACAATTTAAAACTTATGAATTGTTTATTTCTAGAATTTTTTATTTAATATTTTTGACCATGGTTGACCTTGGATAATGTGGAAAGTGAAACCATCGATAAGGGGGGACTACCGTAAATAAAATCAGGCCAGTGTGGGAAATGCTGTTATTTAGAATCATAGAATCTTTACAGTTTTAAAGTTGTAAGACATCTCAGTTGAGATATTAATCTACAGAATAGCCTAACTTAAGAAACATGTATTTGGCATCTATTAGGTAATTAAGTAACCTAACTAGGAAAAACTAAAATCCCTTCCCTCAGCAGAAGTCATCTAAACCAACCAGAAAACAATGGGTTGTGGCTCATGCCTGTAATCCCAGCACTTTGGGAGGCCAAAGTTGGAGGATTGCTTGAGCCCAGGAGTTCAAGCCCAGAATTTCGAGGCCAGCTGGGCAACATGGCGAAATCCCATCTCTACAAAAAATACAAAAATTAGCCAGGCGTATTGATGCACACCTGTAGTCCAAGCTACTCTGGAGGCTACTCAGGAGGATCACCTGAGCCCAGGGAGGCTGAGGCTACAGTGAGCCATGATAGCGCCACTGCACTCCAGCCTGGGCAATAGAGGAGACTCTGTCTCAAATACAAACAAACAAAAACAATGGGTTAAGTGGCTAACCCTGTGAAAAAAAGCACATGGGGAGGGAAAACAGGAGAGGGGTCGATTTTTCCTGGGTAGCAGCTAGGTCAGGAAGAACTGATGAGAATGAGTAGGCTTTCCCAAAATAGGGGATGGAGAGATTGTTCCACAGCTTCTCTTCAACACTCCAACCTCTACTTCCTTTCTTCTGAACATGCTCTGGCCTGCCTAACCTGTTCTTCCGCCCTCATATTTGGCCACTCCCTACCACAATCACCTGCTCCAGTCACCGGGAACCCCCGCCCCCGCCACCCCATCCACCACCGTCCTTGGATATGTCCTGCACACTCCTGCCATCACACCTCTGTGCGTGCGCTCTATGGGAAATGCCCTTCCCACCCCTGCCAGCCTAGAAAATTCATGCACTCTTTAAAGCCCCACTAGCCCCTCCAGTCTATAAAGTGGCTCTCTCTCTTGCATTTCTCCAGCTCTTTATCTGTTTGTATACTATTTATTGTGCTCTATTCTTTTTAGTTGTTTAATAGTCTAGCTCCCCTACTAAATGACACGCTCCTTACAGGCATGTTTCAAATCTTAATAAACACAGGGCTGACCTAGAAGTATCCATATATGTTTGTTAATGAATGAGTGAATGCCCAGCACTTCCAGATCAGAAACTGCAGCAATAAAGATATAAGACAATATACTTTAGTTAAAAAGTATAATTATTTACCAAGACTGAATCCCAAATATTAGACACTCAATAAGTATCTGAAAGAATGGGGACTTTGGCATCCCCTTCTCTGAAGGCCATTTCATCTACCTGAACAGAGCCACAAAAGTCAAGCCACACCACTGATTATCGGAGATGGCTTTTCAGAAGCAAACCCTCCTAAGCGCTATGCAGCTCTATGACAAGAAATTTCATAAGGCATGAGCTCACAAGACACATTATTCAGAATGGGTGCCCTTTATGAATGTGGTGAGGATCTGCATATCTGGCAGGTCGCTTGGTTTGTTAGCATCACGATTCTTTGCCAGAACGTGGAATCTATATTGCAGATGAATAAAGATTGATAATGAATAAGTCACAGGATTAAATAACATCTCAAGCATTGTTTCCAGATCTTCCCGTTGTTAATTCTGGCTTACCTGCCTGAGGTTATCATCTCCTGTACGTTTATAAATCTGATCACTGATACCACAGGTCTGTCTACAACCTTATCACACAGGTCTGGGTTTCATGCTGTTTTGATTGTGCAGTGATTCCACTATATTAAACAATATATTAAACAATCTCCACTTTATAAAGTTTTAAAATTGGGGGAAGTTGGGGGAAGGGACAGGTAGGTAAAGCAAGAAGAAAAGAATGGAAAGAAGTAAGAAAAAATAAACTCTGGGGCCAGGCACTGTGGCCTGTAATCTCAGCACTTTGGGAGGTTGAGGTAAGTGGATGGCTTGAGCTCAGGAGTTTGAGACCAGCCTGGGCAATATGGTGAAATGCCATCTCTACAAAAAAAAAAAAAAAAGTTAGCCAGGTGTGGTGGCACACACCTGTAGTCTCAGCAACCTGGGAGGCTAAGGTGAGCCCAGGAGTTTGGGACCAGCCTGGGCAACATGGCAAAACCCCATCTCTACAAAAAATACAAACAAAAAAAAATTAGCCAGGTGTGGAGGCACACACCTGTAGTCCTACCTGGGAGGCTAAGGTGGGAGGATTTCTTGAGCCTAGGAGTTTGAGACCAGCCTGGGCAACAAAGCAAAACCCCGTCTCTACAAAAAGTAAAAAAAAATAAAAAAAATTAGCTGGGCATGGTGGCATGCATCTGTAGTCCCAGCTACCCGGGAGGCTAAGGTGGGAAAATCACCTGAGCCTGGGAGGTCAAGGCTGCAGTGAGCCATGACTGCACCACTGCACTCTAGCCTGGGTGACAGAGTAAGACCCTGTCTCAAAAAAAGAAAAAAGAAAAATAATCCAAATGCCCAAAATATGCAATATATAAATAGAATTCAGAAGTTCACAGAAGAGTAAAGTGAAATGCTATTATCTAAATCAAAATGATTATTTGTGATTATGAGGATTCTGTGAAGGGAGAAACAAAAAAGGAAGTAGATATACATAGAGATGAATATTTTAAAATTTTAATGAAAAAGAAGACATTAATGCCAACCAATTATTATAGTTTTATAAGTGATGTGACACTGAGTAGAAAAACCTGCCATACCATTTTAATGTAAAATGGTAAATGAATTTAATAAATTAAAATGATAATTTTTACTAAAGAGTTGAATACCAATCATGTAAAAACAGTTAATTTTTCATTTCACTATTAAAATATAGGATTGATACATTATGCCCAACCATCAGAATAAAAAATAGGCAAAGCATTTATGAATAAAGTGGTTGTAATATGATGGTAAAACAAAAAACCCTATTTCCTTATAGCTAAAAACAGAGTGAAAGGATAGAGGGCAGGAACAGTGGAAGGTTTGTCTGGAAAGACAGCTGGATGTTGTTCTCTAACTCACCTCCAACAGCACCCTCAGGCCTTTGGACTTGATCCCCAGGCCCTGAGGAGTGATAGGAAGTTGTGGGATGGCAGAAGGCAAGGGCCTCCCAGGCAGGCAGGAGTCAGAGGAGATGGGGAGTCACAGTGGTGCATGCAGGCCCAAGGCCCTGGTGACTAGACTGGGAATTCAGGCAGCCCAGAGATGGGATCTGGCTGGAGTAGCAGGAGAGGTATCGAGATTCACCTAGCACTTCTCATTCCTCTCTCTCCTCTTGCCTCCCTCCCTACCCTCTTCCAGCTCTTCTCCCTTACCTTCTCCCTGCCTCCTCTCTTCCAAATTTTTTTTTTTTGCTTTCCCCACCATTGAGTCCTCTTCATTTTCCTTTGCCCTTTCTCTTAACTTCCCATTTTTACTGCCTGTTTTCCTTCTTCTACTGTCTCTCTCATCCCTCTTTCTCTCACTCTCCCTTTGCACAGCTACAGTCCAACATATTTTTCTCTCATAGAAAACATGGTGGTAGGATAAGAAAGGCTCTTGCTTCAATCCTGGCTTCCCCACTAGCTGTATGATCTCAGCGGGCCCACCTTAGTTGGTTGAGTTGGGGGTCACATAACTAACAGCTGCTCACACGTAACGTAACGAGTAACTGCTTACTTGAGAAGGGCCGGTACTCATGAAGCACATTTATGTGCATTAGTTTAATTCATCCTCACAATCATTTGTAAAGTATTATACTCTTATTATCAACATTGAACCAGAGGAAACAGAGACTTAGAAATGTTCAGCAACTGGCCCAACATCACATGGCCAAGAAGCAGTAGAGCAGAGATTTGGACCTAGAACCTCAGCCTCTGCATCACCAGGCATTAGCCACAGGAGGCTATGGAATATCCAGAACAGTGTCTGGCCTTAGCACACTGGATAAGCTTCCAGTAAGGGTTGGTTCCTTTCCCTTCCCTGGCTAATGTCCCTTTATGAACATCTGATAGAATACATATCTATTTTTTAAAATAAAACTTTCAGCCAGGAGCGGTGGCTCATGCCTATGATCCCAGCACTTTGGGAGGCCGAGGCAGGAGGATCACTTGAGCCCAGGAGTTCAAGACCAGCCTGGGCAACACAGCAAAATCCTATCTCTACAAAAAATACAAAAATTAGCCAGGCATGTTGGTGTATGCCTGCAGTCCCAGCTACTTAGGAGGCTAAGGTAGGAGGACCACCTGAGCCTGGTAAGTTGGAAGCTGCAGTGACCTGAGATCATGCCACTGTACTCCAGCTCAGGTGACAGAGTGAGATCCTGTTTCTAAATAAATAATATAATATAATAATACTTCATAGACTATGTGTATGCTGCATTTTCGAATTGACACTACATCATGAGCATGATTCCACGTCAATATATAAAGATATACATCACCATTAAAAATTTTTTTGTGTGAGACACTGTCTCATTCTGTCACCCAGGTTAGAATACAGTGGCTTGGTCATAGCTCACTGCAGCCTCCAATTCCTAGGCTCAAGCAATCCTCCTGCCTCAGCCTCCAGATTAGCCGGGACCACAGGCACTTACCACCATACGTGGCTAATTTTTCAATTTTTTACAGAGATGAGGTCTTACTATATTGCCCAGGCTGGCCTCAAACTCCCAGCCTCAAGTAATCCTCCCACCTTGGCCTCCCAAAGTGCTGGAATTACAGGCGTGAGCCACTACGCTCAGCCTACATCACCATCTTTAATGCCTGTGTGATAGTCCACTGAATGGATCTCCCATAATTGTTAGCCAGCCCCTTAATGATGGACATTTTCACTGAAATAGCGTTTATAATCATGGATCAGTTCAGCTTTTTGGTATCTTATTTTCCTTTCCTTTGTTCTACAAAATGATGCAGGTAGTGTAGAAAGCCAATGGGAACACTGCAAAATTCAAGTTAAGATGAGACTTTGACAACGAAATCTGAAGAATCAGGAAGAGATGGGAACAGCTGATCCACAAAAATGATCCAAGACACTGCTGACACTCATTACTGAAATTCGGCAAACACTCATCATACTAGTTCAATATCCATCTTTGGCTCTATGCTGCATGCTCCATGAGGACCTGTGTTGTCCACAGCTATATCCCAAGCACTTGGCACATCAGAGCTAATCAGTAAATGTTTGCTGGGTGAGTGAATGTCCAGGAGAGATAACTGAATTGAAGTAATTTCATATTGTTGAATATAATCAACTGAATTATATTCTGGCTTGAGAATGAATGTGCAACCAGAAAGGAGGATGGTATACACAGCATGTCTACTAAAAGCAGAGCTTGAAGAGACAAAATGTATTGGTGACCAGATGTGGTGGCTCATGCCTATAATCCCAGCACTTTGGGAGGCCGAGGTGGACGGATCATTTGAGGTCAGGAGTTCAACACCAGCCTGACCAACATGAGGAAACTGCATCTCTACTGAAAATACAAAAATTAGCTGAGCGTGATGGTCCACACCTGTTATCGCAGCTACTCGGAAGGCTCAGGCAGAAGAATCACTTGAACCCAGAAGACAGAAGTTGCAGTGAGCCCAGATCACACCACTGCCTTCTAGCCTGGGCTGGATAGAGTGAGACTCATCTCAAAAAAAAAAAAAAAATTATTGGTGTTTTCAAGGACCTAGGAATCCAGGGCAGCAGGAAAAGCTCTATAATAGAGGGGGATGCATTAGGCTCCCATGGTCCAGTGACATTAGCCGTAAAGATAATCCTATTCACTCCTTGCCCTGAGTCCATACTCACCAACCACATCTTTTAGCTTCCCATATAGCTGTGCATAAAAGGAGAGTACACAGGAATCGGCAAACACAAGCCCAAGTCTATCTGCCAGCTACTTTTCTTGGTGTGAATTAATATATTGGAATTTCACCTCTGATGGGAACCAGACTAGGTAAGTCAGCCCCCTGATAATCTCTGATCACCCTAACAATGCTGATCTAAACCCATGACACTGGAACCCATGATGCTGAAACATGATGATCAAAACATGGTCCCTGCTGTGGTGGACAGACTCATAGGGTGCCCCCACAACACCATCCTTGTCTCTTGGTGTTCACACCTTGCATGGTCCTCTCCCTTTGAGTGTGGGTGGGACCTGTGACTTGCTTCTAACCAAGAGAATACAGCATCCAGAGACCAGCCAACTGACAGTCACGTGTACTCAGTGGGCAGTTGGAGTCAGCTGGGGTTCTAATACCAAACTACATAGGGTGTAATTCTGTTCACTGGAAATAGAATATTTACTTTATAATCTAAGTTTTAAGTCTAAATGGATTTCCAAGTGGCTGTCTTGCTTGGCAAATCTTAAAAGAATATTGAAGGGTAAGAACTTGAATAAGTTTTGTTGTTGTTGTTCTTAATATATGCAACATTGGCTCTGTTCTGGACAATGGAAGCAAATTATAAAATAAATCTAATTTGCCATAAGAGATAAAATCCCCCAGAGATACCATTTCATCACATCAGACTGGCAAAAATCAAGTATGAAAAGATCAAGTATTGACAAGAATATATATGGAACAACAGGAGCACAAGATGGGAGTGTGAATTGATACTACCACTTTAGAAAGCAATGTTGAATATCTAGTAAAGCTGAAGATGCACAAACCTAATGACCTAATAATTCTACTATTAAAAAATCCTCAAAAACTTTCCAAATGTGCTCTTAAGAAGACATTTGCAAGAATACTTAAGGTAGCATTCTTTCTAATAGCAAAAAAGTGAGGAGTGGGGAATGAACGCCCATCATTAGGCAAATGGAAGAATAAACTATGATATATTCATGCAATGAAAGAACAAATAGTATTGAAAATAAATGAATTAGCAGCGAGGTGCAGTGGCTCAGGCCTGTAATCCCAGCCCTTTGGGAGGCCGAGGCGGCAGATGGCTTGAACCCAGGACTGGGCCTGGGCAACATGGCAACCCCATTTACATTAAAAAAAAAAAAAAAAGAAAGAAAGAAAAATTAGCTGGGTGTGGTGGCACACACCTATTGTCCCAGCTACCAAGGAGGCTGAGGTGGGAGGATCACCTGATCCTGGGGAGGTCAAGGCTGCAGTGAGCAGTGACCTCATCACTGCATTCCAGCCTGGGCAACAGCGTGAGATTTTGTCTCACAAAAAAAAAGGAAAGAAAGAGAAAAAGAAATGAATTATAATTACAAGTCCCAATGTGAATGAATCTCACAAATATATTAAGTGAAAAAAGTAAGCTGAAGAAGGATAAGAACACTATACAATGTCATTTTTTTTTTTTTTTTTTTTTTTTTTTTTTGAGACAGAGTCTCGCTCTGTCGCCCAGGCTGGAGTGCAGTGGCGCGATCTCGGCTCACTGCAAGCTCCGCTTCCCGGGTTCACGCCATTCTCCTGCCTCAGCCTCCCGCGTAGCTGGGACTACAGGCGCCCGCCACCACGCCCGGCTAATTTTTTGTGTTTTTTAGTAGAGACGGGGTTTCACTGTGTTAGCCAGGATGGTCTCGATCTCCTGACCTCGTGATCCGCCCGCCTTGGCCTCCCAAAGTGCTGGGATTACAGGCGTGAGCCACCGTGCCCGGCCTACAATGTCATTTTTTAAAGGTTTAAAACATGCCAAATAATATGCCAAATCTGTAACATCTCAAGATGAATGTGGAAATGACAAATACCAAATCAGGGTCATATTTCTTTCTAAGTGAGAAATAGAGAGGAATAGGTAAAATACTTGGGGCTTTGACTAAACATATCTTTTACTTCTTAAACTTAATTTTTCACTGTATCAATTTAAAAGAAATAAATTACTTCTTCTTGCCCCCACTTAAAAAAAATATGTAAACCAAGAGTTCAAAGGGGAGTCAAATTGTTAGACTCTCCAGGGCATGTACAGAACTCACTCTTGCCCTAAGCATTCTAGGACCATGAAATTGGAATTCCATGGCAAAAGTAACTAATCTCCATGAAATCTCTACTCTTAAAGCATTTTATCCATACTTAATACTATGTGATCTTAACTAGATAGCAACATTTCTATAAATGGCTATTGGATAAATGTCCAACAATAGAAGAGCAGTTAGTTAGAACACAGCACATCCACTCAAAAGAATATCAATAGCTGGCCAGGCATGATGGATTACATGTCTGTAATCCCAACATTTTTAGAGGCTGAAGTAGGATGATCATTTCAGGCCAGGAGTTCAAGACCAGCCTGTGCAACATAGCAATGCCCCCGTCTCTACAACAAAATAACAATAAAAAATAAATTAGCCAGGCATGGTGGCGAACAGCTGTAGTCCAAGATACTCAGGAGCCTAAGGCAACAGGATTGCTTGAGCCCAGGAGTTCAACACTGCATGACACTGCACTCCAGCTTGGGCAACAGAGCTAGCTAGATCTTGTCTCTAAAAAAACTAAAAAACAAAAAATAACAGCTAAGAATATATTTATGTATTTATGTCCTTGCTATATAATGTTAAGGTAAAAAAGAAAAAAAAAACCCACCAAGGTGGATTTATAGTATGCTTTATCTATCTATCTATCTACCTATCTATCTATCTTACTAAACATTCTACAATGCACAATAGTACACATTATTTAGAACTACAACCAGGGCCTGGAAGCCAGCACTTTGCTCCAAGGCACCACAGTTTAGATGGTGCAAACATTTTGACTCATGAGTTTAAAGGACACTGCAATTTCTTTTTTTTCAGGCAGAGTCTCACTCAGTGGCCCAGGCTGGAGTGCTGTGGCACAATCTCCACCCACTGCAACATCTACCTCCCGGGTTCAAGTGATTCTCCTGCCTCAGCCTCCTGAGTATCTGGGATTACAGGTGCATGCCACCACACACAGCTAATTTTTGTATTTTTAGTAGAGGCGGGGTTTCGCCATGTTGTCCATGGTGGTCTCAAAAGCCTGACCTCACATGATCTGCCCACCTAGGACTCCCAAAATGCTGGGATTACAGGCCTGAGCCACCACTCCCAGCCAACCCTGCAAATGTTGAAGTTATCTACTACCACTACCACTGCCACCATTACCACATCCTACTCCTCTTGCTCCTCCCTCTTCCCTTTCTCCCCACAGTGAGAAGACTGCTTGACCATGGGCCAGCAAAGATGGATGAGGCAGGAGACTCAAAGTCAAGGAGAAGGCAACCACTGCCCTGCTGAGTGCCCAGGCCACCAATTATCTGCCTTCCTTCGCTCCTGTATCTGAGGCCTCCTCCCTTCATGCCTAGATGCCTCCATGGTCTTGAGGCTACCTTTAATGCTGTTTTCCCCTCCCCTCCCTTCACTCATCCTCCTACCAACTTTCCCCCTGCCAAATTGCTGGAATTATCTCTGTGGTGTGGATAGTTGTTATCTGGCTAAATCATGTGCTTTGGTAAAAGAAGGAGGAAGAGGGCTGTGCAACTGAGGTCAGCATGCCTAATTTCCCAAGCCAATGTATCTAGATTGACAAGGCCAAAGGAAAGACCAATGCTAATAGCAGGAGCTTTCCACAAATTAACCACACTGTCCCAATTGAGGAAGTGCCTCCAAATTATGTGCAAAGGAAATGAAAACAGTGCAAATAAGCACACTCTGTCTCCTTCATAGGCAGCTCATCTCTCACCACCCCTGACCAGAATTTTTTAGAACAGCTGAGCAGTCCTTGGAAGAAATATACTGGGCTAGCACATTGAGGAACGCACATGGCATTATGGTTGTGAGGCCGATCTGGGGAAAGCTGGGTAAGTCATCGAGGTCTTACACGGTCTCTAAGACATTAGGCATCCTTACACCAAAATATCTGTCCTTAGGCCAACAGCAGATATAGCTTACCTGACACATCTTGACATTTTTTCAACTGTACATTACCTCAGCAACCCAGAAATCCTACAACCATCTTGGAGAGGGTGAGGCAAGGATTCTAGGACTAGAAGTATTAGTATAGTCATATCTTTTAAAACAGTGGAAAGAAATAAACTGAAATGTAAATAGTGGCACTGGGTACATTTTTATTCTGCTTTTCCTTATTTTCAAAATACTTTAACAAGTGTGCTATTTTCACAATTACACAAATTTAAATAAAACCTTCTTGAAGAAAAGAATGAACCAGTGAATGACAATAACAACAAAAAGCATAAATTGCTCATTTACAGCTACCAAAACCAAGAAACAAGCCTGATTCTGGGCTTTAAAGACTATGGTTTAGTTAAAAGAAGTTTGCTATCAATTTTTACTTTCATTTCCTTGTGGGCACAGAACAAGGCTTGAGGCTGGTGCTCTCATCAAAGCTGGGAATGAAGCCTGGATCGCCTGTGCATCAGGGAATCAGCATGTTGTACAGGTCCAGTGATTCTGGAGTGATGCCAGCACAGTATTCCAAAAACTCGAGGTTCCAGGAAAACTGCAAGTCCCTCCATGGGGTCCCAGAGCAGATATTTTCAGTGCTCTTTGTGAAAATGGCCTTGAGTCCACTTAGCAAGACTTGCATTCTTTCCCCTCCATTCTATCACATTCATAAAGGGAATTCTGTTGGAGGTAGAAGGGTGAGGGGTGATGTGTTTCTGACCCACAAAGGTGAACTTTAGAATGCTTACAACATTTGACAGTGCTCTTCCAGCCAGTGCAGAGATTTCTGCATAACTGAAGGGAGGCGGCCAATCTGCAATACACACATGGCCTCTGTCAGATCCAGACAGATTTACAGACAGACCTCTAGAACCCAATGACTGGTCTCTGATGTTCAATCCACTCTCCACAGCTTAGAATGATGTTAACATTTTTAGGAGAACCCTTGCAAAAACAGATTGGTTTTTGTTCTCCTCTATTAATAACAGCTATTTTGAAATGCTATTTAAATCTTCTATTGTTATTTGAACCTTTCTGGATTATGTCTCCCCAGCTGAGCTGCCGTAGGGCAGCGGAAACCACATCCTACATGAACCTGTAATCTCCACGAAGCCTAACACGACGCCTCTTCACGGACACTCATACATATTTGTTCATTCACCTTTTTGTTTTTCTAATTTGGGAAGACCCACTGTTTTCATTGTTGAGTTGCTCTACCCAAATGACATATCGATTGCTGACTGAAGGTGCCCTTCCAGCTGTGAGCTCGGCGGAAGGCTGGAGGTCACCCTGCAGTGGGCCCGGGCACTCACACCCAAAAAGAAGTCATTACTTTTAGGGTGTTTTATTATGATCAACAGCAATATTTGGCAACTTTTCTTTCTAGCATTAGAAAAGATACATTACCAAATGTTAAAAAAGGAACCTGCCAAGTGCAACAGCTAGAAGAGAAAAAATATTATTAAAAGCCCATGTAAACTCTCTACCTACTAAACTAGCAGGGGAAAGCACGATTCTGTGTGCTCTCATACAGACAGAATGCTGGTGGTGACTTTTGGTTCTACCATCTATAAATCGCTGGCTGAAAAGCTAAGAATTTAGGCTTAGAAGAAAGATCCAGTCTCCAGTCTATGCCCTTTTTCACACACTCAGAGAGAGGAGGCTGGACTTCTCTGCTTAATATGGGAGTCTTTTACTCTTTTACGTGGAGTAACGACTTGAGTACAGCACATTAATTTTATAACTATTTTAGGAGCAGGGGAGGACTCTTGAGTTTTTCCAGAGATAATTAAAAATGGGGGAAAAAAGAAACCTGAAATACACAAAAAGCAAGCTGAAGCCACCAGGGGTTTCTGAATAACATCTTCCCGGTTCAACAATTTTAAGAATTCCATAATGCGAAAGCAACCCCCACACATTCTCTCCCACATAAACATGCTTTTTATTTAAGCCACACTCAGCGACGGCAGCACAATGTCTTGCCTGCACTTCTGTAGTTGCTTCATCCAGAGAGAATGTCTTCTTCACAAACGCGTTCTGAAGTGGGGCAGGGGGTGACAACCAGTCAGCAAACGCAGACACCTTCAGGGAGGAAGACTGAAGTTCCCAGTAAGCTCAGCAGCTCGCCACCCGGAAATCTGAGTTTTCACCACACTGAAATCTGACTTTCAACCTCAAGTACCAATGTTCCCTTGGTAGCAACTGAAAATTTTAGGCTTTTTGATATTTATCAACCAGCACATTCCTAGTAATTTTCCTGGTGGACCAGAAAGAGGTAATTATGTTCCTTCCGATAAACCATTTTATTATCACTGATAGCTACATTTTTAAAATAACAAGAACCACTGAGCTATGGAAGGAGTCGACAAAAGACCACCAAGGCATAAAAAGCAATTGGGTTTTCTCTTTTTGCAAAAATCACCTGCTTTTATATGGAAAAACTCATGGAACATAAAACCACATCCAATAAGTCAAAAAATAAAATAAAACAGTCAATAGGGAGAGGGAGGACAGTAGAAGAGTTACTAAGAGAGAGTAACAGACAGAAAGAGTGAAATACGGGAGGAGAGAAACAGTGAGTAGAGTGGGGAGGCAGTGCTGAAGGACAGCAGAGGAGAGAGAGGAGGCCAGACAGCCAGAGGAGGCAGGTGGCTCCAGGTCTCCCAGGGAGGAAGGGAGCTGGAGAAACTACTCCTCTCACATTCAGCTGCTCATTTGGCGTGTGAAGAACTAGATGGGCCATTTTTAATATGCTATGTTAGTTTCTCTACTCTTTTTTTGAAAAATCAAATATGCTCTTTCTTTGTCTTGACACATACACACGACGTTAAGATGTCATCAGGGAAGAATCATTTTTTCCACTTACAACATGAAAATGCCTTCTCAAATTATCCACGGTTTTACTAAAAAGATCCTATTTTGAGCCAACACCCACCTGACTCTTCGGGTAAGGCATGGGTCTCACATCCACCATCGCACACCACGTGCTAGCAGACAGCTCCACGGTTATTCTGTGCACTTGCTTAATGATTTCATCAAATAATTTAGTCCAGTCAACAAATATTCATTGAGCCTCTACAGTGCTGAACAAGACACAGCCCCTGCGCTGCAGGAACTCCCATTATGCAGGGAAATAACACTAGCAAGCCACCGTGCAAGAATGGAGGGGCTGGTCAGTGCCACTGGGCAGAAGGCAGGATCAGTTTGAACTGGGCCATCAGGAAAAGCACTTGAGGAGCAGGCATTTGAGTCTGATATTCAAAGGGGTAAATGATGTGAATTCAGAGCAGCATGAGAAGGGGTGGAGACGGGGCAAAGCAGAGGAAATGCTGATTGGTGAGGACTATGGGACCCTTGGGTTCCTGTTGCTAAGCAGCGGCCAATTAGGCTGGAACAGTCGATTGAGGCCAGTGTGCACAGGCCTTCACTCCATAACTGCCCCAAACAGGAGAGAGACAGTAGGCACAGAAAGGAAAGGACGAATGGAGGGAGACTGTGCAGGGGACACCTCAACTTGACTCAATGACTGTCTGGATGTGGGAGTGCAAGGAACAGAAAGTCAGAATAACCCCAGGTGTTCAAGCTCTGGTTACAGAGAAGAGGATGATGGCACTAACGTCATCAAGGAATGCACTGAAAGGGACACACTCCACTACTCATGAGAAACATCAGACAAGGCCAAGCTACAGGGCATTCTACTACATAACTGACCTGCACCCTTCAAACGTGTCAAGGTTCACGAGAGACAGAATGACTGGGAAACGGTCCCAGATTAGAGGAAATGAAAGAGGCATGACAAGGAATGTAACACATCCTGGACTGGATCCTGGACCAGAAAACATCTTTTTTTTAAAAGATCTTTTTGGCCAGGTGCAGTGGCTCATACCCATAATCCCAGCATTTTGGGAGGCCAAGGCAGGCAGATCACCTGAGGTCAGGAGTTCAAGACCAGCCTGGCCAACGTGGTGAAACACTGTCTCTACAAAATTACAAAAGTTAGCCAGGCATGATGGTGGGTGCCTGTAATCCCAGCTACTCGGGAGGCTGAGGCAGGAGAATTGCTTGAACCAGGGAGGCGGAGGCTGCAGTGAGCCGAGATTGTGCCATTGCGTTCCGCCCTGGGCAACCGAGCAAGACTCCATTTCAAAAACAAAATAAAACAATAAAGATCTTTTTTTCTCCTCTTTTGCCATGAAGGACATTATTAGGTCAATAGATGATACATGAATAAGGCCTGTTGATTAGATAATAGCTCTTAATGCTAATTTTCTGATTTTGGCACTTATACAAGAAAATGTCCTTTTTAAAAGGAAATATACACGAGTATTTAGGTGGACAAAGGTGTATCATGTCTACAACTCACTCTAAAATGGTTCAGGGAAAATGACAACATATGCACTTGTGTGTGTGTATACATATGTGTGTTCATACATATGTGTGTGAATAAACACACAGATACACAGACACACAGAGAGAGAATGAGAGAATAGGATAGAGCGAGAAAGGTAAAACAAGTGTGGTAAAAATTAATATTTAGAGAATTTGGTTGAAAGGTATGTTGGGAATTATTTTAATTATTGCGACTTTTCTTTTTCTTTTCTTTTCTTTTTTTTTTTTTTTTTTTTTTGAGAGACGGAGTCTCGCTCTGTCGCCCAGGCTGGAGTGCAGTGGCGCGATCTCAGCTCACTGCAACCTCCACCTTCTGGGTTCAAGCAATTCTCCTGCCTCAGCCTCCTGAGTAGCTGGGATTACAGGCGCTCACCACCATGCCCAGCTAATTTTTGTATTTTTTTAGTAGAGATGGGGTTTCACTATATGTTAGCCAGGCTGGTCTGGAACTCCTGACCTCAGGTGATACACCCGCCTTGGCCTCCCAAAGTGCTGGGATTACAAGCATGAGCCACTGTACCTGGCCAGTTATTGCAACTTTTCTATAAATTTGAATTATTCAAAGTAAAAGGTTTAAAAAGGGGAAAAATGATTACAGAAGCCAGGAAGACAAGGTAGAGACAAAGCAGTCAGGCTTCTGAGTATTACATTCTGAGTGAAATGTGGGCAACAGCTCAGGGCCCAAAATATAGATTTGAAGTACCTGGGGGCCCTGGGTAAACAGGGTTAAAAGTGGGGCTCTAAGGTCAGACTGGTGGAGTCCCTTTCCCAGGTCTGCTCCTTGAAAGCAGTGTTTTCTTTAAGTTATTCAAATCTCCCTCCATTTCAATTTCTGCACCTACATAACGGGAGTAATCAGAGTCTCTGCCTCACAGAGTTGGAGTGAGGATTAGAGGAAGTAGTACAAGTGGGCGAGGGCGCCCAGTGAGGCGCGGGGAAAGTGCCCAGTGCTCTTTAAATACTACTGCGGGCTCAGAGGTGAGGCTGGGGCAGGGGGAAGGGAGGAGGAAAAGGAAAGGAAAGACCAAGGACAGGATCTCACAGCATCCCCGTGTCTACATGCCAGGAAGAAAAAGGAAACAAATGAGGTTCGAGTGGGCCTGGACAACCAGTGTCATGGAGACAGGGAGATACAGAGGCGCAAAGGGCTGACTGCTGCCAGGAGACGCAGGGCAGGGACCAAGGAAGGGAAAGCCAGGGCAAAGGCCTCAGATCTGCAGCCAGGACACCTATGCCAGAGCCCTCTGAGGAAGCAGTTTCAACAGAAAGATGAGGGTGAAACCAGAATAGGTGAGTGGACAAAGAAGAGAACCTGAGGACAGTTCAACAGAGTAGCAGGGTCAAAAACAGTGCTACCCCATACGATAGCCATTGGCCCTATGTGACTACTTCAATTGGATTTAAGTTAGTTTAGAATTTACTAAAATGGAAAACTTGGTTCCTCAGTCATACTAGCCACACTTCGTGTGCTTAAGAGCCACATGTGGGCAGTGACTACCATACGGAACAGTGCAGATATAAAATATTTTTCTCACCGCAGAAAATTCTACTGGACAGAGCGAGGACCCCACCAGAGTTTCTTATGGGAAGGATGACCCATATGGTGGAGTAAGGGTTGGGGCAGAGTAGGGAAGGACCAAAGACACTGGAGAAGAGGAATAACAAATGCAGCCAGTTCCCAAAAGAGGTGAGAAGGAAGGAATCAAGTCCAGAGAATGAAGAGTGTGGATTGCATGTGGATTAACCTTGGGGAAGGGACTTGTAGACATTTTCTTCCTTTGAGAAAGACGAAATAAAGAAGGACAAAGAGAGGAAGAGAAAGATGCTTGGGGGCCTTGAGGAAGGTAAAGTGGGAATTTATCTGGTGAAATTAGAGCCAACGTAAATTTTCAATGGAACCTGTCCAAAGGTCTTTGTGACTTCCTCCTAGATAATGTGGCAGGCTGGGAGAAGAATAAGCAGGCAAGCGGGGGTGATTTTGGATTGAGGACTGAAATATAAGAAGCCCAACACATTGAAACAAAGGATTCTGGGATCCCAGACAGAATGGAAATGGCCAGCAACTTACATGCCCCAAGTGGAGAAACAGAGTCACAGAGGGGCTGAAGGATTGGAACAGCAAGTGCTTAAGGGACCAGGGTCCTCAGCGATGGTTAAAATCCAGAGCAGTATGTGGGTAGTATCAGCTAAGTAGGCTGAAGTCCGAGTTCAAGATCTCAAAGGTTTAGTCTTGTTCAAGACTGAACAAGTCCAAGATGTTAGTTGAAGCAAAGTGGAAACTGAGGCTACTGGGATAGATGTTGAGGAACTTCAAGGTCAAAGAATTAAGAGAGCTTCAACACAAAACCCAAAGTCACTGGCAAGAGACAAAGCAGAGAAGAGAATGAAGCTGGCTGCTCACGTTTTTTGTTTGTTTATCCCTTTTTTGGGGCATCAAGTGAAGAGATCCCCACTGTACCTGGGTGTACATCAGAATTGCCCAGAGAGTTCTGTTCCTTCTCTTCATCGTCTCCTGCTGCTCCTCCTTTTGGGGTTTGTTTTTAAAGTAGGGATTTTTAGGTCTTACTCCCCCACCCTGCCCCAGCCCCCAATGATTCTAATTTGGTATATCTGAGAGAGTCTAAAGACCAAGTTTTTCAAAATGTCCCAGGTGATTCTGAGGAGCCCCCAGGTTTGGGAAGCACTGGACCAGAAGATAAGAAGGAGGGTAGGGGCACAAGCAGATAGCACTACCTTCCGAGAGGAGACTTGGTTGGTGATGGTGCATTGGTTTGGAGGCAGCACTAAGGAGAAGCGGAAGAGCATCCCTACTCTGGTGAGACGGTGGAGGACACTAGAGAAGGCTCTTCTGCGGCAAGTTGTTCACTCAGGCTCTGGTGCTCGGGAGAGAAGGTGGGTTCAGCTACATAAAAAATGAAAATGCAAGAGTGTGGCTGCAGGATACAAGAAACAAGACATTTAAAGCCAGGTCGGAGTGACACAGCCTAGTGGCCTGCAGAGAGAGGAGGCTGAATAATGCGCTAATAACGTTTCCAAGCACCATGTAGTGTGGCTCATTAAATGGTTGGTAGGGCTTCATGGTTGAATTCCTGGACACTAAGTATTTTTCTATCCGTATGCTATCAGATTTCTAACATGTAACACATTAAAGGTTATTAAGCCCTCAGGTAAACAAGCTTGCAGAAGCTTATTCATTAGCATTGGAAACTGTGTCTTCCCAACCCACGTTCTTATACAGATGAAATCAGATTCGAATGAAAATCAAGGGTAGCTTTAAGTAGAAAGTCAGAAGGGGCAACCAGGGGTACCTGTGAGAGGGTACGTCCTCCATTCCCCTCCGTGGAAGAGGGAAGTTTATAGACAGTGGATATGGAAGGGGGCCTAAGTGTCCTTTTTAGTACCAGTCAACGCTAAAAATATTATAAGTGCCAAGGAACCCGCCCCCCCCAACACACACACACACACATACACACACGCGCATTCAGTGACAGGGCCCAGAAGGCAGATACAATGTGCAAATCTGGGGATGGTTCTCAATAAAGAATATATTTACTCTACAAACCTCTTATTTTAAAAGCAAGTTGCAAATGTTTGCCCTTGCTTCTGAGAGAGCTGCACTTTTGTGGATTCGAATCATTCTAGCATTATTTCTGGTTACTCCTATGAAATAATTTCCAACACTGCCGTACGCAGACTTTGAGCTGAGGACGAGAGCGCACGCGCACACACGCACACACACACACGCGCGCACACACACACATAAACCTCGTGCACATTGAAGAAATGACTCACTTAATTTGCTGCTGCCTGCCACGATTGGGTTTTGATTTTACCTGTTCAAATACAAAGTTTCCTATTAGATTAACTACAGGAAAGAAGAACTTAGGAGCATTAATCCTGATTTTGTTCATGTCTTTAGGGCACCAAAGAGGTTTTAACCTGTGCATCTTAAGAAGCCATTCTCCGGACCACCGACTGCTTGCTCCATAATCTTCCAGACAACGATAACATTTCTTACCACTTTAGGAGCCAATTAATGGAAACCCCTCCTAGAATAAACATGGTTAAGCTTTGCATCTCCGGTACCTGCAGAACCGTACTTTAGGGCTCTTTCTCAGCTCGCAGTAGGATGGCACAACAGCATTCTGGAACTGCAAAGACCCCCTAGCCTCTCGTTTGAAAGATGAGAAAAAGCGAAGGGGCGGAAGAGCAGATGGTTAACCTACCCAAGGTCACTCACTCTGAGTAGTGGGTCGGCTGACTCGCCTTTACCCCTGGCAATCCGTGCACCACCCCAGCTCCCCCAAACAGTCCCTCCGGGCGTCGGTTGGTTCGCTAGCATGCAGCCCCCGCGAAAATGCAACGCCAGTTGCGCTCTGTGCCCAACTTCAGCCCTTCGCGTCACATGCAGTTAACCCTCTCGCCCGCGGCATGTCACATGGGCCACGCGCAGCTCTCTCTACCCCACGCCTATCTCCTGAGAGGCTGCCCCAAGGTCACCGGCCGTCCCAGAGAGCTCCCGCCGCCCAGCCCCAGAGGCCGCCCGGCCGGGGTTCCCAGAGCGCGGCACTCACCGGCGCGGGGGGTGGGCGCGCCGCGGCTGCCCATGTCCTCGCCGGCGCGGCTGGGTGCGGCGGCCGCTGGCGCTGGCTGAGCAGGGCGCCCGGCTGCGGGCCCGCGCCGCGGGGAGCGCCGTCCAATCAGCGCGCGCCTGCCGCCTGGCCCGGCGCGCGGCCCGGCCGGGTTCGCGGCTCCCGGGGGGCGCGAGCCGCCGCGCGCCGCCGGAGCCGCTTCCGGGCGCGTTGCCTGGACGCGGTTGCCGTGGCAGCCCGAGCTGGAGGCTTTCCCCGCGCACCCGCGCCCAGCCTGGCGGCGCCGCCCCTCCTCCCTCCTCGTTCCCACACCCAAAATAGCCTCTGCTCGTCGCTGCTGTTTCCCACAGAGCTCGCATCCAAGCGCCTTGGAGTTGGCGGGCGGGGATTTCGCTCATTGGAAAATAAATCCTGTTGTAGGGATGGTTGATTTGGAGAGGTGTTGAAATGGTGCCTGACGGAGATCATAGCCATGGTGGTGGCACTGCAATTCTCTCTAGAGCCCCAATATACCTTATTTACTAAACCGCTTTCCCACAAAAATAGTTCTCTCCCCCGCCCCACCTCAAATTGGGGAGAAGTTATTTGATTAGGCCACGGTGACGCCCCACCTGTGCAGGTGAACGAACCCTCCGGGGCTGCCATGTGTCATTTACTGAATCGCCTTGACACCTGCAGTTGGGACCCAGGATCGTGTCTCATCGCAGCAGACACGACGAGAAGAAGAACCCCGAACACCCCTCCTCTTCCCAGCCCTTTCTTCTCCCGTCAGCTTCATCCCCTCCCAGCGCGTCCTGGCTCTTTCCACCTTCCTCTCGATTTTGGATTCTCATCAGGACGCACAAGCCCATTCACTCATAATTGTGCTTCCTCTCGGTGGGCAGGATTTCAGCGGAGTTGCGGGGGACACGACCTTTGCCTCATCTGGTTCGTGCCTCCTTCGCAGATACTGGTACTTACCCAGCACAGGGGCTCCTGTCTGTCTCCCCCACCCCGCCCCAGCCTGAGCCCTTCCAACCCAGGGGAAGGAGCCCGACATGGTAGAAGAGCCCGAACTGTGGATTCGGCTGAGCGGTTTTGGAATTCTCTCTCCGGCAGCATTATTATTTAGGGGCTATTAGTATTAAGGACTGTTATTTGTGTGTGATCTTTGAAATATTTGTGGGTATTCTGCGACTGTTTCCTCACCAGTAAAACGGGCTAATAACTTCCACAAAGCGCTAACGCATCTGTAACATTCATTCAGCCAACAGTATCTATTGGATGGCTGCCAAGTGCTAGAAACTATGCTTAGCCCTGAGACACAATGGTGAAGATGAAAAAGAGACACATCACTTTCTGATCCCACAGAGCTTAGAGCCTGACGAGCATTCATCAAATAATCACAGACACATGTTAACACTGCCGTTGTGACCAGGAGAGTAATGGCCTTGAGTCTTGTGATGTGTAGATCTGGTATAACAGCATCTCTTTAGTGCTGCAAAAGCTCAATGATTATTCTTTCCTTTCTCGGTTAGATTCCCACTGCCTGGTGCATGGTATGTACTAGGTAAATACATATTGAATTGGATCCTATGTCATGGTGATGACACTGTCACTCTGCTTCCCAGTGACCTTCTGGCTGTAACTGGCCACAACATCTGGAAAGGTGTGCATGTGTTAGCAGAAAGTACCCATTCAAACCTAGAGTCCATCACCAAGAGTCTAGAAAAAGGTTCAAAATATTTCTTGCCTGTCTCCATCGGGGTGCCTTTCAGTGCATATGGAGAGCATCTCAGATGGACACATAACGTCCCCTCTGTCTTGTTTCTTCCTCTTCTTATTACTCTACCCTTTCCCCGCCCACCCCAATACTGACCCTACTCCCTCTACTACTTGAGGTGCCAGAGCCTCAAGGCACCCCTTCCTGGCTTCCTAGGAGAGTGATAGTAGATCCTAATATTCCTCAGAATGGAACACCTATAAAACAGAGGAAGTGCCTTCTTACTTCTGGCCATCAAAACTGAACTTTGATTTTTCATTTGCTGCAAGACTCCCTCACTCTCAAAGGTAGGGAAGGAGAGGACCTGGAAGGTGAGGGGCTCTTGCCATATGTAGGCACCTTCTATTTAGGCTGACTTTCATTTCCTTTTTAAAAATCATAACAGTTAGCAAATAAGACAAATAATTGTATTAATAATTATTTCAAAACATGAATTTCTCAGTAAGAACCGGGCTTTCAAAGTGGTCTTGAATCAGGCCCATGACTTCCCACTTCTTATTTATCTTTTTTCTTAAGTGATTTGTTTTGAATCCCAAGGGGACAAAATTTAATGCACAATGATTAAGCCTACACTAGTTTCTTTCCAACTCTTTCCCTATTTTTGTAGGCTAAATTGCAACGAAATATCCATTTTTTCCAGAATCACTTTGATTGTAACTCATTACAGGAGATGGAGATTTTCTTGCATTACTTCAATTAAAAAGCCATGATTTATCACAAATTATTTTATGCTGCAAGGATTACCAAAAAAATTATCAAAGAGAACAATTCTATATACTTGATGGCTGTAATACTATTTACAAAGCAGTTATTTAAATACAAATAATTTGTTCAGTATATTATGCTAGACACCATGGAAATTCATTTTTCTTCTTTCTTTTGAGACAGAGTCTCACTCTGTCACCCAGGCTAGAATGCAGAGGCTCTCGATCTTGGCTCACTGCAACCTCTGCCTCCTGGGTTCAGGTGATTCTCCTGTCTCAGCTTCCCGAGTAGCTGGGACTACAGACGTACGCCACCATGCCCAGCTAACTTTTTTATTTTTAGTAGAGAGGGGGTTTTGCCATGTTGGCCAGGCTGGTCTCGAACTCCTGACCTCAGGTGATCCGCCGGCCTCGGCATCCCCAGGTGCTGGGATTACAGGTGTGAACCACTGCACCCAGTCCACTGTGGGAATTTTTTTGTTTTGCTTTGTTTGTTTGCTTGTTTGTTTGTTTGAGACGGAGTCTTGCTCTGTCGCCAGGCTGGAGTGCAGTGGCGTGATCTCGGCTCACTGCAACCTCTGCCTCCCGGGTTCAAGCAATTCTCCCGCCTCAGCCTCCCGAGGAGCTGGGACTACAAACATGCACCACCACGCCCAGCTAATTTTTGTATTTTTAGTAGAGATGGGGTCTTGTCATGTTGGCCAGGATGGCCTCCATCTCTTAACCTCGTGATCCACCTGCCTCAGCCTCCCAAAGTGCTGGGATTACAGGCATAAGCCACCAAGCCCGGCTGAAATTGTTTAAGTGATTTATTCCACGGCTGAGCTCTGGTTCTACTTTTGTCTCTGCACTGCCATTAGTCATGAAGATGAGATACACACGACATCTATAAGGATAGTAAGTAGGCTCCTCTAGGTAGGTAGAGGTCAAGGGCTTGTGTAGGTCAACGTGGTGTTTATAAGAAGGCTGGAAAGCAGTTGGGCCAAGGCTGTGGTGAGTTTCAGATGGATAAAGAGTTAGCACTTTGTTTTGTCCTCAGCAATTCTCAACCGTGGTTTGTCGAGATCCATTGGGAGGAGTGTTACACGTTGTTCATTCTCAATAATAGAGTGCCAAAGAATTTGACCACAAGGAACAGTCATATGTAGGAACTAGCAGGAGAAAGAAGGTTCCCACAGGGAGCAATGAGGAAGACCCAGAGATGTAAGAGTGAGGACAGTGTCAGAGAAGACACAGATGAGAAGGCTCAAGGGCAGAAAGTTTCCAGGGGACAAGTCCTGCAGAAAGCCAAGAAAATTTAGTGAATAGAAAGTCACTGGTGACCCTCAGGAGTGTTTTTTAGTTATCAGATTGCTGTGGGTTAAGAAAAGACTGGATGCTGTAGAAATGCAAGAAAGGTGTAGGTCACTCTTTAGAGAAGTTCGGCAGTGTAAAGAAGGTGAGAAATAATATCCATAGAGATCTGTAGTGGCCAGTGGATGTTTTTAAGATAAGGGAAAATAGTCTCTGCATATTTATATACAGTTGTAGGGCTGCAGACAAGGAGAGCACAATGCATCGTTTTGCACTGAGTAACTCAATCTAAATTCTACCATTCCTTTCATTATTGCCATATCCATTTTCCTTTTCAAAAATGTTTCATCGGGCCAGTTACGGTGCCTCACACCTGTAATCCCAGCACTTTGGGAGGCCTAGATGGGCAGATAGCTTGAGGCTAGGAGTTCAAGACCAGCCTGGCCAACATGGCGAAACCCGTCTCTACTAAAAATGCAAAAGCTAGCCGGGCATGGTGGCAGGTGCCTGTAATCCCAGCTACTCGGGACACTGAGACACGAGAATTTTTCAAACCTGGGAGGCAGAGGGTGTAGTGAGCCTAGATCGCGCCACTGTACTTCAGCCTGGGTGACAGAGTGAGACTCAAAAGGTCCCAAAGGTATTATGTCTCAAAAATAAAATGTTTCACCGAATAAGAGAAATCTTACATTGAACAAAGGTGGGGTTCAGACCTTGGGACGTTATTCTGTGAATAACCAACTAAAAACTTGGGTTAATAACCAATTAACACAATACGTCACTCTTTATGGCTGTTCTTTATCGGTTTCTTTGTTGCTAATAGTAAAATAGAATTAAGAAAATTCCTTTTTTCCTCTTTTATTTATAGAAATTATAGATTTTTCATACGTTTTGAATAAACTACAATTGGCTCTGTTGTTTTTGCTAGTAATTTTTCTTCATGTATAGGCTCATTCTCTCAAATATTATGTTTTGCTTATGAATTCATTGGTGGCTAATCCATCTCGCAATAATGTTTTTGAAGTAGTTATGCCTAAAGTACAACCAGCAGAGAAAGCACAAAATATTGAGAAGATCCTTTTAATAATGTTTACGTCTTAACTTAGATAATTGCAGTTGTACATAACAGGGAAAGTTCAGCCTCAGGGTGTATTTATATAGCATACAAGTGAGCCCTCAACATAACACTTTCAAGAGTGAAATCTGAAATAAAGAAGTCTTTCTACAAAGAGTTTGTGGCCAGAAATCCTAAAATAGCCTGACCTCATGATCCATCCACCTCGGCCTCCCAAAGTGCTGGGATTACAGGCGTGAGTCACTGCACCCAGCCCAATTTTGATTTTTTTTTTTTTTTTTTTTTTTTTTGAGACGGAGTCTCGCTCTGTGCCCAGGCTGGAGCGCAGTGGCGCGATCTTGGCTCACTGCAAATTCCACCTCCCGAGTTCACACCATTCTCCTGCCTCAGCCTCCCGAGTAGCTGGGACTACAGGCACCCACCACCATGCCCAGCTAATTTTTTGTATTTTTTTTTTTTAATAGAGACGGGGTTTCACCGTGTTAGGGAGGATGGTCTCGATCTCCTGACCTCGTGATCTGCCCACCTCAGCCTCCCAAAGTGCTGGGATTACAGGCGTGAGCCACCATGCCCGGCCTGATTTTTTAAATATTGCATTAAAATACTATTTATCTTGATCATTGAGTTTGCCTTAAATGTCGCACCTTAAATTTTGCCTCACTCACCTCCCCTCAGCCCTGGCCCTGTTGCAATCATAGCCAATGTTTATGTCAGACCCTGTGCTAAATGCTTACTTGTAGTACTTTATTTCTTTTTTGCAACAGCTTATGAATAAACTTAGGCTTAGAGGTATTATGTAACTTGTCCAAGGTCCCAAAGCTATTAAGTTCTAGAGCTAGAATTTGAACTTGGGCCCCTCTGATGTCACAGCTGTGCCTTGTAGGTACCAGGTGCAAGATTGCCGCATAAAAACCAAATGAGACTGAGGAGGAAAAATGCCTTACAAACTTCAGTAGGTAAAGTGTATGGCACAGTGAGAACTAAATAAATGTTGTTTTCATTCCCCTGTCTTCCCCAAGGACAGCACATATCAAAGAATGTGAATAGTAACTTATAAAAATTTATTTTGAGGGAGCAAATTAATTTTAACATTATCTCTGATTTCTTACACCTTCACCTCAGGTCTGCACTAGCAAAGGAGTGAAGATTCGTGTACTTACCCAGATAAATCCAATCAAATAATTGTTAGTTTAAAATACACAGAGCCAAACATGTTTTGGGATTTGAGCATCTTCTTAATTAATTAAACTGAAACGAGCGCTTTATGAGTACATGCCTGCCAGGTAAAGGCATATAGAGTGATGCAGTGTTTAAAAATTGTAATTAATAGACAATACATAGCCTGTACTTAAAGTAAAATAAAATTAAAGAAAAAAGAAAAATAACAAAGTAAGATAAATTAATATTATGCAGTTGTTTTTAAAGAGATAAATAGGTATAATCGTCTTTGTTTTCCCTCCCATATTTGAATACACTTAAATCATTTTCATGCACACACACAGGTTTCCCAAGGCAATGTGAAAGGGTTGCAGGATTCTCTACCAGGCACTGGAGCCCCACATAGTCACGTAGTAGGTTTTCATCACTGTAGACTCAGGAAACAGCTTTTTCTTCCCCTGGGAAACATAAATAATAAAATTGACATTTTCTTTCTCCCCTTAAGGGGATTCATACTTTAAAGGTGCTGGAAACTATCTGTATGTGCTTGGGCAAGTTATTTAAGCTCTCTTTGACTTTCCTTGGGGAAGATGTACCCCAAGGTAATATCAAAGGAACCATGGCAGGTGCCCATAATCCCAGCTACTGGGGCGGTTGAGGCCAGAGGATCACTTAGCCCAGGAATTCGAGACCAGCCTGGGCAACATAGTAAGACTCTGTCTCAAAAAAAAAAAAAAAAAGGCTGGTTGCAGTGGCTCACGCCTGTAATCCCAGCACTGTGGGAGGCCAAGGCAGGCGGATCATGAGGTCAGGAGTTCGAGACCAGCCTGACCAACATGGTGAAACCCCAACTCTACTAAAAATACAAAAATTAGCTGGGCTTGGTGGCACTTGCCTGTAATCCCAGCTACTCAGGAGGCTGAGGCAGGAGAATCGCTTGAACCCAGGAGGCAGAGGTTGCAGTGAACTGAGATTGCGCCACTGCACTCCAGCCTGGGTGACAAAGCGAGACTCCATCTCAAAAAAAAGAAAAAAAAAAGATAATAGCAAAGGGAATTGTTAGGACTATGACAAAAGAAAGCCCCAAGAGTGAAAGAGTGATGTCCAGCAGGTCTGATGGAAAGCAGTAACTGCAGACTGGGTTAAGTAGTGCCCTCACCTGTAAAATGAAGATAACATAGTGCCTACCTCATCAGGTTCAAATGGAGATCAAAGGCACCAATTCATATAAAGAGCTTAGAATAACATCTTAGTTATTATTTATATTATTTATTATGTTTAACATACACATTTATTTACTAATGTCCCCCAAGACTCAGTCAGAAGAGTAAAGATTTAATTAATATTGGTTCAACTATTATGTCCTACACAGGGAGACAGAGTTTGTTAATTAATCTGGTTAACTCATTCCATATAATATTACTGCTATTGCTTGGTTTGGAACAATTCTAAGAATCCTTCTGGTCCCAGCCACACTCAAACCATCTCTTTTCCTTACATGTAGTTTTCAACGTCATAGTCAAATGTACATGCAGCTCCTAATCTCCTGCATCATTTTGGGGTGTACCTAATACAAATTCCAAGGTCTCTCTTCTTCTAAAGCAATGAGTGACATTGTCACAGTGTGGTTTCTACTTTGTATTTATCTGAATCCTTCCTGCCCCACTGACATGACTGAACCAAATTAGGTACCAAATGAAGCCCTTAAAAAGGGGAATAGGGCTCACACCTGTAATCCCAGCACTTTGGGAGGCCAAGGCAGGTGGATCACCTGAGGTCAGGAGCTCAAGACCAGCCTGGCTAACACGGTGAAACCCCATCTCTACTAAAAATACAAAAAACTAGCCGGGCATGGTGGCATATGCCTGTAATCCCAGCTACACAGGAGGCTGAGGCAGGAGAATTGCTTGAACCCGGGAGGCGGAGGTTGCACTGAGCTGAGATTGTACCACTGCACTCCAGCTTGGGTGACAGAGCAAGACTCCATCTCAAAAAAAAAAAAAAAAAAAAAAAAAAAAGGGAAATAGGTCTGTGTATTTGGTGCCACAGGAAGGGTGGAAGTGACATCACTGTCCTATCCTCCCCATCCCCCTGCTGGTTGAAATCATTCTTTCTCCCAGTGAAAATCTCTGAGGATAAATGTGGCTGGCAATGGCTGAGGAGTCCGTGATCACCACCACCAGACAATTATCTGGCCCTTGCTTTCAGCTGTTTAGTTTATTTTTCTTTTTTATTGTTTTGGTTTATTCTCATGAATGGTAAAGTAAAATTACAAAGCATACCCAGAACAAAGAAGACTCACACCTCCCTAGTCCTACTACCTGGCCTGGACTCAACCCTCTAAGACTCTTCGCCACCTGCCTGCCCTGTTCTCAGCATCAGGAGTGCACCTATTCCTAACTAGGACTTCTGCCTACATCTATTACATCAGAAATTAGGGCTTAAATTTCCCTGGCTTATTTTATCCCAAATCCAGAGAGAAAAATAAAGGTCTAATTGATACTGATTCAACTATTTTATTTTACACATGGAGATAAAATTTTCTAATTACAGTACTTAAAAGTCAAAACATTCTTTTTAAAATAAATCCCAGTGATATATGCAAAGTTATTGCTAATTCATTGTAAGTTTAAAGCCCAAATATACCTAATACTAACTTTAACATAATCAATTTGACTCTTGTTTTTCCAAGCAAGAGTCAACCCTTTTTCCAAGGGGAGATAATAGTGGTATATGTAGGAACACTTCCACAGGAGATATCAGCTTTCCTTTTATTAAGTTTAGAGAGGAACAATTCTAAGTAAAACTTTAAAAAATCTTCAACACAGATTTTTTTAATAGGCAATACAGAAGGACAGGATGACCAATAAGGGTGCTCAGAGTAAAACTCCTAAAGTTGCACAAGTTGTAGAAGAAAATTTCTTATAATGAAAGGACATGAGTATCTAGATTGAACAGAACTACCAGAAACCTGGCAAAGTAAACGAAAAAAAGATTCATACCAAGACAACTGACTTTGAAATTTCAGAACACAAAGATAAAAACAAAATCCAAAATTTTCCAGGCACTAAATATCACATACAAAGAATTAGGAATCCGAATAACATCAGTTTTCCCAATATTAGCAGTTGAAGAAAGAATAGTACCTTTAAAATCCTGAGGGAAACTTATTTCCATTCAAGAATTCTACACCCAGCTAAACTATCCATCAAGGCTGAGAGCAGAATAAAATATTTTCATGTATTTCAGTTCACAACAATGTACCTCATATGCACCCTTTCTCAGGAATCCACTGAGAAATATTTTCTAGGTATGAGAAAGTAGATCAAAAAGGAGTAGATGGGAAGGGTGTGGTGGCTCACGCCTGTAATCCCAGCACTTTCAGAGGCGGAGGCAGGCAGATCACTTGTGCTCAGGAGTTCGAGATCAGCCTGGCCAACATGGCAAAACCCCATCTCTACTAAAAATACAAAAATTAGCTTGGCATGGTGGCCTGCGCCTCTAATTCCAGCTACTTGGGAGGTTGAGGCATGAGAATAGCTTGAATTTGGGAGGCAGAAGTTGCAATGAGCCGAGATTGTACCACTGCATTCCACCCTGGGTGACAGAGTGAGACACTATCTCAAAAAAAAAAAAAAAAAAAAAAAAAAAGGAGTAGACATGGATCTAGGTAGTAGAAGATGCACCTCAAGGTAATATGAAAGGAACCATGGCAGGTGCCTATAATCCCAGCTACTGGGGAGGCTGAGGCCTGAGAAGCACTTGAGCCCAGGAATTTGAGACCAGCCTGGGCAACATAGTAAGACTCTGTCTCAAAATAATAATAATAATAATAATAATAATAATAATAATAATAATATCAAAAAGAATTCTCAGGACTAAGAAAAGCCCCAGAGTGATGTCAAGCAGGTCTGATGGAGAGCAATCACTGCAGATTGGATTAAGTAGAGGACTCATCTGACAAGGAATTAATAATCACAATATGTAAGGAATGCAACCAACTCTATAGGAAAAATATCTAATAATCCAATTTAAAATGGACAAAAGATCTGAATAGACATTTCTCACAAGAAGACATAGAAATGGCAAACAGGTGTATGAAAAGGTGCTCAACATCACTGATCATCAGAGAAACACAAATCAAAACTACAGTGAGACATCATCTCACCCGAGTTAAAACGGCTTTTATCCTAAAAGGCAATAACAAACGCTGGCAAAGATGTGCAGAAGAGGGAATCCTCGTACACTGTTGGTAGAAATGTAAATTAGCACAGCCACTATGGAGAACAGTTTGGAAGTTCTTCAAAAATCTAAAAATAGAGCTATCATATGACCCAGCAGTTTCACTGCCAGATACATACCCAAAAGAAAGGAAATCAGTATATCGAAGAGATATCTGCACTCTTATGTTTATCACAGCACTATTCACAATAACAAAAATTTGGAAGCAACCTAAGTGTATTCAGCAGATGAATGGATAAAGAAAATATGGTACCTATACACAATGGAATACTATTTAGCCATAAAAAAGAATGAGATCCTGTCATTTACAACAACATGGATGGAACTGGAGGTCATTATGTTAAGTAAAATAAAACAGGCACAGAAAGACAAACTTTGCATGTTCTCACTCATTTGTGGGAGCTAAAAATTAAAACAATTGAACTCATGGAGATAGACGGTAGAATGGCAGTTACCAGATGCTAGGAAGGAGAGTGGGGCCTAGCGGGGCAGTGTGGATGGTTAATGAGTATTAAAAAAACAGAATAAATAAGATCTAGTATTTCATAGCACAACAGGGTAACTTTTGCTATCAATAGGTCAATAATCATTTAATTGCACATTTAAAAATAGCTAAAAGAGGCGAGGCATGGTGGCTCAAGCCTGTAATCCCAGCACTTTGGGAGGCTGAGACAAGCAAATCACTTGAGGTCAGGAGTTTAAGACCAGCCTGGCCAACATGGAGAAACCCCGTCTCTACTAAAAATACAAAAATTAGCTGGGCTTGGTGGCATGCACCTGTGATCCCAGCTGCTCAGGAGGCTGAAGCAGGAGAATCACTTGAACCCAGGAGGCGGAGGCTGCAGTGAGCCGAGATCAGGCCACTGCACTCCAGCCTGGGTGACAGAGTGAGACTCGGTGCTCCCAAAAATAAAAAATAAAATAAAATAAAACCAAGAAGTAGAGCACTATAGGGAGGTCACTCCCAGGCAAATGGGAGAAAGAAACAGAAACAGATTGTCTGATATGTTTGATCTTAGCGAAGGGAATTACAGTTCTGTCAGAAAGCTTATAGATGAACTAGTGATATGTGCATAAAAAACTAATAGCCCAAGAAAAGGCAATGCTTAATGCTAAGAGTTAAAAGAAATGTGTTCAATCATACTTGACTCAGCTGTGAACAATAGTTATAATGTAAATATGTTACTGAGTGTTGGTTTAATGAAAGATTGCTATGTCACTCTATTGAGAAGCTTAGGGGGGAAGTGTATGTGGCAGAGGTATGTCGAGGCGTGTTGGAGAACTAAATCCTCACCTTCCTTAGTAGGAAGTGACTAGATAATGTCTAACAGTAAAAGATGAAGAAACATCAGTATAAGCAAGTTTGATTTTATAAACTGAGTACATGTATTTCTTTGTTTGTTTGTTTGGGTGTTTTTGAGACAGAGTTTCGCTCTTGTTGCCCACGCTGGAGTACAGTGGCGCAATCTCGGTTCACCGCAACCTCTGCCTCCTGGGTTCAAGCGATTCTCCTGCCTCAGCCTCCCAGTAGCTGGGATTACAGGCATGCGCCACCACGCCTGGCTAATTTTGTATTTTTAGTAGAGAAGTAGAGACGGGGTTTCTTCATGTTGGTCAGGCTGGTCTTGAACTCCCAACCTCAGGTGATCGCCCACCTCGGTCTCCCAAAGTGCTAGGATTACAGGCAAGAGCCATCACACCTGGTCAGTACGTGTATTTCTTAGAGCCAATTTTTTTTTTTAATCCAGAGTTAGGAGAAATAAATTATAGAATATTTTAAAAGTACTTGTACCTATTATTTTGAAATTCTTCTGGTTATTTCTTTAAGAGTCTTACTGCCTTTATTCCCAGGACATAATTTCTGTATTTCTGTTTTGGAGACAATTCAAAAAGTGTGGTTAGCAAACCACAATTCTTCCACTTTAGAATGGCATTATGAAGCCTTTTTTAGAGGACTAAAGACTAATTTAAAAACTAATTTTGTTCAAAAGAACATAAACTCATTGACTGCATAGCAAATTGTTCCAAATATATTTTAATAACTTTCTGACCAAACAAAATCAGAAGATGACTTTTAAGTTCAGTTTGAGCCCATTAAAAATAGAATAGCCAGCTGGGTGCAGTGGCTTATGCCTGTAAACCCAATAGGAGGCCAAGACAGGAGGATCGCCTGAGGCCAGGAGTTCAAGACAAGCCTGGGCAGCATAGTGAGACCCCCATCTCTACAAAATAAAATAATTATCCAGTCATGGTGATGCAGGCCTGTAGTCCCACTTACTCAGGAGGCTGAGGCAGGAGGCTCACTTAAGCCTGGCAGTTTGAAGCTGCAGTGAGCTATGATCATGCCACTGTACTCCAGTATAAGCAACAGAGTGAGATCCTGTCTCAAAAACAAACAAATAAACAAATAAAAGAATAGCCAAGGCAAAGCCTATTTTACTAAAACAAAAATATTTTCCAGATAGAGTATTCATTTAAAGTACGATTTTTCTGTGTGTAACTGTAATAATACTTTATAAAGCAATAAAAAAGAAAAAAACTATTTTAGCAATTTTTAAATAAGGCTTATGAATAACAGAAGGTCAGGGGCCTTTTTCCATAACTCAGATAATTAAAATAATTATCTGCTGAACACATATTACATGAATGGTAATGAAAAAGAAGGACTCCAAGATTCAAAGACTTGCATTCAAATTCTGGCTTCATCTCTCACCAAGTCGATGATTTGGGGTAAGTCATTTTATTTGTTTGAGCCTCAATTTCTTCATCCATCAAGCACCTAGACTGTATCAGGCACTATCATAGGCACAGGGACACTGTAGTCATTGCGTGGTCTATGCCCTCATGGAGCTTACATTCTAAGGGGAAAAATTATCCCAACACTTTGGGAGGTTGAGGCAGGAGGATCTCTTGAGACCAGGAGTTTGAGACCAGCCTAGTCAACATAGCAAGACCCCATCTCTATAAAATAAAATTAAAATTAAAATTAAATAAAAGAGGGAAAAAGAGGAGTACCAGAGGAGAATGTATGTTGAAGTTTGAAAGTTGCAGTAAATAGTTTTGGTTGTATTTGATATAAGCCATGGAATGGTTTAAGCAGAGGAGTAACTGATCTGATTTACTCTGGTGGCTGTTTTGAGAACGAATTACGAGGGCATAAGAGAAGGAAGAGAAAGTAGAGAAACCAGTTTTAAGGCTATTGTAGTAGTGAGGTATGACAGTGGCTTGGATTACAATGACTGCAGAGGAAATAGATATAGACACGGTGGACTGACTTTGACTAGAATGCAGAGGTAGAGTTCAGCGAACTTGTGATGCAGGAAAAGAGGAAAGAGAAATCAAGAATTTTTTCTGGCTTTTCTTCTATAACGTAAGCAAATAGGTAAATAATGATGCCATTTATGAAATGGAGAACTCTGTGGGAAAAGCAGATTCAGTGGTGGATATCGAGAGCTTAGTTTTGGACTTGTCAAGTATGTAATGCCTACCAACTTCTAGGAAAAAACATCAAGATGGCAGCTGGAACTGTGAGTCTGAAGTTTTGGGGAGAATTTGAGCAGAAGCCATCCTTTGATTAGCATTAGTATACAGGAGATACATAAAGCCCTGTGATTGGATGAGATTATCTAGGGAAGATGTGCACATGGGGAAATGTATGGGGTTCAGAATGAAGCCCTGGGCCAGAGAAGGAAGAACCAGATGCCAGAAATCAAGAACCAAGAACCAAGGAAGGAGACTGAGAAGAAAGAGCCTTCATAGTTGAAAGAAAACCAGGAGAGTGTGGTAACACAGAAGACAAAAGAAGAGTTTCAAGGAGGGTATGAACCCTCTGGTCAGCTGGGTCAAAGGCTGCTGAAAAGTTCCAAAAGGTATAGCCCAAAAAGTGAGTGATGAACGTGGCAACAAGGAGGTCACTGGTGACCTTAATGAGGGCAGTTTGGGTGCAATGGTGGGGACAGAATCTCTACTGGAGTGGGCTAAGGAAAAGATGGGAGGTGAATGAGAATGTAGTGACCACAGGCAATGCTTTCAAGAAGTTCCGCAGTGAAAGGAGCAGACAAATGGGAAGGTAGCCAGAAAGAAATGATGTGGGGTCAAGATAAGTTGTTTCGTTCTTTAAAAAAATGGAAAATGTTAACCTAGGTTTCCTTTCAGATAGGAATGATCCAGTAAAGGAAGAGAAATCAGTGATATAAGAGAGAGGCAGTAATAGTTATAAATCATGTTTAAAAATCCTGACCCGTGAGTAATTAAATATAAGTCTCTTACATTATATGAAAAACTTTCAGCATGAAATCTCCTTAATTGTGAATGGTTCTATAAAAATTTCTGTATTTTGTTAGCTTCTCATTCCTTATTTCCAAATATTTAACCTTGAGTTTATGTGTATCCATTTTATTGCTTCCTAAGAGTTTACGTTTCTCCATAATTCCCTTTTGTCACATATAATAAGTCTGTGTCCACAAGAAACGTTATTGTGCTGTGATTTAGAGGTCAAGTCTTGGAGTCAGATTGACTTGGATTAAATCTCAGCTCAGCCAAGCGATAACTCTGTGACCTTGGGAAAAGTTTGCTAAAATCTCTGAGCTGCAGTGTCCTTTTCTATCAAAAGTTAATAATAATACTCATTTCAGACCAGGCGCGATGGCTCACGCCTGTAATCCCAGCACTTTGGGAGGCCGAGGCAGGCGGATCACGAGGTGAGGAGATCGAGACCATCCTGGCTAACAGGGTGAAACCCCGTCTCTACTAAAAATACAAAAAATTAGCCAGGCGTGTTGGCGGGCGCCTGTAGTCCCAAGCTGCTAGGGAGGCTGAGGCAGGAGAATGGCGTGAACTTGGGAGGCGGAGCTTGCAGTGAGCCGAGATCGCGCCACTGCACTCCAGCCTGGGCGACAGTGCGAGACTCCGTCTTAAAAAGTAAAAATTAAAAAATAAAAAATAATAATAATACCTATTTCATTAGGTTGTTGTGAGGATTGGAAAAGAAAATATATACAAAGTCTCTCACATGTAGTAAGCATTCCATAAATAACAGCTGTTACTATCATTATTATCATTATTCCATAGGCAAATAAAAAAGCAAAGTGAAAAAATATTCATACAGTTAAGAAATTTACCATTTAAAACTTAAATTAACTTGTGAATTCAATAAATGACAGAAATTTCTTATGAACCACTCAAGGAATCTTTAACTTTACTTTCATGCAGATTTCATTTAACTATGTTTTAAATGCTTTGAAACTAGATAGAGGTGGCTGGGCATGTGGCTCACGCCTGTAATCCCAGCACTTTGGGAGGCTGAGACAGACAGATCATGAGGTCAGGAGATTGAGACCATCCTGGTTAACACAGTGAAACCCCGTCTCTACTAAAATTCCAAAAAATTAGCTGAGCGTGGTGGCAGGCACCTGTAGTCCCAGCTACTTCGGAGGCTGAGGCAGGAGAATGGCATGAACCCGGGAGGCGGAGGTTGCAGTGAGCTGAGATCACACCACTGCACTCCAGCCTGGGTGACAGAGCGAGACTCCACCTCAAAAAATAAATAAATAAAATAAAATAAAAAGAAAGAAACTAGATAGAGGTGTGAACATACAAAACACCCCTGAATAGAACACTTTGTTTTATTTTTAATTTATTTTAGAGACAAGGTCTCACTCTGTCACCCAGGCTGGGGTGCAGTGGCCTGATCATAGCTCACTTCAGCCTCGAACTCCTGGGCTCAAGTGATACCCTAATCTCAGGGATACTACAAGCTGGTACTACAAGCATGTGTCACCATGCCTGGCTAATTCTTTTTATTTTGTGTAGAGACAGGGTCTCACTATGTTGGCCAGGCTAGTCTTGAACTCCTGGACTCAAGCAATCCTCCTGCCTCGGACTCCCAAAGTGCTAGGATTACAGACATGAGCCACTGTGCCTGGCCCACTTAAAAATACTTTAAAATGCTTAATTTTATGTTATGTGAAATTTCACCTCAATTAAAAAAAATACAATGAACACCTGTTATGTACCTTATTTTGTTTAAAAGATATGGCCATATGAACTTTCTTTTCCTTTCCTGGTCAAAAATATCAAATTAAAGTGGATATAAATAGGTGACAGATGATAGATAGATAGATAGATAGATAGATAGATAGATAGATAGATAGATAGATAGAGGGTTGAGGGTTTAATCTGTCCCCAAGGATAACAGCTTTAAAACCTCAATGCTTTTTTGGTAGGTAGTTAGGTAGGTAGATAGATAGATAGATAGATAGATAGATAGATAGATAGATAGATAGACAGATAGATAGATAGACAGACAGACAGACAGATAGATAGTTTAAGGGTTTAATCTGTCCCCAAGGATAAGAGCTTTAAAACCTCAATACTTTTTCCCAAGAAGGACCAAGGACTCCAGGTATAGGCCAGCAATAAATACAAGGTATAGCCAGGCAGCAACGGCAAAGTAGGGCACAATTACAAGTAAGGATTTAGACTGACATTTTAGACAAAAGAGCAGAAATTCGGGAGAGGCTCCTGTGAGGAAAGCAGACTTGGGGGAAGTCTTAAGCAGCACCAGGGAGAGCTCCCAGCCCGTCGTATATACGCTCCTGCTATACGCTAAGCTGCCCATTTTCCTCCAGAAACTAAGGTCCTCCCCAGGTTGTCCTGCCTTTAAAGCAGAGCCATCATGGACTTAAGGACCTTTCTGACCTACAGTGATGGGGTCCACATCTACTCCCACACAAGAATCTTTGTTCAAGCTGTCAGGGATCTGCCTTTCCACTGAGCTCCAATTCTACCTAGAACATTGCCCGTCGAAGTGTGATCTATGCACAAGAACACGAGCCCCTCTACTGTTAGGAATGCAGAGTTCAAGGGTCCCAACCTGGGTCTACAGGATCAGAATCTGCATTTTAACAAGACCTCCTGCTGATTCGTATGCACATTTAAGTCTGAGAAGTACTGGCCTAGAGAACGTGACCCCACCAGAACACAGTAGAGCACGTTCTTCAAGAGCCTTCCTGGCCGGGCGCGGTGGCTCACGCCTGTAATCCCAGCACTTTGGGAGGCCGAGGCGGGCGGATCACGAGGTCAGGAGATCGAGACCATCCTGGCTAACACGGTGAAACCCCGTCTCTACTAAAAATACAAAAAATTAGCCGGGCGAGGTGGCGGGCGCCTGTAGTCCCAGCTACTCGGGAGGCTGAGGCAGGAGAATGGCGTGAACCCCAGGGGGCGGAGCCTGCAGTGAGCCGAGATTGCGCCACTGCACTCCAGCCTGGGCGACAGCGAGACTCCGTCTCAAAAAAAAAAAAAAAAAAAAAAAAAAAAAAAAAAAAAAAAAGAGCCTTCCTTGGCTTCGTCACTGGATGAGTGATACTGGGGGTAGGAACCCTGTCATTAAAATCATTGGGATTATACAATAAATCTTATAAAGCACTGGGAAGAAATGTGATAAAAATGAAGAAACGAAAGGAAAAATTCTCTCTAGGCTGACATTTGGTATGCAACAACATGCAACTGGTATTTGGTATAAAATGTGTTTGTTTTTCCGTTAGACTCAGCTGTCCTAATTTGAAAGAGCCTCCAAAAATATCAGTTGCTATTTAGCTTCCCTTAGTTAAGGGTTGTTTAATTTTGTTAGACAATGAAGCTAATTCTCATCACTGCAACAGGAAGAACAATGACATGAACCCACAAAAGATGTCCCCGCCTACATATGGTTACAGTGGCATAAGCTGGGGACACAGTGACTAAAGTCAAGTCCTAGTCACTTAAACTTACCAGGGTATAATGGGGATTGCCAGAATCAGCGCTAGAAGCTGCATGTAAGAGATGTGTTTCCTGCTTGTGTTTGTTTCTTGAATTGTAATTTCCTAGCAGGAACATTTTTGCCCTGCTTCTTAGATGGCAGTCCCTAAAGAGTCATTCTCCATTTTTATCCTGCAATGGATTTTCTATGCCAGGATTTCAGGTAAATTCTCTGTGAATCAATCCAGTATGCATGAGGCATTGGCTCTGAGTCCAGCTCTGGGCTAGGGAGTGTGAAGGGGAAAGGGGCTGGGTGGCAAGACCCAAAATACATTCCAGCTGCATGATCCCTAACCTCCAGAGGGGCAGAGCTGTAGTTGGTTTTTGGTTTCTTTGTTTGTTTTTTTGTTTTTTAGATGGAGTCTCGCTCTGTTGTCCAGGCTTGAGTACAGTGGTGTGATCTCGGCTCCCTGCAATCCAGCTCCAGGAGTGATTCTCAAGCAATTCTCCTGCCTCAGCCTCCCAAGTAGTTGAGATTACAGGCGTCCGCCAGCACGCCCGGCCAATTTTTGTATTTTCAGTAGAGACAGGGTTTCACCATGTTGGCCAGGCTGGTCTCGAACTCCTGACTTCAAGCAATCTGCCCGCCTCGGCCTCCCAAAGTACTGGGATTACAAGCTTGAGCCACCGTGCCCGGCCTGTTGTTTTTTAATAGAATTCAAACACAGGAAACCATTGGGAAGAAATGAAAGAGAGGGTAATGAAGTACTAAATAATGTGGTTCACACTTCAAGTACTGTAGAAGGTCAGAAAAGAATGAGTTCTTTCCTATGAAAAGAGGAGAGGAAACTTAAAATGGTCCTTGATGAACGTGTTGCAATTTCATACATAGAAGAGAGATTAGGGGAAGTTTCTAGGGAGGAAACAGGGAGTTCAAAGGCACAAAAGTGAGAGTTATTTAATATCTCTTATTGTATCTTCCACTTCCCTAAATGAGAAGAATAACAGGATTTGTTTTAGTTAAATCATAGGTTTTTATGAGAGGGTTAAATGAGATGGTTTTTGTAATTGCTTTATAGATTAAAGGGTTATTCAAATTATTCCTTACTACTGCTGATATTATCGTTGTTATGGGCGTGCCTACTGTGTTCAGGACATTACCCTAGGCCTACAGATAATCGAACTGATGAAATGATTTTAGTAACCAACTACCAGTGACTTAAAACCAGAATACCAGTTTCTAATTTCTACAACTTAGGATGAAACCAGCCAAGAGATTTGAATCAGTCTTCTGCCTAAGACATTTTTTTTCTACAGCCAGTCTGTTCAGAAATCAAATTGTAGATCAGAAGGATAATGATGACAATATTAACACTGGTCATCATTAATTGTATATCAATGGACAGGGCTGTCTGCACACATGCCCTTGCTAATTCCTCACAGCAGTTCTGTGAGGAGGAGACATCACCTCCATTCTGCAGGAAAGGAAACTGGGGCTCAGATAATTTAAATAAGCTATCCATCTTCAGAACTAATAACTGATGAGCCTGGATTTAAACACATGCTTGTCTGGCTTCAAAGCCTAAGCTCTTTCCCCATGTTAGCAGACATGAAGAGGAAATCGAGCAAGGAAAGTCGCCCTTTACGGTTTTTCCTACCATGCCTGGGTAACATGAACAACAAATTGGGAGGAAAAAATAGCTGAATACATGAACTAAACTGAACATTGCACCAAGCTTGGGAAACACCTTCATAACCTGGATCGAGCTATTGATTAGACCAGATTCTAACACCCTTTCTAAACTTTCTTGCTCTACTTTTGGGGAGAATGGATTCAAGAGAACCAACCAGCTTGCCCTTGTAAATTACAGGGGTAAAAATGTTTTCTAAACAGGAAAAGGCAGGGTTATAGCTGATGAGTTTGATTGATTGTAAAACTCAGTTAGATAAATTGCATCCAAAGAACTTCTTCTCCACGTAAGGTAGCTTTTCTGTTGTCACTGTTTGTTGCCTCTGCCCCCATAGCTCATTTCTCATCACAGCCTCACAACTACCTCACAGCTCACATCGTGCCCTCAATGTGCTTGCACTGTGAAGAGAATGCTACCGTATTTGTGCTCTAGAAGAGAAGAAAGTGTCAGCTTGTCTTCCCGACAAAGTTAGATAAAAAATCCTATTTTAAAAGGATGAGTTCATATCCTTTGTAGGGATATGGATGAAACTGGAAACCATCATTCTCAGCAAACTATCACAAGGACAGAAAACCAAACACCACTTGTTCTCACTCACAGGTGGGGAATGAACAATGAGAACACTTGGACACAGGAAGGGGAACATCACACACCGGGGCCTGTCGTGGGTTGTGGGGAGGGAGGAGGGATAGCATTAGGAGATAAACCTAATGTAAATGACGAGTTAATGGGTGCAGCACACCAACAGGGCACATGTATACATATGTAACAAACCTGCATGTTGTGCACATGTACCCTAGAACTTTAAAGTATAATAAAAAAAATAAAAGGGATAATCAAGCAAAAAAAATCTTTTTATTTTTATTTATTTATGTATTTATTTTGGAGACAGAGTCTCACTCTGTTGCCCAGGCTGGAGTGTAGTGGCATGATCTGGGCTCACTGAAACCTCTGCCTCCCAGGTTCATGCAATTCTCCTGCCTCAGCTTCCTGAGTAGCTGGGATTACAGGCGTGCACCATTATGCCTGGCTAATTTTTTTTTTTTTTGTATTTTTAGTAGAGACGGGGTTTCACCATGTTGGCCAGGCTGGTCTCGAACTCCTGACCTCAAGTGACCTGTCCACCACGGCCTCCCAAAGTGCTGGGATTACAGGTGTGAGCCAACACATCCAGCCAGAAAAGCTTGTTTTTTTGTTTGTTTGTTTGTTTGTTTGTTTTTAAATAGCTACTTTGATCATAAAGTAAGTTGAACATTTAGAGGTTGGGGAGGCAACATTAAGAAAACGAAGTAAATATAAAAGGGGAGGCGACAGGGTGGTACGGCATGTGACCACTAACTCAGCATCCTCAGGCTCCGAGAGGGACAGAATCAGAATGTGGAGAGCACAGCCTGGGTATTCAGCACGCATCCATCTGGACCTTCAGCAAGCTGAACTCACTTTCTATCTATAGCATCCCTCATTTTGTTTTTCTTTTAAAAATGTATTTCCCAGGATTCTTTCAGGGCAACCACAGAAGTGTCTTAGCTCCTTCCCCATGTCTCCCCCTACCCCAGCCCCCATCATCCTCTTCAGTGATTCTGGGCATAGCACCAGATGCAGACACGACGGCACAAGTCTAGGATGGGGACTCTTTGGCTGCTTACTCGCAGAAAGAACTTTGAAAAACTATGCACCTTCCTGTATATTTTTAGGTTGGCATCTAAAATTTGTCACCATAAGTTCAAATAGTTGCACAAAATGTAATTTCCAGCATAATGATATTTGAAAATAGAATGGTTCCAGCACCCTTTGGAATGATTCCAGTGACCGCTAAGCATGACAGGTATGGGATACCTGCTTCATAGGGTCATTATGCAGACTCAAGGGCTGAATAGAGGCACAGTGCCCGGCACATGATAAATACTTTATCTTTGTCGTATGTGTGGGTGTATAGAGAGAGAGGGAAAGAGACGGCAAGATGTTAGCAGTAAATCTTAGGAGGGATTGTAGCAGATGATGTTGATGCCCCACCCCACATCCCTTCAGCTCCTGTTTGAGTTCACTCACAGCTGTGGTTCACAGTTTCTGCCATGGGAAGACTTGACACCTCAAATGACGCATCTCACGGCTTCTCTGCCAGAGGGCTTTCTCCAGCACAGAGAAGCGTGCAATACTACTGGTTAGGCACAACCTGGAAACTGAGGCAGCTGACTTTCTCAGGGTTGACTCTTAACCAAAGGGGAGAGGAGGCAGTGGACAAAAGCCCCCGTCTCTCCATCCTTTGGCGAGACAAATGGGAAGCTTATCGTGCATGGTTTCCCAGAAGGTCCCCAGGACGGAGCCCCGGTTGCACACAGCGGTGACCACCACAGGAATGCACATATTATTACTGTGTTTTCCTTTCCTGTCCCATGTCCTGCACCCTTTCACTTGTGCTTTCTGGGATCACCTCCCAAATAAATGTCCTGTACCCAAGTTCTCTCAGGATCTCCTTTGAGGGAAACCCAACCAAGTCCAGGAGATATGGGGATTCATTATAGTGCTCTTTCCATTTTTCTGTGGTTTGAAACTTTCCAAAGTAAACATATAAACAGATTTGTTTAAATGTTTTAGAAGAGCAGCCCTACAGTATGTTCAGGGATTGTACCTGGCTGTGTGCTCCAGAACCCAGTCTGTGACCCTCCCAGAGATTCTGTAAACTACTGAGTATCCCTTAATCAGTTCATTTCTGCTTAACAACAAATCATTGATATTGAATGGTTTTAGTAGCAAGAGGTATAGGAGAGTGGTTCTGAATGTGGAATCCTTCCATCACTCAAGAGCAGCTAACTCCTCTCAGCCTCTGTATTATTCTTTTTGCTGTCATTAAATAAAAAATCATGAACTTAGTGGCTTAAAGCAGCACAAACTTATTATCTTACGGTTCTGCAGGTCAGGGGTCTAAGATAGGCCTCACTGGGCTAAAATCAAAATGTATGTAGAGCTGCATTCTTTTTAGAGGCTCTAGAAAAAGTTTAGTTTCCTTGCCTCTGCCAGCTTCTAGAGGCTGCCTGCATTCTTTGGCACATGACAGAAGATCAAGTCCTTTCAACGTAGCATCTCTCCAAGCCTCTCGTCTGCCTCCCTGTTCCACTTTTAAGCACTCATGATTAGATTGGCCCCATCTCAAGATCAGCTGATTAGCAATCTTAATTTCCTTTTGCTGGGTGCGGTGGCTCACGCCTGTAATCCCAGCATTCTAGGAGGTCAAGACAAGAGGATCACGAGGTCAGGAGTTCAAGACCAGCTTGGCCAACATGGTGAAACCCCCGTCTCTACTAAAAATACAAAAATTAGCCAGGCGTGGTGTTACATGCCTGTAATCCCAGCTACTCGGGAGGCTGAGGCAGGAGAATTGCTTGAACCCAGGAGGCGGAGGTTGCAGTGAGCCGAGATCGTGCCACTGCACTCCAGCCTGGGTGACAGAGCAAAATTTCATCACGAAAAGAAAAAAAAAAAAACAGGCTGGGCACGGTGGCTCACGCCTGTAATCCCAGCACTTTGGGAGGCCGAGGCAGGCAGATCGTGAGGTCAGGAGATCAAGACCATCCTGGCTAATACAGTGAAAACCCATCTCTACTAAAAATACAAAAAAATTAGCCAGGCATTGTGGCGGACGCCTGTAGTCCCAGCTACTTGGGAGGCTGAGGCAGGAGAATGGTGTGAACCTGGGAGGCGGAGCTTGCAGTGAGCTGAGATCCCACCACTGCACTCCAGCCTGGGTGACAGAGCGAGACTCCATCTCAAAAAAAAAAAAGTTTTTTCCTTTTACCACGTCAGGTAATGAAGGAGTTCAGGAAATGCCATCGCTAAATACACCAGTTTGCTATATTGATTACTTAGAGCTGGAGGTACTTGAAAAACAGCAAATGCAAGGGGAGGCTTTCTCTTAATTCCCCATCTGCCTAAATACAGATCCTCAAAAAAGAACTCAGTTGTCACCAGTCCCCTCCTCAGGAGTTTCATCAGCTAGGGAAGATTAACTCATCACAGGAGAGAAAACAAGAAGCCAACACCACACCAAGAGAAGGGCCCATTCATTTTTATTCCAAAATCACTTACTCTCTCCTAAATTGCCTACATACCTCCTCCTCTCTCCCCTGTGAAGAGGGCATACAAGCTCCTAAATCCCACTGGTTTTGGGGGTATTCCCTTTTCTTTCCTGTGATGCCCCATGCACACAGTACATTTGTATAACTTTTCTCCTGTTAATCTGCCTGTTGTCAGTTCATTTCATGGACTCAGCTATGAAACCCACGGAGAGTGAGGGGAAGTCTTTCCTCTCCTACAGTAGCATATTCACTAGTTCCAAGAATTAGAATGTGGGCCAGGTGTGGTGGCTCACACCTATAATCCCAGCACTTTAGGAGGCCAAGGCGGGCGGATCACTTGAGGCCAGGAGCTCAAGATGAGCCTGGCCAACATGGTGAAACCCTGTCTCTACTAAAAATACAAAAATTAGCTGGGCGTGGTGATGGCGCACACCTGTAATCCCAGCTACTCAGGAGGCTGGAAGAGAATCGCTTGAACCCGGGAGATGGAGGTTGCAGTGAGCCGAGATCATGCCACTGCTCTCCAGCCTGGGTGACAGAGTGAGATTCTGTCTCTAAAAAAAGAAAAAGAATTAGAATGTGGACGTCTTTGGGAGGGCTACCATTCTACCTGCCAGAGCCTCACAGCAGCCTGACCCTCATCTCTCCCTTCTCAAGGATGATAAGAACACCTGGGAGGAAGCTGTGGGCTGTGGCTTCCCAAGCAAATAGGTTTGCTGAGGAAATGAAAACAGCCATCTACCAATGGCTTAAACAGGAACTCTTTTTTTTAGAGACAGGGGTCTCACTATGCTGCCCAGGCTGGTCTCAGACTCTGGCCTCAAGCTATCCTCCCGCCACTGCTTTGCAAAGTGCTGGGATTACAGGCAGGAGCCACCATACCTGACCAAAACAAGAGCTCTTGCATGCTACAATAAGGAACAGCAGATAATGGCTTAGAACTCTGTTTGCATATTTAGGCTCAAGTACAGAGACTTTTTGATTTGCCCAAGATTATATCCCCTGAAATAAGAAAATCAGCTATTAATTCCTCAGTTCACAGGGTGTGATATAGGGTGGGTGGTTGTGTGTGTGTGTGTGTGTGTGTGTGTGTGTGTGTGTGTGTGTGTTTAATGCTCTCAACCCAGTTTTGAGGCCCTGGCTAGAGATGGTCAGTTCCTCCTCTTGGGCAGCCAGTTACGTTCGCACCTCAACCACCTCCCTGACTGGGCCCTCACACTCTGGGCTACCACACACCCACCCTAACTGCCCTGGGCCAGGTGCCAGACAACGAGGGACAGCCCCTATGTCCCAGAGCCCAGTGAAATTATTCAAATTAGCCAGTAGTAAGCCATGTTCCCCCATCTCCCACAGAGACCACAAGAAAGGAGAATTTCCACAGCCACCCCTTCTC
Source organism: Homo sapiens (assembly GCF_000001405.40). NCBI lineage: Eukaryota > Metazoa > Chordata > Mammalia > Primates > Hominidae > Homo > Homo sapiens. The sequence goes on along the minus strand of NC_000015.10, from coordinate 59,413,133 downwards.
CCCCTTTGCCACGTGACTGACCTGGGGCTTCACCTGAGTGGCCTTGTGTGGCGTGCTGTTGCTCCCAAGGGAGCTGCACGTATAACAAAACTGTGAAATTCTGGTTTCTCTCTCTTGATCTGCACCTTCACTTAAGGTAGCATGTTTACAACACAGGGTACGTGTGTTTGGTTTTTCTTACGTTTTAATTTTTGATTGATTTCTTTCCCCCTGAAAAGGAGCTCAGGGAGGACCTTTCTCAACCAGTTCAAGGCTAATTTTAATGTCAACAGAGGAAAGCCCAGAAAGGCCTGGGGCAACACTCTGCCTTCCTACCCCGATGCCCAGAGTTTCCCTCGGGCCACTCCACAGCAGATGGCAGCAGAGACAGTCCAGGGAGGGACCCACTGTAACACCGTAACACCTTTTTTTTTTTCTGTGACAGGGTCACCCAGGCTGGAGTGCAATGGTGCGATCACAGCTCACTGCAGCCTCAACCTCCTGGACTCAGGCAATTCTCCCACCTCAACCTCCAGAATAGCTGGGACTACAGACGCATACCACCACGCCAAGCTAATTTTTGTATTTTTTTGTAGAGATAGGGTTTCGCCATGTTGCCGAGGCTAATCTTAAATTCCTGGGCTCAAGAGATCCACCAGCCTCAGCCTCCCAAAGCGTTGGGATTACAGACATGAGCCACTGTGCCCGGCTTGTAACACTATTCTTTGGAACCGTCTTTTGATTAATCCAAAAACCAGCTTGCGGGGTAGCAACATAAATTCTGACTGAAGAAAGTTTCTCCTTCATGAATAACTGCTTTACAGCAAGTCTTTTCTGTTTCAGCAAGTCTTTTCTCTCCCCAACAAAACTCCTGAACCTCCCGTGCCATCATAAACACTAAACTGCCCCAAATTTGCAACCTTACTGCCCCATCTTAGGAGTCCCAGCCCCCAGTCCACTATGCTGGACTGTCTCTATAGCACAATCTCCCCACTCAGAGGAACAGAGAAGCTGGGCCCACATGCAGATCTAGGCCAACAGCCCCCAAAATCGAAGCCCTCCTTGTGGCCTCTCCCCTCTGCCCCTCCCACCTCACTCTATCCCATTCTCCCCCTTTCTCTTCACTGTAATAGCCTCTCATCCCCCGTTTTTTTTTTTTGTTTGTTTCTTTTTCTGCCCACTCAAGTAAAGGCTGCAGCAGGTTCCACCCCAGGGCACTCACCTAAGACAAATAAAGATTAAAGTATTTTTGTTGTTGTTGTTGTTGAGACGGATTGCAGTGGTGCAGTCTCGGCTCACTGCAACCTCCACCTCCTGGGTTCAAGGGACTCTCCTGCCTCAGCCCCCAGACTCAGCTGGGACTACAGGTGCCTGCCATGCCTGGCTAATTTTTGTATTTTTAGTAGAGATGGGGTTTCACCATGTTGGCCAGGCTGGTCTCAAACTCCTGGCCTCAAGCGATCCTTTCATCTCGGCCTCCCAAAGTGCTGGGATTACAGGAGTGAACCACTGCATCTGGCCAATTAAAGTATTTTCTTCCTCCTGGTGGAGGGAGATGATTTCACACCTATGAGGGTGAGAAGATGGAAAGTTTCTGAAACTTTTGTCTTTTCCCTGCTCTGAAGGAGAAGTGGGTGCAGCTGTGCTGAGTTTGTTGCGTTTGAGGGCTACTGTATACATTCTGATCAATACTCTGAGTAATTTACTTCCCCTCTTCATGTTTCCAGCTGAGCTATTTGTCAACTTTTCTTGTGGGAACCCCAGTGATCTCTATTGGAAGATGCATATATACCTCTTTGTTTCTGCTATGGATTGATACTCATCTTCTCCTCTGAGTCCAGTCCTGGGCTCCCAGCAACCGTACATAGAAAGAGCCCTTCCCTCCAGCAGGCATCCTCTGCCCCAGCGACTGTTCCCAAAGCAAATCCCAGCCTGTGCTCTGTGCATGGTCCCTAACCCTCCTTGATCTGTGCGTTATGATATTTGGGGTCATTCACAGGGCAAGATCTTAGAATAAAGTAATTATAAAAGCTAATATACTTTAACATAATGTTCAAAAGCTGAATGAAAAGCCTGGTGTAAAATCTATACTAAAGAAACATCTGGGCCTGGCGCGGTGGCTCACCTCTGTAATCCCAGCACTTTGGGAGGCCGAGGCAAAAGGATCATTTGAGGCCAGGAGTTCGAGACCAGCCTGACCAACATGGTGAAACCCGTCTCTACTAAAAATACAAAAATTAGCTGGGTGTGGTGACGCATGCCTGTAATCCCAGCTATTCAGGAGGCTGAGGCAGGAGAGTTACTTGAACTCAGCAGGTGGAATTCAGCCAAGATCAGTAAGCCGAGATCAGCCACTGCACAATAGCCTGGGTGAAGGAGCCAACAGAGCAAGACACTGTCTCAAAGAAAAGTAAAGAAACATCTGTTGCTTGAGCTTGGTTTAAATACAACATTGTTCAAATGCATTTTCTAACTTTTAAAATGTTTCTTTCTTTCACACACAGGATGTGGGACTGTTCTCTGGTTAATGAGTTACCCATTTCTCTGTTGGCTCTGGGTCACCAGGAAGGACCAGGAGTTCCTTCTCCTTCAGTCACTCTGGTTTTTTTCTCGTAGTCCACAGCTCATATTCTCCTTCTTGCCTCACTCATCCCAGGGAGGAAGCCAGAGGTGAGTGTGGGAGGCACAGAGGAGGATAAGGTTTACTTAAGGTTAAGAGCTAAGTTATTTGTGTGGACTGAATTCAGCTAGCTCTACTAACTCTGTAACCTTGGATAAGTTAGCTTAACCTCTTTAAGCCTCAGTTTTCTGAAACTTTCTTCTGTACTAGTAATTTCTTCTTCTTCTTCTTTTTTTTGGACATGGAGTTTCGCTCTTGTTGCCCAGGCTGGAGTGCAATGGTGCAATCTCAACTCACTGCAACCTCTACCTCCCGGGTTCCAGCTATTCTCTGCCTCAGCCTCCTAGGTAGCTGGGACTACAGGTGCACGCCACCATGCCTGACAAATTTGTATTTTTAGTAGAGACGGGATTTCACCATGTTGGCCAGGTTGGTCTCACTCTCCTGACCTCGTAATCCGCCGCCTCAGCCTCCCATAGTTTTGGGATTACAGCCGTGAGCCACAATGCCCGGCCTGCACTAGTAATTTCTATATTATAATAATAGTACTGATTTCTATATTATAATAATAGTACTGATATCATCTTTGTACTAATAATTTCTGTGCCTTAATAATAATTTCTGTACTAATAATACAGATACAGTAAAATGTCTGTGGCACCAATAATTTAATAATTCTGCATAATTTCTGTTCTATAACAAAATGCTAAATTTTTTTGTAAAGTGAGGCTAATATAGAGTTATTCTGACTATTGGATGAGAAAAAAAGCAGATAAAACGTTCAGAGTATAGCATATAGTGCATGGTTAATAAATGTTAGCTATTATTATTATTGATGAGGACATGTCTTCTAGTCATTCTGCCCAAGCCTTTGCACCTACAGAAACTTGTAAAGAAAATCGAAAACTGGCTTTTTTTCACGTCTGTCTTGTACAGAAAAGACAGTCCCGGTGAGTGATCTGTGGGGAAAGGAGAGGAGAACATCCCCTTTCCCTGGGACCTCTTCAAGGAGTCTGGGCACTACCTCTCCAGCTTTGAAAAGACTTTGTTCCTGCCAAGAAGAGAAATGGGGATGAAGGGGTTGGAATGAACCACATGGTCATGAAGCATGAAGTAGGGGGTATTGTTTTCTCTCTGGATGGAAGAGGGATTTTTCTCAGAGGGACAGGGACGGTGATCAGGCAGGGAAGAAAGGAGACCAATTCTCTGGTTTGGGGCGGTAACTTCTGACTGTCCCGGAGAAAGGCATCTTCGGGCATAATGGAGAGTCCGGAGGCAGGAGAGTGAGAGCCCCAGTGTCACTGCACTGGACCCAGACCTGGAGTAGAAACAAACATTCCAAACCTTGCATGTCTGTAAGTGGAATAAGTGGGTGTCTGGAGGAGGGAATAGGAGTATCATCTTCCTCGCTTCCCCTTTCAGGTAGGAGCTATCCGACTGGATAGAGATGAGCTGAATCACTTCAGGGCAGCCCTTTTGATGACGTTTTAATTTTTAAAATTTTATTAAATTTTATTTTTAAAGATTAGTCAAGTACAGTAGCAAGAAGTAGGGAAAGAGAACAAGGTGTTTTATCTGTAACTGACTGTGAACAATCAAAGTGAGATAACTCACTGCCTTCAGACCAGCCAGATTACATTTTTAAATCAGATATTTAGGGCTTCATTTTGTTCTTTGTATTTTATTTATTTTTATTTGTTTTTTTAAGACAGAGTTTCACTCTTGTCGCCCAGGCTGGAGTGCAATGGCGTGATCTCAGCTCACTGCAACCTCCGCCTCTCAGGTTCAAGAGAGTCTCCTGCCTCAGCCTCCGGAGTAGCTGGGATTACAGGTGCGCACCACCATGCCCAGCTCATTTTTTTGTATTTTTAGTACAGATGGGTTTTCACTGTGTTAGCCAGGATGGTCTCTATCTCCTGACCTCGTAATCCACCTGCCTTGGCCTCCCAAATTGCTGGGATTACAGGCGTGAGCCACAGTGCCCAGCTAATTTTTGTATTTTTAATAGAGATGGGGTTTTACAACGTGGCCAGGTTGGTCTTGGACACTTGACCTCAGGTGATCCACCCGCCTCAGCCTCCCAAAGTGCTAGGATTATAGGCATGAGCCATTGCACCCAGCTGTATTTTATTTTAAATGGAGCCATCCTTGAAATTATTTGGAGTTAAAAAGTCCATGAATTAAAATAAACTATTTCAAATATTTTAAGAAGTAAAACAACAACAACAACAAAAGAAACAGGTATGATTCCCCAACCCCACAATCACCTCCACCCTGATTTTCTGCTATCAGCCTGGTAGTGCCTAGTCTCTGTCCTCAGAAGCCTGGAATAGTTATCAAACAAAAACATTTGTTCCTCTCTTTCCTCCCACCGCCCAAGATGCCAAAAGGGAAGAAGGCCAAGGGGAAGAAGGTGGCTCCAGCTGCTGCTGTCGCGAAGAAGCAGGAGGCCAGGAAAGTGGTGAATCCCGTGTTGGAGAAAAGGCCTAAGAATCTTGGCATTGGACAGCACACCCAACCCAAAAGGGACCTCACTTGCTTTGTCAAATGGCCCCACTTTATCAGGTTGCAGAGGCAAAGAGCGATCCTCTAAACATGGCTGAAAGTGCCTCCTGCAACGAACCAGTTCACCCAGGCCTTGGACCCCCAAAGAGCTACTCAACTGTAATACATAAGCTGGCCCACTAGTACAGACCAGAGACAAAGCAAGAGAAGAAGCAGAGGCTGCTGGCCTGGACTGAGAAGAAAGCTGCCAGCAAAGGGGACTTCCCCACTAAGAGACCACCTGTTTTTCGAGCAGGAGTTATCACCATTGCCACCTTGGTGGAGAATAAGAAGGCTCAGCTGGTGGTGACTGGACATGATGTGGATCCCATCGAGCTAGTTGTCTTCTGCCTGCCCCCAGCCTCAGCCGCCTCATCTGGAAAGTGGGTGATGATAGGCCGGGTGTGGTGGCTTACACCTGTAATCCCAGCACTTTGGGAGGCCGAGGCAGGCAGATCACGAGGTCAGGAGATCAAGACCATCCTGGCTAACATGGTGAAACCCCGTCTCTACTAAAAATACAAAACAATTACCCGGGCGTGGTGGCGGGTGCCTGTAGTCCCAGATACTGGGGAGGCTGAGGCAGGAGAATAGCGTGAACCCAGGAGGTGGAGCTTACAGGGAGCTGAGATTGTGCCACTGCACTCCAGCCTGGGCGACAGAGCGAGACTCTGTCTCAAAAAAAAAAAAAAAAAAAAAGGAAAGAAAAGAAAAGAAAGTGGGTGATGATAGTTGATAGTGCATTTTTCTGTGTTGTAAAATAAAGGTCACTGACTGCATTATCAAGGGGAAGGTAAGACTGGGATGTCTAGTCCACAGGAACACCTGCACCACTGTCACCACACAGCCTAACTTGGAAGACAAAGAAGCTTCGGCTCAGCTGGAGGAAGCCATCAGAACCAATTAGAACAGCAGATACGATGAGATCCATCATCACTGGGGAGGCAATGTCCTGGCTCCCAAGTCTGTGGCTCTCATTGCCAAGCTGGAAAAGCCAAGGCTAAAGAACTTGCCACCAAACTGGGTTAAATGTACGCTGTTGAGTTTTCTGCACATAAAAATAATTAAAATAATACAAATTCTCCTTAAAAAAAAAAAAAAAAAACTTTCCCTCCAGACGTCTTGCAAAAGTGGAGTTACAATACCTTCCTTCTTGTGCTAAGCCAGTGCACACCTCTGAACTGAATGTTGAGAACTGAGCTGAACAGTCTTCACAAAACAAATGCAGCTTGTAGTAAAAGATCGTGCAGGATGATTTCATTTCTCTATAAACAGCAAATTTATAGAGACAGAAAGTAGATCAGCGGTTGCCTAGAGCTGGGGGTAGGAGTGGGTATGAACCGAAAATGGACATGAGGAAACATTTTGGGGTAGTGGAAATGTTCTAAAACTGGATTGTGGTGATGGTTGCACAACTCTGCAAACTTACTAAAATTATCAAATTGTACACTTAAAGTGGGTGAACTTTATGATATATAAATTTGCCTTAATAAAGCTGATGTTGTTTTAAAGTTAGTGTAGGTAACTGATTTAAATTGGTATGCCAAATAGCACTGGTTAGTATCTACTTTAGGATCCTGACTCCACTGCTCGCAAACCATGTGAACTGAAATAAATGATTTCACATCCCCCAGCCTCAATCTCCTCATCTGTAAGTGGGTGATGATAGTGCGTATCTCATAAAGCAGAGTGCCAGTTAAATGAGATAACTTACAGATTCTTAATGCATTTTATTTTACCTTAGAAATTAGAATGTGAGAAGGTAGGCAGGTGTCAGTGTTTATCCTTTCTTGGCTTGGGGAGGGGAGGTCATTCTGAATTTTTCAATGAGAATGATCTGGAAGGCACATGCTCTAGCACTGTCTTTCAGACTCTCAGACCCACCCATTCCCCTGTGCCCAGTGGTTTCACATTTCCAGTCTTCGTTTCCAGGGGCCTTGGACATTGACAGCCACCTCTTTCTGGGTCGAGTTGCAAGGATAAAAGGAATAGTATTTGTTATCAGGCAGAAGGAGCGAGTGGCAGACTGCAGGAGCTCCAGGACCCTAGGTGACTGACTGTTCCAGACTGGCTGCCCTAGGAGACGCTCTAAGGCAGACATAATCGGGACAACTGAATGTGCAACATGGGTCCCTGATGCCCAGGTAAGCCCAGAAAAGTCAAGGCTGACTATTGGGAGCAAAATGAGATAACTCAAAAGTAGCAGTGTGGGAGAAAGAGGGATGGGCCCAAGGCCAGTAAGAGGGTTTGTTCTCTCCTTGTGTGTGGAGTGCACTTATGCTGAAGTTTTTAGGGACATGGGATGGACAGGATGAAGTAGTAGCAATTATTATCATTATTCTTTTTTTTTGAGATGAAGTCTCACTCTGTCGCCCAGGCTGGTGTGCAGTGGCGTGATCTCGGCTCACTGCAGCCCCTGCCTCCAGGGTTCAAGCGATCCTCCCCCATCAGCCTCCCAAGTAGCTGGGATTACAGGCATGCACCACCATGCTCAGCTAATTTTCATCTTTTTAGTACAGACGGGGTTTTGCCATGTTGTCCTGGCTGGTCTCGAACTCCTGACCTTAAGAGATCCACCCGCCTCAGCCTCCTAAAGTGCTGGGATTCCAGGTGTGAGCCACAGAGCCCGGTCTAATTCTTAGCGGAAAGAGGCATACGGTTGTATTCTTTGTACCCTCCCAAACCCCTCCCACTCTGTTCTTGGCAGGCCTGTTCATTCATTCATCCCACATACATTACCAAATTCCTGCTCTCACAGACCTTATATTGTAGTGGAAGACAGATCATAAAGAAATAATCAAATGACTCTATAACCTAACTGCTAACAAGGAAAGGATGTGCAGGAGGCGAGATGGCTTAGACTGAGTGGTCAGGGAAGACCTCTCTGAGGAAGTTACATGTTAGCAGGGCTTTGAGGGAGCAAAAGAAACAAAGCTTGGAAGAAAGAGCACTCTTGGCAGACAGAAGAGAGCATGCAAAGGCCCTGGGTTTGGTGTCAGCTCTGTGTGTTCAAAGAGCACAAAGAAGCCAGTGTAGCTGGGACAGAGTGAGATGGAAGCAGGGTGGTAGGAGATTATTTCAGGGTGATGGTTAGGGCCCAGACCTACTAGCTTTACTGGCCATGAGAAACACATGGATTTCATTTCAGATGTGTTGAAAAGCCATTGGAAGAGTTTTGAACAGTATAGCAAGTGATCTGATCTTGAGGTTATTCCAGCTGTTGTGAAGAATATGAGCTGGGCATGGTGGCTAATGCCTACAATTCCAGCACTTTGGGAGGCCAAGGTGGGAGGACCACTTGAGGCCAGGGGCTGGAGGCCAGCCTGAGCAACATAGTGAGACTCCATCTCTACAAAAACTACAAAAATGAGGTGGGTGTAGTGGTGCATATGTGTCGTCTCAATCAGGAGGCTGAGGTAGGAGGACGGCTTGAGCCCAGGAGTTGGAGGCTACAGTGAGCTATGGTCGCTCCACTGCTCTCCAGCCTGGGCAACAGAGCGAGACTGTGTCTCTAAAAAAAAACAAAGAATGTATAGAAACTTTCTCACCAAACTGCTACAGGATTCCACACCAAAGTGAACAGCCTTTCTACCTGAGAAAGTCTCATGGCCTTGTCTAAGGTGGGAAGAAATATGGGCTATGGACTCTGACTTGCTGGAATGAGGAGATGGGTCTCTCCTCCCATTTTCTCTTCCTGATGGATCTTCTCTTTCCCACTTAGGCCTCGTGTATAGGTGTGTCTCCCTCTCCTTTTTTGCCCTGAGAATCAATGGGTTTGTTTGTAGAGGTTTACCTTTAGAAACAATTCAGGCCGGGCATGGTGGTTCAGGCCTGTAATCCCAGCACTTTTGGGAGGCCGAGGCGGGCGAATCATGAGGTCAAGAGATCGAGACCATCCTGGCCAACATGGTGAAACCCCGTCTCTACTAAAAATACAAAAACTAGCCAGCTATGGTGGCGCACGCCTGTAGTCCCAGCTACTCAGAGGCTAAGGCAGGAGAATCGCTTGAACCCAGGAGGCAGAGGTTGCAGTGAGCCGAGATCACTCTACTGCACTCCAGCCTGGGTGACAGAGTGAGACTCTGTCTCAAAAAAAAAAAAAAGAAAAGAAAAGAAACAATTTGGTCCCCATCAATTCTCTGATATTGAGTCTTGAAAACACTGAAAAAAAATGTTTATTAAGATTTGGAAGAAATTTGCAATTTAAAGTATTTTAACTGAAAAGAAATCAATTACCTCCCTGTGTGCCATGAATGCTAATTCTCTTTGTTTTTTTAAAACATCTCTTCAACTCTAACCAGATCTCCACTGCCTAAATTGAAAGAAGACCCTAGGTAAGGCTTTCTAGCCAGAGATAACACTTCCATAAAATAACCAGAGGAACTAGGGCATAGAGAGGCTGTACTCATCTGCTTCGGCTGCCATAACAGTGTCAGGGTGTCTTAAGCAACATAAATGTATATTCTCCCAGTTCGAGGCTGGAAGTCCAAGACCAAGGTGCCAGTGGGATTGGGTTCTGACGAGACCCCTCTCCCCTGCTTGCAGACAGCCACCTTCTCACTGTGTCCTTGTGTGGCCTTTTCTCTGTCTATGCTTAGGAGTTGGGGGAGCTCGGATGTCTCTCTCTTCTTTTAAGAACACAAGTTCTATCTAATTAGGACTCCAATCTTATGGTCTCATTTAACCTTAATTTCCTCTTTAAATGCCGGATCTCCAAATACAGTCATATTGGGGGTTAGGGCTTCAACATATGAATGTGGGGGTGTGGGATGGGGGGGTAGCCCACTTCATAACCGAAGTTCTCAATAAATATTCAGTAAAGATATGGGTAAATGAATGGATTTCTCTGGACACCCTGAAACTATCAGAGACCTCTGATGGAGCATGAGGTAAAGACAGTGGCTCAGGCAGAGAAATTATAGACCCATGAACTAAATGAACTAGAACCTATATAAATCAGTAGCGTTCCTCTACATCGGCAATAACCCACTAGAAAATGCAATAACAGGTAGGACTCAGTTCACTGTAGTAACAACAATCATAATATCTCAAATTTTACCTAACAAAGAATATATATATAAGACCCCTATGAAGATGATTTAGAAATGCTATTAAAGCATATTGTAAAAGGAATAGAGGCCGGGCGTGGTGGCTCACAGCTGTAATCCCAGCACTTTGGGAGGCCAAGGCAGGTGGATCACTTGAGGCCAGGAGTTCGAGACCAGCCTGGCTAACATGGTGAAACCCCATCTCTACTAAATATCCCCCCCACCCCCCAAAAAAATATCCAGGCTTGTTGGGACATGCTTGTAATCCCAGCTACTTGGGAGGCTGAGGCAGGAGAAACGCTTGAACCCGGGAAGCAGAGGTTGCAGTGAGCCAAAATCAAGCCACTGCCCTCCAACCTGGAAGACAGAGTGAGACGCTGTCTCGAAATAAAAATAAAATTAAATAATAATAATTTAAAATATCCTTCTAGCCAAGCCAAACACATGTAAGGGACTAAGTTGGCCTGTGAGCCACTAGTCTGTAACTCGTTGTGAGTATAATGGGCATGAGGCTTGTTCCTAAACGTTGGGGTGTGGGAGGCAGAAGAATACAAGCAGACTCTCCCCGTCCCACATGCTGTTACCTCTCCACCTCTCTGCAGGCAGCTTTCCTAAGGTCCTGGACCTTCAGATCCTTGCTGGAGTTGAAGGCAGAAATGTTCTGGATCTGCAAAACAGTTAAGGGATATTAAGGAATATTAAGATAGCCACCCCCAAAACTAGGGCATCCTCCTAACATTATCCACGGCTGATCAGTAACACGTGGGATAGAAATTTGAGTTTATTACTTTATAGCAGTATAAAGCAATAGCAAAGTTAATATAAAATCACTCTCCTGTCAGGCCTGCACGGCGTCAGCTCATGGGTCTCTAAGACCCGAAAATTGAGAGCGTTTTTCGCACCCCAGGGGCTGCTCCTGGCAGCTCTGCGGCGTCAACATGCCACAGAACAAATATATTGAATTACACTGTAAACACCATGGATACTGTTTGGATTACCATGAGAAAAAGAGAAAGAAAGAAAGTCGAGAGGCTCATGAATGTTCAAAGAAGGCAAAGAAAATGATTGGTCTCAAGGCTAAGCCTTACCATAAACAGGGCCATGCTGAGAAAATACAAATAAAAAAGACTATCAAGATGCATGAAAAGAGAAACACCAAAAAAAAAAAAAAATGCTGAAAAGACTCCACAGGGAGCAGTACCTGCCTATCTGCTGGACAGAGAGGGACAATCTCGAGCTAAAGTACTTTCCAGTATGATCAAACAGAAACGAAAAGAGAAGGCGGGAAAATGGGAAGTCCCTCTGCCTAAAGTATGTGCCCAGGGAGAAACAGAAGTATTAAAAGTTATTCGAACAAGGAAGAGAAAGAAGAAGGCATGGAAGAGGGTGGTTACTAATGTCTGCTTTGTTCAAGATGGCTTTACAAGAATACCACCTAAGTATGAAAGATTCATCAGGCCAATGGGCTTGCGTTTCAAGAAAGCCCATGTAACATATCCTGAACTGAAAGTCACCTTTTGCCTACCAATATTTGGTGTAAAGAAGAACCCGTCGTCCCCACTGTATACAACTTTGGGTGTTATTACCAAAGGTACTGCCATGGAGGTAAATGTGAGCAAATTGGGCCTTGTGATGCAAGGCGGCAGTTATTTGGGGAAAATATGCCCAGGTTACCAACAATCCTGAAAATGATGGATGCATAAATGCAGTCTTACTGGTTCGACAGCAATTTCATATATAATTATTGAGGACTACGCACCAATTGAAAAAACTGCCATTACTGTGATGTTTCTGAATACTACCAAACAGCCATACATGTCTGCAATCATCAAGAGATTTATTAAATTGCAAACATTAAAATGGAAAAAAAATACAAAATCATTATAAAAATAATAATGCTTTAGGACTCTAACTTCAAACATTCCTCTTATCTGCAAAGGTTAGAAAAGATCACTTTCCCTTTAAATATGCAAAGAGAAAATGTTTCCAGAATTAATTTGAAACCTTTGTAGCCCTTTAGCTGGAAGAATCACCCTACTAAAAATGCATCAATAGAAACACTAATCAACCAGTGAATGTAAAATTATAAACCAACATGTGTATTAAGAGAAAGAAAAGTAGGGAATGTGCAAGGATTTTTAGTAGACTGGGAGTTTAGACTTCCCCCATGAAAGCAACCGGCACTGACAACAGAAAGAGACTGGGATTCACTGGGAGAAGAAAAGAGCATTGCAGCTTGGAACAGACCTAAGGCCGAAAGGAGGGCAGAGCATTGGCAAAAGTCAGCCAAGGAGGCTGGAGTGAAGGGAGCAGGGGAAGGAATGACGCCTGATGAAGCAGGAGGGGTGTGAACCTGAGTGATTAGAGCTGTGTAGACTGCAGTTAGCCACCCTAGGGTTTCAAGAGGTGGAGAAGGAGGATCATCATCAGCCTTATGCTGAAGATAATGACACTGGCTGTAGTGTGATTCATGGGGTAGGGGGGTCTGAGCCGGTGCGGGGCAACCAGACTTGCAACCACTGCTATGATCGGGAGAGGATGATAGTAGCTTGGGCTAGTGTGCGGGGTGCAGTGGACGTGGAGAGGAGTAAGCAGAAGTGCAAGCTATTGAGGAGGTAAATTTATCAGACCCGTGAGTGGCTGGATGTGGGCGGGGAGGGAGAGTCCATGCTTGGGCTGACTCCTGACTTTCTCGCTCTGGTATTGGGACGTGTGCAGACGCATTCCCCCAGACAGGAACACTGAAGAGGAATGAATTGGGGGGCAAGAGCATGAGTCAGTCTTGGACAACCTGACTTGGAGGTGCCTTTGCAATCTCTGAGTGAACCTCTGGCCTGTTTCCCAGTTCACAAATCCCTCACCTGTAACAGTTACGATAAAAATGGCAGGAAGTTAGCTCCTAGGTGTGGAGGAGCAGAAGAGAGACTCGGACGGGGACTCTCCATTTACCCCACCACCCTCCCTGGAGCCTCTCTGAAAGTTACTCACTGAAGATACTTTGTTTTTTGGTCTAGTTGAAGAAGGAGAAACTCAAATGTGTTCTGAAAAATAAGTATGGGGCTTTCTTAACAAGGCTATGGCATACTATCCACTCTTTCCCCTCCTGCCCTGGAGGGAGTGGCTGGCCACTCACACTAAACTTAGAGAATCAGCTGCAGCAGGAGGAAAGGAGGAGAGCCAGAACTCTGGGAACATTACCTGAGAATGAGGACTGGCCAGCGCCTCGCATAGGGAGAGAATTCTCCTGCCTCCTATCTTCAATCAGCCAGAGGAGCAACTTTCAGTTCCCCCATCACAGCACACTTCTTCATTCTTGTGGCCTCACATGTGCTGCCCCCTCACCAGAAACACCCTGCCCTTCCTCCTCTCGTACATCCCTTTCATCTGCATGGGTTCTTCAGCGTATTTTATTCAGTGCTCAGATACCATATCTTTCTGGAGGCCTTTTTTGATGTCTTACAGCTGGGTTCAATGTTTGTGGCAGAGACTGCTAATCGTCTACACATCCATTCTCTTGTCTTTTTTTCTTGGTACAAGAACCCCTAATATTGGGCTGAGCATAAAGTGCTTGGTATAAAGTCTACATTGTCCAATATCTTTTGCAGCTGGATGAGACCATTTGGCTAAGCTCTGGCTAGTAATGTGAAAGTGGAAATGTTTCCAGCTTCTGGGATATGATTTTATAGGGAGAAGACATGCCTTTCTTCCCCTTCCTCTATATGAATATGATGGCTGATTCTTTTTGTTCTTCTTTTTTGTTTTTGTTTTTGTTTTGAGATGGAGTCTCACTCTGTCACCCAAGCTGGAGTGCAGTGGTGTGATCTCGTCTTACCATAACCTCCGCCTCCCAGGTTCAAGTGATTCTTCTGCCTCAGCCTACCGAGTAGCTGGGATTACAGGCACACGCCACCACATCTGGATAACTTTTTGTATTTTTAGTAGAGACGGGGTTTCACCATGTTAGCCAGGATGGTCTCGATCTCCTGACCTCGTGATCCACCTGTCTTGGCCTCCCAAAGTGCTGGGATTACAGGCGTGAGCCATCATACCTGGCCGATAGCTGATTTTTTAGTCACTAGCTTGGACTAGGAAGACATAGACCACACCCTAGGGATGGTGAAGTTTTGCACTAGAAAGAGACTGGATTCATTTCCTTTTTTTTTTTTTTTTTTTTTTTTTTTTTCTGAGACAGAGTCTCACTCTGTTGCCCAGGCTGGAGTGCAGTGACGTGATCCTGGCTCACTGCAACCTCCACCTCCCAGGTTCAAGCAATTCTCTTGCCTCAGCCTCCTGAATAGCTGGGACTACAGGCATGTGCCACCAATCCCCAATAATTTTCTTTTTTTGATAGAGACTGGGTTTCACCATGTTGGTCAGGCTAGTCTCGAACTTGTAGCCTCAAGTGATCCACCTGCCTTGGCCTCCCAAAGTGCTGAGATTACAGGCATGAGCTGCCACACCTGGCCTGGATTCATGTTCTAATGACTTTATGGAGCTATTAGGTATTTTGCACTGTCTACCTCTTGCTTTCATTTGTGTAAAAGGGAAGTCAACTCCCATCCTGTGGAAGGCACTGTTATTTTGGTTACATGCAGAAAAACCTAATCCAAATTTACACAGTGTTCCTCCCATGTGTTTATTCCTATGAAAACACTTAGACCCTACATTACCAATTACTTACCTGAGTGAAAAAAAGTCTGTCCTGCCAGAGTTGACACTCTTCTTCTTATGCAGATGGCTCCAAAGATGTCCTCACCTAACATAACTCATATCTGCAAGTGTTCAGTAAGGAACCAGAAAGCCAGTTATCCAAAGGCAATGCTGTCAAACCACTTCAAATGTTGCTTTCTGGTCTCGGGCTTGATAGTCGCTAGGTGATGCTATGGTTAGGATTGTGCCCATTTCTCCTCCAGTGCAAGTTCTGTCTCTTGGATGGAATAGTCAGTTGATACCACCAATAAACCCGCAGAAAACAGGAAGACAAAAAAAAAGCACGTACAACAAACATCTTAAAAATTGTATCTCCTAGTCAACACATCCTGTGTTGTAGGATTTGGAAAACCATAAGTAATTTTAAAAACTCGGATGGTTTGGCATTTGGAATGTTGAAAGCAATCTGGAAAATCCCAATAGTCCATTTGTGTCTCTATCATTAGCTGAAGAAGCAAATGGTCAAGATGAATTTCAGTAGGATCAGAGGAGTGAGTGTATCCGGTGGATTGGCTCACACCTAGCACCATTATTGAGGTTGGTGATACACCCTTGAACAGACTCTGCCAATGAATCTGTGCTGATTAATTCACTTTTTTCCCCAGAACCTTTCCAAGGTCAAATATTGTTTATGATGGTGTTTTATATTTTTATACCAAGCGTTTCTGCCTTAATTGACTCATCTGTAATTGATAGTCTTCAAGTATGAGCCAAAATAATAATGGCCAAGAGATAGAAGCACATAACCTGGACAATATCTTAAAAGTCAGAAATTTTAAAAAATTCAAACATTATCAATATAATACTGTCCAAATATCTGGACAAATCTGATAATCTCATAGGTTTGAGGTTCCAATTATGCTGGATTTTTGAAGTTTCACAGCCTGTTGGCCTGGCTGGTTTCAAACTCCTGACCTCAAGTGATCCGCCCGCCTTAGCCTCCCAAAGTGCTGGGATTACAGGTGTAAGCCACTGGACCCTGCCAGGGCTGAAGATTAAATGAGGTAGCGTATATAAAGCACACAGCTGCTATCAATAGATTTTACCTATTATACAGTGGGCTTTCCCTCCCTAAAGAGGGACTCCATTTTTTTTAAATCACATTGTATTCCTAGTATCTACCATAGTGCCTGACATGTAATAAGCACCGCTAAAATGTCTGATCAATGTTAACTGAGAGTATGAGAAGGACCTTGAATGCAAAGAGTTCTTGCTGGGATCCTCCTTTAAGTACAATGCTTCTCTCCTATAAACATAACCCTTCCCTTAGAAGGCTACACGGGGCTGGGCATGGTCAGCTACTCGAGAGGCTGAGGTGGGAGGGTTGCCTAAGCCCGGGGAGGTTGAGGCTGCAATAAGCTGTGATTGCACTATTGCACTCCAGCATGGGCAACAGAGGGAGCCCTGTCTCAAAAAGAAAAAGGAAAATTTAAAGAAGAAGAAGAAGAAGAGGAGGAATAGGAAGAAGAGGAAGAAGGAGGAGAAGGAGGAGAAGGAGGAGGAGGAGAAGAAAGAAGAAGAAGAAGGCTACACTGGAAAAAATCCCAGCCCAGAGTTTATGTGAAAAAGGAGATCCCTGACACATTGGTCCTGTGATTCCTGGAGCCTGCTAGGTAGAAGGTTGTTAACCAGAGTAATTTATGCACGATCAGTGGCAGGGGAGAAAGAAGGTTTTATACAGCTTAAAGGAGAGAAGTCATTTTATTTGGGCTCCTGCAGTATTATTATTTAGACTCTCATTTATTTTACATCACTTCTGTGATGACTGTACATGAATAAATATTGACAAATTGAATGATCTGATCCCTGCATTACAGGGTAAACTTGCATAATCCCTTGTAGACGTACTCTGGGGAGTGAGGCTACTTTGTGGAGTTCCTTGCCAGTATCCCTAAGCAAGGGATTCTTTCTTGTTCTAAGCTGTGGCATATGGTTGTGGTTTTGGAGCTGGAAAAGGAGAATAAGATGGAATATTACATGGCAAATTTGCTGGTCATTTCGATTGTTGAACATTTTTCTTTCAAGAAGAGTTATTATTACAGCCTCTGCTGGCTTAAGGCAGTGAAAGTCCAGGCTGGGCGCAGTGGCTCATGTCTATAACCCCCGCACTTTGGAAGCCTGAGGTGGACAGATTGCTCGGCCTCCTCCCTACTGCCCTCTGATGTGCTCACTCCAGAAATGGAAGGAGAGAGACCCTGGGTAGTGAGTCCACCAGACACTCTCAGGCCAGCAGAATCACCTCTTGAAGACAGAGACAAGAATGAGTGGAAGAAATGTAGCCAGGAAAAGTCAAAAGGACATGATAGGCTTTTGAGATGTTTGGAGAGAGTTTTATTCCCTTTCTTTGGATTTGGGGGAAATTATATCGCACAGGCTGACTAGGAGAAAGGGGGAGGGTGGAAGTTTTGTCTTCATCCCCCCATTTGTCTCTCCAACCTTGAACTTGCATGGGAGCTATGCAGGGGCAGGTGACAAGGGTGTCAACCAAAAAGGATCTGTGCCATCAGCACCATTAGTAAGAAACCAGGCCAGGCACAGCAGCTCACACCTGTAATCCTAGAACTTTGGGAGGCTGAAGGCCGATGGATCACTTGAGCCCAGGAGTTCGAGTAGCCTGGGTAACATAGGAAGACCCTATCTCTAAAAAAATATTAAAAATTAGCTAGTCATGATGATACACGACTGTAGTGCCAGCTACTTGGAAGGCTGAGGTGAGAGGATAGCTTGAGCCAGGAGGCTGCTGTGAACTACTGTTGTGCTACTGCCTGGGCAACAGAGCGAGACCTCATCTCTAAAAATAAAAATAAAAAATAAGATAAATAGGCCAGGTGCAGTGGCTCACACCTGTAATCCCAGCACTTTGGGAGGCCGAGAAAAGTAGATCACCTGAGGTCAGGAGTCCGAGACCAGCCTGGCCAACAAGGCAAAACCCCATCTCTACTAAAAATACAAAAATTATCTGGGCATGGTGGTGCACGCCTGTAACCCCAGCTACTCTGGAGGCTGAGGCACGAGAATTGCTTGAAACCAGGAGGTGGAGGCTGCAGTGAGCCAAGATCGCACCAGTGTGCTCCAGTCTGGGTGACAAAGCAAGACCTCATTTCTAAAAATAAAAATAAAAAATAAGATAAATAAGTCATCAACCATCCAGCCATTTCTGCATTTTTGGGTGAGTCCACAAAAAAAAAAGAAAGAAAGAAACCAGATTTGCTATATTAGTACGAAGCTACACTCACCTTTGACTAGTTGGAAGCTTCTCTAAGATTGTGGTTAGCGAAAGCCAAGAGCTTCCTAGAGGTAAGATTGAGAAGGTTTTTGCTGAGGCTGTTTTATTGGTTGGCTATGTGTCAGCTCTTGGGAGTAATTTGCATAAAACTTGTCAGAGTGTATTTTCAAGGTGGGAAACACTAAATTTTCAACATTTAAGATAGGAACCTTGGTCAACCTGACATCTGCCTGCCAAGCTTTACCATGCACTGCTTCCCAAGAGCAATCAGCCAGTCGCGAGGTTAAGGTTTTAGGAAGAAGCTGAGTCTACAGACAGCTTCAGCAACCTGCAATAAGAGGGGTGGTAGTGGGATGTCAAGACCCAGTGGGTGGAGAGGTACAATCCAAGGAGTATGGCTAATAGTAGAGTCAGCGGTTTGGAGTGAGCAGACCAAGAGTGAATGTGTTTTCTCATCTTTAAAATGGAGTTAATGAGAGTACCAGCCCCAAAAGGCAGTTGTGGTAATTGAATGAGTTAAAGCATGTAGCACGCTCAGCACACTGGTTGACTCATAATGTATTCTCAAGCAATGTGAGCTGTGTTCATCGTCACCACCATTATTATCACCATCTTCATCACCATCATCCTGGCTCTTCCACTGATGCGGGTTGTGACCTGGGGCAAGTTGTGTAACATTTCTAAACCTTGGATTCCTCATCTTTACATTAAAGAAAAAACGTAATTATCTTCAAGAATATAGCGAGGATGAAATGAAATGAGGCACATAAAGCATCTAACATGATGCTTGGCAAATAGTAGGCGCTCATTGAGTGGGCGTTATTTCCTGTTGGTTTCCACGGCTTTCCTTTATTGATTGATAGTCAAAACAGGTATTTTGGAAGAACGAATACCAGAGGAAGGAAGACAACAAAGTCCCTGTGATGGGAAAAGTTTACTCAGTGGAAGAGACTCTCATGTTTTTGATGAGAGTTCTTATTTTCATTTTTTTGTGTGGTCCCATCGGACATCTCCCTAAGACCTCAGATGTCCTTGAGTTTACAGTCCCACACATTAAGTAGTTTTCATTACTGAAGAAATCAGAGAGGATTGAAGATTTGGGGACATGGATGTGAGGTTGCCAAATTTTGCAATAAAAATACAGGTGCGCAATATTTTATCTGGCTATCATACATGGATGCCAATTTATCTTCTTGTAAACTCAAGCTAGGATTGACTCTTGTTTTGTGAACTTGTGTGATTTACGATATCCACATTCAAGGGCTTCTCGGCGAGAGAGAGAGATGCTGCAGAATGTAGGCTCGGCTGGGCGCAGTGGCTCATGCCCTAATCCCACACTTTGGGAGGCCGAGGTGGGTGGATCACGAGGTCAGGAGTTCGAGACCAGCCTGGCAAAGATGGTGAAACCCCATCTCTACTAAAATACAAAAATTAGCTGGGCATAGTGGCAGGCGCCCGTAATTCCAGCTACTCAGGAGGCTGAGGCAGGAGAATCGCTTGAACCCAGGAGGCAGAGGTTGCAGTGAGCTGAGATCGTGCTACTGCACTCTAGCCTGGGCAACAGAGCGAAACTCCATCTCAAAAAAAAAAAAAAAAAAAAAAAAGAACGTAGGCTCAACTTCTCAGGAAGACAGTTATCAAGGGCATCTTCTCCCATGAGTCATGTTGGGTTTAAGTATTATAGAAGCAAAATGGATCCTGGAGGTTAGGTTTTAGTAAGGAGGCCCTGGATTAACTTCCTCAAGGCTTCTCGTCATTATTATTTCCTGTTACTATCAATAGAGCACTGCTCATTGTCCCTCACTCCCTGCCGTCCCCTTACACCTTCCTTGGCCCTACAATGCCCCTTCTCTCACTACTGAAACACTGCACAGTCTCCACAGCCTAAGGGATGGGGCAGCTACGGCTTCCTAAGGATGATATTATGAGAACACAACACAAACCAGGCCTCCTGGGCTCCATTTTGTTCAAATCATAATATTCAGATGTTATTTCGTTTCTCTTTCCAAACTCCAATGGCATTTCCTAGTGACTTTGCTTTTGAAATGAAAATGCAGGTAGTAGCAGAGCAAAGTATCAAATTAATGACCTTTATCTCAAAACCTGTGTTTTTCGGTAACAAGAAGAGCAGACTTCAGAGAGAGATCAGGTTATGAACTCTCTGTGACATCTCACTTACTGTCCTACCCTGAAACCTTTTTTTTTTCCTGCAGAGTAGGTCTTAAGGTAAGGTGCTGTGTGTATGTGTGTGTGTGTGTGTGTGTGTGTGTGCACACGCGCCCCTGTCTGGAATTTTCATGTACAATCTTTATGCCATTACTAGCTGAGATCATATGGAGTCAGCCCTCATTGCAGAGTTTTAGATCCTGGTCGCTAAGGTCGGGTAGTTGAGGCTTTCTATCTTCCCTGGTTTCAGAGCATACCTGTCTCCCTCCCAGCCTGAGTCAGGGGACAGAAGAGACTGCGGCAGCACATCTCACCCCAAGATATCATGCCCAGCTCCTAAGCCCCTCCCACATCCCTTCCCACTCTGAACTCGTGGCCTGCAGAGCTCCTGGATGGGACCACACTATCTGAGAGGGGCCAGAAGGCTTTGGGGTGACACAGTTTGTCTGCCTTCCTCTCAGCATGACTGACAGCACCTGAACCATGAATGCAGAGACAGAATGAACGGTGGCCCTTCTCCAAGCCCTTGGTCCTCCTTTTACTCATACTCTTTGCCTTCCAGCCTGGGGATCAGGAAAGATTTTTTATTTATTCATTTATTTATATATTTTTTCCAAGACAGAGTCTCCCAGGCTGGAGTGCGGTAGCGTGATCTCGGCTCACTGCAACTTCCACCTCCCAGGTTCAAGCAATTCTCCCTGCCTCAGCCTCATGAGTAGCTGGGATTATAGGCAACTGCCACCACGCCCAGCTAATTTTTGTATTTTTTAGTAGAGACGGGGTTTCGCCATGTTTGTTAGGCTGGTCTCGAACTCCTGACCTCAGGTGATCTGCCCACCTCAGCCTCCCAAAGTGCTGGGATTGCAGGCGTGAGCCACGGTGCCCAGCCGAAAGGGTATTTTTGACCTAATGAGAGAAACCAAAGATTTCTGCGCATATGCTCTGCCTTTAAAGATCCTCCCGCTTAGTCCTCATCCCTGACAAGGCAGAAAGCTTCGAGAAACACAAGGGCCTTTGCTTCATGTCAGGAGCTGGCCGAAGGGCACTAAGAGTGAAGGGACCATGGTCTACTGAGCTTCTCCCAAAAACCCTGTTTAGCAGAGGAGGAAGTGGGACAAGTGACCTCTAGAAGTTATGAAATCCATCCCCCTACCTTCTGGCTGCCCTGACAATTAATAAACAGTTCCCTCTCCGAGATGATTTTCGTTGGAATTAGAACCTGGAATTTCCTCAAATTGTAGTAGACAAGTTGAATTCCTGAACCTGGAATTTCCTCAAATCATCTTGGAGAGGGCCTTTAAAGATTACAAATTAGAAATCAACTGTTTGACATTCTCCTCACTTTTTTTGGATAATGCATGGGACTCCAGAATTCTCTGCCCAAATATCCCCAAGTTTGTCTCCAGACCTAGTGCTGACCTTTTCAAGGTTAGTTCTTCTAAGGGTGACCCAGATGCTGGTGTGTACAACCCAACCTTAAGGGATCAACAAAGAGTGAGTATTATGAGGAAGTTGGATATATGGGCTGAGAAGTCCATATGGGAATGCAAGAGATCTATGCTGATGCAAGAAGGGCTGGAGACAGGAGTGGGAAGAAAAAAGGATGGAGGATGAGGACCAAAGCTGGGGGCTGGCTCTTCCCATGCCACCATGTTCCAGCAAGAGATTCTGACATCCAAGAATTTAAAATTCCAACCTGGACTTCCAGGTTGTTCTGAAGGTATTTTTGTCAAGGTAGGAGGACAGAACATATTGTATTGAATGATTTGTGAGCTTTACTTATAACTTAAAACATTTAGACATCTGGTTTTTAGGCCTCCATTTGCACTCTTGTCAAGGCCTACAATACCCCATGACCTACCCTGCTACCTTCTGGGAGAGAAACCTTCACAGTCCAAATGGCTCAGAGCATGGTCCAGCTGCAACCACATGCTGTACCGCCTCACATCTGTCCCACTCTGCCCTATTTTGGCCCCTAAGAATGGTTAGATCTTACAGGGCACATCCTATGGCCACGTGTTTTGCAATAGCCCTATACTAGTTTTCTGGTCTGTGCTGAGGGCATTAAATCAAATATAAGAGTTTTGCCCAACTTTCAGGGACCAGTAAACTTAATGCAATTGAATTATGGGCCTTGAAGCCTTGCCTGAAAAAGATGAGGTGGTTGGGCCGGGCGCGGTGTTTCACACCTGCAATCCCAGCACTTTGGGAAGCCGAGGTGGGTGGATCACCTGAGGTCAGGAGTTTGAGACCAGCCTGGCCAACATGGCAAAACCCTGTCTCTACTAAAGGTACAAAAAAATTAGTCAGGCATTATAGCACATGCCTGTAGTCCCAGCCGCTCGGGAGGCTGAGGTGGGACAATCGCTTGAACCCAAGAGGCAAAGGTTGCAGTGAGCCGAGATGGCGCCACTGCACTCCAGCCTGGGCAACAGAGTGAGACTCCATCTCAAGAAAAAAAAAAAAAAAAAGAAGAGGTTGTTGAAATTTGGCTGACAATCCAACTTTCTTTTATTTTTTCCATGTCAGATGGGTAATGGGCCTACGTCGTAACAAGGTTTGAGGGAGGCCCACCCATCTCTCACACACAAGCATGAAACCACAGTCATCACGCTTATGAACTACAAAAGGATCACTGACTCTCTTTTTAAGGAGGGGCACGAGCCAGTGAAGGGAAGAAGGGAGCAATGTCAGGCTCAAGGAGCCACTTAAGGCAGTTTGGGGAAGAAGAAGGGCAGGCAGCAGCTGCTGAGAGGGACTTGGAGGGATGAACAGAAGTGTTTGCAGGTATCCTCAGGGAAATTTTACCATATGTTATGAGGAGCTTGCCTCACTTTCCCAAAGAAAATCAGTAAATGCTATCTTACTCAAGATGGCTGATAGAGTTGGATTTGTTCATTTGTTCTGGAAGAGGGTGACCAGGGGATGGAAGCAAGTGCCTAGTCTGGCCCAAAGCTGATCTTCGGGTAACAACAGGAGCTGCAGAAGGGCCCACGTGCATCCAGGCTAACTAATTAAATGGAATGTTGGGCACCCATTTCTCTTTCTCCAGAGCTGACCGTGTAAAGGCTTCAAAGTAGATGCCCAAGCATCTGAAAATGAAACAGGGACAGCAGCAGCAGCAGCAGGCTCATTCAGGCCTTCCTGGAAGATGAACTAAGAGACAGGTGAGCTGCATGCCTGGCCTTGCTCTACGAAAGCCTGTTTTTAGATATCTGCTTTGGTTGTTTTTGTTCTCTGTTTTTACAAAAAAAGGAGTTTGTGTTTATTCAACAAAATTTGAAGTAGGCCAGGCAAGGTGGCTTATGCCTGTAATCCCAGCACTTTGGGAGGCCGAGGTGGGAGGATAACTTGAGCCCAGGAGCTCGGGACCAGCCTGGGCAATATAGCAAGACACTGCTTCAAGACTCTGCTTCTTTTTTTTTTTTTTTTTTTTTTTTTTTTTTGATACAGAGTCTTGCTCTGTCACCCAGGCTGGAGTGCAGTGGCGTGATCTGGGCTCACTGCAACCTCCACCTCCTGGGTTCAAGCGATTCTTCTGCCTCAGCCTCCTGACTGGCTGGGATTACAGGCACCTGCTACCAAGCCCGGCTAATTTTTTTTTGTATTTTTAGTAGAGATGAGCTTTCACCATGTTGGCCAGGCTGGTCTCGAACTCCTGACCTCAGGTGACCTGCTCGTCTTGGCCTTCCAAGTGCTGGGATTACATAGGCGAGCCAACGTGCCCAGGCTCATTATTTTTTTAAAAATGAGAAATGTAGAAAAAGTTAAAAGCAAAAATAAAAATCTCTATAGTGTTACCATCCAGTATAACCAAGTAAACATTCGTCATATTTCCCTCAAGGCTTATCTTCCTCTCTACATAGATAGGGTGTGTGTGTGTGTGTGCGTGTGCATGCGTGTGTGTGTGTGTGTGTCAGGGAGAGTAAAAGATAGATATTTTAACATAATTGGATCCTCTTCCTTTAAGCACTGTTTTCAAGGCAGCAGGGTTAATGTGATCTTAAAGTACTAAGATGAGTCATCTTAGAATTATTGAGCAACTTCATGAGATTTGGTAAAAACAAGGTTGACTTTCCTTCATTTTGTCATTAGGAATTACCTACTCTAATATCCAGCTGCTTTTCTCATGGTCCATGCTCAGCAAGAAGGATAGCAAGATTCAAATCAGAGATGTAAAAGTAAGGAATATAACTAAGGCACTTGCTATTGACTTGAAGACTTAAACAGATTTTTACACCTGAGTCTTTTAGTCAGAATAGTCCCACTTTGCACTAAGGTTAAAGAGGTAAAAAATCAAGTTGAAGTCAAAGAATTCAAGAATCAAGTTGAAAGGCTGGGCATGGTGGCTCACGCCTGCAATCCCAGCACTTTGGGAGGCCAAAGTGGGCAGATCGCTTGAGTCCAGGAGTTCAAGACCAGCCTGGGCAACATAGTGAGACCCTGTCTCTACAAAAAAAAAAAAAAATTAGCAGGACATGGTGGCACACACCTGCAGTCCCAGCTACTTGTGGGGCTGGGGCAGGAGGATCACTTGAGCCTGGGCATTCCAGGCTGCAGTGAGCTGTGTTCGTGCCACTGCATTCCAGCCTGGGTGACAAAGTGAGACCCTGTCTCAAAAAAAAGAAAAGAATCAACTTGAGGCCAGGTGCAGTGGCACATGGCTGTGGCCCCAGCTACTCAAGAGGCTGAGGTGGGAGGATCACCTGAGCCCAGGGTTCAAGGCCAGCCTAGGAAACATAGCAAGACTCAGTCTCTAATTAAAAAAAAATCAAGTTGAATCATTTGAATCTTCTGGTAAATCCTGTTCTAAACTATATTAGGACTTGATTTTTGTGGTATAAGTAACTTTGCATTTACTTGGGGATTTTTCTCAAAGGTAAATCAGAGATGAGACAGCTCTCCCATATTTGAGGAGGGCATATCAGCAGTATATAAGGAGCAACATAAATTACCTTTTATAATTGAGCAGAGACTGGGAAACCAGACTCATTTTGTCACAGTCCCAAAGAGACAAAAGTGAAATCTCAGCTCTTTTTTTCTTAGTGAGTTTGAGAAACTGTCCTAGGAAGGAACATTTCAGTCAATTTAATAATAAGCCTTCATACCCCTGGGCTTTTGCTTATGCTAATCCTTTGTTTTGTTTTGTTCTGTCACCCAGGCTGGAGTGCAGTGGTGTGATCTCGGTTCACTGCAACCTCCGCCTCCCAGGCTCAAGTGATTACAGGCATGCGCCACCACACCCGGCTAATTTTTTGTATTTTTAGTAGAGATGGGGTTTCGCCATGTTGGCCATGCTGGTCTCCAACTCCTGACCTCAGGTGATCCGCCCGCCTCAGCCTCCCAAAGTGCTGGGATTATACGCATGAGCCATTGCGCCCTGCCACTGCTTATGTGAATCCTAAAACCTAGAAGGTCCCACCCTGCCAGAGGCATTCGCACCAGAGTAAGTAACTCCATCGTGAGTTACTTACTCACGGGCTAGGAAAATGAGGCCGGGACTTAGTGGGTTGCATTCCCATAAAGTTAGGTATTCCTAGCCTCTAGATGTTTACAGTTAAGGGCTCAGGTTGTAAATGTTTACTAAACAGACCCAGACTTGGGAGTGTCCTAATACCCCAGTATCTTGAGAACAAAAGAATTTCTAATTTTGCTTTAAAGATAATAATACCGATTCTCACAAAATATAGTAATTAAGAAAATTAATCCTTTATTACAAACCCTTGTAGCAGAGCACATCTCTCCATGATCTTTTTTATCCTGTATATAAACAAGTATTGTACCTAGGGTGGACATGTTCCTCCTGTTACTTTCAGGAATGCCCTACTCTGTCTATGGAGTAGCTGTTCTTTCACCACTTACTGTCTTAATAAACTTGCTTTTGCCTTGCCCTGTGGATTCGCCCTGAATTCTTTCTTGCACGAGATCCAAGAACCCTCTCTTGGCATCTGGATCGGGACCCCTTTCCTATAGCAATCCTAACCCTCCACCTTTCTATTTTTTTGGTTTTTTAAATTTTTTGCAGACAGGATGTCACTCTGTCACTCAGGCTTGAGCGCAGTGGCACAATCATGGCTACTGCAGCCTCGACCTCCTAGGCTTAAGTGATCCTCCCACCTCAGCCTCCCGAGTAACTGGGACTACAGGCACGTGCCACTGCACTCTGCCATCTGCCTGCTTCGGCCTCCCAAAGCGCTGGGATTATAGGTGTGCACCACGACACACACCTAGCCTTCTCCATCTTTCTAAATCGATCTTTACAGCCAGACAGACCACAGGCCACCACTCCAAGAAGCCCTCCAAAATCTTTGCCAGCATGATCTTTATTTAGCATTCATATTGTTCTGCCATGTGTAGCAAAGTGTTCTGCTTGATAACAATGTTTTAAATGATAGGCAAGATATTTACAATGGTTCAAAAATTGAGCAACATAAAGCATTTCCAGTATACTGTCTTGTTCCAACCCTTGCCCCCACATGCCACAAACACTGCTGTCAGTTTCTTGTGTCTTTTCCAAAGTTTCTTCTTGCAAGCATAAATACAAATCTATTATTTCACCATCTCTATTTTCTTACACAGAAGGTAGCCTGATATACATATAATTTTATACCTTACTCTTTTTTTTTTTTTTTTGAGATGGAATTTGCTCTTTTTGCCCAGGCTGGAGTGCAATGGCACGATCTCAGCTCACTGCAACCTCTGCTTCCTGGGTTCACGTGATTCTCCTGCCTCAGCCTCCCCAGTAGCTGGGATTACAGGCATGTACCACCACGCCTGGCCAAGTTTTGTATTTGTAGTAGAGATGGTGTTTCACCATGTTGGCCAGGCTGATCTCGAACTCCTGACCTCAGGTAATCCGCCCACCTTGGCTTCCCAAAGTGCTGGGATTACAGGCGTGAGCCAGCATGCCCAGCCACCTTGCTCTTTTCATTTTAACTTATCAATAGATCTTGGGAATCTTTCCATATAGGTTTAGAAACAAATTCCTTATTCTGTTTTTAAAGGGTTGTGTTTGCTTGTTTTTGTTTTTTGAGATGGAGTCTCACTCCGTCGCCCAGGCTGGAGCACAGTGGCATGATCTTGGCTCACTGCAACCTCACCTCCCAGGTTCAAGGGATTCTCCCACCTCAGCTTCCCAAGTAGCTGGGACTACAGGCTCATGCCACTGTGACTGGCTAATTTTTGTATTTTTAGTAGAGACAGTTTCACCGTGTTGGCCAGGCTGGTCTTCAACTCCTGACCTCAAGTGACCCACATGCCTCGGCCTCCCAAAGTGCTGGGATTACAGGCATGAGCCACTGTGCCTGGCTAAAGCGTTTTAAAACTTAAAGAATCATATTACAAATTGTCTCCTAATGTTTTTAACCAGTTCTGCTAATGATGGACGTTTGCATTGTTTGCAATCTTTTGCTACATCGACGATGCCTTGTAGTCATATGTCAATTTGCATTGTGCATGTACATATCTGGATAAATTTCCAAAAGCAGGAGGGCTGGGTCAGACTATATAATTCTGTAATGTTGATAGAGGGAACCAAACTGTTTTCCACAGGAGTTCTAGCTGTTTATACTCCCAGCAAAAATACACAAGAAACCTGTTTCTCCACAGCCTTGCCAAAAGAGAGGAAAAGAGAGAGCAAAGATTTAAGAAGTGGTGGCTCAGCCTCAAAAACAAAAGGAGGCTGGGTGCGGTGGCTCACGCCTTTAATCCCAGCACTGTGGGAGGCAGAGGAGGGAGGACTGCTTGGGCCCAGGAGTTCAAGGCCAGCCTGGGCAACATGGCAAGACCCCGTCTCTACAAAAAAAATACAAAAAAATTGGCCGGGCACGATGGCACACACCTGTAGTCCCAGCTATGCAGGAGGCCGAGGTGGGAGGATCACTTGAGCCCAGGAGGTCAAGGCTGCAGTGAGCCATGTTTGAAACACTGCATTCCAGCTTGGGTGGCAAAGCGAGACCCTGTCTCAAAAAAAGAAAAAGAGAAAAAGAGGAAAATTAGATGAAGACTGGAAATAGCACATACAGTGTTGGAGCTGACATCTTCCCTGAGGTTCAACCAGTCTCTCCAAGAGATGTCTAGAACCTCTGTTAGCACCAACTGAACAGGCCTAACGGAACTCGCTGAAACCAGACCCTGGTCTTGGTTTTTCATTTCCTGCCAATGGAACCACCATTTTCTCACATTTAAAACCTTGTAGAAGAGGGTGGGAGCAGGTAGACTTTCAGTTTTTACTTCACAAACTCTAAATATTTATGCTTTATTTTATTACAGGAAGCATATATTTCTCTTAGAATTGAAAACCCATAATACTATACTGCAAAAACTTGAAAGTCTAGTCATTTTTCTTTTAGTTTTTATTTATCCATTCAAACATTTTCTATTGTGTGAGCTATTTGTTTTCATTTCTGTTTTTTTTTTTTTTTCTGACAGGTGCCTAGGAGAATAGTTTCTAAATAATGTAGCTTTATAGGGAAATTATTTTAAAAAACATTAATTTCACTTTTTTTTTTTTTTTGAGAGAGATAGGTTCTCACTCAGTCACCCAAGCTGGAGTGCAGTGGTAAGATCATAGCTCACTGCAGCCTCCAACTCCTAGGCTCATGTGATCCTCCTGCCTCAGCCTCCTGAGTGGCTGGGACTAAAGATGCACACCACCACAACCAGCTAATTAAAAATTTTTTTTTGTAGAAACAAGGGTCTGTCTCACTATGTTGCCCAGGCTGGTCTTGAACTCCAGACTGGTCTTTTTTTTTTTTTTTTGGATACAGAGTCTCACTCTGTCTCCCAGGCTGGAGTGCAGTGGCGCAATCTCGGCTCGCTGCAAGCTCTGCCCCCCGGGTTCATGCCATTCTCCTGCCTCAGCCTCCTAAGTAACTGGGACTACAGGCACCCGCCACCAGGCCCGGCTAATTTTTTTCTATTTTTAGTAGAGACGGGGTTTCACCGTGTTAGCCAGGATGGTCTCGATCTCCTGATCTCGTGACCTGCCCTCCTCAGCCTCCCAAAGTGCTGGGATTACAGGCGTGAGCCACCGCGCCCGGCCTTTCCAGGCTGGTCTTGAACTCCTTGCTTCAAGAAATTTTCCCACCTCTGCCTCCCAAAATGCTGAGATTACAGGCTAATTTCGCTACTTTATAAATTATTTCTAAGCATCACCCCCTGCCACCACTCTCACACCCACTCGCAGTTTTTAAACTGAAAAGAAACTGGAATGTTTACATAATCATTATTGGAGCTAGGACACTTTTTTTTTTTTTTTTTGAGATGGAGTCTCGCTCTGTCGCCCAGGCTGGAGTGCGGTGGCGTGATCTCAGCTCACTGCAAGCTCCGCCTCCCCGGTTCATGCCATTCTCCTGCCTCAGCCTCCCGAGTAGCTGGGACTACAGGCGCCCGCCACCACGCCCGGCTAATTTTTTGTATTTTTAGTAGAGACAGGGTTTCACCAAGTTAGACCAGGATGGTCTCGATCTCCTGACCTTGTGATCGCCCGCCTCGGCCTCCCAAAGTGCTGGGATTACAGGTGTGAGCCATCGTGCCCGGCCGGAGCTGGGACACTTTTTAAAGGGAATTTATATAGCTAGGATTTGTGACAGTTGTGTGATTTTTTTATGTGGTTATGTGGTGTCATGCACTTTTCAATTCACTGAGGTCTCTTTTATAATAAAAATGCATATTTATATTTACTTTATAAAATTTGGAGCAAAACTGTACTACTTTAAATTATGGAAGCTTATAATTGTCATAGCTGTTTTTAGAATCACATTCTTGGTCCAACTTATAATCCATTTGTTATCAAGTCCTTATTGAAGCATTCCTCCTATGGGAAACTGTCATCAACTTTATCATGTTTGGCTCTATTTCGGGATTTCCAGGAATTCAATATAATAAAAGAGAGGGGCCATCTCCTTGTGCCGTTGACCTTTGTACATTCACCTTTCCACAGATACAGACATTGTATAGAAATGCACCTGAGCCATGTTTCCTACATGGCATCAGGACAATGGGCCAGGCAACAAAGGAACCTTTTGAGCTATCTCTTGGCGGTGCTGCCTGCCAGTCCATAGCTCAGGTCCACCTGCGCTACCAGCATTGTCAAACTACAGTATTTACTCAATTACATTCATACTGGGTTCCATTTAGCCTTGTCGCTTTTTCAAAATTAGTGAAATATGGAGAAAATATAAGTGCAAACACTAGTAAAAGGGAGTGTTGTTCTCATAAACATAAAACAATTGAGACAAAGAAGGGAATCATTAGGTGTGGAGAAGGTAGTGAATATTTAGCCTCAATAATGACAACTCATACCGAGACGTTGCTACGCATCACTCATCATTGCTATTACTTTATATGATTTAATTCATATTCTTACAACACTATGTGAGAAATAAATGATGAAGGTACTATTATTATCTCTGTCTTTACAGATAAAAAAAAATTCATGATTTATAAAGGTAAATAGCCTGACCCAAATCTTAAAGCTGCCTATTGGACTTCAGGTGGTCAACTTTGCTCAGCTAGGATGGAGATGCTCAGATTTTAAAAACATCTATGCATGCTGGAATTATAGCTTAAGACTATGTCTAGGGGACAGCACACAATCAGGGATTTTATGCTACATTTTAGATCTCTGAAAATAGAAACCTGTGCTTAAAGCACACGGATTTGTCTTTGAACTTTATATATCTGACATTGGTGTGTGTTTTGGGAACGTGTTCTATATGAAGGTAGAACTCTCTTGCATTGTTGTATGTTTTGGATGTACATGTAAACATGTGAATCCTATGAGGACTGGGAACTTGTCTTCTACTTCTCCAGCACCTACAACAGTGCTCAGTAAAGGTTGGTTGTGGTGGTGAGTGATAACAGTAGTCAGTTGGAAACCATGCTGCCATCATGCTGAACACCAAGAAACACTCTATTCAATCTCCCCAAGTGTTTGTAACAATATATTGAAAAACATGTCATCTATCTGAGCATGGTGGCTCACACCTGTAATTCCAGCACTTTGGGAGGCCGAGGAGGGAGGATCGCTTGAGCCCAGGAGCTTGAGACCAGCCTGGGCAATATAGCAAGACCCAGTCCTACAAAAAAAGAAAAAAAAATTAGCTAGCCATGTTGGCACCGCCTGTAGTTCTGGCTACTTGGGAGGCAGAGGCAGGAGGATTGCTTGAGATATGTGTTCACACCACTGGAGTCCAGCCTGAGTGACAGAGTGAGACCCTGTGTCAAAAAAAAAAAAAAAAAAGAAAAAAATGTCATCTTAAATACACACACACAACACACACATCTATGTGTTTACACAAATATTTAAAGGCATGTAATCAAAAACACATTTATAAGTACATGATAATAAAGGAAAAATGATGTCACATCTCAAGTATGTAAACACATTTACAGGCACAATGATGATAAAGGGGAAATGATGATGATCATTACAAAGGCCATACATTTTTTTCTATTGAAGAGGTGAACGGAATTACCCTCCTGGACTCACTAAGTGTAGAAATCGAGGCAGCAGACAGGCAAAGTCAGCAAACTGCTGCATGCCCTAAATTTGGAGTGTCTACCCTGTCTTCCTTCCCCAGAGACTCTGTCCCCATCTGCCATCTCTTTTTAATGGGGCAGTAAGCTTTAGGACATCACTCCTCTCACAGCATTTGCTTGGAATGTGACTGGACAGGCACCTGGTCCCAGCAGAGCCTTCCTTGTCAGTGACCTATGACCTGGGTGGCGTGATTTAAAAGGTTGAGCTGGGTGAGTCAGATTCTTTCTTTTTTTCTCTCCGTCCCTTTCTCCCTATGGAACTTGAATCAAAAGTCTAGAGGGCAGTTTCCAGTGAGCTGTGGGCAACATTGTAAAAAACGTTATTCTAGGGCCCAAGTCAGATCGTGACAGGCTACAGGCACTTTGCAAGCTGAAATCGGGGAAGAGGAACAACTGTGAGTTAAGTGGGAGAAGCTTCAAGAGACAGACAAGAAAAGAACATCCAACCACGCAGAGATGCACAGCCCTGCCTTCTTTTGTCTTGTTTTTCCTGGGCTCCTGGGCATGTATACTTTAAAAAAAAATTTCTTTCTGGCCTAGTGAAGTGGCTCACGCCTATAATCCCAGCACTTTGGGAGGCTGAGGCACTTGGATCACTTGAGGCCAGGAGTTCGAGACCAGCCTGGCCAACATGGCAAAACCCCATCTCTACTAAAAATTCAAAAATTAGATAGGTGTGGTGGCACGTGCCTATGGTCCCAGCTACTCGGGAGGCTGAGGCATGAGAATCGTTTGAACCTGGGAGGCAGAGGTTGCAGTGAGCCAAGGTCGTGCCAGTGCACTCCAGCTTGGGTGACAGAGTGAGACTCTATCTCAAACAAAAACAAAAACAAAAGCAAAAAAATAAAGCAAAGGCCAGGCATGGTAGCTCACGCCTATAATCCCAGCACTTTGTGAGGGTGCAGCGGCTGGATCACTGGAGATCAGGAGTTAGAGACCAGCCTGGCCAACATGATGAAACCCTGTCTCTACTAAAAATACAAAAATTAGCCAGGTGTGGTGACGTGCACCTGTAATCCCAGCTACTTGGGAGGCTGAGGCAGGAGAATCGCTTGAACCTGGGAGGCGGAGGTTGTAGTGAACCGACATCACAACACTGCACTCCAGTTTGGGCAACCGAGTGAGACTCCGCCTCAAAAAAAAAAACAACATTATTTTCTTTAAAGTAACCCATGTGCTCTTCTGATCCTTGTTAGTAAAAGAGACTAAATTGGAGCAACACATAACGGCAGAAAAAAGTCTCTCTTGGCCAGATGTGGTCACTCACCTGTAATTCCAGCAATTTGGGAGGCTGAGGCAGGAGGACAGCTTGAGGCCGGGAGTTTAAGGCAGCAGTGAGCTGTCATCATGCCATCATACTCCAGTCTGGGCAACAAAGCAAGATGTCATCTCAAAATAAATGAATGAATGAATGAATAAATAAATAAATGAATAAATAAATAAGTCTCTGCCAGTGGAGGATATAAACACACACACACCAAAAAAAAAAACACAGGAGAACCATATAAGTACAGCAGTCCAAGACCATGAAAGATAGTGGCAAACAGTCATTTCATCTGACAGTCCCCCAGGACCTTGGTTCGTGCAATCCTGTGCAATAATCAATATTTATGGTAATGACCTTGAGTCTTAAAGCAAAAGCTGCCTGACATTCAATGTATTTTCAGAAGTCCATGAAATGTGTAGTTTCATTCAGAAAAAACTTTTCTTAAAGTTAAAAAAAAAAGTCTTGGTATCTAAAAATGACAAGATTTGGCTGGGTGTAGTGGTTTATGCCTTTAATCCCAGCACTTTGGGAGGCTGAGGCTGGAGGACTGCTTTAGCCCGGAGTTCGAGACCAGCCTGGGTAACATGGTGAGACTCTGTCTCTACAAAAAATAAAAAAATTAGCCGAGCTATAGGTAGTGTGTACCTATGGTCCCAGCTACTTGGGAGGCTGAGACGGGAGGATCCCTTGAGCCTGGCACAGTGATACCTGTTTGTGCCTCTGCACTCCAGCCTGGGAGACACAGTGTGGTGCTGTCAAACAAACAAACAAAAAAACAAAAACAAAAAAAAAAAAAGAAAGAAAAGAAAGAAAAAAGGAAAAAAGGCAAGGTTCATGCAGAGATTTGTTATTTTTTACTTTTTGAAATGCACATATTTATTGATCCATGCCTTGCCTTGTTGTAGCAAAGAGCTCAGATGACTTATAAGAATACACAGGATCCAACAGGAAAGTAAACATTGACAGTGAGTGGGGAAAATAAAGAACATCAAGGTATGGACAAGAGATTTAGTTATCTGCAAAGCTCATTTCCATGGACTTCCTCATTCCTTGCTAGATCATGGACCACCATAACTAGTATTAATCATTGTTTCAACTCCAAATTTTTTAGATTTGGAGAAAGATCAAGGTTTATCTTCTGAATGTAAAAATCAAATTGAAACTGGAAGAAAAGAAAATATTGATTTAAATCAGAGAAAATATAATAATAAATCTACACAAACATGCTTTTAATAAGCTGCTAATTTAAGCATATATTTAAATCATTTCTATTCCTTTACTTCAGTAAAATAATTCTTAAGGCAAAATAATTTTATTTTATTTTATTTTTTTTTGAGACAGAGTCTCCCTCCGTCACCCAGGCTGGAGTGCAATGGCACTGTCTCGGTTCACTGCAACCTCTGCCTCCTGGGTTCAAGTGAGTCTTCTGCCCCAGCCTCCTGAGTAGCTGGGATTACAGGCACCTGCCACCACGCCCGGTTACTTTTTTGTATTTTTGGTAGAGATGGGGTTTCACCATGCTGGCCAGGCTGGTCTCGAATTCCTGACCTCAGGTGATCCACCTGCCTCGACCTCCCAAAGTGCTGAGATTACAGGTGTGAGCCACCGTGCCTGGCCTTAATTTATCTTAATCAGAAGTAGCATCATGTTACATTATACAACTGGTGAAATTCTCTTCAACATCCTTTTTATAAACCAATATCAACATACTGGGGGAAAAAGTGTTTAGAGTTAAACTTACTGTGTAAATGTAATTTTTATATTCCATTAAAAAGCAACAATTTTTCTGGGAGCTCTGGTTTGGAAAGGCTCACGGGGTTTTAATAAGTGTGTTCCTATTCATTTTGGGCCTGCATTAGGGACAATTTCTTCTGATGGACATTTCTATTACGCAATCACTGCTTAAAGGGTAATAGTGTAGGCTTCAGAGCCAGACAAATGTATGTATTTGATGCAGGATAGCTGAGTAATAGCTTGGTCAAATTACTTTAAGTCTTCTCAACTTAGTTTCTTAACTGCAAATGGAGCTAACAGGGTCGTATGGAAGATTACATAAGATATTGCACATTAAGCACTTAGCTCAGTAGCTAATAGCTAGTGAACCTAATACATGATGTATGTTATGATAAAAATAGTGATTGTAGAGGACATTTCACACTGATATGATACAAGTCTCTCTTTCATTAGTGTCTTGTTAAAGGTTTCTAATTTTCCCATTGACAAATTTTCTTTTTTTTTTGGAGATGGAGTCTCGCTCTGCCACCCAGGCTGGAGTGCGGTGGCAGGATCTTGGCTCACTGCAACCTCCGCCTCCCGGGTTCAAACAATTCTCCTGTCTCAGCCTCTACTACAGTTGGGACTACAGGTGCAGGACACCATGCCTGGCTAACTTTTGTATTTTTAGTAGAGACGGGGTTTCACCATATTGGTCAGGCTGGTCTCAAACTCCTGACCTCGGGTGATCCACCTGCCTTGGCCTCCCAAAGTCCTGGGATTACAGGTGTGAGCCACTGTGCCCAGCCAAATTTTCTTTTCTTTTCTTTTTTTTTTTTTTTGAGACGGAATCTCACTCTTTTTGCCCAGGCTGGCCCGCACTGGCCTGATCTCGGCTCACTGCAATCTCCGCCTCCGGGGTTCAAGAGATTCTCCTGCCTCAGCCTATCGAGTAGCTGGGATTACAGGTGCCTGCCACCACAGCCAGCTAATTTTTTTTTGTATTTTTAGTAGAGACAGGGTTTCACCATGTTTGGCCAGGCTGCTCTCCAACTCCTGACTTCAGGTGATCTACCTGCCTCAGCCTCCCAAAGTGGTGGGATTACAGGCGTGAGCCACCGCACCAGCCCCACATTAATTAACTTTAGTGTTGTGAGTGCATTCTGAATGATTTTTTATGGTATTGACAGGGAAACTAGTTTTATTGCTCGATATTATTTTCTTGCTGCTTTCCAAAATGCATAAACAATGATTTAGTTCACTGATAGATTTATACAGAAAATTTTACTTTGTATTCATTTTGATTTTTTTATTTGTTCCTTTTCATTCAGCCCCAGAAAAAATGCAATTAATCATGCCAAGGTATTTACAAAGCCTTATCTGACTAGCTCCATCATGTGTCTAGAATGAGTTTTACAATTTTAAAAGTTGCTTCCACTTCACTGCTACTATGGTCTTGAATAAGAATAAATATCTGGCTGGGCTCAGTGGCTGAAGTCTATAATCCCAGCACTTTAGGGGGCTGAGGTAGGCAGATCATTTGAGATCAGGACTTTGAGAGACCAGCCTGGTCAACATGGCGAAAACTCATCTCTACTAAAAATACAAAAATTAACCAGGTGTGGTGGTGGGCGCCTGTATTCCTAGCTACTCTGGAGGCTGAGGCAGGAGAATCACTTGAACTCAGGAGGCAAGAGGTTGCAGTGAGCCGAGATAGAGCCACTGCACTCCAGTGTAGGTGACAGAGCATCTCAAAAAAAGAAAGAAGGCCGGGCACGGTGGCTCACACCTGTAATCCCAGCACTTTGGGAGGCCGAGGTGGGTGGATCACGAGGTCAGCAGTTCAAGACAAGCCTGGCCAAGATGGTGAAACCCCATCTCTACTAAAAATACAAAAATTAGCTGGGTGTGGTGGCGGGTGCCTGTCATTCCAGCTACTTGGGAGGCTGAAGCAGAGAATAGCTTGAACCCGGAAGGCAGAGGTTGCAGTGAGCCGAGATTGCGCCACCGCACTCCAGCGTGGGTGACAGAGCAAGACTCCGTCTCAAAAAAAAAAAAAAAAGAAAGAATAAATATTTGGCAATATATTACTGAATCCTCTGAAAAACAGATGGAAATCAGAATTGGGAAAATGTTCCTTTTTTTTTTTGAGACAGAGTCTCGCTCTGTCTCCTAGGCTGGAGTGCAGTGGTGTGATCTTGGCTCATTGCAAGCTCCGCCTCCTGGGTTCACGCCATTCTCCTGCCTCAGCCTCCCGAGTAGCTGGGACTACAGTCACCAGCCACCATGCCTGGCTAATTTTTTGTATTTTTTTTTTTTTTTTAGTAGAGACGGGGTTTCACCATGTTACCCAGGATGGTCTTGATCTCCTGACCTCGTGATGCACCCGCCTCGGCCTCCCAAAGTGCTGGGATTACAGGCGTGAGCCACCACGCCCGGCAAAAACTGCTTTTATATATATATATGACTTTATAATAATCTCATGCTCATATATATTATAAAATGATATATAATCATATATAAATCATATGTACATATAAAATCTCATATATATTATAAAAAATGAACACAAGCATACATCTTCATCAAAGTCCTGCCTACTACAGTTAGATGTACCTCTTGAAACTTGGAAGAGATTATAGATTATTAGGGCAATAAAAGTAAACGCTAAAACATTTTTTTAAAAAATCAGAAATGATGATATAATGGACTAATAGTCTCAAGGTAGTTTTTGATAAATCCAAGACTGATCAATTGTCA
Source organism: Homo sapiens (assembly GCF_000001405.40). Lineage (NCBI taxonomy): Eukaryota > Metazoa > Chordata > Mammalia > Primates > Hominidae > Homo > Homo sapiens. Next base: position 59,375,556 of record NC_000015.10, on the reverse strand, counting down.
GTCGACTGTCAATGGCTTATTAAGAGATTTTCAGTGTTTCATTGTATACCTGGGCTAATCTTGGGAAACAAACTATGCCTTTGTCTGTACATCTCAAAGCCCATGTCAATCTGACTACTAATGAGGGTTGACCATGGATGGGATGGTGTCTTAGGTAGTGTTTCTTGTGTTACTGGTAAGCTGACACTTCCGTCTTGGTAACCTCTGTTCATACACTCCTAAAATTCCTGATAGGTTTTGTTGTTGTTGTTGTTGTTGTTGTTGTTTTGAGACAGGGCTTCACTCTGTTGCCCAGGCTGGAGTGCAGTGGCACGATCAAAGCTCACTACAGCCTCGAATTCCCGGCCTCACATGATCTTCCTGCCTCAGCCTCCCAAGTAGCTGGGACTACAGGCATGCACTATAATGCCCAGCTAATTTTTATTATTATAATTTGTTGATAGAGACAGAGTCTTGCTATGATGCCCAGGCTGGTCTTGAATGCCTGGCTTCAGGCAATCCTACCATCTTGGCCTCCTAAAGCGCTAGCACTGTAGGCATGAGCCACTGAGCTTGGCTGACCTAATAATATTCTGAAGCTGATATTTCCCTATGAGATATGGAGTCAGACTTATCTGAGACTTTATCATGTCTGTGTGTACCTAGGCAATGCCTAGTACAGATGGCATGCTGTTTTCTTTCCAATTCATACTACATAACTATGTCAGATGAATTTCCTGCCCTAAACTATAGCTCCAAATATGGCAGTTCCTTGCACAAAACTACTGTCGCATTTCATTATGCTTGCTTCTTTCCTGTATTTATTCTTTCTAAAAATTTATCGTTTGTTTTCCCCATCCTAAAATTGTAAGCTCAGTGAGGGCAGGGACCAGTTGTAGCTCCAGTGTTTAGCTGTGCTGTCTTATAACACACATTCGATTATATTGTTGCCAAACTATGTAAATGATTACTACAAGAATTTGGACAATATGATTTTCTTTCAACTTTTAAAAGTGAGATATAATGAACGTACCATAAGACTCACCCATTTAAAAAGCATAACACAGTGGTTTTTAGTATATTCATAAACTTGTACAATCATCACCACTAATTCCAGAATATTTTCATCACTTCAATAGGAAAATGCATACCTGTTAGCAATTACTTCCATCTCCCCTCTCCCCCAGCCCCTAGCAAACCACTAACCTACTTTTTATCTCTATAGATTTCCCTATCCTCAACTTTCATTTAAATGGAATTATATAATATGTGGTCTTTTGCTCCTGGCTTAACACGATATTTTCGAGATTCATCCATGTTGTAACATTTTGTTTACCCTTTTAGACAAGATAAAGTTTAATACCCTTTCTAACTCTATGCTCAGATAGTCAAGTGAAGAGCTACAACCAAATTTCTTTTTCCTTTCTTCCTTTCTTCTCTCTCTCTCTCTTTCTTTCTTTCCTTCTTTTTTTTTTTGACAGAATCTTGCTCTGTCGCCCAGGCTGGAGTAGAGTGGAACGATCCCGGCTCCCTGCGACCTCCGCCTCCCCTGTTTAAACGATTCTCGTGCCTCAGCCTCCCGAGTAGCTGAGATTACAGGCATGTATAACCATGCCGGGCTAATTTTTGTATTTTTAGTAGAGAAGGGGTTTCACCGTGTTGGTGGCCAGGCTGGTCTCAAACTCCTGACCTCACGTGATCCACCAACCTCAGCCTCCCAAAGTGCTGGGATTGTAGGCGTGAGCCACAGCGCCCTGCCTCAACCAAATTTCAGAAAGTATCATAATATCATTATGCTTCATAGTTTCTCTATGCCCTGAAGTTTACCAATTTTATCTTCTACAGATTCCAGGAAGGCAGCCTGTTAAGACTCACCAAATTTACTTCCTCAGCCTCCAGAACAATAAAATCAAACTCCCTACCTTGATTTTAAGATTCTGCTTCCCCCCACCCCGCCCCACCCCAATCTTCTCCTTGGATATTCGACAGTCTGGAATAATGCATTTTTACAGTTCTGATTGTTTTCAGCAGATGTGTTGGCTGAGGTTGGATGGGGTTTCTTCCCACCTATCTCTCCTCTCTCCTTCCCTCTGCCCACTGCACGTGCAACAACTTTTCTGCCATCAAAACGTGCAAAAAAGAAACAAGAAAGAAAGGAAAGAGAAAGAAAAGAAAAACAGAAAAAAGAAAAGAAAAAGCAGCCGGAAGTCTTCCTTTGTTTTCCAAGGAAATTCAGGTAAAAGGAGGGGTGGGGAAATGATATTTTTGACTTTGCTCACAATCCAGACGTAGGAAAGAAAAAGGATTTCCTTTGGGCTGCTGCCACGACTCTGATGTTTTATGCTGATAAAATATTTCCTTCTTAAAAAAAAGTTCTGGGAAAATCATGCCCCTTCAACTTGGAAGCGAAACCCACCCTAACTTTCGTCTTAAAACGCAGCGAAGTGAAAGGTTTGCTCCTCTTTCACGAGGGTTTTGTTCCTTACAGTTCGGGTCTTGCTACCAGGAGCGAGCTGGGTCCGCAGCGTTCTTCGGTGGCTGGCGCGGGAGGAGGACTACAGGATCCAGAGATCTTTGGAAACTCCAGCAGCTCCAAGCTTGTTGGCTACTACGGTTTCCCTGAGGAGTGACGCTACGAAAACAAACCCTGATTGGTCAGGCCTGAGCTGAGTTCTCCATTTATGGACAGATTGCCCGGCCCGAGCCGAGACTCAGCCAGAGGAGTACGGATTAAGTGGCCGAAGAAAGAGGAGTGAGGCAGGGGAGCGAGGCGGACGCTCCGAGCGCATCGGACTCACCTGGGCCGGCGGCGACCGGCGAGTACGAGTGGACTCTTGCCCTCCGCAGCATGCGCCCCGCCTGCTAAGTCGCCGCCGTCTCGCCCTCACCTAGCACCGCCAATCCCGCCTGGATGGAGTCCCCTCTGGGTTCCCATTGGCTCCTGTGAGTGCTTGGGTGTCGGGAGCCTGTTTTTGGCGAGGGGAACCAACTTTTGAAGTTCGCCCAGAAGACTGCGTTCCAGCCCCAGTTCCCCGGCAGCGGGACCCGGCGAAGACGCGACCGCGGCGCGAGTCACCATGGTGAGTTGGCCGCGCCGCGTCCTAGGACGCCGGACCCGGGGACGGGGCAGGAAACCCCGGCGTGGTGCACCCACCTTGGGCGCGCTGCCGGGGCCAGGGGTGGAGAAGGTGGACGCGGGAGCCGGCACGTCGCGAGCTCTGATTTCCTGCCGCTTTCCGTAAACCCGGGCCGGGGGAGAGCGAGCGAGGGGCCAAGGAAAACTTTATTCCAAGTCGGTTTCTGCGTCGCGAAACTTTCTGTGGCCGGGTTGCTATGGCTGCCAGCTGTCGGAAGCCAGGGTGTGGGCGCATCGGCTGCGAGGGGCACGGCGCGGGAGGGGGTCCCCTCCTCCTGCTGGGACGTGGGGGGCGCAGCCGGCAGGGGAGGTGCTCGGAGACTCGCGCCGCAGCCGCTGGCGGCGTCCCCTGCCCTCCCCGCGGCCGTGCCCGCCCCGCCCCGGGCACCCTCGCGCCGACTCCCTCTCCTCCCCGCCGCCGCTCCGCTGCCCGGCAGCGCCCGCAGCTGTCCCGCCTGGCAGCGGCACGCGGGCGGGGGCGGTCCCTGGCCCGCCTTGGCGAGGGGCGGCGCGGGCCGCACAAAGGCAGGCGGGGGCGCCAGGTAGGGCGAGCACCTGGCGGCCGGCGGGCTGTCAAGAGCCAGGGAGACTCGGGCGCGGGCGGCAACCACGCCGCCCCGGACCTGTGCCGGGCGCCGGCCCCGAGGGTCTCCGCGCCCCGGACGCCAAGTAAACACCTCCTGAAGAGGACCCCACCCCTTCCCAAGCGCGAGGGGATCGGGGCTTTTCGGGGATCCAGGGGACGCTTCGCACGGGAAGACGCCCTCGCGAGTTTCGAGTTTGTTGCTGTTTTCCCTTTGGCACTTTGGGAATGTGTGGAAGGGGCCGCCTCTTTGACTTGTGACTTTTCTGCTATTCCAACTCCCCAGTCCAGCTACACTCCCCTCCCTCCCTGTATAACCTTAGCCACCTCCCTTGGGCTTTGGCGTGGTGTACTTTTCTTTGCGGGGCACGAAAGCAAGGACTCTATTTTGAAGAGATCGGCAGTTCATCAAAAAAAAAAAAATCTATTACAAGGCTTCATAGTTTCCACACTTGCTTCTTTTCAAGTAGTCCTGCTTAGGTGGATTATCTCGTCCTCTTCTGGTTTGCTGTTGTTTTCTAATGGCTGTGGAAGAGAAGCCAAGTCAAAATGATAACCAGCACAACACTAATTAAAAAATCGATATCCCGGTGAGCAGCCTGAGGGAAGTGCAGCAGAGGCCCATCGAAACCTGCACACAAAGCTCAGAAGCCCCCTTGCCCCGTGCTGTTTATTCCAAAGAATGATTACAAACAAACATCAACGAGAAACCTTTCAAGGCATCCTCGGCCAAAGCCTTTTCTTTTTACATAGTCCAAAATTAAGTCACTTTTGCCCCATCTAAGAGAACACTTTGTCTATACATTTCCTCTTCTAGTTTTAAGGTTTAAGAAGTCAGTCTACTCTACGTTACTTTTGGACCCCTTCCCTCACCCCAGCAGAGAACCATTCCCATTGGGCATGTGTTTGGGTGAAGCTACCTCACTGGGCACCTGGTCCCTTGAAGCAGTGTGATAGTCCTGGTACTTGAGAATTGCTGTAATCATTTTCCGTGGGTCAATATTTCTTAAAAAAATCAATGTGTTTATGTCAAGAACTTAAAGAATCTTACTGAATTTAAGTACTTGAGTGGTACCTTGAGGAAATTAACTTCCCCTCAGTTAAACTCATTTTTCATGCTGAATGGACTGAAATATACTCTAGGTTGCCTTTTCCGAAACCTGTGATACCATGCTTAATTCAGCCCCATTGCAGATGAAGTAGAGGGTTGGTCAAATGCATGCGAAGAAGGCATGCTGTAGGGAAGAGGTGGTTCTATCTGAGGACAGTGTGTGACTTCCCTATTGATGGGCTCCCTGCCATCAGCACAGATGGGCATGTTGTGTGCCCCCAGGCGACTATCTGTGCATCAGATATGGTTGCTGAAGTCACAATTCACTGATGGAAAAGTTGAAACAGCTGGCTGTCCTGAAACAGGAGATGTGCCATTGATAGATCTACTGGATCCAGAGTGATTTGGCCAAAGTTAATCATTTCTTTCCTGACTTGAAAAATTGTTCATTATGTATGTGAAGTTGCCTTAGAATAGAGCATCATCTTAAATAATCAGAAACCCAAGTTACAATATTTAATGTTTATGTCAGACTCTGTCAAGCCAAATGATACTTCATTTTGTGTTCCACATCTGCCCAGGCCTGCCCAAGTTGTATCCCTTCAGCTGCTTAGAACAGGAAGGGAAAGGACATTACCTTCTTTGGGTGTGGCTGAAGATTAGCATGGAGGCTAAAATTCATCAGAAGGCCCTTGGCGGCCAGGCGCAGTGGCTCACGCCTGTAATCCCAGCACTTTGGGAGGCTGAGGCAGGAGGAATACTTGAGCCCAGGAGTTCAAGACCATCCTGGGTAACATAGTGAGACCCTGTTTCAGTTAAAAAATATTAAGAAGAAGAAGAAGAAAAAGAAGGCCCTTGGCTGGGCTATAGGGAGAACACCTATACCGTGGACTTCTTCTGTGTGAGTGTGTGTGTGTGCGTGTGTCTTTTAGGAAGTCTGGTAGCATAGTAGGAGGGCTCTCCATCTGTACCTGAGGCCCTACTAAGACTCATTCAGTTGTGACTCATAAGGAAAATAGCCATTTTCATTTTCTGACTCATGAACACAGTGTACAGCTTGTAGTTCACCTTCTATCTTCCTCCTGAAAACTCACTTTGGGACACTTTTCTATCTTGAGAAAACTAGGAACACTACCAGGCAATAGTTACTTGTGTCTTTTTCCTAAGGAGACTTGAAGAAGTTAAAAAAAACCCTGCACATCTTTATAATTTAGTGGAGGTTGTTTAGCAGAGTACAAAAAAATCTCTGTTGACTTTAACCGTAATACCCATCTAAGGCTTCCTTCGTAGAATCTGGGCTTATCATCATCTGCAAAGGAAGTTCTGCTTTTGTGGCCATGACCAGTTTGGACTCTCTGATAGACTGAAACCCATGGCTGTAGGTCCGCTATGTGCTTTGGATCCAGAAATTGTGATTGATTTTTATGCAAGGTTTCTGTGCATTAAATATACAGAAATATTTGAGCAAATCTGAATTGACCATCACCTCAAAACATGTTCAAGAGCTGTTCCCTTTTCCTTACTTGCATATACTTGTGAGGAAATTATAGATATGACACATAAGAATACCCAGGAATAGATTTACAACCTAGAAATCTGATGGATAGCTGATGATAAGGTAGGTAAGTTCCTTTAGGTGATGGCATGGCATGTATTTAGAAAGTCTGGAATACATTTCAAATGTTTCCTGGGAAGGTAACCTACTTGATTTCCACAGATTAGTTTATCAGATTGCTAGTAGTCTCCTAGTCAAAACAACACAATACAACAAAACAAAACCAGAAAGGAATGGGATCAAGCACAAAAAAAGTTTTGATGGAGGCAAAGCGTTGGGGAAATACCTAGAGTCCGGGACATTATCTAGGGACAAGTGTGAGTGGGCCATCCTAGTGGGAAATATTTGACAGCCCAGGCATCTCCTTGGAGAGAAAATGGGTGGAGCAGTGGATGGAGAGGGATGGAGAAGTATAAGAAGCAGACATTTACTGAAGTTGAAAGTCACCTCCACCACACTTTTGCTGAGGACTACAGTCTTGTCAGTGGTTGCAAACTTTTTTTTTTTGAGTTGGAGTCTCTCACTGTCGCCCGGGCTGGAGTGCACTGGCGCGATCTCAACTCACTGCAACCTCCGCCTCCCGGTTTCAAACGATTCTCCTGCCTCAGCCTCCCAAGCAGCTGGGATTACAGGTGCCTGCCACAACGCCCAGCTAATATTTTGTATTTTTTAGTGGAGACGGGGTTCCACTATGTTGGCCAGGCTGGTCTCAAAGTCCTGACCTCGTGATCCTCCTGCCTCGGCCTCCCAAAGTGCTGGGATTACAGGTGCCTGCCACAATGCCCAGCTAATATTTTGTATTTTTTAGTGGAGACGGGGTTCCACTATGTTGGCCAGGCTGGTCTCAAAGTCCTGACCTCGTGATCCTCCTGCCTCGGCCTCCCAAAGTGATTACAGGCATGAGCCACTGTGCCCGGCCAGTGGTTGCAAACTTAAATGTCTTATAATTTGGTGGAGGGAGGCTGGCCTCTAGAGAGTAAATATGGAATATATGTGCCATTCTAGGAGGCACCACTACTTGATTCTAGGCCATGGTTATATCGACCATATTACCAAATTATCTTGTTTTTCAAGAGAAACTAGAAATCTAGATTTTTATGCTATATCTGCCAGTTCTTATTTTTATTTATTTTGAGACAGAGTTTTGCTCTTGTCGCCCAGGCTGGAGTGCACTGGCGCGATCTCGGTTCACTATAACCTCTGCCTCCCAGGTTCAAGCAATTCTCCTGCCTCAGCCCCCTGAGTAGCTGGGATTACAGGCCCCACCACCACACCCGCCTAATTTTTGTATTTTTAGTAGAGACAGGGTTTTACCATGTTGGCCAGGCTGGTCTCAAACTCCTGACCTCAGGTGATCTGCCCGCCTCAGCCTCCCAAAGTTCTGGGATTATAGACGTGAGCCACCACGCCCGGCCTCTGCCAATTTTTATATGTGATTTGATCATCTCAGAGGGGCCAAACACAGCTGCAGATTAGCTGTTTGCAGCCACTTTATTGTAAGTCTTAACATGGTGTCCTTCTGTGAACCACAGTGATTCTTCTCATTCACTCACCAGGAAGAATGTCTAAACGTTCACTGCATACCCAGTAGTGGCATTCAGTATTTATCCATACATCCACACCTTCCTACTGGGTCTCCCTAAAGAGAGGGAATAGCCTGGTATTTTCAGCCTATGCATTCTCTAAGCTATTATAACAGGGAAAATCTGCATCCAGCTGCTACTGTTTGGCGCTATCTCAACACCTGTGTAGGATGGTTCCACGAGTGGTGAGGCTGCAAATTGAGCTTTTCTCTTCAACCCTTCAACTCCTTCCTCCACTGAAAATGCCATGGCCTCCAATGTCACATGATGGACTTCTTGTTTTTCACTCCTTTTTCAGTTGAATCTCATGAATTGGCGGTCTGTCTCAGGCGTTTTCCTGAGGGTTAGATAATGAGCAGCGGCGTGCATTCTGATAACTTAGAATACAACATTTTGCCTCTGTGCCTAGTGTGGGCATGTGATGAGCCCCTGTGAGACTCAGTGAAAGAACATATAGTACCTTGCGTTTCCTCATGAGCCAAGTGTGGGGCCTTATTATTCATTAGGAATTTGAGAAATCTCTTTTTATCTGCTTCAACAAGCAGAAATATTTTAAATCTTCTGTGTAAGTGCAAGGTATTATAAGCTTCATGGTAGGATATATAGGAATTATGTACAGTCATGGTTTTCCAAGTTTGAGTCATCTCTTTTTTTTTTTTTTTTTTTTTTTTTGCGAAAATGCAGCAACTTGTGTTTTTACCAATCTGTGATTAAAATGTTTCTTAATGGTGAGTTTTTAAAAACTTTTTTTTTCTTTTTCTCACCATGCTGAAATATTTACAAAGTAAATAAGAGGTTAAAGGTTAAATGCCAAAGGTATTAAAATAAACATCTCAGCCTTATAAGCACATTCTGTAATAGTGGTAAACAAATTGTGTTTTGAATTTCAGTTTCAGAATTTATGTTGGCAGAGACAAAAGGTTTTGGGGCATCCTAGCAAAGTATTTTTTTCATATATCTTTGGGACAGCCACACTTAAGAGAAGTACAACTGTAAAAGCCAGCCCTAACATAGTGACATGAACTTTGACAACCCATAGAACTCAAACTGTACATGTGAATGAAGTTGGCCCGCCCTTCTGAGTTACCACCATGAGAATGACGTCATTGCCGTTGTTCAAAGCACTTTTGAATGGTCATTTATGAGCTATGTAATAAAACCTATTTTTTTGCCGGGTGTGGTCGTTCAGGCCTTTACCAAAAAAAATTTTAAAAATTAGCCACGTGTGGTGTCATGCACTATAGTCCCAGCTACTTGGGAGGCTGAGGTGGGAGGATTTCTTGAACTGAGGAGTTCAAGTATGCAGTGAGCTGTAACTGTGGCACTGCAGCCTGGGTGAGAGTGAGAGAGAGAGAGAGAAAGAGAGAGAGAGAAAAAAAAGAAAGAGACAGGGCTGGGCCCTGTGGTTCACGCCTGTAATCCCAGCACTTTGGGGGGCCGAGGTGGGCAGATCACCTGAGGTCAGGAGTTTGAGACCAGCTTGGCCAACCTGGTGAAACCCCGTCTCTACTAAAAATACAAAAGTAGCCAGGTGTGGTGGTGCATGCCTGTAATCGCAGCTACTTGGGAGGCTGAGGCAGAGAGAATCACTTGAACTTGGGAGGCGGAGGTTGCAGTGAGCCTAGATCACGCCATTGCACTCCAGCCTGGGCAACAAGAGTGAAACTCTGTCTCAAAAGAGAGAAAGAAGGGAAGAAGAGGGAAGGAGGGAGGGCCTTATTTTTTATTTTTTAACTCCTTAGTGCCCAGTGTGATCATTCCTATTACTCACCAGACTTTGTATTACATCCCTCTCAGGTGTTTCCAGAAGTTACATTGTGCCTCAAAGGCGGAACAATTAGCCCCACTAAAGATATGCAGTATCCAGCAGGTCCCTTTTTCCTGGAATAAGTATAAGAACTGCTCTGAAGGAGGCACACTCTCTTGGGTCTTTTGAGCTCTGATAATGTTTGTTACAAATTCATTTATAGCACTTTATGGTCATACGTTACATTATAGAAAGTAAAACATAGGCTACATTGTAGAAAGCCCAGAAGAGAGCTTAAAAATTCTATCCTAAATCCATTTGTTAACTTCACAGAGAGATCTAGAGAGGTTAAATTACTTCCAAAGTCTCATAGCTAGTTTTTAGCTGAGCTGGTGCCAGAATCCAAGTTAGATCTGATCCAGTGCAGATCTAACCTTATTAGATCCCAGTCTAATAAGGTTTTTCTTACCAAACAGTGGTGGGAATAATTCTTTAAGAGTCTGGACGTGACCAGATAGTTTTCTTTCTGGGACTTTTCAAGAAAGTCTGCTTGTAGGTGGAAGGTTACTGTACTAACTTCATTATAAGAAATTTAGAAGAATTCAGCCGGGCGCGGTGGCTAACGCCCGTAATCCCAGCACTTTGGAAGGCTGAGGTGGAGGGATCACCTGAGGTCAGAAGTCCGAGACCAGCCTGGCCAACATGGTGAAACCCTGTCTCTACTAAAAATAAAAAATTAGCCGAGTGTGGTGGCAGGCACCTGTAATCTCAGCTACTTGGGAGGCTGAGGCAGGAGAACTGCTTGAACCTGGGAGGCCGAGGTTGCAGTGAGCCGAGATCACACCATTGCACTACAGCCTGGGGCACATCTCAAAAAAGAAAAAAAAAAAGAAAAAGAAATTTAGAATAATTCACCCAAAGTACCCCCACACCCTAACACAGTAATTATTTTTGTCTCTGGGTTTCCTTTCAGTCTGTTCAAATGCATTGTTTCTTTGTTTGTTTGTTTTTCTTGAGATGGAGTCTCACTCTGTCGCCCAGGCTGGAGTGCAGTGGCATAATCTCGGCTCACTGTAACCTCCTTCTGCCTCCCAGTTTCAAGCGATTCTCCTGCCTCAACCTCCTGAGTAGCTGGGATTATAGGTACACACTACCATGCCCGGCCAACTGTTTTATTTTTAGTAGGGACAGGGTTTCACCATGTTGGCCAGGCTGGTCTTGAACTCCTGGCCTCAAGTGACCCACCTTGACCTCCCAAAGTGCTGGGATTATAGGCATGAGCCACCACACCGGGCCTCAAACACATTGTTTTTATGTGGTTGTAATTATGGGGCAAATATACAATTTGTGTTCTGTTATTTTTCCACTTGTTTTACAAATCCTTTTTCTTGATAAGCATATTTGTTATATTTTGGTGGCAGTATTATAATCCCATGTAGCCGGATTACTCACTGTGTGTCATAACTGTATGGAGACTTCCTCCAGAAGTGTGTACAGGGGAGAGTTCCTCCTTCCACCCACTAGAACCGCTGTGGTCAGTAATGGGCTGCTTAATCTTTGGCTCCTGAGATAAGAAGCCCCCTCTTTGGGTGAGCTTGGGATGCATACTCCACATTCCCAGGTTCTAGCCCAAAGGTACCTACCATTGGTGCTCCCCCTGGATTCTGGCGTTGACACTCAAATATGTGACACCAGTGGGTACTCAGACCTCTAGGTCTTCCTTGGCAAATATGAGTGGTCTTACCAGAGAACGGGAGTGGATGGAGATGGAGAGCTTTGAACCTCAAAGTGGAGAGAAGACATTGCCATGGCAAAGGAGGTTAGCATACAGGCTTGGTGAATTAGAGCTGGGCATGGTGGCTCAGGCCTGTTATCCCAGCACTTTGGGAGGCCGAGGAGGGCAGATCACTTGAGGTCAGGAGTTCGAGACCAGCCTGGCCAACATGTCAAAACCCCCGTCTCTACTAAAAATACAAAAAAATTAGCTGGGTGGGGTGGCGGGCACCTGTAATCCCAGCTACTCGGGAGGCTGAGGCAGGAGAATCGCTTGAAATGGGAGGCAGAGGTTGTGGTGAACCAAGATCTTGCCACTGCACTCCAGTCTGGGCGACAGAGCAAGATTCCGTCTCCAAAAAGATGAATTAGTCTCTCTGCCTCTGCTTATGAGAAGCTCCCCATATAGTGGAGAAATGATAACAAAAGGCTTCCATATACATGATTTCATTTCATTCTAGCACCAGTGTTGGTTTTTATTGCCATTTTACAGGTAAGAAAATCAAAGTGTAGTGAGGGGAGGGGAATTACTTAGGGCCACACAATTTGTATGTGACCAGCCAGATCTGCTAAGTCCATGCTCTTTGAAAAGTGGTTCAATAAATTATTTCTAAATTTGACAATGCCGAGTCCACGTATTTGTATACTTTTTCATTATTTCACATACTCCTGAGGGAAGGTAAGGCTGATAGAAAATCACCAATTTTGGTTGATTTTATTCAGTAATACCAGAGGGGATAATTTAGACTTAAGAACATTGTCTGTTATGAGTAGTAGTGTTCTGAGTTTTAATTTCCTTGCTTTGGGACTTTGCCATAGAGACTAGAAGATGTCATAGTGAGAGCAAGCATAAAAGTAAAAGAAAGTAATACTGGCCGGGCATGGTGGCTCACGCCTGTAATCCCAGCACCTTGGGAGGCCGAGGCGGGTGGATCACGAGGTCAGGAGATCGAGACCATCCTGGCTAACATGGTGAAACCCCGTCTCTACTAACAATGCAAAAAAAATTAGCCAGGCATGGTGGTGGGCACCAGTAGTCCCAGCTACTCAGGAGGCTGAGGTGGGAGAATGGCGTGAGCCTGGGAGGCGGAGCTTGCAGTGAGCCGAGATCGTGCCACTGCATTCCAGCCTGGGTGACACAGCGAGACTCCGTCTCAAAAAAAAAAAAAAAAAGAAAGTCATACTAGAAGGCTCTCTAATCTTAACTAGGATTAAAAAAAATAGAAAATAGGAAAATGTGAGAACAACAGAGATTTAGTTGTTTAATTCTTAAATACATTACAGAATACAACAACAAAATTAGAATATCACATTGTTAGTCTCCTAATAATTTCTTCGGTGTGACCACCATTTGATGTTGACAGCAATTTAGGATAACATTACATGGTCACAGAATATTTTGGACAGTATTATCTGATTCTAAGAAATTTTCAATGAAAAAATAATAGGGCTGTTTTTGGTGTCCTAGGAAGATGCAGACCTTATAGAAAATTTTAGATTTAAATGCAGAAGAATCTAATAAGCTATTTTAAGAATGTAAGTAAAGATAGCTTCCTTCAAGGCTTGGGAATGCTGTAATGCAGAAATATGCATCAATGCAAAATGATGACAGTGCCCTTTCTCCACATCAGATTATCAGAGATTCCTAACATTTGGATGGGAGAATGTCCTGAGTCCTCTGAGAATATGTTGGAAGCTACTGACCTTTTCCCTGACAGTGTTTATAATAACAAATAAACATTCCGCAGATCACGAGAACAAACAAAACAGGAACAATCTAAATGTTCATTGGAAGAGAAATACATGTGGCTTGTTTGATAATATGGTATCAATATGCATAGGTGTCACAAGGGTAGTGTTTGGTAAAGAAGCAAGTTGTAGAAAGACGCATATCTGAAACCATGTAAGAAAAATGTCAAAAACACAAAATAAGACTGCTATTTGGGGGTCTATACATTTATTTGTGTATGTGTACATATATGTATTTGTGTGGATATTATTTTAAAAAATATAGGCTGGGCGTGGTGGCTCATGCTTGTAATCCTAGCACTTTGGAAGGCCGAGGCGGGTGGATCACCTGAGGTCAGGAGTTCGAGACCAGCCTAGCCAACATAGCGAAACCCCATCTCTATTAAAAATACAAAAATTAGCCTGGCGTGGTGGTAGACGCCCGTAATCCCAGCTACTCGGGAGGCTGAGGCAGGAGAATCGTTTGAACCCAGGAGGAGGAGGTTGCAGTAAGCTGAGATCATTCCACTGTACTCCAGCCTGGGCGATACAGCCAGACTCCATCTCAAAAAATAAATAAATTAATTAATAAATTAATTAAAAAAATCCACAGACTAGAAAGATCCACACCAAGTTCAAAATACTGAAGGGGGAAAGAGGAAAGGGAGACGACTGAGTCAGTAATGTTTTATTTGCTTTACATATAGAAAAATCCAAAGCAAATATGATGAGATATTATTAATTCTAGGCAGTTGTACATATATATTTCTTTGTTATCCTCTGTAGTTTTAACATCTTTTCTCAGTTCAGATGAAAAAATACATATAATTCTTCATTTAACTTCAGGAGGTTTATAAACCCCTGAAGCCCATACAGTAGCATTCCAAGAATTACAACTAACATTGTCTTGAAATGAGTATTAGGGAGTATGGTCAATTTTGGATCTATGTCAGGTTATTTCAATGACAGTTGACATACAGTCGCATCAATAGTGAGTCCCACTGACTATTGTGTAAAGAGCCATTAGGGGATATGTCTCCCAATGTTCAATACATCTTAGCTCTGCTTAGCCACCTTTTCTTGTGTTAGCTTTTGGTGTGACCAATCACCCAAACTCAGTAACTTAAATAATAAATGTTTATACTTTCTTATGATTTTGTGCACTGGCGTGGCAGTTCTGGTCTCAGCTGGTTCATTCAATCACTGTGGTCAGCTAGTGGCTTGGCTGGGAATGGATGATCTAGGGTGGCCTCACTCACATGTCTGGTAGTTGGTCCAGTCTCAGCTGGGGCCATGGGATGGCTTGGCCATGTGTCTCTTGTCACAACAGTCTAGCTCTGGCTTGTTTACATAGTAGTGGTCACACCACAGGGTTCCCAAGAAAAGCAAGGGTACAAGCTCCAGGGCACACACATTTTTCAACCCTTGCTTGCGTCATGCTTGCTATTATCCCCATTGGCTGAAGCAAGTCACACTGTCAAGTCCAGAGTCACTGTGGAAGAGGACTGCCCAAAGGCTCAGATTCAGTTCCCTACCCTCAACCTTTTCTGTCAACTTTCCTACATTGCGGGAATACTTGGAGGCAGGAATAGATTGAGTGGTAGCTCCAGTTTTCTCTGGCTGATCCCCTGAACCCCTTTGTTTGACAGAAGCCAGCATGGCTCCTGCTCTGTCTGCTGCTGCTTTCCCAAGCAAGGCATGAGGAATCGGAGCTGAAGTCCTTTTGTAGTGATGAGGCTCAGTCTCATTCTAAAACTGCTGTCTTTTGTTGGGGGAAAAAAAGGGCAAAAACAGAAGCTAACAACAAGAAGGAAAATCATTTTCTATCTGCTAAAGGGTGCTTTACAAGAATAACAAACATTTTACATTAAGTCCAAAGTTAGAGAGCAATGAATCATGCCAAACCATGCTGGGCTCGATGGCCTGCTGGACAGAAAGGGGAATGCAGGCCTTCCAAGGTGGGGACAATACTTCTTGCTGCCCAATTCTGCATTTTCGCCCACCTCTGAGCTGTCCATGTGAAGAAAGACATTCCACACACAGACAAAAATTCTTTTTTTTTTCCCCTTGGTTGAAAGTCATGTCTTTTGGACTGTAAGATGGTTCTCAAAATAACCCTGTGTCAATTCCATATTCTGTGAGCCACAGATTTTGCTATCTGTGGGCTCGTCAAGACGTGAATCGAGTAGGATTAGTTTAGCTTCGTGCCCAGGACTTGTACAGGACGTGAAAAATTCCTTGACCTCCTGATCTTTCACTTTGACTTTCTGTTCTGTCTTTCAATCAAAAATGTAAAAATAAGTAAGTTGGAGAGAAAACAAATCCCTCAACTTCAGCCGTTGACAACTCATGACCAATCTTGATTTCACTGTTCTTATCTTCCCCTGGTTTCTTTAGAAGCAAATCCTAGATAGCATACCATTTCATCCATAAATATCTCCATATTATATTGGCTTTCACATAGAGCAAAGCTAGACACTAACTGCTCATTGGACTGAAAGAAGAGATATACTCAGAGAACCAAAGCAAATAGCTTCCCTTTAAGTTTTAATAGGAGTGGCTTTGTTTTATAGAACGCTGTAGGCATCTCCAGCCACTGAGGGGACTTCTTCAAGCTTGGCCCAGCCTCATCCACAGAAGGATCTGGCAGTGATATCTTGGCATTCATAGTCTCAGTGTGCAGGACAGCATTGGTTCCCCACCCTACAGTCCCAGCTCTACCTAGGCAGTATCATATGTATCATGGTAATGGCTATGGAAAATAATATCCCTCCCTCCCTGCCTCCCTTCCCCTCTTCCTCTTTTTAGAGATGAGGTCTTGCTGTGTTGCCCAGGCTGGTCTCAAACTCCTGGCCTCAAGTGATCCTCCTATCTCAGCCTCCCAAAGTGCTGGGATTACAGGTGTGAGCCACCGCATGCAGCCTCTTTCTTTTTTGACAGGGTCTTGCTCTGCCATCCAGGCTGAAGTGCAGTGGTGTGATCTTGTCTCACTGTAGCCTCAACCTCCTAGGCTCAAGAGAGCCTCCCATCTCAGCCTCTTGAGTATCTGGGACTACAGGCATGAGCTGCCATGCCTAGCTAATTAAAAAAAAAAATATATATATATATTATATATATATACACATACATATATATATATATGTATGTAAAATATATATATATTTTACAGGGTCTCACTTTGTTGCTCAGGCTAGTCTAGAACTCCTGGTCTCCAGCGATTCTCCTGCCTTGGTGGCCCAAAATGCTGGGATTATAGGTGACAGCTACTGTGCCCAACCTTGTTTCTTTCAGTGACCAAATAGCTTTAAATATAGAATGTCAAGATGAGAAGTATCCTGGAGACCACTTCCAGGGTAGTCTATGAAATTGTTTGTGTCCATATTCATTCTTAAGTGAATTTTTTCCTGGGAAAAAGATTCATAAATCCCCAATGTGGTTCATGGTCTCCCCAAGTGACCCTTTAAGGTCCAGGGAACTGTGGTGGCCTGACCTAGGTCTCTCAGTTACTTGGCAAGTTAATAGCAGAGTTGTCCCTAGAATACAAGTCTCTTAACCCACAGTTCAGGAATTATGGTCGTAAACCTGCTTTTACTGGAAATGTTTGAAAATCAAACATAATGGTGTATTAGAAGAGAGGTTCAAAGTGGTAAATTTTTCTGTGATCACAAAGAGAAATGCATTCAATACAGACTCCAAATAAATATGTCAGGGACATAAAGTTTTTACTTTATATAAATAATTGAAAACCCATTTTCCTGGTGAGGATACATTGATATTAATTAGAAAATTAGTATTTAATAGTTGACATAAGAAATTGCTGGGCCTTAATATCTGGACTCTGGAGCAGATTTCTGTGCTTTGTTTCTATGATCTAGAACTAGGGCTTGGGGTGTAGAAAAACTGGGATGGCCTTTTCCTTCTAGCTCTTTCTCTCACACACCCTCACACCCCAAACCCATCTTCCAACTAGTGTCCTTTTCTTTCCCCACAAGGCCTCTTGTCCATCCTCTCCTTGAAGCATTCATCTGGACTTGGAAAGGATGAGGAGAGCTGGAGAAGGCAGGAGACATAGTTTGCACCTGCTGAGAAGTGAGGAAACATAAGTAAGGCCAGTAAACCAAAGGGAGCTCTCTCCTCCTCCTCATCCTCCTCTTCCTCCTCATCCTCCTCTTCCTCTTTCTCCTTTTTGTCCTCCTCCTCCTCTTCCCTAAGGCTCTCTTGATACTCCTTGGTCCAGCCCTGCTTAGCAACTCTCCAAGCAAGCATGGAGGACAATGTGGCAAGCATTGTCTGCTCTATGGAGACAAGGAGACATCATCCTCTTTGTTTGGGGCTATGAGTCAAGAGTCTTCAGTTTTTTGCAGCAGTTGTATTTAAGTGTCAGTTGACAAAAGTGAATTTTATATGCTCCAATTAAGATGTAGTGAATTGTGACATTCTACCACTTGCCAAGTCCTGTGATTCCACCTCTGCAGTGTGGCTACACTCACCTATATCAGCTGACCAAATTCATCCACTTGGTGTTTCCCTTTCAGGCTTAGATGTTCTCCATCTTCAGCTTGTGTCTGGCTGGAATCAATTCCTCCCCCTCTCCATCCCGTCAGTCTAATTCTTCTTTTAAACCAGCCTTAACTCTGCCTTCTTGAGCCTCATCATTGAAAATTACCTCCTTGGCAAGGTATGGTGGCTCACGCCTGTAATCCCAGCACTTTGGGAGGCCAAGGTAGGTGGATCACCTGAGGTCAGGAGTTTCAGACCATCCTGGCCAACATGGTGAAACCCTGTCTCTACTAAAAATACAAAACAACAACAACAACAACAACAACAAAAATAGCCAGGCGTGGTGGTAGGCACCTGTAATCCTAGCTACTCGGGAGGCTGAGACAAGAGAACTGCTTGAACCCGGGAGGCGGAGGTTGCAGTGAGCCAAGATTGCACCACTGCTCTCCAGCCTGGGCGACAGAGTGAGACTCGTCTCAAAAAAAAAAAAAAAAAGTTATCTCCTTCTTCAAAATCTCATGAGCACTTTATCTATAAAGATCTTATAATTGCTAATGTGCATTTTGTCTTTCCTTCTGATCAGTTACTTTTCAGGTAGAATCCTTTCTCGTTCAGCTTTGTATCCCAGCCTCTCCTCTCCCCATTCCCACCTCCCCTCGTTGTTTCTTGACTTCCAATACTTGAGTATATGATACTATTTTAAAACTTAATGAGAGGACCAGGCACGGTGGCTCACACCTGTAATCCCAGCACTTTGAGAGGCTGAGGTGGGTGGATCACCTGAGGTCAGGAGTTCAAGACCAGCCTGGTCAACAGGGCGAAACCTCATCTCTACTGAAAATACAAGAATTAGCTGGGTGTGGTGGTGGGCGCCTGTAATCCCAGCTACTTGAGAGGCTGAGGCAGGAGAATTGCTTGAACCCGGGAGGTGGAGGTTGCAGTGAGCCGAGATCGTGCCATTGCACTCCAGCCTAGGCAGCAAGAGTGAAACTCCATCTCAAAAAAAAAAAACCAAAAACAAACAAACAAACAAAAAAAAAAACTTAACAGGAGGCAGGGCACAGTGGTGCAACGCCTGTAATCCCAGCACTTTAAGAGGCCAAGGGAGGCAGATCCCTTGAGCTTAGGAGTTCAGGACCAGTCTGGGCAACATGGCAAAGACCTGCCAATACAGAAAATAGCCGGTTGTGGTGTTACACACTTGTAGTCCCAGCTACTTGGGAGGCTTATGTGGGAGGATTGCTGGAGCCCGGGAGGCAGAGGGTGCAGTGAGCCGAGATTGCAGAGAGAGACCCTGTTTCAGGAAAAACAACAACAAAAAACCCCAAAAAACTTAATGGGAAAAATGTTTGTATTTCTTTTTGTTATGCATCAGTATACAATCTTTAAAACTACCCCCAGGTCTTTTCCTTGAGGGACAAAAGTAGGATGCAGAACTGCCTACAAGGTGGAGCATTCTTAAAATCTACTCCAAAAAACTGCTGCTCGTGGGTACTCAGCTGATAGAATGAACAGGAGTGAATGAATAGGTGAAAGCACCCTGTGATTTGAATGTCGCAAGCCTTTCATTTTCGTTGGAACCTTGTCTGATGTGTGTCACTCCCCACTCCGTTGTGCTTGCCCTTCGGAAAGATGGAATGGTGAGGACAGAGAGGAGACAGGTGATAAAAAGACACTTAAAAGGGCACCTGAAAGCCAGGTGGCTTGTCCCTGGAAGGCAGTAGAAAGCAATCTGCAGTCATGATGCCTTTCTTCACTCAGCAGCAGCTATAATGTTGAAAATGGGGCAAACGCCTTCCCCGTGCAACTGTTTAACAAAAGGTAGTTCTCCTAGAAAACAGAATCTGTTGTATATGTTGCCAGTGATTTTCACAAGTGTAGATGCCTAAGAAATAGGCAAATATGCTGAGCGTGGTGGCTCACACTTATAATCCCAGCACTTTGGGAGGCCTAGGCAGGTGGATTGCTTGAGCCCAGGCATTCGAAACCAGCCTGGGCAACATTGTGAGACCCCGTCTCTACAAAAAAATAAACGAAAATTAGCCAGACATCGTGGTGTGTGCCTGTAGTTCCAGCTACTTGGGAGGCTGAGGTGGGAAGATTGCTTGATCCTGGCAGGTTGAGGCTGCCGTGAGCCCTGATCATGCCACTGTACTCCAGCCTGGGTGACAGAGTCAGAGCCTGTCTCAAAAAAAAAAGAAATAGGCAAATACAAGAGATGGAAAAAGGAATCGAAAGAATTGCCATGGGATTGCGCATTAGACAATTTGCTTTTTAAAATTGCATGTGGTTTTGAAGGACAGGTTGAATTTGGATGTTTAAAATGCTTAGTGAAACTAAGACTGGCAGGGTCAAACTGTGCGCATAAAATCTTTGTTCTGGAACTCAAGTGAAAAATTGGCAGATTTGCACTTTTTGAGCTTTTTAGAGTCCATTTCCAGCTCCAGGTGGCTGGGTGAAGTATCCTAAGCTCTACAGAAGGGTAAAAGAAATAGCCTCCCACGTGAGTGGCAGGAGTAGGTAACCTGTAGTATCTGGAAAGATATGTAGATCACCACCAGTTAGAACATTTGGAAGGAGGAATTGCCAGTGGCTTGTAGACAAGGAATGGAGGAGTTGAGACAGGCAAGGTAAATTGGGGCCCTCCTGCCAATTGGAAGTTTTTGAGTGATATTTTTAATATTTATTATTCCATCCTCCTTGGTTGGAAAGTCACGACGGAGAGGGACACTGTCATGCTCATGGTTTGTGTTTGTATTTCTGGCATGGGGTAGAATTGGCAACTTTGCTGAATTGAACAACTGTTCCCCACTAGACCAAAAGTGCCCAGAGGACTGAAAACCCTCCAATTCAACTTGGTGGCAGCAAGGCAGCCGCCAGTGAATGAGTGATTGATGAGAGCCAGCGGATTAAAGGAGACAACTAATTGTAAACTGGAAATAGTTTTCAAAGATAAAAGTAGCCCCCTCAGATAAAACCACTAGGGCTTCCTTTTGAGTTTTCTTTTCACAGAACAGGATATTAGTGGTTCGGTGGGGCTCCTGCAGGAGGGGGTAGCTGTGGAGGGAAGCTGGTAGGCTGGGAAGGTTTCTACCTGTTTCTCACTCCTTTCCTACTAACGCCCCTTCAATTGAGAGGCTAGGTAATTATAATTACCTGAGATCACACAACCAGTCCTGACCTGTCCCCACAAGGGGTGGAGCTACTCTTTCCAGGTCAAAATGGAAACCAAATTCACCACTATCCGTTCAAAAGCTCCCAACTCCGAACAAAGAGCCATTGCAATGGTGCCCACCTGGGCACCATTTTGGAGCCTGATATTTATTATCACATTTAGGTTCACATGCCAGGTGCCCACCTGGCATGGAGGCAGCAGTCTGTTCGAGTTCTGCCACCTGAGGACACCCAGGCCTGTGACCCCAAGCGAGGGCTTTTCTGACGTTTGTGGGGGAGTGGTTAGGCTGCTTTTGCTGATATGAAAGATCACTGCTAGATTCATGGCCAGGATAAGAAGGTTTTCCTTGTTAGGTGATACGGACTTTCAGAATGTGAAATTTCCTGACCAAGGTTGTGTCTGTTCTGGTTTAAAGACGAGGATTTGCTGCCTTTGTTTTTCCTTAAGCCAACGTGCCATCCACCTGTGCTAGAGGAATCTGGTATTGCTCTCCTCCAAAGGCCAGGACGGTCTCAAAGGAGACAGGCTAATGGCTTAATTGTTTTGTTTATTCTGCTCCCCACAAATTCCAGTAGCTTCATTTACATTCAGAGAACTTTTTTCAACTGTATTGTCATTTCCCTTGGTTTTGAATGGCTCTTAATGTTTGCCCTTCATGTTGTTTTGAAAGGTTGATCGAGCCGTTAGTGAAGGGTGTGGCTTTCTCCAAATGGGGGTTTTTCTTAGTGTGTGGTAGAGAAAGTGAGAGTAATTTTAAAAATAAAATATGCACATTTTTTCTATCTGTACACACAAACTCTAGATTATTTTGGAGCCTATTTATGTTCACATGCTTTAGGTTTTGGGAGTTAAAAGATTAATGTGTACAAGGGAATGGTGATATTTAACAGGACAAAAATTTCGCTTTTACAGAGCTGTGGTTTGCTTTTCAAAATGTAGAGGTTTCTTTACCTTTGCGTTTTTTTCTTTCTTTGTTTTTTTTTTTTTTTGAGACGGAGTTTTGCTCTTGTTGCTCAAGCTGGGGTGCAATGGCATGATTTCAGCTCACTGCATCCTCCACCTCCTGGGTTCAAGTGATTCTTCTGCCTCAGCCTTCCGAGTAGCTGGGATTACAGGCGTGCGCCACCACACCCGGCTATTTTTTTGTATTTTTAGTAGAAACGGGGTTTCTCCATGTTAGCCAGATGGTCTTGAACTCCTGACCTCAGGTAATCCACCCGCCTCAGCCTCCCAAAGTGCTGAGATTACAGGTGTGAGCCACCGCACCTGGCCTGTTTCTTCACCTTTGACAAAGAATCCAGTATAAGACTATTCTGGTTCGTGTTGTAAATGGATTTTTTTTTCTTTTTTTTCTTTTCTTTTCTTTTCTTTTCTTTTTTTTTTTTTTTTTGAGACAGGGTCTCTATCTGTCACCCAGGCTGGAGTACAGTGGTGCCATCACAGCTCACTGCAGCCTTAAACTCCTGGGGTCAAGCAATCCTCTTACCTCAGCCTCCCAAGTAGCTGGGACTACAGGCGCGCACCACTACACCTGGCTTAAATGCATTTTTATAATTTTAGTATAAACAAGACATTTTAGATTGAATAACTTTGTAATGTGCTAGGACAGTAGTTTTTAATGCAGGTGGGATCCAACTTTTGAGAAAGGGAAATGTGAAGGTTGAAGAAACTTAAAAATCAACTGCCGTTGGCTAGATCTAGGTGTGCTGACTTCCTTAGAAAAGAAATGCTTCCTTTCCCTGCAAACCGGAGTTTGGGAAATTTAGAGCTAGGAAATCATGTGGTCGATCTTAACGTTATAAATCACTCAGACAAATACAGGATAATGCTGTTTTCGGAAGTGCTTGTGATTGTACAGGATTACATGGTGATAAAGAGTTTTCAATGGCTCCTCCAGTTTCTGAGGGAGTTCTGTGCTTTGCTTTCTTGGTAATTCCTTCTGCAGACCTTAGAGCCTTTGAGGGGGGCTGGGTATGCTTCCGTGAATTTAACAGTTTAACACACTGTTGAATAGAAGAGAATCTGCTATTGGAACTAGCGATTACTAAGAAACCACTTCTATATCATCCAGCATTTGTATCTACTTTAAAGTACATATTAGTATTTTCCTTGGTTTACAGATGAGGAAAATGAGTTAGGTACCGTGTTTAAGGTTACCCATCTGAAAAGTGGCAGAGAGGGGATTTAAACTCCTGGTCATCTGAATCTAAGGTCTGCTTAGAAGAGGAGCTGTTTGCTTCTAGACACATGCGTATTTAGGTTGTGGGTCCACGGACTAATAGCGTGGGCATCCCTGGGATATTATTAGAAATGCAGAACTTCAGGTCCCACCCACACCTGATTGCAGATCTGTGTTTTAACAAGGTCTCTAGATGATTGCAAAGCACTACGGCACAGGGACACTTCCCCAGAGGAAGTGTGATGGCCGCCCTCCAGGATATCATCTTCCAAGGTTAGGGACGTGCCAAATATCCCAAGCTTTCAGATATGCGACTCAATCATCTCTAATTATCCTGCTCAACCAAAAATTAAAGAGCGATTCTTCCAAGTGGAATCGAGGGAAACTTTTCTCCTGGACAATTCTGGAGGGAGTCCAGCTATCCTTAAGGAGATGCACAGAATAGGCTGTTGCCGACAGCATGCTTGGAAAACCTATCAACCCGGGGTGCCTCTTCCACGGCTGCTGTCCATGCTATACTTTCTCCCATTACTGATCCCTCTGAACTAGTCTATCAAACCTTCTCCTAAAGAGGGTGAGAACAGATTTTGTCAGGCCAGAGAGGAAGAAAGAGATCCAGAATGGGGACGATCAATAGCATGAAAATAGAGAAGGGCATTGAAAAGAGCCCAGCCTTCAGAACACTCCAGTCCTGGCGCTGGAGAACTGCACCTTACCTTTTACTCCTACCTGGTTTTCCTTTTAGAATTCCCCCAGGCATCTATGCTGGAGACAGTAGTGTCTTTGTCTGTTGTTCCCATCCCTGCCTTGCTCCTGCCATTTCCAACGTCCTGTGAGTATATCTTCACAGGACTCCCCCTTCCTTTTCACAGTGGCCACCCTAGTTTGGATGTGCATTGTCTTACACTGGGAACATTATAAGCGTTTCTTAAGTGGTCTTCACTCTTATCCCCCGGTAATTCACAGAAATAGCATCAGCGCAATCATCTTCTAGTAACACGGCTTTGCATCTGTCACTCTTCCTCAAAAACTCTCAGTTCCTACTGGGAACAGTCTAAAGACCAAAATGCATTACGGTCTAAATTAAACCAATTACTGGTTGCATTTATCCAACTCTATTTTCCAGTAGTCCTTCTCAAATAAATTCCGTGAGGGCAGCCTACATGCCTTGTTCCTGCTATTAGCTCCTAGCACAGTGCTTGTACACAGTGGATTTTCACTAAATATTGATTGAATGAACGAATGAACTTATTCTCAGGTTTATGTTTTATAGTCTGCCTAGAATACACTCCTTGGTCAGGCCATTTCCTGTGACTAGATTTCCCTTCCCTTTTTTCCTGTTCATCTGAATCCTTAAAAAACCAAGTAAGGCCGGGTGCGGTGGCTCACACCTGTAATCCCAGCACTTTGGGAGGCCGAGGTGGGCCGATCACGAGGTCGGGAGATCGAGACCATCCTGGCTAACACGGTGAAACCCTGTGTCTACTAAAAATACACAAAAAAATTAGCTGGGCGTGGTGGTGGACGCCTGTAGTCCCAGCTACTCTGGAGGCTGAGGCTGGAGAATGGCGTGAACCTGGGAGGCGGAGCTTGCATTGAGCCGAGATCGCGCCACTGCACGCCAGCCTGGGTGACAGAGCGAGACTCCGTCTCAAAAAAGACAAAAAACAAAAAACCAACCAACCAAACAAACAACAACAACAACAAATAAAGACTCATTTCCTGGAAGCCTCTGATTTAACTCGTGGAGATCATTCCCTTCTCCAAATTGTGGCCCTTACCATAGAGTTATTTATTTGTGACTAAACTATGTCATCTTGCATTGTTATCTGTTTTCACACAGTCTCTTACAGCCCAAGTAGACTGTAAGCCTCTTGAGATCAGAGATAATTTACATTTCTTTATATTTTTCAGAATTCACCATCTTTCCCTTTGGCCTTCCCACATTCCTGTACACTCTCGACATTCCCTGGTTATCTGGCAGTTCATATTGGGGAATTATGGTTAGCTGTGGATCAGGCCTCCTCTCCCCACTTTCCTCTCAGTAATGCATGTAGTCTCTGAGGGCAGACACTACATTCTCCTGTGTCTTTTCTGGTTTATTCAATGATAGAGGCTGTACCCTTTATCCTTTTCAATTTCATCTACATTCTTTTCCTTCTCCTGCTCAGTTCTTGGAACTCCCATTTCTGAGTGTCTACGACTACAGTCATGGTGAATAGAAGGTAATGAAACTGTGAGTCAGTGTATCCTCTAGCTGGAGTGTGAAGGTGAGTCAGCAGACAGCAGCAGTGGATCTCTTCCACCCTGAGGAAAGGCAGGAGCCTGCCTGGTGATCAGGGAAGGAGGCCCTCCTCCCCACATTGTTTCCTGGAACTGAGTAGAACAAATTACTTAACTGTACTTCAGTTTCATTTGTTAAAAAATGAAGTAAGAATAGCTTCCATTCTCTTTTCATTCAAGTGGTGATGTATTGACAATTAATAAGAAAATTATAAAATGCCTTAGATACCACCATTGGGACTATGTAACGCACCACAACCTGGTTGTGGCTGAGGCTCTGTTCTAGCCACCCCTCCTTTCTGACTACCACATCGCCCTAAAGTTAGAGGCAATAATAGAGTTACCGCATTAGTGTTTTTCTAACAAACCTGTTCAAGTCCTGGCTCACTAAATTTTAGGGAAATGATATCATTTCTCTCCAGTCTTTTAATAGATTGTCTTTGAAAGAGTTGCATGTTGCCTGTTAAGGAAATGCTTCAGTTGGAAATAATTGAGTAAGGTTAGAAATGGTTCAAGAAAACAGACACATCCCTGCTTGACCTGCTCAGCCTCAAACTTTCATATCTCCTAGTTTGGGGAGGGATGGATGGCAGATGTAGAGTGCCTCAGTTTTTGTTTTGCAGAAAGTTATATCATCATCATGTAGAACAGACATCACAGAACGAAATTAATTAGTAATGCATTCACTGAATTTGGGCAGGATAGTTTGCTTATTTGAAAAAATTCTTGGCAAGGATGAGGATGATTTCTCATCATCCTCCTCCCTAACTCGCTGGGTAATTTAAAGAAGGTTTGTGAGTTGAAATTTTCTGAATAGAGTGGGTTCAGTTTACCCTTTTTTATATGGTAGATTGCTAATAGTGCATTACTGGGAGTGGAGGAAAGACACCCTTTTCTGCCTTAACCCTGAGCTAGAGGAATCACAGCCTTGTCTAGAAGCTAAAGACATAATTATATCCATTTCATATGCAGTATGACAAAATCATTAGAAAATTATAATTGCAAATAGAAAAAATATAGGAGGCATATGCATATATACCTAAGATGTTTATATGGGAAGTTATGGGAGGAAAATGAAATAATTACTAATTAATAATTACTATTAATAAGGTTTCAAATGATCCCCTTTTTTCCCCTTGCCTGGGTGTCCTTCCATCATGTCCAAGTCTTAGATCAGTTTCTAGATCTAGGCTCAACAAAATTCCCTCCCCTGGACCCCCAAGCCTTCCCAGATAGTCACCTTCCTCTTCCATATGTCCATGGCACCTAGTTTGAAATGTTCTTACCTCATGCATCATGTTCTGCCTTGTGTTAGACCCTTTAAGCTTTTGTGTCTCATTAAGATATTGAACTCGGCTGCGTGCGGTGGCTCACGCCTATAATCCCAGCACTTTGGGAGGCCTAGGTGGGCGGATCACCTGAGGTCAGGAGTTTGAAACCAGCCTGACCAACATGGTGAAACCCCATCTCTACTAAAAATACAAAATTGGCCGGGCATGGTGGCGCATGCCTGTAATCCCAGCTGCTCGAGAGGCTGAGGCAGGAGAATCACTTGAACCTGGGAGCCGGAGGTTGCAGTGAACTGTGATCGTGCCATTGCCCTCCAGCTTGGGCAACAGAGTGAGACTCCATCTCAAAAAAAAAAAAAATGATATTGAACTCCAAGGAGCAGAAGTTGTTTCTGACATATAGCCAATGGTCTTTATCCAGCTAAAATTCACCCGTAGTGCTTTTTAAAAATGACAACCCTTGGGCACCATCCTAGACCAAAAGGATTCAGACACAACTGTATTACTTTTCAAAGCTTCCTGGATGGTTCCTAAAAGCAGCCTAGGTTGAGAGCCACTGTTGATGGATGTTTAAGCATTGTGGGCTATGCCATAATTTGATGCAACACCAAATGCAAACTGATCAGGATGTATTTTTGCCATGCTGCAACACACCATGTAACTTAGGAAGTTTTGTGGTTTTGGCGTTTTTGGTTAGGGAGGGTATTATTTAATACAGCTGACTTGAATAAATAGGAAACTAGTTCCCAGGGGACTTTACAAAAGGTAAGCCTTTGTGTGACTAGCACCTGGGGGGTTTCATCGCTGTCAAGGCTATGGTAGTTTTACCACCTGCATTCTCTTACCTCCTCCCCACTGTGGCATTGACCCTAGACCAGAGGCCTCCAAAACATGGCGAGGCATCAAAACCACCTGAGGAGGTGATTCAGCAGGTTTGGGATGAGGCTTCAAAATCTGTTTTTCACCAGGGTTCCAGGTGATTCCAGTGGAAAAACTGATAGGAGAGCCGCTGCTTTACAGCTGTGTGGAATTGAAAATGACGTGGGTCTTGGATCATAAGCAGCAGGGTGTTTTTCTTTTCCTAGATTGTCTTCCTTAACCCCAAATTATGTAATTACATACATATTTTCTCTAGAACTTTTTTGTATTTTTAAATTTTAGCTCCTTATGTCACCCGAAATTTACTTTTCTGGTGTGAGGGGTATAATTTTTTCCAAATGCATGGTTAGTGGTCTTAAAAATAATTTATTCACTGGTGCATTCTTTGTCTCCTGTTGTGAAGTGCCACCTTTATCTTATGTTAAATTCATATCTATCATATGTTTCTAGCCTCTTCTGTTTCCTTGATCCTTTTCTTTATTCCTAAACCAGTTGCTAGTACCACATTCTATAATTACTCTAGTTTCGGAATATGTTTTAATTTTTATTTTTGGCAAGACTTTACTAATTAAATTCCTTTTTAAGTGAGTTCTTGGCAATTTATACTCATTTACTCTTCCAGATAAAATTTAGAATCAATGTGTCAAAGTTCCATAAGAAAATCTCTTTGGAACTTTGGTTGGAGTAGCATGAACCCTCTAGAGCAGCAGTCCCCAACCTTTTTGGCACCAGGGACCGGTTTCGTGGAAGACAGCTTTTCTGCAGCCTGGGGTGTGGAGTGGGGATGGTTTTGGGAGAAAACTGTTCCACCTCAGATAATCGGTATTAGATTCTCATTAGAAGCGCGCAGCCTGGATCCTGCGTATATTCGGTTCACAATGGGCTTTGTGCTTCTATGGGAATCTAGTGCTGCTTTGATCTTACAGGAGGCGGAGCTCAGGCGGTAATGCTTGCTCACCAGCCACTCACCTGCTGCTGTGCAGCCCGGTTCCTGACAGGCCACTGCCAGCACGGGTCCATGGCCCCGGGGTTGGGAACCCGTGCTCTAGAGCACTTTGAGAAGGTGAACGTCTTTGTAACTGATGCCTTATACCCACAGACATGGTGTCCTTCCCCATCAGCCCTTCTTTCAGGGGCCTCCATTCATCTTTATGCTTTTCTTTACACAATTCTTTCACTTTTTTTTTTTTTTCTTTTTGGGAGACAAGGTCTCGCTCTGTCACCCAGGCTGGAATGCAGTGGCATGATCAGGGCTCACTGCAACCTCCACCTCCTGGGATCAATCAATCCTCCCATCTCAGCCTCCTGAGTAGCTGGAACTACAGCTGTGTGCCTTCATGCCCAGCTAATTTTATTTGTTTATTTTGTAGAGATAAGGTTTTGCCATGTTACCCAGGCTGGTCTTGAACTCCTGGGCTCTAGTGATCCTCCAAAAGTGCTGGGATTACAGTCGTGAGACACCATGCCCAGCCATCTTCCCCATTTCTTAAGTTTATTACTGGCATTTTATTACCCTTGTTACTGATTTGAATGGGATATTTCCTAAAACATTGTCTTTTGAAAATATTAATAATTTTATCCATAGTTCTTATAATTTAATGGATATCATGTCATAACCCACAGAATTACAAGAATCTCCCTCACCTGAATATAGAGGGATTGTAGCATTTTGAGGCATTCCATTTTTTACTCTTGCTTCAAAAACATGAGACAAAACAGGTTCTCCTCAAGTGTCCCAGTGCACTCTTCTTCATTAATAGAGTGGCCTGGGCTATGGGGCCGTCATTCGTAGGCTCTTTGGCAGGGTTGCAGAAGGAGCTGAGTCTGGGCTGAATGTGATCCATGGTGGGACACAGCCTGCAGTTCGTGCTTCTGAATAGGTCCCTGGTCGGGGGCTGGATGTTCAGTGATGCACCTCGTCATCCTGAGGTCAAGAAAGCACAAGTGGAAGAAGGGGAAAGATGTGTTAATTCTGCCTAGCTGAATGAGGGATTCAGAAGTGGGAGCCAGACCTTTGCTTACAATCTCAGAAGGAAAAAATGTTGATTCCAGGAATCAAGTAATTCTAAGAACCAATTATATAAAAAGTGTTTTGCAAACTATAAAGTGATATTCACTCACATGCATTCGGAAGTACTACCTCCACGTGTTTTAGCTGCATTTGAAAGTCTTTTAGAAAGAAAGCAATGCAACTGCTGGATAAAACCTCATCCCTCTACCCCAGAATTGTTGTCACAGCTTTAAGGAAGTTTTATGTGAAAGCAGAGGAAAGTAACAGTAACTCTTTAATCCAGACATGTGTCTAAACCATGGATAACTCACAGAAGGCCTTAGAGACTCTGAGAATTGGTAAATATTCTATACATCCTTAGCATCCACAGGCTAAATACCCCTCCATTCCCTGAGTCAGGGCATGCCAGCTGTTAACAATGTTCTATTCCTGGTACCTCTCTCTTTGCATTTCCCTGTCTTTCCTCAATCATCTTGTATCACAGGAAGTATAAAAGTAGTTAGGCAGTTCTATTTTTTGACAGCAGATGAAAAGCCAAAGTTAAAGGTCAATGCTTAACCCACTGGCTTCTAATAAGCTGGTAAAGCTGGGCAATATAGTAAGACCCCTATTTCTAAAAACATTTTTTTAATTAGCTGAGTGTGGTGGCACATGTGCCTGTAGTCCCAGCTAATCAGGAGGCAGAGGCAGGAGAATCCCTTGAGCACAGGATTTTGAGGCTCCCCAAGAGAAAGCTGAGGCTCAGAGAGGGTAATGTGTGGTAAGAGTTAAACTCTCAGTCCTGATACCTTTGCTTTTTTATGCTGTATTTCTTCTGCAATATTCTGCACTTTGCTTAGGTTTTTTTTTTTTCTCTCTCTCTCATTTAAATACTTCAACTGCCTGTCTGATCTGTTAGCCATTCTGTGTACCATTATCTGATTGCTTTTAGAAAAGAGCTTCCAGTGGGCTCAATGTGTTTAATCTGCTGTGGCTTCTGAAGTCCCTCATCTTCAGGGAGAAGTGGCTCTTCTGTCTACCCGATTGGTCAAGCCTCTTTCTTTCTTGATGTTTTTTCTTCATAAAAAGTTAGGCATTTAAAATTTTTTCTGTTTGTCTTTCTAAATAAAGTACTTCAAGTTATTTTGAAAGCTCTGGTCATATCCTATCAATATGCAAACAGATGAGTTGATTTTTAAAAAATGACATGCTGGTTTGAGTTCTTGGTCTTTTAGTACCTATTGATTCTAGTGCCTATTGACTGGCTAATGGCTGCTTGTATTTATTGAATCTAAATATTATGCTCTTTGATTGGTGGTGCCCTGGCAGCACTCCCCGTGGGCCTGTGGGGTGGAGAACACGGGAAGAGATACCTGCTTGGGGAAAGGTGGGAGGTAAGAGTGGGAAGGACTTTGGTGGTTTTGGTGCCAGCTTAGCCACAGTAGAATAAAGTACTCAGTAGATTTCTAACATTTCTGACTCCAGACCCTGGTTCCCTGATAGCATCTCTGGACCTACCTGGGCCCAGGGCTGTCCTGAAGGAAAGGACACAAGCCTAGCTGGCTTCACTACTTGATGATTGTAGAGCCCTAGGGCCTTGAGGGAACATAGGCCAGATAATTATACAGGCCTTGGGCAAGACCCAGTGTTGTGCTGGCTTCAGGTCAGACCTGCAGTCCCCAGTGGTGGTGGCCATAGGGGTGCTTTTGTCACCCTTCCCCTAGCTCCACACATCTCAGCACAGAGAGCAAAACTCTGTTTGGGAAAAAGTAAAGGAAAAGAACAAGAGTCTCTGCCTGGTAATCCAGAGAGTTCTTTTGGATCTTACACAAGACCACCAAGGCAGTACCTCTACGAGTCCGCAAGAACTACAGTGTTACTGGGCTTGGGGTACCCCATAATGCAGATACGGCTGTGGTGTCCACAAACTTAGATCATAACAACCAAGTCCCTTTGAATACTTGGAAAGCCTTCCCAAGAAGGATGGGTACAAACAACTCCAGATTGTGAAGCCTACAATAAATTCTTAACTCTTCAGTGCCTAGACATCCATGAATATCCACAAGCATCAAAACCATCTGGGAAAACATGGCCTTACCAAATGAAATAAATTGACCAGGGGTCAATCCCAGAGAGACAGAGATATGGGACCTTTCAGAAAGAGAGCTTAAAATAGCTGTTTTGAGGAAACTCAAATTCAAGGTAACACAGAGGAGGAACTCAGAATATTATCAGATACATTTAACAAAGGAATTGAAGTAAGTTAAGAGAATCAGGCAGAAATTCTCGAGCTGCTGAATGCAATTGACGTACTGAAGAATGCGTCAGAGTCTGTTAGTAGCAGAACTGATCAAGCAGAAGAAAGAATTAGTGAGCTTGAAGACAGACTATTTGAAAATACACAGTCAGAGGAGACAAAAGAAAAAAGAATAAAAAAGAATGAAGCCCACCTACAAGATCTAGAAAATAGCTTCAGAAGGGCAAATCCAAGAATTATTGGCCTTAAAGGAGGTAGAGAGAGAGAGATAATGGTGGAAAGTTTATTCAAAGGGATAATAAGATAACTTCCCAAACAAAAGATATCAAAGTTTAAGTACAAGAAGGTTATAGAACACCAAGCAGATTTAACTAAAAGGAAATTACCTCAAGGCATGTAATAACAAAACTCCCAAAGGTCAAGGATAAAGAAAGGATCCTAAAAGCAGTAACAGAAAATAAACAAATAACATATGATGGAGCTCCAACACGTCTGGCAGCAGACTTTTCAGTGGAAACTGTACAGGCCAGGAGAGAGTGGCATAAAGTGCTGAAGCATTAAAAAAAAAAAAAGAGTTCACTCTAGAATGGTATATCTGGCAAAAATATCCTCCAAACATGAAGGAAAAATTAAGACCTTCCCAGACAAACAAAAGCTGAGGGATTTATCAACCCCAGGCCTATCCTACAAGAAATGCTAAAGGGAGTTCTTCAATCTGAAAGAAAAGGATGTTAACAAGCAATGAGAAATCATCTGAAGGTACAAAACTCACTGGTAATAGTAAGTACACAGAAAAACACAGAATATTATAACAGTATAATAGTAGTGTGTAAACTATACATATCTCAAATAGAAAGATGAAAGGATGAACCCATAAAAAATAATAACTTTTCAAGGCATAGACAGTACAGTAAGATAAATAGAAACAACAAAATGTTAAAAAGTGGGGAGACAAAATTATAGAGTTTTTATTGGTTGTCTTTTTGCTTTTTGTTTATGCAATCGATGTTAAGTTGTGATCAGTTTAAAATAATGGGTTATAAGATGTTATTTGCAAGCCTCATGGTAACCTCAAATCTAAAAAACATACAACAGGTACACAGAAAATAAAAAGGAAGAATTTAAAATGTGCCAACTGAGAAAATCACCTTAAAGGAAGATAGGAAAGAAGGACAGAAGGAAGAGAAGACCACAAAACAACCAGACAACAAATAACAAAGTGGCAGGAGTAAGGCCTCACTTATCAGTAATAACATTGAATGTAAATAGACTAAACTCTGCAATCAAAAGACATAGAATAGCTGAATGGATAAAAAGCAAGACCCAAGGATCTGTTGCCTACAAGCAACACACTTCACCAAATCAAATGAAAATGGATGAATGACCTAAATCTAAGACTTCAAACTATGAAACTACTAAAAGAAAACATTGGGAAGACTCCAGGACATTGGTCTAAGCAAAGATTTTTTGGACAAATGGGATCACATCAAGTTAAAAAGCTTCCTTCCACACAGCAAAAGAAAAAATCAACAAAATGAAGAGACAACCCACAGAATGGGAGAAAATATTTGCAAACTTTCCATCTCACAAGGGTTTAATCACCAGAATACAGAAGGAACTCAAATAACTCTGTAGGAAAAAATCTAATCTGATTTTAAAATGGGCAAAAGATATCAATAGACATTTCTCAAAAGAAGACATACAAATGGCAAACAGGTGTATGAAAAGGTGCTCAACACCACTGAAAATCAGAGACATGCCAATGAAAACTACAATGAGGTATCATCTCACCCAAGTAAAAATGGCTTTTATCCAGAAGACGGGCAATAATGAATGCTGGCAAGGATGTGAAGAAAAGGGGAAAAGGGAACTCTCATACACCGTTGGTGGAAATATAAATGAGTATAGCCACTGTGGAGAACAGAAGGGCGGTTCCTTAAAAACTAAAAACAGAGCTAGCTACCTTATGATCCAGCAATTCCATTGGTAGGTGTATACCTTAAAGAAAGGATATAAGCATATGGAAGAGATAGCTGCACTCCCATGTTTATCCTAGCACTATTCACAATAGCAAATATTTGGAATCAACCTAAGTGTCCATCAAATGATGAATGAAATCATTCATCACATAAAGAAGATGTGGTACAGATACACAACAGAGTACTAATCAGCAATAAAAAAGAATGAAACCCTGTCATTTGTCATTTGCAAGAATATGAATGGAACTGGAGGTCATTATGTTAAGTGAAATAAGCTAGGCACAGAAAGACAGATTTCATATTTTCTCACTTATTTGTGGGAGCTAAAAATTAAAAGTATTGAACTCATAGAGATAGGGAATAGAATGATGGTTACCAGAGGCTGGGAAGGAGAACTGGGGAGACAGGGGTTATGGTTAATGGGTACAAAGAAATAGTTAGAAATAATAGAATGAATAAGAGCTAGCATTTGCATGCTCACAGTAACACGTATACTAAAATTGGAATGACACAGAGAAGATTAGCATGGCTCCTGAGCAAGGATGTCATGCAAATTCATGAAGTGTATTTTAAATGTTATTGAAAAAAAAAATCTAGTGTTTGCTAGCACAACAGAAAGACTATAGTCAATAATAATTTGTGCATTTAAAAATAACTAAAAGAGTATTACTGGATTTTTTGAAACACAAAGGATAAATCCTTGAGGGTGTGGATACCCCATTTTCGATCATGTGATTATTACACATTGCATGCCTGTATCAAAATATCCATATACACCTACTTATATATGCCCAAAAATTAAAAATTAAAATGAATTTTATGTTCTTTGAAGATTTTTCTTTTTTTCTTTTTTTTCTTTTTTTTTTTTTTTTTTGAGATGGAGTCTCGCTCTGTCCCAGGCTGGAGTGCTGTGGCGGGATCTCAGCTCACTGCAACCTCTGCCTCCCCTGTTCAAGCTTTTCTACCTCAGCCTCCCGAGTAGCTGGGATTACAGGTGTGTGCCACCACGCCCAGCTGATTTTTGTATTTTTAGTAGAGATGGGGTTTCACCATGTTGGCCAGGCTGGTCTTGAACTGCTGACCTCGTGATCCTCCCGCCTCAGCCTCCCAAAGTGCTGGGATTACAGGCATGAGCCACCATGCCTGGCTGAAGATTTTTCTTAAATCCTTCCTGATTTTATTCCTGAATAAAAACCAAATATTATAAAGTTAGTTTTACTTTGGACATTAAATGTCCAAGCAAATTAGAAATAAAAAATAGTAAGAGGAGTAATGAACTTAGAAACGGCAGTTATTTGCAAAGGCAATTGTAAACATGTCATTTGATGCTACTGTTATTTGATACTACACATGGTAAAAACACAGTGAGTGACGTCATAGAAAACCAACTCAAGTATTACTTTTTCCTGACAATTTTCCTCCTCCTTCCAATAGTCCATAGAAATTAGACTGTCTAGAGAAAGTAAAACAAAAACACAGCACATCACGGAAATAGAACCTCAAAAAAAAAAAGGTTAATGTGAAAAGTTTGCCTTATTTAATTTAACGATCAGGCGGGGTTTAAAAAATTGCTATTTTTTTTGAGACAAGGTGTCGCTTGTCATCCTGGCTGGAGTTCAGTGGCACGATCATGGCTCACTGCAGCCTCGATCTCCTGGGTTCAAGCGATCCTCATGCTTCTCGATTATAGGTTGCACACCACCATGCCCAGCCAATTTAAAAAATATTTTGTAGAGGTCAGATGCAGTGGCTCATGCCTGTAATCCCAGCACTTTGGGAGGCCGAGACAGGCAGATCACCTGAGGTCAGGAGTTTGAGACTAGCCTGGCCAACATGGCAAAATTCTGTCTCTACTAAAAATACAACAACAAAAAAATTAGCCAGATGTGGTAGCGGACACCTGTAATCCCAGCTACTAGGGAGGCTGAGACAGGAGAATTGCTTGAACCCAGAAGGCAGAGGTTGCAGTAAGCCGGGATTGTGCCACCGCATTCCAGGCTAGGCGACAGAGCAAGACTCTGTCAAAAAAAAAAAAAACAAAAAAAAGTATGTATATATAAAATTTTGTAGAGAAGGTATCTCGCTATATTGTCTAGGCTGGTCTTTAACTCCTGGGCTCAAGCAGTCTTCAGGCCTTGGCCGCAAAACTGCTGGGATTACAGGCTGGAGCCACCATACATGGACTGAATTTTTAAAATTCTTAGTAGGGAGACCTTTTAATTGGAAGTTGACTATAGGAACGAGAAGGAAACTGGGTGACTGAACAACCCTATTAGGAGAGAAACACAGATGAATCAACATGAAGAATGTCTGGGATGGGAGCCTAACATGCCCAGAGCTGCCCTTTTGTGTCTCTTGGGAGGGGCTGTGTTCTGGATGAAGGCAGTCAATAGGAGGCTGGACTACTGTGAATATCGGGGTAGTGAAGTTGAGAAATACCAATTCTACAGTATGGAGTCAGTTAGGTCAAAGGTTTTGTACGTCAAATAACCAAGCTATCTTACATTTCTGTCTCCATTTGGAAACCAGAAGGTCAGTCAAATATTTGGTTAGAAAACCAGGAACAGGAAAACATCTCTTGTTACACATAAAATCTGTATCCAAGCACTGTGTATCATTCCACACCATCCATTAGAACCAGTGGAGAGGAAGGCTCTGAAAGGTTTCTGTCTATTGAGGTTTGATAAAATGGAAGAGTTTAGTACCCATTATTACTACTTCAAGTTGAATAAAATGTGTCATTGACATTTTCTTTTTTTGAGACAGAGTCTTGCTCTGCCACCCAGGCTGGAGTGCAGTGGCACAATCTTGGCTCACTGCAACCTCTGTATCCCAGGTTCAAGCAATTCTCATGCCTCAGCCTCCCCAGTAGCAGGGATTACAGGCATGTGCCACCACGCCTGGCTAATTTTTGTATTTTTAATAGAGATGAGGTCTCGCCATGTTGGCCAGGCTGGTTTTGAACTCCTGGCCTCAGGTGATCCACCTGCCTCGGCCTCCAAAAATGCTGGGATTACAGGCATGAGCCACAGCGCCCAGCCTGATGTTTTATTTATAGGGTGCACTCTTCATTGTTTAAATGTCTATTTTTAGATGTTGATAGACCTTTGTAGGTAGTTTCACCCCTGTCTTTGGTTCTCTTGCACTGTTTGCCCCATATCATTCTAAATTTTTACCCAAATGGGTTTTCAAGGACCTTGCTCCTCCTGCCTGTGGGAAGTGGTTACAGGTTAGCAATAGTTGAAACTCCCCTACTGTTTTTCCCAGCTTAGCAGGGTGGTTGGAGACCAGCCCCAATACTCCTGAGAGCCCATAGAGACAGTCCTGGCTCAGCACTGAGGACATCTTGCAGGCAGGGTTGGCTGAGTGTTTTATGGAGCGAGCTTAAGAGGAGATGTTCTAAAACCAGAGAGGAAACATTTTTCTCTGTTCTCTGCAATTCAGCAGGTGATATCCCTTCATGGATTTATAATAAACACAGTCCTCTCATTGACCAAGGTTGAAAAACTCAGAAAGTTTGCTCAGCACAGATCTGGGAGTCAGGAACGTACTATGTGCTGTGGAAGACATTTCAACTCCTCTTTCAAGCAAAAAAAAAAAAAAAAAGTCAATACTGATCTAGTTTATATAGCTATTATAAAAAATTATATTAATGAAAATAGAAATTCATTTGTAAGTAGAGACAGCTACCAAATTCCTAAGCAATCTATTCATTTTTGTTTTTTTTTTTAGACTTGAACACTTTTTCTTGCCTTGCCTCACAATGCAGTTGTCAATATAGGGCCACTTTAGTTACACCTATTACCTGACTCTGCAAAGACCACAGAGCTTATTTCCTTTAGAAGGATTTTGTTTGATTAATTTACACTCTTCGCTGACATTTCTCAGTTGAGTAGGAGGAAAAAAAGGAGTTTAATTTAACCATATTAGCCACATCATGGACAGGGAAATGTATGGAGGATGTTTAAGTGATTTGCCTTATTGAGTAAAGATATATCTAAGCTTAGATTTTACTTTGTCCTATAAGAACTCTGTGAGCGAGATTTTTTTTTCTTTTTTGAGATGGAGTCTTGCTCTGTTGCCTAGGCTGGAGTGCAGTGGCACGATCCCAGCTCACTGCAACCTCCACCTCCTGGGTTCAAGCGATTCTCCTGCCTCAGCCTCCCGAGTAGCTGGGATTACAGGAGCAAACCACCACGCCCGGCTAATTTTTTATACTTTTAGTAGAGACGGGGTTTCTCCATGTTGGTCAGGCTGGTTTCGAACTCTTGACCTCAAGTGATTTGTCTGCCTTGGCTGCCCAAAGTGCTGGGATTACAGGCGTGAGCCACTGTGCCCAGCCGAGCGAAATATTTTTGACTATAGTAGTCTGAATGTTCTTTTAAGTTTCATAATGTAGGCTAAAGCTCTATTTTCTGCCAAATGCGAAATTGTAGAACAGAATAAAACCATGTGCTTTATATTATACGAATTATATCTGATGAATGTTCATGTTTAGAAAAATCACAATCAAGCTCAGCAGTTGTAGATATGGATAACACAACTCCATTCCTGAGCAGAGCAGGTTTCATCATAATTGCCTGCCTTATGTTTTGTTTTCATACCTGTAGTAAACTTAGGAAACTTAAAAATTATTCAATAGAAATTTAGAGTGTGGAGCCCTGGTTTGAATCCTGGCTCTTGTCATCTTAATCAGTTCCCTCCATTTTTACATCTGTAAAACGGAAATATTCATAATAATAAAACACCTCCATAAGAATCAAATGAAATAAAGTAGAAGTGCTTTGTAAAAGATAAACAATTCAATAACTGTACAATTCAGTAACTGCAAGGAGGTATTATATAAGCATAGATTTTTTTTTTTAAAACTAGGAGTTGTCAACCCAAATGTCCATCAATGATAGACAGGATAAAGAAAACGTGGCACATATATACTGTGGAATACTATGCAGCCATAAAAAAGGATGAGTTCATGTCCTTTGCAGGGACATGGATGAAGCTGGAAACCGTCATTCTCAGCAAACCAGCCTAGGAGCAGAAAACCAAACACCGCATGTTCTCACTGACAAGTGGGAGCTGAACAATGAGAACACGTGGACCAGGGAGGGGAACATCACACACTGGGGCCTGTCAGGGGGTGGGGGGCTAGGGGAGGGGTAGGAGAATTATCTGATGTAGATGATGGGTTGATGGATGCAGCAAACCATCATGGCACGTGTATACCTATGTAACAAACCCGCACGTTCTGCAAATGTATCCCAGAACTTAAAGTATAATTAAAAAACAAAACAAAACAAAAAAAGACCAGGGGTGTACTATGTGAATTACTGGAGGTATCAGAGAATTCTCAGATGATCCAACACATGTCCAAAATTCAAGTACTATTAAAAACACATAATTTTAAAAATAAAAGTTACTTATGAAAGCCTGACTGCTAGTTTTAAAGGGACATAAATAAACCTTATTTACCTTATTTATGTATGTCCCTTTGAATCTAGGGTTTTTTCTTTTCTTTTTTTTGAGACAGCGTTTCACTCCCATCACCGAGACTGGAGTGCAGTGGCATGATCTCGGCTCACTGCAACCTCCATCTCCTGGGCTCAAGCAATTCTCCTGCCTCAGCCTCTGAGTAGCTGGGACTACAGGGCCACGCCATCGCACCCAGCTAATTTTTGTATTTTTTTTAGACATGGCGTTTTGGCATGTTGTCCAGGCTGGTCTCAAACTCCTAGCCTCAAGTGATCTGCCCGCTTCAGCCTCCCAAAATGTTGGGATTACAGGCCTGAGCTACTGCACTCGGCCTAGTTTTTTTTTAATTCCAGAAAAAGTTTCAAGATTTTTTTTTTTTTTTGCTTTTGTGTTAATATTTTGGGTGTAGTGGGAGAGGGGGTAGCACACTTGAGTTGCTGCAGGACTTGTTTTTTTGTGTGACCAGAGAGAGCCCACAGCACACAGCCGGGTTCTCATTGGAAAGGCATCAGAACAAGTGTGTGCAGACAGCACCGCTTATAGTCCGTGACACTCATTCCTCCGCATGAATCAGGGCCACACATGGCTTCAGATGATACAGGTTCTTTCCTGACATCTCAAGGGGAGTCATTTGAATGCGTCCGTGTCTCTCCCACTACCTCTCAAAATGCCGGACTAAGTTAATTGGTAAATAAATGCTCAGGCTGCTTAGCAGTGGCCTATCTCTGAGGCATGAGGTCTAATATAGTTTAAATGTAAGTCCATCGTGGCCTCCAAGTAGCTAGGAAAACAGGTGGGGGACTTCAAAGAGATCTGAGAGCAAGCCTGGCCGGGTCTCTTGTACTTTTCCAGCCCTGGCTTATGTGTGGGACAATGGTGAAAAGCAGCCCTTGAGGTAGAACCAAGTGGGTTTTTTTTTTATTCATATTCGGCACAGATTTATTGATGCAGAAAACATGCTCTCCTGATGTGGCCACAGAATCATCACTTGCTTCTTTCAAAATCCGTAAAATCTTGCATTCTGTGGTATTTGGCAGATTACATCTCATACTGTAGCAGCCTGCGCTTGCCAGCTGAAGTGTCTGAAAGTAGCTTGGAGTCGTTTTCACACTCTTTGATGCTAGTCCACCTTTTACTACATACCAAGGATAGTACATATATCCACCAAGTGGTGCCAAATCTTGTTCTTTATTCTTCTTAAATTTGAACGTCAAAATTGCACTTTAATAATAAAAATATAAAGCCATGAGCTATGCAAATAATGAATAAAGATTATTCTGAGTAGGCTTAGATGCCACAAGAATGCCCTTGTTTTTCTCTTTCACGGTTTGACCCAGTGTGGTGTGAATGTTCTCTTTGAGACAATCTTTGTGTTAAATCTTTACACTAATAAATGTGTTAGAACTTCTTCAGGGATATTCTTAGCGAGGAGGAGTTGGTGGATGTGTTTTTTGCAAATAGGCTTCCTTTGTCTGCTTGGCAATTCTCTATGAGGTTTCTGAAAGTGTGACCTGTACGTGAGACATCTAAGTGGATGGAGCAAAATGAGGGAGACATATATGCCAGTCTGATAAGTAAATCATTCTTGTAGTCAGTGTGGAAGAGTTGGCAAATTTCTCTCTGATTTCCTTCTGTTTTTGACCCTGCCAGGCTGAACCCAAAGACCCAGCATTGTGACTGGAAGGGCCTGCGAAAGAAAGCCCTTGCCAAGTGATCTCTGTATAATCGTCTTTCAGAGACTTAATAAGCTTTGGAGAATATTTGGATGAAGTTGGCAGTTTTATTGATACCATCTGATTCTACTTTGGTCCTGTAGCAGTTTCTGCCACTTTGTCACCAGTGGGGGGAATATGCTGTTACCATAATGGAAAAGGAGGACATTTGGTAGCATTTTTCTGTGTTTATGTCAGGAGTCGTCTAAAATGGTCATTTTTTTTTTTTTTTAAGAAAAACAACATATGCGTACAAAGTAGGTGTATATATTTATGGGGTACATGCAATATTTTGATACAGTCCTACAATGCATAATAATCACATCAGGATAAATGGGGTATCCATCACCTTAAGCCTTTATAATTTCTTTGTGTTACAAACATTCCAATTATACTTTTAGTTATTTTTACTTATTTATTTATTTTGAGACAGGGTCTCATTTGGTTACCCAGGCTGGAGTGCAGTGATGCAATAATCATGGTTCACTGCAGCCTTGACCTCCTGGGCTCAGGTGACCCTCCTGCTTCAGCTTCCTGAGTCGCTGGAACTACAGGCGTGTGCCACCATGCCAGGCTAATTTTTAAAGTTTTTGTACAGATGGAGTGTCACTATGTTGCCCAGCCGGGTCTCAAGCGATCCTTCCACTTTGGTCTCCCAAAACATTGCTATTACAGGTGTGAGTCATTGTGCCCCACTGACGAGAGGTTCTTCATATTTCTTTTATATCCACTGCCACAAAACTGAGTGCAATTGGTCTATTCAGTCAGGAAGTCGCTTACCTTTCATGTGCTTCCCTATTACCTGGGCATATTTCCAGGGGGTTTCAGAGGAAGAAGTAGCTCTTTCCTATGAGGATATATGCTGGTTCTGAAGTGTTTACTTAGATGCATAGTGGAAGCTCAAAAAATATTTACTGAACTCACTCTTGTGGTTTAGCTTTCAACTATAAACATAGGAATAAAGGGAGAAAAAAGCATGAAAAACTAGAAGCTGAAAGCCAGGCAGGAAGAGAATGGATCTAGAAAGAAGTAGGAAGTCCATTTGCTCAGAGGAAGGATACCCACTCACCAATGGGAAATAGGTCCAGTGTTGTGTGGTAGGGTTGTGGGTAGTAGTAGTAATTTCACAATGGGTGTGGGAGGTTGGTGAGTAGATGGACTAGATTCAAAAGTAGATACCTCGCTCTCACCTATAGCCTAGCAGTTTGGGAGGCCGAGACAGGAGGATCGCTTGAGCCCAGAAGTTTGAGATTAGCCTGGCCAACATGGCAAAACTCCATCTCTACAAAAAATACAAAAATTACCCAGGCGCGGTGGTGGAGTGCCTGTAATCCCAGCTACTCCGGGGGTTGCTGTGGTGGAGGATCACTTGAGCCTGGGAGTTCAAGGCTGCAGCCAGCCAAGATTGCACCACTGCACTCCAGCCTGGGTAACAGAGCGAGGCCCTGTCTCCAAAAAAGAAAAAGAAAAAGAAAGAAAGTAGATAGTGATGAAGCTGGATAGTTAAAACAGAAACTTGAAAAGCAAGATGTGGAACTGGGATATAGGATTTCAGAGTTTAAAAGAAATGTGACATTTCTTAGTGGATTGTCCTTCAGTTGTGTTTACTAAGCAACTGTCAGCTAGTGAGATTACTGTGTATGGCCAATCCAGATAAATAAGACGATCAAGTCTTTATGAAAAGGAAAGAAAAATTTGGAATGCACATCTCTGTCCAGCTCAATTCCTCACTCCTTTTTTAAGATGGAGAGCTGTTAGGTTTGTCTACACAGTAGGAAACACCTGATTAAATAACAGCATGGAGCCAATCTTGACAAAGAAATTGGCTGCATCCAATAGAATCCCAGGGCCGGTCGTGGTGGCTCATGCCTGTAATCCCAACACTTTGGGCGGCCGAGGTGGGAGGATCACTTGAGCTTTGGTCTCAGGGCTTTGAGACCAGCCTGGACAGCATAGTGAGACCTCGTCTCTAAAAAATTAAATTAAAAAAAAAAATAGAGCGCCAGCAAAGTCAATTCCTGAACTCTCTTCTGTTCAGTAGTAGCAAAAATGCCTGATCTAAGTGATGGGGAAAGTTAGTTTATGTGGCTGTAGCATCAGACACATCACTGACAATCCTGCTGTGGATTTATAGCACAGGGGACACTACATCTAGAAACACCTGTCTGTGGACTGCTGCTGCTGTCAGGTTAGTAATCTGTGTATTCTAATGAGAATGGACGTGGCCTCCCTAGTGTCAGCCACATAATGGAAATCCTAGATCAGCATGCTTACTTCTTCCCATCTAATTGCAAGTTGTAATTTGTAAATAATGGGTTTACTTTTTAATTTTGAGAAGGTAAATGTGTTGCTGTACAAAAGCCCAGGATTCCTTCCCGTTAAATCGGCAGCATTCTTGGACACAGTAAATCCTATCACACACTTTTGTCTCACAAAAGAAGTAGCGGCAGTTAGAAGACTTTGAATTCTCCCTTACCCGTGACTTTGAGCAAGTGATTTAACCTCTCAGACAACACAGTTCCTCATTTGCAAAATGGAAATAATGTCTACATTATCTATTTCTACTCACAGAGTTGTTTTAGGACACAAAATGGTAAAGGAAGGAAAAGCTAAGTTACTGCAACATGGTAGGATACTTTTGCTTTTAAATTTAATTTATACGCATCCCAATTTTTATCTAGAACCTAGATTTCAGGCTAAAGAAGAGAGCCGTTGGGCTTCATTCCACTTGTAGTAGCCTCACGTTACCCTTACTGTGAAATTAGTCTTTGTTTCCTTTCATCTCTTTTGAATATCACCCTTGCCCTGCAATAATAAAAGAGAGCTGCATGCAGTGAAATCAAACCATGAAATTATAGAATTGTAGAGCCAGAACTAGCTACATATAAACAGAAAAGAAAATTTGATTGAAACATTAATAATTTTCATCAAGGTGAAAATGACTGACAGGTATTACTTTAACAGAGTTATTTATACTTTTTAAAGATGTGCTACTGACCTGTTAACCTAATGAAATTTAGATGGTGGAAGGGATATAAGTTGTTGAAAATTTG
This sequence comes from Homo sapiens, assembly GCF_000001405.40. Lineage (NCBI taxonomy): Eukaryota > Metazoa > Chordata > Mammalia > Primates > Hominidae > Homo > Homo sapiens. Next base: position 59,331,656 of record NC_000015.10, on the reverse strand, counting down.
GGATTCATTTCTTTCCATCTTAGTATTTTTGGAGTGGTAGAGTGCTGTGTCTACATACCTTTGTAATAAAAAACAATTTGGGGCTGGTGTTGATAATCAAGTTGATTGCGATCTCTAGGAGAGGAGAGTCTATCTGATCTTTTTCTTGCCGTTTGTATATATTGTTCTACCTCTCCCATCTCATCTGAAATATGGGGCAGTTTCTTGGTTCTCAGTTGTTTCTTTTCTGATATGTTGCTGACCTCTGATTTCTCATATCAGTGCTCTTCCCTTAGTTCAGAGATGTTTCCCCAGTTGTAGATGGGGGTTGGAAAAGGAAGGTGCTTGTGATTTAAAAGCCCTGTCACTTACTGTGTCCATAATATAGTGAGTCCACCTGTGGACTGAGCAAGGCTGCTGTCACATCTTTCAAGGTTTTCCTCATTGATCCTACATCGGTTTAGCAAAATTCTTCTGTAAAAGGCTAGATAGTAAATATTTTAGGCTTTGTGGACCATACAGTCTCTGTCACAGCTACTCAACTCTGCCATTGTAGCATGAAATCACGTGGCTGTCTTCTAATAAAACTTGGTTTACAAAAACAATCAGACTGGGCGTCGTGGCTCACACCTGTAATCTCAGCACTGTGGGAGGACGACACAGGAGGATTGCTTGAGCCCAGGAGTTCGAGAGCAGCATGGGCAACGTAGGGAGACTCCATCTCCGCAGATTTTTAAAAAGTTAGCTGGGCGTGATGGTGCATGCCTGTGGTCCCAGCTACCTGCAGGGGCTGAGGCAGGAGGATCGTCTGAGGTTGGGAGGTCAAAGTTGCAGTGAGCCATGATTGCACCACTGCACTTCAGCCTAGGTGACAGAGCAAGACTCGGTCTCAAAAAACCAACACAAATAAATAAAAATTAAAAATAATCATTGAGCCAGATTTGGCTCACGGGCTGTAGTTTGCTGACTCCTGTTCTACATGATTTTCATAAAGGTGGGACAGGTGCACTTATAATATTAAATGGAATGGAGGGTGCTATTGTAAATACCTGCAAGTTGAATCAAGGATAGCTTTTTAAAGCAGTTTGCTTAGAAATTTACCTACAAAAGACTATTATTACAGTACCTCCCTGTGCCATGTACCTATAGATTGACTTAGGCAAAAACCTGACAACAGACCTTGGGAATATTTGGGGATATTTACTTTTTCAAGTAATTGAGTTATACGTACTTTGCCTGCCACTTTTTACATTGCATTGCCAATTTAAGTTAACATCACCGACCTAATGTCAGCAATGTTCCACTCTTAAAGCTGGAAACTGGATTCGAGGGTGAGCAAGGAAGGATGAGGAGAGGGAAGTTTACCTTAAATGATCCTTGAAGTCAACATTAGGTACCTTGAGAATGCCTTGCTGCTTGATTTTAAGATCTTCAATTACAGCACTTTGATTCTTAACCTTAAAAAAATTCTCCTTCAGCCATTTCAAGCCATGTGGAATATCTCTTACTGCTTAGGAATTTGCTGTGGTTTTTCATTGACCGTGGCCCCAGACTCTGGAATATGTATTAATTTATCTGGGCAGAGAATACAGAAATCCACATGCAGAATAAAGTGAACTTTATGCTGAAGCAGAATATTGAAGCTGGGAATGGTTAATTCTTAAAAAATAAAGCATCAGCGTTAATAAATATTGAATTCTAAGAAGGTATTTTGCAGTTTGCTTCTTAAAGTACTGAGATAATCTGACTGGGTTCCCATTTAAAAGAGAGAAGTTTTTTCCCTCCATGAATAATATTCGTTTACAGTCATTGGTAAATTATTAATCTGCATTCCAGTGTTTCATGTTTGAAATACCAGTCCGCCCTGTCCATGGGGATTTGATCTCACGCTGTAATCAGCAAAGGGTTCTGGGAAGTGAGAATAGCTGTGGTTTGCTCTTTTAAAGACCTTAGGAGAGAATCAAAAAGTGGTGGTTATTCAGGAAGTTGGCCTGTCCAGCATTTGACGGCTGGCAGTTTTCATATGGAGTCATATGAGACCATGAACTTGGAAGGCACACTAGACTGTGGGAAAGTTTGGGTGGGCTGCTCACCACCCTGTGATTTTCAGAGGTCCTAGAATGTTCTTTAGAGTATTCCTGCAGTTTTTGAATGGATGTCAAATCTCTTTTGGTTTGGGGCTACCCGAAATGTTTACATTCTGAGTCGTTGGTCCATTTTCCTCCAACAATGCACATTTAGGATTGCTATTGGGTACCTAATGAACTGGATTGATCATAAGATTCTCAGGATCTCTGGCCCCAGCTCGACACCACTTTCTAGCTATGGCACGTTAGGTAAGTCCTTTAACCACTCTGACTCTCACACTGAATATAGGTTAGAACAGTATCTACGTCATAGTGTTGCTTGAGGATTAAGAGGAATAATTCATGGGACTTGGCATGAGTCTTTACTAGATTGTAAGCTCCATGGAGGAGCTGTCTTCCCAGTGCCTCCAGCAGTGTCTGGCATATAGTGAGGAGCTCAACACACATTTGTTAAATTAACAGTAAGCATTCAGTCAATGTTAATTGTTACTGTTGTCATGAATAATATTCTCATTATTACTTACATTACCCATTTTGAGTCCTCCGTACCTTCTGTTGATAACAGTCATCTTCGTGAAGCAGCTATGGTGTCATTGATAGGATGCTGAGTTCAAATTCTAACCCTGTCCTGATTAGCTGTGGGCAAAGTTTCTTAACCTCTCTGAACTAGTTTCCTTGTCTGTAAATTGTGATGATAATGCCCTCCCACAGAGTCTAAGAGGGTAACACACCCCTGCCTTAGTTTTCTCAAACGTATGGGTAGAAGTAGCCCTGGGACCTACTCACTTACCAGTGTCTTAGATTTTTCACATGCCCTAAATGCTTAACTCTATAGGCCTTGCATGCTCCACACCAGAGTCTTCTACAGATTGCCCAATATATTGAGGGCTGATGAGGTCCCCTCCACACAGAACAGCTATGTGTAGCAGGTTGATCAAAACATCTGTATTCTGATCAGGGTCATCTCTGCACAGCTGGAGTTGTGTATGTCCTTTAAGTTTCTATAACTGGTCATTATAAAATACTAAGTATAGTAATACTAATTTATGAATTTATGTCTCATGAAATGAAGAGATACCAACAACACAACTGGGGTTTCATAGAGGTTGTAAAAATGAACTTTTTGGCCCCTCTCCCAGTACCAAGCGTGTATTGGGAGAGGGGCCAGAAAGTTCATTGTCTGGTCAATTTGCCACCCCAATGAAGGTGGGTTCCTTTTCAGAAGTCTTGAAGGTTTGAGCCTGGCAATGGATCAAGTTCTCTTTCCTCCTGCAGAATCTCTCTTCTGGTCCACACTCTGGGAGGTAGACGGGACTAAGCAGAAGGTCACTTCCCCAGTGCAAGAAAATGTACTACTCCACTCTCACATTCTACCTTTGGTTTGAGCAAAGGCCACATTTTGCAAGCCCGTTTGCTGCCCAGTTAATCTGTCAGGGTGAACTTTCTCTCACCCTCTGCTGACACCTCTGCCACCCAGCCCCATCTCCTTTGAGAGGGGGAACCCCCCCACCATGGAGCTTTGTGTTTTCCTCCACTTCCTCCTTTTAGCAGGGTAAGCCTCCACACTTCTGCCCAGGCTGTTGGGCCCACCATCTCCTCTTTTAACACAGCTTCCGAAGTGCTGGGGATGGAGAGGGTGTCAATGTGGCAAACGTTCCTTTGCCCACTGATGAGAAGTTTCAGCCCTTCCCAAGACATGTCTGGAAATGGCAGTCCACCCTGGCCTTTCCTTAACTTCACTCCATCCCTCAGCCCCTTCATGTACAAGTTGTCAGCACATCTTGTTATTTCTGCTTATAAAAATACATCGAATCTGACAGCTTTGCCCCACTCTATAGCTGCCCTCCTAATTCAGCGAGCTGGAGAGGCAATTCTCGGTCAGGATGATTTAGGATATTCCTAACTGGTCTCTCTGCCATCCCACTATACCCTCCTGCACTGTCCACTTAACAGTGATGTTTAAAAAGTAAATAAATGGCTGGGCGTGCTGGCTCATACCTGCAATCCCAATACTTTTGGAGGCAGAGGAAGGAGAATTGCTTAAGGCCAGGAGTTTGAGACAAGCCTGGGAAACATAGGGAGACCCCATGTCTATAAATAATAATAATAATAAAAATAGCCAGATGTGGTGATGCACACTTGTGGTCCCAGCTACTCAGGAGGCTGAAGTGAGAGGATTGCTTGAGCCTGGGAGGTCGAGGCTGGCACTGCACTCCAGCCTGGGTGATAGAGTGAGACCCCATCTCTGAAATAAAAAAAAAAAAAGAAAAATGTACAAAGTGCCTTTTAAAAAGCAGGTATATGGAGATGTAAGCAGGCATCAAGGCTAGCAGTGCCCAGCGGTGAGCCACGGCTGCACTGGTGGGTCCATGGGAATAGAAAGCAAAGTCTTGGGTCCACACAAGGTGGAGGATTACATGGGAGACTCCTGCATGGAGGTGTGCACTCTGTGGAAGAGTCAAGTGAGAAAACGCCTTACCCATAAAGGGAGATGGTATCATTACCTCTTCAGTTCTCTTTCCCTACTGCGACCCCACCCGAAAAGCCCCACCTAGGTTCCAGTTCCTCTGGGTGCAGGTGCCTGATTGCCTGAAGCCTGGTGCTCAGGATTGTCCTACATTCTCCCCACTGTTCCCTGAGTGGTTCCCTGACTTGCTGTTTTATAAAACCTTTTTACATACAGTAGAGTCGGGGGCAGGGGGCAGGTCTTGGTCACTCAGCCCATAAGAGGTAGACTCTGAACAGGTCGCTTTCGAGTTGTGTTTCCAATGTCCTTTTTACCATATTGACAAAGGGAAGAATTTATGTAGGAATACATCATCTTTAATTAAAGCATAGCTATAAATTATGCAAGTAGCAGTACATATTTTAACACAAAAGCAAGGTTCATAGACAAAAATGGAATGGTAAAATCATGAAAATGTAAATCTCTTGGTTAGGAGACATTTAGGCTCAAAATAATAATTAAAAAATCAACAGTTATCACGTGTCGATACGACATTGAAAAACATCTTGTGATTTTAAATTGAAAAATGGGTTCAGACTGACCACCCAAATAATCCTTTTTTTGAGATGGAGTCTTGCTCTGTCGCCAGGCTGGAGTGCAGTGGCGCAGTCTCGGCTCACTGCAGCCTCCACCTCCCAGGTTCAAGCAATTCCCGTGCCTCAGCCTCCTGAGTAGCTGGGATTATAGGCATGCTCCACCACACCTGGCTAATTTTTTTTTTTGTATTTTAGTACAGATGGGGTTTCACCATGTTGGCCAGGATGGTCTCGATCTCCTGACCTCGTCTTCTGCCTGCCTCGGCCTCCCAAAGTGCTGGAATTACGGGCGTGAGCCACCATGCCCGTCCCACCCAATTCTACTGTGCGCTTTTCCAGAGAAGTGTGAATTATTTGTGTCTTCAGGGAAATACATAGCTGTCTGGGTTTTTTTTTTTTCTGTTTTGTTTTTCCTTTAAGCATCTGATAATACAAATGTACTCAAATGGAAGAGGAACTGAACCTTTGAGTTTAATGAGAGTTTTGGTGTTTAAAGAATTCAGGATCATGAAGAATGTGTGGTGACTTCCCTCTTCCTATTCCCATTACTTTAAATGTCGTAGCTGTTGCTTTTTGTGCTTTGGGAAGATTCTTGATGCCTCCACATTCTGATTCACTGGACAGCCCTGATTATAGGCCATGGGGGTTAGAGCTGGAAGGGTCTGTGGGAGTCAATCCATGTCCCGCATTTGACAGGTCAGACACTGAAAAACAGATATTGAGAGCTCAAGGACTTGCGTGGGCTGACATTGAGCACTACAGATGCCATGGAAATGGACACCTGCTCCTGTGCTCACCAAGCACAGCAGTATTCCCCCAGCCTGGGCCAGTGGATGGAGGAATTAATGGTTTAATCTTAACTAATTTAATTTTAAAAAGATAATGAAGAAATGCTAAATTAATTTTTAAAAATCTTAGTATTCCTTCATGGAAAAAAGCTAACAAAATGATTGGACATGTATACATTTTAGTGTTTATTGTTTAAAAGATGTGTTATTGGATTGCACTATCAAACTCCATAAAATCTGGAGTTGAAATAAATAAATAATCTCAACCTGTGGTGCAGTTAGGTGCTGGTCAGCTGATGTCACAGCCTACTGACTGGGACTCATTGTGCACGAATTTAAGTCCTTTAGTCAAGCTGTGATCACTTCCACGAAATCCCTGGTTATGTCATTTGGAGATCTTTTATCCCCTAACTAAAAAGGACAATTGGCCGGGCACTGTGGCTCACACCTGTAATCACAGCACTTTGGGAGGCCAAGGTAGGTGGATCAACGAGTTCAAGAGATGGAGACCATCCTGGCCAACATGGTGAAACCCTCTCTCTACTAAAAATACAACAATTAGCTGGGCATGGTGACGGGCGCCTGTAGTCACAGCTCCTCGGAAGGGCTGAGGCAGGAGAATCGCTTGAACCCAGGAGGTGGAGGTTGCAGTGAGCTGAGATTGTGCCACTGCACTCCAGCCTGGCGATAGAGCGAGATTCTGTCCCAGAAATAAAAAAAAAAAAGAAAAGGAAATTGAATTCATTTAAATTGTTAAACCCTACTGAAGGGAAGATAGTTCTTCAGTCAAAAGGCTTTTTTTTTTTTTTTTCTAAAAAGCCTTAGAGTGCTAAAAGTAAAAACAAATCCAGCTATTACTTGAAGTTTTGTAAATGGGAAATGTACTTGTAGTTGAGACTATCTGGATTTTTCTTTGTGTCTTAATTACTCCCTGATAGAAGCAAGGCCTTTAGGAGTCTTTTAATGTCTTTAGGACATAAGGCTCAATTTTACTCCTCAGGTCCCCTCAGTCTGAAAGAAGCAGGTGCAGCACTTGAGCATTCATCCAACCAATAATTCTCAGGCTCTGCTGTATGCTGCCCTCTGTGGGGGGGGGGCTTGGGATGGGGATAAATACGGCGAGACACAGCTCTTTCTCCCACCTGGGTTTCAGGGAGAAGAATGTCACCTTGAACTTGAGGAGCTCTATCTGGCAGCATCTCTGAGGTGTGCTTCTTCTCTACCTTTTCCTCCCCTTGAACCAACCCAGATACTCTAGCATCCCCGATGCTCCCCAGAACATGCCCAACTCCAAAGACAGCCTGATTTTTTTCTTTTAAAACCCAGACCCAGAAGCAGGTCATTTTGGGGTGGTTTAGCACAAGGCTCTCCACAGACTTGTGTTGCTCATAGGCGAGGGGTGGCCCCCTTTCCGATAGTGTCATTGATTTTCTTTTGGATATTCTCCCTTTTTTTTTAATTTGAAAACATATTCTCTCTTAACGGATGTGACTGATGCTTGCACTTTTGGATGCTTGCAGACCTAGGACACTGCAGAATAGAATTAATTGGAGTCTGGGTTTTCTAACAGTTTAGATGTCATTCACTGCCTCACTGCCCACACGGATATATGTACTTGTCTCACGTTCTGTCGGCTGAGCCTTCTTTTCTTACTTATGATTTGTGGCCAAAGTGGGTCCTGTTCTTGAGAACTGAGGGCACAAGGGAGGATCCCTCACTTTGCCCAGATTAGATCTTGAATCTCAGCTCTCTCGAGGATTCCGTTTTTGTTTTTTTTTTTCCTGCCTTTGGTGGCTTTCTCACCATGGAGCTGGAGAAGTCACTGTGGGCTCATGAAGGGTCTTTGCTGCTTCAAACTCAGAACACACATCCCGCAAGCTCTAGTAATAATATAAGGTGACAGCCCCCCAGGGGCTCTTATGGGCAGCCAGACCCCTCTCTGGCTGCACCCTTTGTCCCAAGCCTGCTATTTTCCCTTAACTTCCAGGTCCTCCTCCCCTCCAGTGTGCTGGGGCCCTGTAGCACACAGCAACATCAGTGCAGTCATCAGACAAATGCACACAGCCGTTCTCCAAATCACCCTTAATTTTTTTTTTTTCTTTTTTGAGGCGGAGTCTCATTCTGTCACCCAGGCTGGAGTGCAGTGGTGCGATCTCGGCTTCTTGTAAGCTCCACCTCCCGGGGTCATGCCATTCTCCTGCCTCAGCCTCCCGAGTAGCTGGGACTGCAAGCGCCCACCACCGTGCCTGGCTATTTTTTTGTGTGTATTTTTAGTAGAGACGGGGTTTCACCATGTTAACCAGGATGGTCTCGATCTCCTGACCTTGCCATCTCCCACCTCGGCCTCCCAAAGTGCTAGGATTACAGGTGTGAGCCACTGTGCCTGGCCCATATCACCCTTAATTTTAAATCTGAATGTCAATTCCCTTGTTGAAATTGTTTATGTTTCATGTTCAGAAATTACCATATTTCATCAAAACCATTGGTTTAGTTTGGTTTTAGGAACAGATGTTTCTTTTCTGTCAATCTTATTTCCATTTTTGGTTGCCATTGATATTTCAAAAGGCACCTTTTTTTTTTTTTTTTTTTTTTGTGATGGGGTCTTGCTCTGTCGCCCAGGCTGGAGTGCAGTGGTGCGATCTCGGCTCACTGCAAGCTCTGCCTCCTGGGTTCACACCATTCTCCTGCCTCAGCCTCCTGAGTAGCTGGGACTACAGGTGCCCACCACCATACCAGGCTATTTTTTTTTTTTTTTGTATTTTTAGTAGAGACGGAGTTTCACCGTGTTAGCCAGGATGGTCTTGATCTCCTGACCTCGTGATCCGCCCACCTCGTCCTCCCAAAGTGCTGGAATTGTAGGCGTAAGCCACCGTGCCCGGCCAGAAAGCACCATTTCTTATATACCTTTAAAAAAGAAAAATATTGCTAACTAAATTAAGACATGTCTTCTGTTGTAAGACATATTCTGGTTTAAGATATGTTAAATGGAAAAAAAACAAACAAACTCAAAACCCATGTACCTTTTTCTTTTTCCCAATGTGCTTTTTAGAATCAATACAATCTGTGTCAGGACTCTATTAGATTTCACTTTCCCTCTGACAGAGCCACTTATGCTTTTAAAATAGCCAGGTAAGCAGGACAATTTCCTTTCAGCCCATCTCTGGCTCTCATGGCTTCCTTCTTACACATGCTAGGTAAGCACTTTGAACTTGAAAAACACTTGACTAAACACTCATATGATCTGGATTGTTTAACCACAAAAGATTTGGTCTTCTCTAGTGAAAAATGCTGTGGGTTTCTTTTTTACCTTTAATTTTACTTTTCAAGTTAAAAAATAGCTTTTAAGGTCAAAATTTTCAGAGCAATTTGTAAGTATAGATACAGTTTCATGGTGACAGTTTCTTATGTTGAAAAGGTGACACAAAACACATTATCTTTTACTTTAGATTCAAGGGGTACATGTGCAGATTTGTTACTTGGGTATATTGCGTGATGCTGAGGTTTGGGGTACTGTCATCCAGGTACTGAGCATAATACCCAATAGTTAGTTTTTCTTTTCTTTCTATTTTTTTTTTTTTTAATTTTTGAGACAGAGTCTTACTCTGTTGCCCGGGCTGGAGTGCAGTGGTGTGAACTTGGCTCACTGCAACCTCCACCTCCCAGGTCCAAACAATTATCCTGCCTCAGCCTTCCAAGTAGCTGGGATTACAGGTGCCCGCCACCACACCCAGCTATTTTTTTCGTACTTTTGTAAAGTTGGGGTTTTGCCATGTTGGCCAGGCTAGTCTCCAATTCCTGACCTCAGGTGGTCTGCCTGCCTTGGCCTCCCCAAAGTGCTGGGATTACAGGCACCTGCCACTGCACCCTGCCAGTTTTTCTTTTCTTTTCTTTTTTTGAGCCAGGGTCTCACTCTGTCACCCAGGCTGGAGTGCAGTGGTGTGATCTCGGCTCAACCTCCTGGGCTCAAGAGATTCTCCCAGGTCAGCCTCCCACATAGCCTTCTGGCAAATTTTTGTATTTTTTGTAGATATGGGGTATAACTAGTTTTTCAGTTCTTACCCACCTCCCTCTCTCCTGCCTCTAGTAGTCCCCATGTCTATTGGTGCCATCTTTATGTCCATGAGTACCCAATGTTTAGCTCCCACTTTTAAGTGAGAACATAGGGTATTTGAATTTCTGTTCCTGCATTAATTTGCTTATGATAATAGCCCCCAGTTTCATCCATGTTGCTTCAAAGGACATGATTTCGCTCTTCTTTATGGCTGCATAGTACTCCATGGTATATATGTACCACATTTCCTTTATCCAATTCACTGTTGATGGGCACCTAGGTTGATTCCATGTCTTTGCTATTGTGAATAGTGCTGTGGTAAACATACAAGTACATGTGTCGTTTTGGTAGAACAATTTATTTTCTTTTCGATGTATACCCAGTAATGGGATTGCTGAGTTGAATGATAGTTCTGTTTTAGGTTCTTTGAGAAATCTCCCAGCTGCTTTCCACAGTGACTGAACTAACTTACACTCCCACCTACAGTGTGTAATTGTTCTCTTTTCTCCTCAGCCTTACCACCATCTGTTGTTTTTTGACTTTCTAATAACCATTCTGACTGGTGTGAGATTGTATCTCATTGTGGTTTTGATTTGTATTTCTATGATAATTAGTGATGTTGAGCATTTTTTCATTTTTTTAACAGTTTGTACGTCTTGTTTGGAGAAGTATCTGTTCATGTCTTTTGGCCATTTTTTAATGGGATTGTTTGTTTTTTTGCTTGTTCAATTGTTAAAAGTTCCTTAAGGATTCTGGATATTAGACTTCTGTCAGATGCATAGTTTGTGAATATTTTCTCCTATTCTGTAGGTTGTCTTTTTACTTTGTTAATAGTTTCTTCTGCTGTACAGAAGCTCTTTAGTTTAATCAGGTTCCACCTGTCAATTTTTGTTTTTGTTGCAGTTGTTTTGAGGACTTAATCATAGATTCTTTTCCAAGATTGATATCCAGAGTGGTGTTTCCTAGGTTGTCTTCTATTATTCTTATAGTTTGAGGTCTTACATTTAAATCTTTAATCCATCTTGGGTTAATTTTTGTATGTGGTGAAAGGTAGGGTCAAGTTTTATTCTTCTGCATATGGCTAGCCAAGCACCCTAGCACCATTTATTGAATAGGAAGTTCTTTCCACATTGCTTATTTTTGTCAACTTTGTTGAAGATCAGATGGTTATAGGTGTACAGCTTTATTTCTGGGTTCTCTGTTGAACAGAACAGAGAACAGAATATTGGTCAATGTGTCTATTTTTGTACTAGTACCATGCTGTTTTGGTTATTGTACCCTTATACTATAGTTTAAAGTCAGTTAATGTGATGTCTCTGGCTTTATTCTTTTTTGCTTAGGATTGCTTTTGTATTTGGGCCCTTTTTTGGTTTCATAGGAATTTTGGAATAGTTTTTTTTAGTTATGTGAAAAATGACGTTGGTTGTTTGATAGAAATAGCATAGAATCTGTAGATTGCTTTGGGCAGTATGGCCATTTTAACGATATTGATTCTTCCAATGGATGAGCATGGAATGTTTTTTCCATTCGTTTGTGTCATCTGTGATTTCTTTCAACAGTGTTTTGTAGTTCTTATAGTTGTCTTTCACCTCCTTGGTTAGATGTATTCCTAAGTATTTTAGTTTTTTTGCTATTGTCAATGGGATTGCATTCTTGATTTGGCTCACAACTTGAATGTCATTGGTGTATAGAAATGCTACTGATTTCTGTATGCTGATATTGTATCGTGAACTTCACTGAAGTCACTTGTCAGTTCGAGGTGGAGGAGTCTCTAGGGTGTTTCTTTCTTTGTTTGTTTGTTTGCTTTGAGACGGAGTTTTGCTCTTGTTGCCCAGGCTGGAGTGCAATGGCATGGTCTCGGCTCACTGCAACCTCTGCCTCTGTGTTCAAGTGATTCTCCTGCCTCAACCTCCTGAGTAGCTGGGATTACAGGCATATGCCCCCATGCCCGGCTAATTTTTTATTTTTAGTAGAGATAGGGTTTATCCATATTGGTCAGGCTGGTCTCAAACTCCTGACCTCAGGTGATCCGCATGCCTCGGCCTCTCAAAGTGCTGGGATCACAGGCATGAACCCCCGTGCCTGGCTGTCTCTGGGGTTTTTTAGGTGCAGAATCATAACATCAGCCAAAAAAAAAAAAAAAAAAAAAAAAAAAAAAAGGTAGTTTGACTTCTTTTCCTATCTTGGTGCCTTTTCTTTCTTTCTCTTGCCTGATAGCTCTGGCTAAAACTTCCAAGCCTGCTTATTTTTGAGCAGCTAAACTTACTAGAAATGTCAGGGCAATTGCATTATTTTATAATAATTATAAAATATGCATTTATTTTCTTTTCAAGGTAGAATACAGAAAAGTTATTACAGAAACTTCATGTTTGAACTAAATTTTCTTTTTTTCGTTTTTTCAGATGGAGACTTGCTCTGTTGCCCAGGCTAGAGTGCAGTGGCACGATCTCAGCTCACTGCAACCTCCGGCTTCTGGGTTCAAGCAGTTCTCCTGCCTCAGCCTCCCAAGTAGCTGGGATTACAGGTGCCTGTCACCATGCCAGGCTTTTTTTTGTATTTTTGGTAAAGATGGGGTTTCACCATGTTGGCCAGGCTGGTTTCAAACTCCTGACCTCAAGTGATCCACCTGCCTTGACCTCCCAAAGTGCTAGGATTACAGGCATGAGCCACCACACCCAGCCACTAAAATATATTTTAAAATGACACTTACCCATTCATACTGGTTCTGCTTCTCTAGCATGAGCCAGTCATGCAAGTCTTCTTAACCCACTGTCATGTCTTCTCTGAGGCTTAAAATGCCCAGTTTCTATAAGACAGGAAGTCAGATAGACCTGGGTTCAAGTCCAGCTTTGCAATTTACTCTTCGTGTAATCTTGAGTGACTTTCTCATTTTCCTCATCTTTAAAATGGGGATAATAACAACATCTGTCTCAAAGAGTTTTGTGAGGATTAAATTAATTGGTGCACGTGAAGTCCTTAGTACACTGCCTGGCAAACAGTAAGTACTCAATAAATGTTAGTATTTTTAGTCAACATTCTGGTAGGCTTCTACTACTCTCTACCCCCAAACTGCAGTAAAACAAAAACATCTTCCTCTTTTGTAACTTCCAAATGTCTATGACTGGCAATGCAAGTCTTCTAGACTAATAATTTTGAAATCTTTTTTGTTTTTTGGTTTTAATCTCTTGTATGATTTTCATGTCTGATCAGTTATCAAGTCTACCATCCTTTAGTCCTCCAGTTCTCATGACCACTTGCTTTGACAATTATAAAAACCACTACCTAGTTTGTTGTGTCTAGCATTTCCAGGACAGTGTGGTGGGAAAAGCAGGGGCTTTCATGGTAGTCTCCGTTGGGCTCAATTCTATTGCATACAGGAGTGTATGGGCAAGACATTGAAGCATTTCGAGACTTAGTTCCAGCACTAGGAAGATGGGACCTCCATGTCTGCCTCTTCTAGAGTGATTGTTGGGTAATGAGGTAGGATTGTAAGATAATGGCTGGAGAGGCCTGGGTATACCAGAGGCATTCATTAAATGCCATTTATCTTCCATTTCCCCTCTGGTTCGTCCTACATGTGGTGACCACATGCACTCATGAAATCGCAATTGTAATTACACAGTGTCTTGATTAAATATCCTCAGTGACTCCCCATTTACTGTTTAGGCAGATCTAAACTCTTCTGCCCCACTGAACTAGAGAACCAGGCTGAATGCGTTTGAATTCTGGCTCTATGACTTACTAGCTACCTTGAAACAAATTTCATAACCTTCTACCTCAGTTTCCACATCTGTAGAATGGAAGTGACAATAATTGTGCCTGCCTTATGAGGTTATGTAGCTCAATTGTAAATATTGAATTAGCCCACATGAAGGACTTAGAAAAGTTCCTGACTGTTTCACGCCCTCGCTCTGTCACACCAGCATTCTCTCCATCTCTTCTTCCATTGCTCATCTTTAGCACCCCTAGGCCCTGACAAGCCAGAAAATTTGTTCTCCTAAATCTGTCCCCCAGTTCTGCCTCCCTTTCTTACACAGGGTTTACTGTTCCGAAGAACAGAAATTCCACCTGTACCCAGACTTTCACACTAATATGGGGCAGTCCTGAAACTGAAACTATCAGCACTGCCCCTCTGATAACAGTTTGTATAGTCATACTAGGTTTGGCCTGAGTGGTCATCTTGCATATGCTACCACAAGAGCCTTCTTTATGGAGGTCTCTTGTTGCTGCTGTCTTCCCAAATCACTTTCTCTGTTGCGTTGCCCTTAGTGATTGTGAGTTTAGAGTTTACCCTAAGCATCCTACATGTTATCATGACTCATGCCAGATTAAATTCTACTTAGTTACCAGCTTTTGGCACCTTGTTCCAGGTTTCTTTAGGGAGGAGGGAGAAAAGGGTATGTCTTAGCATACACAGCTCTTATCAGACTGTTAGCATTGCTTGTTTACTTCTGTGTTTGCCTTATTGGACTGTAAGCTCTATGAGGGCAGGTAATGTGTGTGCCTTGTTCATCTCTATCTGCCAACTTATAGCAAAGTATCTGGACCATTAATTGGCATTCAATATTTATCGAGTAGATGGATGGATGATAGATAGACGGATAAAGATTGGAATGTACATGCCCCTTTTGGCATATACAAACATCAGGTGAACTTTTTTCTCTGCCTAGGGAGGAAGCTATTCCTAGCAAGAAGACAACTTAATACTCTAGATTATTCCTGGGCTACTGAGGTTACTAAATAAGAGCATCTTATTTAGCTCTGCTGCTGATAAGACCATGGGAAGTTATTTACATTTAGGAGTGGTATCTTACTAATACCAACTTTCACAGGTACTTGGGTGGATTCCAGATTTATTTCCCTGCTATAGTTGCATTATTTGCTTTGTATGATATCTTCCTTACAAAGCACAGTGTTTTCATAGAAATATTTTGAAAGACTTGCTAACGGATCCTGTAGACCTCACATAAATCCTCTGTGAAGTTCGCTATGGAAAGCAAGAGGATTGATGTCTAATCCGTACATGACAAGATAAATTTTATAATTGAAAGACCAGTTTATATGGGCAAGAAGTGATCAGACTTCCGAAAAATAAAAAATAAATAATGTAGGAAAGACAAATGTAAAAAAGCGTATGCAGTTATTTGGTCTTAATATCAGAATTCTTTCTGGCTTTTATTCATTTCCATTCGTTTTCTTTCTTTCTCTTCTCTCTATAATACTGCTATAATAGTGACTGCTGGGAAGAAAGAGTGCTGCCCACAAATTTTTTTGGCAGACTTGGGTATGAGTTAATTAGCATTTTGGCCTCCAGTCTGGAGAGCAGACCCTATTCTCTTTGTAATGGGTGCCGGCAAGGAAGCTTTTCAAAGCCAAGGGAAAAATGGCATCCACTCTGCTGTCAAGGACTTTTATGAGGGTCAAGTGGTATTGGCAAGAATTCAGGCCAGAATGATTTGGCTTCAGCAAAGAAAGCCACAGCCCTTGTGACAGGTTAGATTAGCCATAAACCTGGATACACTAAATTCTTCAGATGGTGAGAGATTGTTGCACTCTGGCCCAAGAATTTCTTGTATGCTTTTTCGGTTTTTGCAAGTGGAGGTTTGATGGTTTGACAGCTGCCCTTTCCTTACTTGCTCTGTCTCCTGCTGCTCAGGCTCCTTCTCAGAATCACCACGAGCCAAACCACTCTGGTACTTGTTGGCCCACGGGTGCCTCAGTGCAAAAGTATTCCTCAGTGTCTACAAAATGTTACAAAAACGTGTCTGAGTAAGCTGATGGATCGCAGCTTATTTGTCACTGAGAAAGTTCAAGTTAGTGCTCTAATTCCACCTTTGCAAGTTTTTATGCTAAGCCTCAGACAAATATAAACACCAATCTTAATCTAAGTGTGCTTATTTTAATATTTTTATTAACAGCAACAGCAGCAGCATTGGGGCATTATTTCCAAAGGCAAAGAATTCAAGGAAGAGGTTAATGTGATCATTTTAACTAATCATTGCACATACAAGAGCTCATTCAATCTTCCTCACAGTCTGATGAAGTGATATAAGTATCATGTCTGTTTTACAAATGAGGAAACTGAGGCACAGAGAGGTTAAGTAACTTACCCAGTGTTATTTCTTGGCAGATCAGAACTAGACTTTTTTTTTTTTTTTTTAATTTTTAGTTCTAGGGTACATGTGCAAGATGTACAGGTTTGTTACATAGGTAAACGTGTGCCATAGTGGTTTGCTTCACCTATCAACCCATCACCTAGGTATTAAGCCCAGCATGCATTAGCTATTTTTCCTAATACTCTCCCCCGCCCACCCTAACTAGTAGACCTTTCGTAAGACCCCTTCCAGTTCTGAGATTAAAATGTTTTACGTGGATGGGGATGGCAATCAGGTCAAAACATGTAGCCAAAGAAGTGAGTGGGAGAGAAACAGGTAGGAGTTGTGTACTAGTTAAGGCTTTTGGGGGCACATGTAATGGAAGCTATTGTTTAGGCAACACAGAGAACTTACTTAAAAAAATCATGGTCTGTTGCCTCACAACATCCAAGGAAGGGGAGAAGCCAGATAGCTTCAAAAAGCTCAAGTAAAGGAGACTTTGGGTCTCCTCTCCCCATCAGAAGCTGTAAGCTGGTGGCCCCCAGGCTCCATGAGGCCTGGAGATGTATTTATTTGGCCCATACGTTTATTAAAAATTGAGCTGGTGCTTAAAAATCAAAAGGTTACTCATGGAAATCCAGATTTCCAGCTTCTCTAGAAAAATCAGACCAGGCAACCTTGAGGCCTCATTCCTCCTGCCACCCCGCCTGTGGTAACAATTGGCTGGAGCTAGATGGAAGCTGCCTCCTCCTCAGCCCCTCTACCTCCAGCAGTCACCTAAGCCAGGGTTTTACAACATTGACACTGCTGACATTTTAGGCCAGAGAGTTATTTGTTGTGGAGGTTTGTCCTGTGCATAGGAGGATGTTTAGCTACATCCCTGGTATCCACTCACTAGATACCAGTAGTACCCCCTCCTCAGTCTGACCACCAAGAATGAATCCATATTCTGCCAAATGTCCTCTGGGGAGCAGAGCTGCCCCGGAGTGAAAATCACTGGGTTGTATAATGAGCCTAAGCCACTGACCACTCAGTCCCTAAATCTTTCCATTATACCATTTCTGGGAGTGAGATCACTTGGTCTGGCTTGGGTCAGAGGCCTTCTCCTGTGACCAGGTGGCAGGGTGGCATTAACCATCATGGCTGCTACCTCCTGCAGAGAGGGAATCAGGGCAGGCAACTCAATAGGTATCCCTCACAGTATGTGGGAAGGAGGGATGCAAAAGACACTGTGTGAAAACAAGAGAGTCCAGGAATAACTATCAATAGTATAACAATCTTCACTTCCCAGAAGTTCTTTGAATCTGTTTTCTCAAGTTTATTCTCTCCAGCATTGTGTGAAATAGTTAAGGCACAGAGTTGTCATTCATATTCAGGGGATGGGGAAACTAGGGTGCACAGAATGGTTTAAGTGGCTGCCTAAGTGCACATAGCGAGGTAGAGAAAGGATTCTGGAGCCCACCTCTGCCCCTCTGGCTACCCCTAAAATGACAGTCCTCTGTAACATACTCTGCCCTGTCTAGTCCAGGGAGATTGAGGAAGAAAAGCAACACCGGCCATCATCAGACTCAGCCCAGGCCTGAAAGCATGAATGATGCAGTCACTTGTGTTTGCAGAGCAGGTTTAGCTGGCAGGAGGCCACGCTGTCTAACTCCTGTTCCAGTCAGTCTGGGCGTAACCCAGCCATTATGGTCTCTCTCAGGTTTCGAATGCACAGGAGCAATTAAGTCATTCTCATAATTTCATGTGGTACAGAAAGTCCCAAGCCAAAAATACCATCCTTGGTTCCTACTTTTAGACTTCCAGGGAACTTCCCCCTCCCTCTCTCCCTATAATTCACTTTGATTCCTTCTATTTTTCTCTTCGTGAATGCATTGGCCAGACACAGAGTCCTAGTTTACTTAACAAGGGGCTACAGAGCCAACACAAATCAAAATAAATCCAGCCTTCATTTGGCAGGAATGGTGGAAGTTGGGAATTGCTGGAGGTTCTCAGAAACAAGAGCTTGAAATAAAAGAGCATGTACCCTCATCTCTAGGATGTGAGCATAGGAGATAGGAGAACATGCCACAGAATGATCACTGAAAGATGATGGAGTGTTGGAGGTGGGGCGGGGGTGGGGTAGTTGCATCTGTACTCCCATTATTATTTCAGGGTCCTAGATAACCACAATTAAGTCACTTTATCGTTAGTACAGAAGATTTCTTGTCCCATAGAACCATGACATCAGACCTGTGTTGCTTCCTTAAATAATGAATTTTTCCAAATATCCTTCAGATGCGTATTAACAGTTGCTTCCTGGCAGTCAGGTGGCTGATTTGGTCTGTGTGTGTGTTGGGGGATACATATGTCCATATACTGACTCTCCCTTCATGTGGACCCCCATTTGGGTTATATCAAGAGCTAAATGAAATCTAGTTGGAGATGATTTCAATGTTTCTTCTGTAGGAATAGATAATTACAAACTTATTTATAAGTCTTCTCACTAAAGCAGTGGTTCTCAAAAGCCTTAGCCAGCACCAGAATCTACGGGAGGACTTGTTAAAGCACAGATTGCTGGGCCCCACCCCCATGCCCAGAGCATCTCATTTAGCAGGTTTAGGGTGGGGCCCAAGATGTTGCAGTGCAATGGCGTGATCTCCGCCTCCCGGGTTCAAGCGACTCTCCTGCCTCAGCTTCCTGATTAGCTGTGACTACAGGTGGCATGCCACCATGCCCGGCTAATTTTTTGTATTATTATTATTATTATTATTATTTTTAGTAGAGTCGGGGTTTCATTGTGTTAGCCAGATGGTCTCGATCTCCAG
Organism: Homo sapiens; assembly: GCF_000001405.40. NCBI lineage: Eukaryota > Metazoa > Chordata > Mammalia > Primates > Hominidae > Homo > Homo sapiens. The sequence continues at coordinate 59,312,807 of NC_000015.10, read as the reverse complement.
ACCTCATGATCTACCTGCCTCGGCTTCCCAAAGTGCTGGGATTACAAGGCATGAGCCACTGCGCCCAGCCAAGACTTTGTATTTCTAACAAGTTTCCTGGTGTTGCTGATGCTGCTGGTTTGGGGGCCCCATTTTGTGAACTAGCATGATCAAGGATGGTGTTCTCGCCTAATCCCAGCACTTTGGGAGGCTGAGGCAGGAGGATCGCTTGAGCCCAGGAGTTTGAAGCTGCAGGGAGCTATGATGCCATTGTAACAGCCAGGGTGACGGAGCAAGATTCTGTCTCTTAAAAAACAAAGAATGGTGCTCTAAACGCAAGGTTTTTCACAGCAGTAGTGACAGCTGCTCCTTTATGCTTCTGTTTCTTCATTTGTGTTGTCCCTGGAAAGTCCCCCTCGTCCCAGTGGCTGAGTCCTCTGCTTCCTCCAGGCTCGGCCCAAGTTCCTGTTCCTCCACGGAACCTTTCCTGATTAGTGCACACGATCTTTTCTCTTCTCTGAACTCTTTCAGTTGTAAAAATGAAACCCTAAAATTTCTTTTGTTGCCTTGTAGTATGCTCAGATTGATGCATGATAATTGTTTTCCCAACTAGACTGAACTGATTTGATTTGTGAACACGATCATCCCTTAGATGCTCTTATGTGTGTTCTTGAACTTAGCACAGAGCCAAGCACAGGACTCAATTATTTATTTTGTGATGAAAGTTCAAAGTGAATTAAGAGAGAAAATATATTGCTGAGTGTTGTAGTCCATTTGGTTTGCTATAGCTGAATACCACAGACTGGGTAATTTATAATGAAAAGGAATTTTATTTCTCCTGGTCCTGGAGGCTGGGAAGTTCATGATCGAGGGGCTGCATCTAGTGAGGGCCTTCTTGCTGCTTCAACACGGCAGAAAGCAACATATGGCAAGTGCGTGCACGAGAAAGAGTGAGAAAGTGTGTGAGAGATAGCAAGACAGGGCCACACTCACTTTTAAAACAAACCCACTCCCACAATAACAGCATCCATTTATTTATGAGGGCAGAGTCCTCATGACCTAGTCACTTCTTAAAGGTTCCCCCTTTTTCTACCTTCAGCACTGTCGCATTGGGGATTGAGTTTTCAGCACATGAACTTTGGAAGACACGTTTAAATCATAACGTTGCCTATAACACCAACTGGGCTTGCCTGATATATAGTGCCAGAGATACCCACCAAATTAAGCTTTATGGTTCTTATATGGTAAACTCATGTGATTTCTGTGCCCAAAGCTGCAGGTCCTTCTGCCTGCTTCAGAACTGCCCAAACTTCTGGTCTTCTAGAGCAGGGGTCCCCAACCCCTGGGCAATACGGTCCGTGGCCTGTTAGGAACTGGGATGCACAGCAGGAAGTAAGCATGCATGAGTGAGCATTACTGTCTGAGCTCTGCCTCCTGTCAGATCAGTGGCGGCATTAGATTCTCATAGGAGCCCGAACCCTGTTATGAACTGCGCATGTGAGGGACCTAGGTGACGTGTTCCTTATTAGAATCTAATGCCTGATGATGTGAGGTGGAACGGTTTCAACCTGAAACCGTTCCACTCCTATGACTGTCATGGAAAAATTGTCTTCCACAAAACCTGTCCCTGGTGTCAAAAACGTTGGAGACTGCTGTTCTAGAGTAAGGACCTTGTGGTTTTGCTCGTTATGATGGACATCCAGGGCCACCCTGGATGGTTGCCTTGACCATGCCTGTTGTCTACTGTGCATGAGAATCAGTTGCTGGACTCCAGGGCAGAGTGATGGCTGGAGGTCAGCATGCAGGCAGGGAAGTGGAGGGGGAAGATGATCATGAGTACATGAGTACGTGGGACAGGCAGGTTGGGGCCAGACTTGAGAGGGCTTACATGGCACACTAAGGGCTTGCTTGGAATTTGTCCTACAGAAAGTGGAGGTTTTTAACAAAATCACATTTGTTCTTTAGAACCATAATTCTGAGACCACTAGCTTCTTACAGAGTATATATACGAAACTACCAAAGGCAACTTGGTGAAGCAGAGGAATTTGGGCACGAAGGCTTGTTTCATCTTGGTGGTCAGCCCTTCCCACCTTTCTTTAGATACTATAATTCATTTCCTAGGGCTGCCTTAACAAATTGCTATGAACTGGTGGCTTAAAACAACAGAAATGTGTTCTCACAATTCCGAAGGCTAGGATTCAAAATCAGCATGGGCATCAGGACCACGCTCCTTCCGAAGGTTGGGGAGATTCTGTTCCATGCTTTTGCTCAGCTTCTAGTGTTGCTGGCCAGCCTTGGCATTCCTTGGCTTGTGGCTGTGTCGCCCCAATCTCTGCCTCCATCATCACATGACCTTCTCCCTGTGTCTGTTTCTGTGTCTCTTCTCTTCTTTAAGGACGTGAGTTATCTTGGATTAAGGCCCGCTTTGCTGACTTCGTCTTAACTTGATTCTATCCGCAAAGACTATTTCCAAATTAGGTCACATTCACAGATACTGTGGCCTAGGACTTCAACATGTCTTTTTTGGAGGCAACACAGTGCAACCCACAACAGATACACACTTCGCTGCACCTTATCATTTTAGGACTCAAGGGGGCAGTGGGTTTGCTGCCACACTCAAGCTGGTCAACTTGGCAGTGTCATGTGTTCTTCGTGAGCGCTAGGAAGCTGCCTGGACCTAGAGTAAGTAATACTAGCAGCTCACTTAAGTAATTATGAAGGGAAGGTGCACAGGACCTAAGCAGCAGGCTGTGGAGAACTGACCAAAAAGACGAGTTAGGGCGCTATTGCAGGTGAGAAATAAGGGGACCTTAAGTAAGGCAGTGGCTGTGAGAACAGAGAGGAAAGGGGAGTAGTCGAGGGGTGGGTCTGAAGGAGAACCACTAAGATCTGATGTAGTGGGAGGAAGGATCAAGGGTGATTCTTAGCCTATTTACAAATGTGGTGGGTGGGGTATATAATCCCTATCAGTATATACGAAGGCCTATCCAGACAAGCTTCTCTTTGTCTCTACCCACTTAAGTTATGCTTTATGTGCTGCCAAGAAGGGTAAAAAGGTGAAAATGATATGGAAGAAACCGAAGGGCAACCTTAGAAATGCATGTGAATAAAGATATTTTAAAGGCAGAAAGACACACATTTGGCCTTTCTGGGAAGATTTCTCTAAACGGAGTGTAGATGTCTCAGGGAATGGCAGCTACTGCCATACTGAGTGGACTTCTCACAAGGCGGTTCTAGGGCCGTCGTCCAGCCTGAGAATACACAGCTGGCTGACCTCCAGGGAGACTCAAAAATTCTTAGTGAACCTGTGTTGCAGGTCATGGCATCACCATCATGATGTCCTGTTATTCTTCAGTAGCATTTAGTAAACAGTTTTTGCATCTGTTTAGTTTACACAGCAATCTTGGAACAATGGAAAATCCTTTGACAAGTCAGAAAATTCAAGTCCTGTTTGTTGTTGTTGTTGTTTTAGTTGCTTTTTTGGGGGTTGTAGTATTGTGAGGAGACACTTAACTTATGGAAGCTTCATTTTGTTTTCAGTAAATGGAGCAGCAACACCATTCTTGTAGCATTACTCTGAGGATAGACATCAGTTAATGTATGTAAGGTGCCGGGCTCAGAGCTAGTGCATAGTACACAATCATCCCTTTTCTCCCTCCCCATCAATCTTCCTTCTCTTCTTTCTTCCAGGTTTTTTTCTTTTAATTTATTTTTAGAGACAAGGTCTCACTCTGTCACCCAGGCTGGAGTGCAGTGGTGTGATCATGGCTTACTGTAGCTTCCGAACTCCCAGGCTCAAGCTATCCTCCCACCTCAGCCTCCCAAGTAGCTGGGACCACAGGCATGCGTCACCAAGCCCAGCTAATCGAACAGGTTTTCTGACTCTCTGAGGCCCAGAGCTCTTTCTGCAATTCTGCCTCTCTGGGGCTAAAATATAAATATATAATAAATAAATAATAAACAAATCCCTCTAGAGGATTTTTTTTTTTTGAGATGGAGTTTTGCTCTTGTCACCAGGTTGAAGTGCAATGGCACAATTACCGCTCACTGTGACCTCCGTCTCCTGGGTTCAAGCAATTCTTCTGCCTCAGCCTCCCGAGTAGCTGGGATTAGGGGCACCTGCCACCATGCCCAGCTAATTTTTTTTTTTTTTTTTTGAGATGGTGTCTTGCTCTGTCACCCAGGCTGGAGAGCAGTGGTGCAATGTCGGCTCACTGCAACCTCCACCTCCCGGGTTCAAGTGATTCTCCTGCCTCAGCCTCCCATGTAGCTGGGATTACAGGTGTGGGCCCCCACACCTGGCTAATTTTTGTATTTTTAGTAGAGACGGGGTTTTGCTATGTTGGCCAGGCTGGTTTCGAACTGCTGACCTCAGGTGATCCACCCGCCTTGGCCTCCCAAAGTGCTGGGATTACAGGCGTGAGCCATTGTGCCCAGCCTAATGTTTGTATTTTTAGTAGAGATGAGGTTTCACCATGTTGGCCATGCTGGTCTCGAACTCCTGACCTCAGGCGATCTGCCCCCCTCAGCCTCCCAAAGTGCTGGGATTACAGGTGTGAGCCACCATGCCCAGCCTATTTTTTTTTTTTTTTTTTTTTTTTTTTTTGAGACAGAGTCTCACTCTGTCACCCAAGCTGGAGTGCAGTGGCATGATCTTGGCTTACTGCAACCTCTGCCTCCTGGGTTCAGGTGATTCTCATGCCTCAGCCTCCCGAGTAGCTGGGACTACAGATGCATGCCACCACATCCGGCTAATTTTTGTTTTTTGTTTTTTAATAGAGACAGGGTTTCACCATGTTGGCCAGGATGGCCTTGAACTCCTGACCTCAAGTGATCCGCTCACCTTGGCCTCCCCAAGTGCTGGGATTACAGGCGTGAGCCACCGCGCCAGCCCCAAGGATTTGTTTTAAACTCACTGGAGCCAGGCGTGGTGGCTCACGCCTGTAATCCCAGCACTTTGGGAGGCTGAGGCGGGTGGATCGCCTGAGGTCAGGAGTTCAAGACCAGCCTGACCAACATGGAGAAACCCCACCTCTACTAAAGATAGAAAGTTAGCCGGCCATAGTGGTGCATGCCTATAATCCCAGCTACTCGGGAGGCTGAGACAGGAGAATGGCTTGAACCCTGGAGGCAGAGGTTGCCGTGAGCCAAGATCGCGCCGTTGCACTCCAGCCTGGGCAACAAGAGCGAAACTCCGTCTTAAAAAAACCAAAACCAAAAACAAAAACTAAACTCATTGGAATCATTTACAAATAATATACTCACCCAAATAGCTAGATTAGGGGTCTTAGAGTCTATGAAGCAAACCCTGAGAGTGAAGGTGGGAAGGAAATGTCAGAATTATAAGCAGGATTAACGTAGATTAAAGTTGACAGAATCTGGTTCTTGCTCTGTCCCTTTCCCATGGTGGCCAGCCCCAGCTGCCCAGCTGCTGTTGTCTGTAAGCCAAAGCTCCTGCGTGTTCTCCTTCCAATAGAAAACGACTGTGCGGAACCTCATCCTCCCCGGGCCCAGGGTGTTGGTGCAGCTGCTGAGGGATCTGGTGAGGTAGCCTATGCTCATGTGCCACTGGAGATGCCCGGAGAGTTCCAATGCCCAGGCCATACCAGCAGCTCCCTGGGTGATGTCCCCTTGGACTTAGTTTCACTCTGAAGCTGGGAAGCAATAGCCTACATTTTCAGTTAAATAAAAGCTGGAAATGATGATCTCGTTAGGCCTGCCTCCTGTACTTCATGCTTTGGTGCTCTCCTTCATTTTCCTGCCAGGAAGACTTTCCCAGTGCCTCTTTCTATATGCTTGCATCCCGTTCTCAAGTCTCTGACCAGCGGTTCCACTTTGAAGTCCATCCCACAGAAGTATTAGCTCAAGGCTGCAAAGATACAGGAATGAGAACGCTTGCTGCAACGCTGCTCATAACAGGGAGACCAGGAAAATAACCCAAAGGGCCATTCACACACCAGGTTTTTGAGATGAATGACATCATGAGCAACTCATGAGCATGAGCACCAGGCGTGCCTCACCATCTTGGCTCCTTGTTGATAACGTGTCAGTCCCTAATATCCAGCCTGACTCCAAGGACTGAGATGATGAGTGTGAAAGTACTTTGTAAATTGCAAATGGTTTTGCAAACCTAAGGGATATGATGAATCAACAATGAGCAAAGTCCTTTGAGACCTTTCACAAATAAAGGCATTTTATATATTTAAATCCTTGGCACTCACAAATTTAGCATTTGAGGTTTTGCCAACCTGTGGAGCAACCCCATGGCAATTTGCCATTTAGCTGAGGCATATATTTTCCTCCATCCACAACCTGAGTATCTCAGACGAGGATGAGGAGTGAGTGAATGAAGGAGAAATGTTAAAATATGATTACATTATAGAGTCTTTAAATGCTCATTAAAACATATATTCGTTCAGTATCTTTTATGCTTTCATTAATGTGCCCTAGGCTATTGAGAAAGAAAGAGTAAGACAAAAAGGTGAAAACTAGAAATATTCTATGTAATGGAAAAGACCATAAATATACTCATAAAACAATTAGTGAGCACAGAAATATACAATCAGGTAATCTATAATAATGTACATGTAATAATCTACAACAGATTTTTTCCCTTATTTTGGATTCTGAGAAGTGAGCACTAACATATTGCAAAGGGATTTAATTGCAAATGATTTGTGTAAACCTGGTGCCATAGAAAAACTTCTGGGGTTGAATTTAATTTTATCGCATTTAAATAGAAAAATGCCCACCTGAGAATATGCAGCTGTAATTACGAGGGAGTTTTATTGGTTGTTACTGTGGCATGTGTTTATTTCTCTCCCACTTAACATTCTGGATGGAGGGAGTTCAAGGCTGCTGTGTAGCTCTGCAGTTGTCTGGTTTTCCTGCTCTGCCATCCTTAGGGTATGGCCTTGGTCTGTCCTCATCCTTATGGGCCCCCAGTGAAGCTCTGATCAAGACCTCCTAATTTTGAATGTCCTAGAACTTGAATACACCCCTTCCACTTATGTCACACGGCCACATCTAAACTACATGGTAGGCTGGGAATGAATTTTTTATTCTGGGTAACTGTGTGTCCAATAAAAAGCCCGAGATTTTATAACTCAAGGAAAGGAAGCACAGCTCACAATTGCTGCCACAGGTCAGCCTCTGTCTGTCCATGAGCCAGTTGTTCAGATGGGAGGAAATCTGAATAGAGGAAGAGACAAGTCAGGCAAGAAAGTTGTGACTCAGGGTTTATCTCATCTGCTGGGGAGTTCAAGGGGCAGTTTAATACTGGCTGTATTTTTCGTTTCTCTAAGTAGAAGTTTCATTTAAGTTACTGTGGAATAGGCTGGGCGTGGTGGCTCATGGCTGTAATCCTAGCACTTTGGGAGGCTGAGGTGGGCGGATCACTTGAGCTCAGGAGTTCGAGACCAGCCTGGGCAACATGGCAAAACTCCATCTCTACTAAAAATACAAAAAATTAGCCGGGCATGGTGGTGTGTGCTTGTAGTCCCAACTACTCAGAAGGCCGAGGTGGGAGGATTGCTTGATCCCGGGAGGCAGAGGTTGCAGTGAGCTGAGATCATGCCACTGCCCTCCAACCTGGGCGACAGAGTGAAACCCCATCTCGATAGATAAATAAATAATAAATAAATTGTGGAATGATCTTCTTTGACATTCTGCTAGATATGAAGGCTGCTTAGAGGCAGTTGTTTGAGAAAGAAAAAAGCAAGCCCTGACCTCCAGGAACTGGTGACAGTGGACGCTATACACCACTCGTTCACAGTGTTGCTCGACGCTGGTCAGGTGCTCACAGCTCGGCCATGTTGTCTTCCTGTTGGCCATAAGCCGACTCACAGAGCACTGACCTTGGACAAGGTCATGGTGAAACCATGGTAAATAGAGACAAAGCAAAGCCACTTCATATTTTTTTCTGAGCACAGACACAAAAAAGTTTCCTGTAGGACCCATAATTTTGATTATGACAGGGTAAAGACAAGTTCCATTTTCTAGGATTTGATTTGAGCCAAGGTCAATGAATAGCTTATTTTGTAGCTTAATTGACAACAGTAAATACTTTTGCAGTCTTAGGTCCCGCTTGATCTGTACTAGGGAGGGTAATTTGAACCAAGAGCCTGATTCCCGGGCATTTCTGCCCTAACCAGATCACGGGCTAAGGATGCAACAGAGCATAGTTTCAGCAGAGCCCCCTTGAAAAAAAAGTTATGCTGAATCCATGATGCAACATCCATTTGAAATGAGGAAAAAGAAGGCAAAGATGACATGATTTATTTTGTGTCATACCTAAATAATTAGAAGAAAGCCCCTTTTTCTAGTAGCACCTATAAAAATTTCACTGGGCTTTGGAGGTCTAAAGGGAAATTCTAGCACATATTTCAGCTCCAGTTAATCCAAGGTTACCATCATCTCAGTTTTGTGAAGAGATGGAAAGAAGCCAACTGAAACAGTAGCGTAGGAACCCAGCCCTGCCTTTTGCTTTATATGTGACCTTGGCCACGTACCTGACCTTCACCTTTCTCATATAGAAAAAGAAAATAGGCGGGCCGCAGTGGCTCACGCCTGTAATCGCAGCACTGTGGGAGGCCAAGGCAGATGACTCACCTGAGGTCAGGAGTTTGAGACCAGCTTGACCAACATGGTGAAACCTCATCTCTACTAAAAATACAAAAATTAGCTAGGCGTGGCGGTGTGTGCCTGTAATCCCAGCTACTAGAGAGACTAACGCAGGAGAATCGCTTGAACCCAGGAGGCAGAGGTTGCAGTGAGCCAAGATTGCGCCGTTGCACTCCAGCCTGGGTGACAAGAGCGAAACTCCCTCTAAAAAAAAAAAAAAAAAAGAAAGAAAAGAAAATGAAAATAGAGACGCCTGCCTGATACTCCTCCAGGCATCACTTTAATGTGTATGGAAACTCTTAACTGTGAAAGGCCATATATCCAGGAAACGGGCCATTATATTCCTGCTGTTGTTGTTAATTTTATCAGAAGAGAGTCCTACACTGCCGACTCAGTAGAACAAGTAGCTTTTGAGCAATGGTTTTGTGTGCAGTCACTGTGCCTGGTGTTTTGTGCCACCGCCTTTCCCTGTCACATTTGTGAGCCAGGGAGAGGGGCAAATGCGAGATGATCACACTTCAGTGCCACTACTCGCAGATACCATCTCGCTGTGGGATTATGCTGCTTACTCCGAGGAGAGATCTGGAAGGCACTGTTGCCTCTTGCTTTTGCATTTTATGTATCTATTTATTTATCTTTTTTAATTTCTTCCTTTTTATTTATTTCTTTCTTTATTTTTAGACAGAGTCTCACTTTATTACCCAGGCTGGAGTGCAGTGGTACGGTCTCGGCTCACTGCAACTTCTGCCCCTCGGGTTCAAGCAATTCTCCTGCCTCAGCCTCCTCAGTAGCTAGGAAAGGGTCTCACTGTGTTGCCCAGGCTGAAGGACTATGGCACAATCCCGTCTCACTGCAGCCTCGACCTCCTGGCTCAGGTGATTCTCCCATCTCAGGCTCCCAAGTAGCTAGAACTACAGGCACATGCCACCACCACACCCGGCCAATTTTTGTATTTTTGGTAGAGACAGGGTTTCGCCACGTTGCTCAGGCTGGCTTTTGCATTTTAGATGATGGATTTTATCAAGCTGACATCTAATTCTAACAATCAAATTTAGACTTGATGAGGGTCTGAAGCTGAAGACTTTATTTGCAGCATGGAACTCACCTGCCAAGCTGGCTTCTCAAAATACCAGCCAGGCATTACATTTTCTTCTGTGTGGGAACCAGTTAATATGTAGGTGGCTTGGAGTGATTCTGAGGGGTATTCTCACCAGACAACAACTGAAAGTTTCCTTTCTCCACTCTAGAGATGCCTTGGCCTAAGAGATTGTATTCATAGGTGCCCTGGTCAAAATGTCCTTCTCCCCTGGGCAGGACTGGAGACAGCTTTACCAGTCCTTAACTTCCAATGCCATTTTTAGCTTCTAAATTGGCAAGTGTCTTTTATTTACTTTCAATAATTTTTAACATATTTGTATAATTTATATAGTGTCCAGAGTTTATAATGTATTACTTTACACCTCATTTTTCAGTTGTAAATGGAATAAAATTGATCAAGCCCCAAGGTGTGTCAGGCACTGTGTTAGATGGACTCTGGAGATTCAGAGAAAAAGAGACAGATTTCTTTGCTCAGGTGGCATGCAGCGCCTAGTCAAAAAATCAGTTGTGTTATGTCTAATTAAGGTCAAGACGACATGTGAAATCCAATAATACAGATGAGTCCTAGACACAGAACTTTTCCTCCTGGCCTCATGAGTTAGATTGTGGCACCCTTGTCATGGATGAGGAAAGTGAGACTAAGCGGCCTTAAGTGACTGCAGTGGTCACCCAGCTAAGGTGTTCTGACTTCTAAATACTGGCCTTGTCTACCCAGCACACTGCCCCGCGTCTCACCTTGTCAGCATTCTTTTGCAGTATGTTGCCATTTCAAGATGGCATGTTAATGTCTGTGATCATATAGAAGGTCTATTTTGGGGTGCCTTTTTTCTCAAGACATTTAGGACAGTGCCTTCGTTAATTGGACATGTCCCTAAATCTTACTTGAGTCACAAACTGATCCCCTCATTGGCACGCTGGTTTCTGTTAGCCTCAAGGTGTACTCTTTTCTAACTTTTCCTGCCTTTTTTTCTCCCCACATCTGATGCTCATGGTGCCTGGGACTTTCCTGAGAATTGGCCAGACCCCATGTTCTTATTACCTCCAACAGAGGCTTTAGTTCTGCCAGGCAGGGGACGAACCTACCTTTACGTAGGTGTTCTGTTTGCATTAGTTTGAAAATGGGTTTGAGGGCAGGGGAAGGTAAGTTATTTGAGTGCATAGCAATTAGGATGAGGGTATGTATTAGGAAAAACGAATCAGTAGTATCACAGATGATCTCTTGATGTTATCAAAATAACTCATTGATATGACATCTTCAGGTTAGCTTTCCCGTTCTCTATCTTGGAAGTCAACCCTGTGAGGTTGGAAACAAAAGAGTTAAAGAGAATCCCCTGGGCCACCCAGCCAGTAGTAAGTCGCAGAAGAGGAATTTGGAGTCCGCTCTTCAGGCTCCAGCAGGCTCCAGTGCTAAGCCTCTTCTCTCTGCCAGGTCATGGCAGAATATGGACTTAGCCACAATAAAGCTGCCTCAAGGACCGAGGAGAGTGGTTGTTACTGACTGACTTTATTCCTCTCAGCATCCAAGAAGATCTCTTCAATTAAACATTATAGCCTTCGGGCATTAGCCCAGGAGACACAGTTGAGGGTCCTAGGTGCTTTCACTTAAGGCAGGGCTGTTGAGTCGGTGAGGGGATGAGGGCATCTCAAAAGAAGGCTGGCTTTCAGGATTGCACAGAGATGTTCCTGCTCCCAGCAGACTGGGGTAAAATTTCCTGGGAATGAGGGCATTTCTGAGGAAAAGAGAAGGGAAATTTTGTTGACTACAAGTTGCTATAGTATAAATGGGAGAATTAATCTATTTTTAAATGCTCAGATGTAAAGATACATTCTTATTGTTGAATCCATATTTTCCTCAAAAGAGAGTGGAGACATTAATTAGGAAGACATTTTTAATACATCTTGAGGATTCAGAGGCTGCCACTGATAAAATTTAAAAAGGAAAACAAATGTGCCAGGTGCGGTGGCTCACACCTAGCACTTTAGGAGGTCGAGGCAGACGTATCACCTGAAGTCAGGATTTCAAGACCAGCCTGGCCAACATGGTGAAGCACCATGTCTACTAAAAGTACAAAAATTAGCCAGGTATGGTGGCATGTGCCTGTAATCCCAGCTACTCCAGAGGCTGAGGCAGGAGAATCTCTTGAACATGGGAGGCAGAGGTTGCAATGAGCTGGCATGGTGCCAGTGCACTCTAGCCTGGGCAACAGAGCAATACTCTGTCTCAAAAAAAAAAAAAAAAAAAGAAAAAAAAGGAAAAAAAGAAAGATATACAATAAGCTCCCTCCTCCAAGAGTTTGTTATGATTGTGATTTTATCGTTTGGCTAGCTTCTTAGAGCTAGCCTGTGAGACCTTCAAGAAAGCCTGTCAGGATTTTTCATAATCATAGCTCCAACAAAAGAGGGGCAGTTTGGGAATTTCTTTTTTAATGGGAACCCCGGAAGATTTATAGCTAGAAGGCGATCACAGGTTTCTAGATCAGTGCACCAGCGTTCAGCTTCCTTTTACAACATGTGGCCCACTTCCAGGTTTCAAAAAGTGTGACCGCATCATGGGTAGACTCACTTCCTCTTGTGCTTAGGTCTGAGAATGAGCGGGCAGAGTGGGGAAATAGCAGTGGGTGGGGAGGGTGGTGTCTGAAGATGTTTGTGGGAGTGTCCAGTGGTTCTAAGCCTCTAGAAGTATCTTTGCCAATAAAGACTCAGAAATGGGAATGGGGGTGTGTGTGCACACCAGAAATGGCCGTGTGTGTGTGCCTGTGTGCACCAGAAATGACCGTGCGTGTGTGTGTGTGTCTGTGTGTGTGTGTGTGTGCGCGTGCTGGGCAGGCAGAGCCATGGGAACAGGAAAACCCAGCACCCCCTTCAGCCTTTTCCTAGGGACTGGCATTCATTGCCAGGCATGCTGGTTGGGAAGAACTGCCCAAGATTTTCATCTAGAAGAGATTCAAGAGGACCCAAAGCCCAGGCTCTTAGGATTTCACCAGATGATAAATTATAAAGTAGCTGACTGGTTTGTGGTGAACAGTTGCTCAAATGCCCTTTTAGCTTCTCAGTGGTGACAAAGTATATCTCACGGAGATCTTACATTACATTAAAGATTTAGGGGTTCCAGTTAGGATATTTAAAACCTTTGCCAGATAGGAGATGGTATCACATACCTCACACCAAATTTGTGCGTCTCACAGCTGGGCATTGAGATTTTTAAAATAGCAACTTCTGAGTGGAAAATTGTTAGGGAAAATCTAATCAACTTAATTTAAATGGCATAAATGATGATTAGAGCTAATTATCGTCAGAATTTGGGCTGGTGTTTCTAAAATGAAACTACAGAGTTTCTTTAAATGGGGTCATCAGGTTAGGATTCAGTTGTCAAGAAAGATCAATGATTTGTGTGAACTCACAGTCTTCTCAGCTTACCTGGTAGCCAGGGGTAATATTTCACACTTCGGAGTGAATTGCATTTATATTCTTTTTCTTCATAGCTCACTCAGGATTTTTAGAAGATGAAAGAATTGAATCTTATGGCAACAAAGCCCATTTCTTCACAGTGGAACTATAAATGCAGACTTAAGTAATTAATTTGTAAACCTTTGTATCTTTTTAAAACATCATCCTATCCCCAAGGCCTAACATAAGTTTTGTTGACTAGGTGAAATGATTGAATCAGTGAATGATTGAATAAATGAAAAATATAGGATGCAGTTCAGGAAAGAAAACCACAAGAGTGCGGCGGCTATTTAAAAAATGCCATCCCTGTAATTACTGTTATTGCCAATTCCTGTTTGTGTTTATGAAGCCTGAGGAATTTTGGAGGGCACTACCAGTAATTTGTATCTCATTACTCAAGCTAAGGGAGGGATAAATGAATCCTAAATGTAAACCTTTTACCGTCAAAATGGAAAACCTGTGTTTTTCCAGTGATGTGTCAGCAGTAGCTATTAATATTAAAATCACGAACCTACACACATACCTTTAAGAAATGGACTCCAGGCTTGTAAAACATGTGGCCGTAATATTGGCAGAGCAAGAATCTTTGGCCTCTGAATAAGCTCACTGGCCTTCATGTCTGTGATAATTTGCCATAGAGACCAGGCTTTTTTTCTGAGGATCTATCCCAGTCACTGTAGTTGTGGAAGTGGTGGTTCTTGTATAACAAAGTCATCTGAGGTAATATTTCCACACAATAATTTTTAGCAAAAAGAAAATGTTTAATGGTTATCCCAGGTGGCAGCAGATTCCCTTGTGGAAACAAGAATGGCGGGAATCAAAGGTTGGGCATAGAGAAGAACTTTCCTCTTTGTGATTCAAGGACAGATGTTGGCAACCTCTTTGAACTGAATGATTGGACTCCATCCTTTTCACTCATGTTGTCCTTTACCCCCAGTCCTCACCTGGATTTAAGCGATCTGGTCTGAAAGAACTCCTTCCATTTCTACCCTTTAAATAGGTTCTTATTTAATGCCACTGTAGTCAAGGAAGAGAGGGGGAACAGGATTGGAGCAGGGGTGAGGTTCACAGGCACCCCGAGGGAGGAAACCAGACGTGAACATCCCACACATAGCAGCTTTGCATATGGACAGACCTGATTTCCTTCTATGCCTCTTCCCACAGTGCTGTCTGGGCCATTAAGAATCACCTTGACTCATAGTTCTGGTTTTCAGTTCAGCTTCTAGGAATGCATGATTTCACACCTTGTGGAGGTAGAACGCAGTATCACTGATCAGGGCACAGCTATCGGGCAACCTCAGCCTCTCTGGAACTCAGCGGGCTGTGAGGAAGTCATGTATCTAAGAAGCCCAAACACATACTCCATGGCCCTTGACTGTCTGAAAAACTCAGTTTCGGAGTTTAATACATTCCCCCAGGGTACCAAATAACTAGATTTGTAAATGTAAATTTTTTCAGTCAGTTCTTAAGGTTTGATGAGGAACAGGATATTTACATAGTCGCAAAGTATCTCACCACAAATCACTTTGCATTTGTAATAGGAAAAATTACGCAGTGGGGAAGTTGGAAAATACTTAACCAAATGATGAAAGTGAATATCACCTACAAATATCATGTACCTCTGGACATCATGCCCTCAGAAGGACACAAAATTATTTGCCTAGAATTCTAGTCAAAAATGTGAAAGATGAATCTAAGTATGACAAATATCAGGCAAACTCAAATGGAGGGAAATTCTATAAAATAACTTGCCTGAACTGTTTAAAATGTCACCATCATAAAAGACAAAGGAAAACTCATGCCTGTAATCCCAGCACTTTCAAAGCCCACGGTGGGAGGATCACTCGAGCTTAGGAGTTCAAGACCAACCCGGGCAACATAGTGAGACCTCATCTGTACTAAAATTCAAAAAAATTAGCCAAGCATGGTAGTGCACACCTGTAGTCCCAGCTACTCCAGGGCTGAGGTGGGAGGATCACTTGAGCCCAGGAGGTCGAGGTGGCAGTGAGCCCTCATCGCACCACTGTACTCCAGCCCAGGCCACAAGAGCACGACCCTGTCTCAAAAAATTATAAAAATTTTAAAAGCCAGACATGGTGGCTTTTTATCCCAGCACTTTGGGAGGCTGAGGCAGGCAGATCACCTGAGGTCAGGAGTTTGAGACTGGCCTGGCCAACATGGCAAAAACCCCATCCCTACTAAAAAAAAAAAAAAAAAAAAAAAATTAGCTGGGTGTGGTGGTGCGTACCTGAAATCCCAGCTACTCAGGAGGCTGAGGCAGGAGAATCATTTGAACCAGGAGGCGGAGGTTGCAGTGAGCTGAAATCGTGCCACTGCATTCCAGCCTGGGTGACAGAGTAAGACCCTGTCTCTAAAAAAAAAAAAATTCTGACAAATGTGGTACATGATCCTGCACCAGGGGAAAAAATAAGTAATAAAGGACATGATTGGGATAATAAAATTAGAATATTGACTTGTATAAAAAGTATTCTATCGATGTTAAATTTCCTGGCCGGGTGCGGTGGCTCGCGCCCGTAATCCCAACACTTTGGGAGGCCGAGGCGAGTGGATCATGAGGTCAGGAGATCGAGACCATCCTGGCTAACACAGTGAAACTCTGTCTCTACAAAAAAACACAAAAAATTAGCCGGGCGATTAGCCGGGCGTGGTAGCGGGCGCCTGTAGTCCCACCTACTCGGGAGGCTGAGGCAGAAGAATGGCGTGAACCCGGGAGGCGGAGCTTGCAGTGAGCCGACATCATGCCACTGCACTTCAGCCTGGGCGACAGAGCGAGATTCCATCTCAAAAAAAAAAAAAAAAAAGAAAAAAGTATGTGAATTCTTTGTATATTTGTGTAACTGTTGTATTGAATTTAAAAATAGATGGTTTAAACAGCCCTACCTTCATTGTCCTGCACTCAAACACAAAACAAACAGAAAACCCAGTTGTCTGCTTTACTCTGGGATGGATCAGCAATCACTAAAAGGACTGGAAGAGGTCTCCATCCCCTCTGCCCCTCACCCTTCCTCCAAAATCAAGTCACTCCAGTTGATGTGGACAGTGCCTGCAGAGAGACACCTACCAGCACGTCCCGACTGTGTTTCAAGGGCAATTAAGCCCAGGGAACTGCTGGGCAAATGAGCTGTTCTCCCTAGGCCTTCATGCTGGCCTGTGTTGGTAGGAGCCCCCGCTCTGCCATGCAGAGCCAAGAATTTTCTCAGCAACAGTAATGGTGGCCGCAAATTGAGGTCAGTAGGAAAACAGATCTGTTTTGGTTTGTAATGTTGCACACAATTTGGTGAGTGAACAGAAAAGAATGTACCCCAGTGAAGGGACAGCCTGTGAACGCTGTGTTTGGTTCTGAATATCCTTATGATGCCCAGCATAGAAAACAGGAAGCATCAGTTAAAATGGGAAATTGCTGTGGGCTGGATTACTGTAATTCCTCGTCTTACTTAGAAGTTGGCATAGAGCAGGGTCCTTTATCCACAGCGTGATGTCTCTTGCTTTTCTATGCCTTGATAATTTTGCCCTTTCTTTAGGGTGGTGCATTGCTAAGCTGACAGGCTTTTAGGCTGGAATTGCTACCTTTTAGTATGCTTAGAAATTGTGTTTTTAAAGAGCTGTTTGTTTTTTCTCTGTCTCTGGGTTAAAAGCAGTCTAGCTCCACTGCTGGTTCTGGTTCCCTCCTCCTGCCCCCTCTTTAGGTCTAAGTAGGCGAGATTGAGCACACAGAGGGACTCACAGCTCAGCTTAATAATAACCCCGCAGTAAGTGACATAGCCATTGTTACACTAGACAGATACACAGAGGTAAGTTCTCCAAAGCAGATGAGCTGGACCGGAAATTTGCACATCAGTCCTTCCCCGTCTCTTCCACTCCTTTGGGGTCCTCCAAAGCAGGAGGGGAATTTTGCCAGCCTTTCCACGCTGTAACACCGAGATAATTATACCTGCTCTCCGCCCTCCTGGCAGAGTTGTTTTAGGACTCTCCTGGGATGATTAACGGCTAAGTTGTGAAACACTGGGAGCAAATGCGAGGTGGCATTATTTTCTCTCGCTGGATGGGGATCTGACTACAGTAGTTGGTCCCTTTCCCTCTGGAAAGAAGACAGTTTTTCTGCATGACCTGGGCTGCACCCTCTGATGGAGATTCCATCTTGGCTGCCTGTTTCCTGTCTGTAGTGCCAAGTACTCAGCCTTGCCTTCCTGGCCCTCCTTCGGTCAGCTCTATTTTCCTACTTAACCGAGGCTACCGTTTCCTCAACACAAATCCGCCTTTCTAGTCCAGTTGGTCTTTTTAGGGGGTTTTCACGTGGTGAAAAGCTCAGTGCAAACACAAGCGATGTTGTTACCCTCGTCCATGCCTTTACTCTCCTTGTTTCCCTCTCAGGAATGCCTTTTTTTTCCTCCTCTCTCCCAATTCAGTGCTTAAGCTTTTTTCAGTCCTAACTCAAATCTGATCTCCCTGAAGCCTCCTAGGATGACTCAACTTTTAGTGATTTTGTCTCATTCATTACTTCATTGAACAGGCATTTATAAAGCCACTTATGTGCATGGCTCTTTATTAGGACAAGGAGAGTTCAGAGATGAGGCATGCCCCATCCTCAGGTCACTTACAGTTGAGAAAGGGAGGGAGAGGAGATATAAATAAGCCAACAGTGGGGGTCAGAGGACAGACAAGATTACCGATAATCTGGGAACTTGCAGGCTTTAAAGAGGTAGCATTTGCATGGGGTCTTCAAGGATGGACTAGATTGAACATGCAGGATATTTGGTCCAGGTGGTGAGAACATCATGGACTAAGATGCAGAGGTCAGATGTTCCATGCAAAGAGCCCCAGGCAGACTGGTGGCAGGAGCATGAGGCATTGTGGGAAATAGCACTGGCAAGGAGAGTGGGCTATGAGCTAGGCTAAGGAATTTGAACCTCACTGACTGGTAGGGAGGAGCTCCCCTGAGGGCAAGAGAAACCCTGGCTGTTAGGAAGAGTCAAACCCCCGTCCTGTGGGGGCTGAAACGACAGGGGCAAGGGAGCCAAGAAGGCCTGTGTTCTCCCTTGAGTTCCTGTGGCTGCCATTGACAATTGAAAGCGGGAGGGCAAAGATACTGGCATTTCCAGGACATTTTGTGGTATATGGCATGACGTGACCAAGCACAGCTATCTCTCACTATCCAAAGCTGTTTATTTCCAAGTTCAATGGGGTTTGGGTAGGACATTTGGGAATAAGGAATGCTCCTTTGTCCAAATCTATTTGGAATAGGAAGTAGTGAGATTCCAGATAAGAGGTGATTTATCAAAAATTTTATACAGATCTATTTAGTTCCTGATTTTGGACCTCAGAGAATGAGGGATATCTGCCTTTGAAGCAGCTGGCCCAGGAAAATCCGAGAGACCTCTAAGGGGCACGATCATGAGATAGAACTCACACCAAACCATCTCAGACTGTTACAGTTTGTCTAGTTGGTTAACATAAGCAGGGGTGATATAAAATGTTTAAATAGTTAGCAACATGAATACCGAACAATCAGGGTGGAAGCCAGCCAGACGCTCTTTCCAGTGGGAACTGAGTATCAGTTCTGTATATATGTCAGGGTTTCTGTTGTTATTTTGTTTTGTTTGAGACAGGGTCTTGCTCTGTTGCCCAGGCTGGAATGCAGTGGTACAATCATGGCTCACTGCAGCTTTGACTTCTCAGGCTCAAGCATTTCTCCACCTCAGCTTCCCAAGTAGCAGGGACCACAGGCATGCGCCACCATGCCTGGCTAACTTTTGCATTTTTAGTAGAGACAGGGTTTCACCATGTTTCCCAGGCTAGTCTCAAACTCCTAGGCTCAAGTGATCCACCCACTTCAACCTCTCAAAGTGCTGGGATTACAGGCGTGAGCCACCACAGCTGGCCCATATATCAGGGTTTTTTGTTTTGTTTTGTTTTTGCTACATCAGATGAAAAAACTTTTGAGGGCTTCATTTACCTTTTCTGAATTCACTGTGATGCCTAAAACAACACTGTACATATGTTAGGGGCTTAATATTTTAGATTCAGCTGAATTTCATTAGCTTTATACATATTTTTTAATTTCACAAAAATTATTTATTTTATTTTGTTTTTTTTTTTAGAGGGAGTCTCACTCTGTCACCCAGGCTGGAGTGCAGTGGTGTGATCTTGGCTCACTGCAACCTCCACCTCCCAGGTTCAAGCGATTCTCCTGCCTTGGTCTCCCAAGTAGCTGGGATTACAGGTGCCTGCCACCACGCCTGGCTAATTTTTGTATTTTTAGTAGAGATGGGGTTTCACCATGTTGGCCAGGCTGGTCTCAAACTCCTGACCTCAAGTTAATAATCATGCCAGCATTATGGACTGTTGGGACAATTGAATGAGTTAGTATAAGTAAAGTGCTTAGAATGTTGCTTGGCAGATAGGGAACCCTCAATAAACTTAACTGGGAGGGGGTTTCATTCTAAGCCAGTGTGCCTTCCATCTGGTAGATGGGGGTGATTGTCCGTTGCCCTTCTTTTCCTAGCAGAATAAAAAGGGTGCCTTGCTGAATTCTAAACTGTTTTCTCCCACTCAGTGCAGACTTATTCCTTACCTGTGGTGTTTGGACCAATGGTACCCCCATGCCTCCCTGTGCAACTCCAGAAAAGTGGCTTCCCCAGCCCAGCACACAGGACAGCTTAAACAGTTTATGAGCCGAGGCCTCCCCTTTGTCTACAAACTCCCATTTGCCTGCCACCTCAAATCCTATGGGATAGATCCCCCTGAGACTTTATACAACAAGGTCACCTCTCAAGCTCTGGCTTGTAGAAATTTAGTCCCTTCTTTGGCAATGTGGATGCCTGAAGTAGTAGATAGTGGGCTATGTTCAGATAAGAAAGACCCCCTAAATGGGTAGACCCACGCTCATTTCGCGGTCTTGTTTGTAGCTGTAGTACTGTCGCAGTTCAGTTGAGATTTTCATCACACTGGTCAGGAAATTCATAGTGAAGGTTACTACAGCAACCTTAACTCTGCTCTGGAAAGCATAGCCCTTACAATGGGGCCTTTCAGAGGCTGGCCCTGAAGCTGGGCAGTGATTCAGTCTATTCAGAACACAATGGGGCAAACCAGAATAGAAAGGAACTGCACATTGTTTTAGGCCTCCCATTGCCATCTGTAGCATTTCGTATTGTTGTCCATCCTTGCGGCCAACATGAGTTTTAGTTTCTCTAGTAACGCACTTTAAATTTCAGAACTCATATGCCTGCCAGTCGTAGTACATTTCATGGGAGTTGAAATAGTAATAATAATTCTGTAGTGGTGTACAAACTCACAGCCAGAAGATGCTGTAGAAACACATGTAGGAAAAGGTGGATTAAGGCTTTTCATTTGGAGACAAGGGAAACACCCATTGGGTGTGTTTGAAACAAAACTGATGAATTTGCCTTGAAATCCTGTAAAACTATCATAGATTTTTTTCTTTAAAAAGAATGTAATCTTTAAATGACCAGTAAAATAAAATCACCCCTTGCCTTTATCCACAGCCACTCAAAACAAATCCACTCACCAAACAAAATTTACTTAACAATAGGATCTGAACGGTTTACTTACATTTTTAAATCTAGAGAGTGTTGGGTAGATTTTAAAAAGCTGAATTTAGCTATTTAGCATGTGAACTATAGTTATACTAAGCAAAAGAGCTGTGGTTTCCTTAGAATGAGAGTTGGAAGGAAACTTTTTAAAATTTTTTTTTCCTTTAGAGCATTTATGGTATTTGATTTATTCATACTGCTTGCCCTGTGATCAAACAACTTTTCTTTGTTGTCTATTTAGATCCCTAGGGTTGTTTTATTTCCTTCCCTTCTTTAATGTTTCCCTCATGTTTAATTTAAATCATTTGCTTTTTATCTTCCTCGGCATCTCAAGCTATTTCTCTTTTTGTTAATCTTTGTTTTCTCTCTCTCTCTCTCTTTTTTTTTTTTTTTTTTTTTTTTTTTTTTAGTATTTTTAGTAGAGACGGGATTTCACCATGTTGGCCAGGCTAATCTCAAACTCCTGATCTCAGGTGATCCGCACGCCTTGACCTCCCAAAGTGCTGGGATTACAGGTGTGAGCCACCACGCCTGGCCACCTTTGTTCTCTTTTTGCTGCACTAAATTTAAAAAATAAATAAAAAATAATTGAAATGTGCTTTTGTTTGTTTGTTTTAGTGCAAAGCTAGCAGCTACTTCTGTATCTTAAACACACCAGCCTCCAACAAACACCAACAAACAATCGGTGAAACCTTTTCCTTTTAACTCCGGTGAACTTGAATTGACATGTAGTCACACCCAGGTATCTTTGGGTGTTGGTTATTTGATTAGGAGGTAATACTGTGTTTTTGGTCCAACTCCAAGGAAAGGAAGGGGTCACAGACCAGCAAAGAATATCAGGAGTACTGGTGCTGCTTTTCTTCATATTTTGGGTCGCTGGGCTCAGGTAGAAAGAGACTTTTGTGCACTTGGGAACAGAGTATCGTACAAATCCTTTCAGCATTTTTGCAACCAGAAACCATGCAAATGTTTTTGCAGATATGCTTGTGGTCTTGCTGGCAGTTTGTGAGCACAACGCTCTGTTTGAGGTGGTGATGTTGACTTCTGTTTTCTATTCACTGTCCTGCCCCAAATCGAGCATGCCGTCTTGTACTTTAATTGTGTGAGCACACTCTTTTCTACCTAATGCGGAGAGTGGGTATCAGTTGGTCTCCATTCCTTGCATAAAATGATTTTTACTATTACTGCTTTGAGATAATTTGTGTGTTTATCTCAGCACCTTTGACTCTCATTCCTGTCAGTACAGCAAGGGAACCCAGCATTTACTACCAGCTCTGACTTTGCAGGGTTGAGAGTGGCATGCTGTTTGACTTTGGAAACTATGTTAAAAATTCCTCCAGTGGATCCCTAGCTGGGACTGTTTTGGCAATTGATGTCTATCTTGCCTACTTTTTCTGAGGATTTCTGCAAGGTTATTTTAAACATATTCAAGTTGTCTGATTGTGCTGAGGCACCGTTGTCACAAAAGAAAGTCACAGTCTATTACCTCTGCAAAATTTTTGAATGAGAAGCCCGCTGTTACTGAACACCAGGCATGGGGAGTCTGACTTTGAAGCTGGCTACGAGGCATGCTTTCAAGGAGACAAGGCAGAGGCCCAAAGATGTCGCAGGGTGGCTCCAAAGCTCTGATCTCAGCTTTGCTGAGGCATCTCCTGTGCCCGTGATCTTTCTAAGAGTCAGTCATTCAAGGTACCCAAAATGTCCCTCTGTTTAGAAAGGGTAGCTCTGTTCCGTAGCCAAGGTAACACTTCATCCAGTTTACCACTGTGGGATCTAAAGGCAGCTTCAAGGGTTGCATATGAAACCTGGCTCTCAGAGGACATCTCCCGTGAGATATTTTCACCGAGTGGGGAATCCATTTCTTCTGTCTTCTACCGTAGCCTTAATAGAAGCTGCCAGGTTTCTAAAGCCACCAAACCAGTACAAATCTGGATTCCATGGACACACACACTCTGTCACCAAGTTTTTCATCTGTTAAATGGGGATCACAGTACCTCCCTGTTTCTAGAATTCTTTTGAAACCAAATGAAACAATGTACGCAAAGCACCTAACGTAGCATTGGGAACATGGTTGGTGCTCAAGAAAAGTGATGCCCGTTCCCCGATCCCCAAACATTGTGGGGCACACTTCTTGATGTGGGTTGCCCTTTTGATGCCATATTATATTTCACAGATACAATGAGAAGTAAGTATTCTTGGAGAAGGAAATGCAAAAATTTCCTTGGATTTTCTAGGGAGTTGTGAGTTTTAAACTGGTGTGACCCAACCATGTCCATAATCACATCAGACATGGTCAGTTTGTGTTTTGCTTTCAGTTTTAGTGATTCTGGCAGGAGAGAGTTACTGGCAGAAGGAACACCTTGAAATGCTACAGCCAGAGATCTCTAACTAGATGACAGCTTTCTAATTTCTGCTGGCATTGCCCCTCATCTTCTGGAGATTGCCTTTTTCCTTTCTGTCTGTCTTGTTTCTAGATTTCAAGCCAATGCCTTAACTCTTACTTTCTTCCCATAAGCAGACACCTGTGTCTTGGGTGGATGACAAGGGGTTCTGGGAAAGAGATCTCCAAAGTGGGGTCTATGCACTTTTATGTGCAAGGAAACTCACTGGAAAGAAAATATTAAAACCTAATTTGTATTTATCTTTACATTAAAAACTAAGATGAAATTGAGCTGCTCCCATATATAATATTTGGATGGACCCCAGTCTCCTCATGCAGTTTGATTGCCAGAGGGTCAGGGCTCACAAATGGTATTACTTATTATTTGAGAAATTCAAATTATATAAATGCCTGGATTCAGCTGATTATTTTATGGTAAGCATCCAAAATAGTGCCTTATTTTTCTTCCCAGAAACAAAAAACTTTTGGTACAGATTTGCTCAGGAGGGACTGGAAGCAGAGAGCTGCACAGTGCTGGGCTGGGAGTCAGAGGACCCGAGTTCTAGTCCTGGTTCCAGTCCAGGATGGCCCCGTGGACACATCCTTTCACCTCTCTGGCCCTCAGGTCCCTCATCTGTAAAGTAAAAGTTTTGCACTGCTTAATCGATAGGCCAGGCCCCTTCCAGCTACAATATTTTAGGGTTCTGAATGTAAATATGTAAGTATTCTGCCCCTTCCTTATCCCTGCCACTTTGTTGTTTGTTTAAACACCTTAATTTTTTGCCTACAAGGCATCAGTCTGTTGCTCAAATGGTCTTTGTCACTGGCTTCCATTTTGGTTAGCCTGCTGAACTCCCTATGTATCTTCTCTGCAGCTACTGTCTGTCGTCTTCTTTTCTGTGGCGGATCCCTATTCTCAGAATCCCATATTCAAATTGACTCACATTTATAGTGTCCAGTTATACATCACTTGAGCATCATGAAACTTTAAAAGTTCTATATTTTTTATTTGAATCCTGTCCCTCCTATTATCTTATTAGCCAGATGAGATGACAGTACCCAGTCTCTTTCTTGAAATATCATACATCCAATCAGAGCTATATTAGTGGCTAGTAGTATCCCAGTTCACTTATTAATAACCAATGCAAAACTTTACTCATCTGGTACTGTGAGCTTGGGTAATATGAAATCTCTGTGCGTTATCTCTTTTAATGTACTCAAAAGCACTGAACGGGGCTGGGTATGACAGCTCACACCTGTAATCCCAACACTTTGGGAGGCCAAGGCAGGAAGATCGCTTGAACCCAGGAGTTCGAGACCATCCTGGGCAACATAGTGAGACCCCCATCCCTACAAAAACTAAAGAAATTAGCCAGACATGGTGGCACACACCTGTAGTCCCAGCTACTCGGTAGGCCGAGGCAGAAGAATCACTTGAGCCCAGGAGGCCCAGGCTGCAGTGAGCTGTGATCACACCACTGCACTCTAGCCTGGGTGACAGAGTGAGACCCTGTCTCAAAAAAGAAAAGAAAAGAAAGATTAATTTAAAAAAAGTAATAGAATTATTTGCCCAATATTTGGTGAGTCGGTGAGTGACAGTGGTAGTAGTAGTGGGGTTTGAGTTAAGGAATAATTGTTTGCAAAGTGAGAACTGTAAGGAGTGCCTCTGTGCACCACGCAGTTCAAAACCCATCAGGAACATGGCAGGCTCGCTGAGCGCCTTCGCTGCACATTGTTGATTGTCATGTATTTGTATGACTATCATCTACTTTAAAAGTTTTCATTTGACAATAACTTATAATCATTCATTCACGCATTTTCTGATCCACTCCTTCTAGTTGAGGGTTGCAGGTGGCCAGAGTCTATCCCGGCAGCTCAGGGAGCATGGCAGGAACCAGGCCTGGACAGGAGGCCATCCTATCTTAGGGTGCTCACACAATCCCCCACATTCACTCAGACTGAGACCATGTCAACACCCCAATGTACTCAATGTGCATGTCTTTGGCATGTGGGAGGAAACCCTCACAGACATGGGAAAAACATGCAGACTCCTCACTGGCTGGACCAGGAATCCATTTTTCTTCCTCATTATCTTTATCACAAAATGGCGTCATCCGAGGACCTGCTCTATTGGCTTGCTGTTGAACCTTTAATAAAGATCTAAGCTGATCAAAGGAAGGCAGAATCTACCTATTTGTGGCCACCCTAGAAGCATACAACAGTGAGGGTCCTGGTAAGATCAGTGAAGCCGTGCTGATCTTCCAAATTGGTTTTTATTGCAAATTCATTCTAGAGCTTGCTGATTGAACTTGGGGCTGGGGAGGTGGCAGCAACTGCAGGTAGCCCTCAGAAAGTCTGTCGGGAAGGACACATCAATAGAAGATAAGGCTCCCGTCTCTGCATGCTGCAGTGCTTGCCTTCTGCAAACTGGGCTTGCGATTTGGGTGTGGGTTCCGAGAGACAAGCCCCTAGCAGGCCCATTAGAAGACAGTGCCTCCCTTCATGTCTATCCTAGGGCTTTTAGTTGAATTATCAAGCTTGTTCTTAATTTTCCCCACCCCTTCTAAGTTCCCCAAGCCCACTCCTAAAGTCCAAGGTATGGATCAGAAGAAACAGCAAGATAGCCCTGCATCCTCTGTCAGGTGGTGGAAGGGAGTGAGAGGATGAACTTGTTTGTGATCACACATTGAGCGGCCCTGAGCCTGCAGGACCCTTGGCGACACTGATCTGCCATGTGGATTAGTGGCTGCTCTTGTGGCTTCTCCCTGAGATGTGCCCACGGGACTCTCATCTCTGCCACCCATCAACCAGCTGTGGTCTGAGATCTCTGTTTGTAAACATGTGTCATTGATACCCTAAAGGCCCCTAGACCAATGCCCTTATGGTTACATTTTGCCCCAAGAGGGACATGGTGCCACTGTGCCATAGATCAGAGCAGATCAGGCAAGCCAAGGGTCCAGAAGTAACCATGCCAGAAACAGGCATTCCTCACTTCTGCATTTGGTTCAGCGTTGGCTAGTGGTTGTTCAGGGAATGCTCCTTGCCCCTGAGCTTGGCTTGTTTCCCTGGACTCCGTATCCCTATAGCAAACCCACAACAAAGGCTGTGCCCACATCAAGACACCCCTGATCACATCCAGACCCTTCCCCCGCTTAGCACGTCCAGACACAGTACCCCTAAGTGAGAGATGACACACCAACACCTTACCTGTGTCACCGCTCCTTAAAATCCAACTCTTTATACTCTTGTGGAGTTTCCACGTTGGCTTTTAAAAGACAGAGATGAGAAAATAATTTCATCAACCTTATAAAACTTTTAAAAATTGAGTTCTTATTCAGATATGCCCCAAACATTTTTCAGAAAAATAGGGCAATCTGAGAAAACCATAACATGTGAGTAGTTGGTTAACTCATGTCAGCATACCTCCAGCATTTTGCATGACTTATAAATAATGCGTATTTTGCAAGCAGTATAGGAGAGATTCTTCCAAGGATAGGAAGTCCTGACTTTTTGGCAGGTTGATATCAACTCTGCCACAGCCTGCTGATAACTCTTTGCATACTGTTCTTTTTCTCAGAATAGCATTTAAATTAGAGTTTCTTTGTTCCATGGTACAGGGTGATAGTTCATATTATGTCACAAGAAATTGTTCAGTTACCTCCCTGTCTTTATTTATATGCACAGCTGCTGGTGTTTCTAGCTAGTCTTCCTGCCTCATTACCTTGGCTGTGTAATTGAATTAGAAAAAGGTATTGAGCAGCTACTACTTCAGAGACTATCATTTTCAAACCACAAATTAGGACACAGAGTCTGGTAGGATTTTTGACTTATGAATCTATTAGGCCGGTGCCATTAATGGCAAAAACCGCAATTACTTTTGTGCCGACCTGTATGATTAATAAAAATCTTAATGGACATGCACACACTAATTTGGTATGCATTTAATAGGCTGACTTAATTTTTTCTTTTCTTTTTCTTAAAAATTTTTTTCACTTTTATTTTTAAAATTCATTTCAGCTAATTAATTAATTGATTTTATTATTTTTTTTAAAGACAGTGTCTAGTCGGGCGTGGTGGCTCACGCCTGTAATCCCAGCACTTGAGGAGGCCAAGGTGGGTGGATCACTTGACGTCAGGAGTTCAAGATCAGGAGTTCTCTACTAAAAACACACACAAAAAAGAATTAGCTGGGCGTGGCGGTGGGCACCTTCTGTAAGCCCAGCCACTCGGGGGGCTGAGGCAGGAGAATGGCGTGAAGCCGGGGGGCAGAGGTTATAGTGAGCCAAGATTGTGCCACTGCACTCCAGCCTGGGCGACAGAGCCAGACTCCGTCTCAAAAAAAAAAAAAAAAAAAAAAAAAGAGACAGTGTCTTGCGTGTTGCCCAGGCTGTTCTCAAACTCCTGGCCTTACGTGATCTTTCTGTCTCAGCCTCCACTGAGATGAAGGACATGAACCGCCACACCTTGCAAGATTGCTTTAAAACTGTAAATAATAAAATTCTGTGAAACTGGCCTTGCCCAAGGCACAGAGGCATGTGAGAGGTAGAGCTTGTACCCAAGTCTGTTGATTTTAATCAGTTTGCTAGATTAGGAAGAAAAGTTACATTCCTGAATCGTATTACCGAATGTCTAAGAGCTTTGCACTTAAAAACAAGAGTGGTGATGTGGGAGCTCTCTTAAGGGACTGTTAAGTGCTTGATGTATGTGACATGCTAGCAGAGCCACAGCTGAAAAGACAGGGACTAACATCAGTGTGACTCTCTTGTCACTTGTTTGATTAAAATATAATCAGAGCAGAAGTGAAATGAGCATTTGTCATATTAAGGAATCTCAAGCATTTGATTCATATTATTCTGTAGCTTGAAATGTCCTTACCTCACTAATGATGTGGTGAAGATTAATTGCCTGTTATTCTGTTTAAAAAGTTAATCATCCAGGCTGGGCACGGTGGCTTACACCTATAATCCCAGCACTTTGGGAGGCTGAGGCAGGAGGATTGCTCAAGCCCAAGAGTTTGAGACTAGCCTGGGCAACACAGTGGGACCCTGTCTCTACAAAAAAAAAAAAAATTTTTTTTTTTTTTGGTAGAGAAACACAGCCAGGTATGGTGGTGCACACCTGTAGCCCTGGCTACTAGGGAAGCTGAGGAGGGAGGATTAATTGAGCCCTGGAGGTTGAGGCCTCAGTGAGCTATGTTTGCGCCACAGCACTCCAGCCTGGGTGACAAAGTGAGACCCTGTCTCAAAAAAATAAAAATAAAAATAAAATAGTAATCATCCAACCTCAAATATCTGTTACTCTTAACTGGACTACTTACATGGTTAAGAGAAGGAGAACTGTGTTTAGGGGCAATATCTCTTCCCTTTGATCTCCTGAGTTGGGGGCAAATAGGAACGCCTTGGAAACTTATTTCTTCCTTGGAGCAGACTCTGGGCCCAGGACTCCTATTTGCCCCACGATAGCTGCTGCCACAGTGCTGCCGTGTACCTACAGCAAACATGTTGTGAGGTGAGTCAGTGTAGCCTGGAATTTATTCACCCAGCTAGTAAAGATTGGGCACTCCCATGCCCCAGGCACCACCCTGGTGGGGACATGGCAGGGGGCAGACATCATCCCAAGGCTGACTCCAGGGCACGGAACTTCCTCTGCATTATGCAAGGCTGTGCAGAGCCAGGCTGCTCCGTGAGCTCCTAGCTTGCAGGGCTTTGTACCAGGTATTCTGTTTACCACGTGGTACTTCTTTTTCTTCTGTAAAAAAAAGGATAATACAAGTACTTGGTGGTGTCATTGGGCAGATGAAAGAAGTTGATACGTGACACATAGTAAACATGCAATAAAGCAGTTACTATGAACTTTAGAATTATTGCTGTTTCCAACTGCTGTTACTTTATTATGAGAGGCAGTAGGTACAATGTTTAAGGGCAAAGATCTGAAGCAGACTGCCTGGGTTTGAAGCCCAGCTGTGGGAGCTGAGCAAGTTACTTAACTTCTCTGTGCTTCACTCAGTTTCCTGCCTCGTGAAGTTGTAAGGATTAGATAAGTTATATGTAAAATGCTTAGAGCAGTGCTTGGTATGTAATAAGAATTAGCTGTTACGTGAGAATAATAATAATGTATTTCATTCATTCAACAAATACTTGGGGGCTGCCCATGCCATGCATCATGGCACTCTACTAGGTCTTGGGGCAGAATGGTGAATAAGACTTGGTCCTAGGGGTCAGTTTAATCAGGGAGCCAGGCACTCAGGTAATGCTGTTAGAGCAGGCTTCTTAGCAAGATGATGCCTGACCTGTGCTGGGTGAGAGTTTAGTAGGCATAGAGTTGGGTTGAGGTAGGGAGGAGTTCATAGAAGAATACCCTAAGCTGGGGGACAGTGGGAATGTAGGTACTGAAGATCCCACCTCACACACACACTGTGGAAAAACAGAAACAAAGCACAGCATGGTATGCACAGAAAATGGTGTGGTGGGAACCTCAAAACGGAGAAAGCAGGGGTTAGAGATGGACAAGGACAGGTCAGGGAAGCCTCGCTAAGATTTGCACTTCAAATGCATGCGCAGC
Source organism: Homo sapiens (assembly GCF_000001405.40). Taxonomy (NCBI): domain Eukaryota; kingdom Metazoa; phylum Chordata; class Mammalia; order Primates; family Hominidae; genus Homo; species Homo sapiens. Next base: position 59,283,149 of record NC_000015.10, on the reverse strand, counting down.
TACCTTGAGGGGTTCCAGACCAGGCTTGTGAAGGCAGCCACTGTCCTCTGACCGCCCGTCTCCCTGGGATGAGGGCAACCAGAGCCCTTTTTGTGCCCTGGAGGATGGATGCCCTGAGCATCTCAGAGAGCCTGGGCTGCCCAGGCCTTTCCCTTTCCCCTTTCCCCTTTCCCCTTTCCCCTTTCCCCTCCCCTCTCCCCCCTCCCCCTCCCCCTCCCCCTCCCCCTCCCCCTCCCCCTCCCCCCTCCCCCCCTCCCCCCTCCCCTCCCTCTCCCACTCCCCCTTCCCTTTCCTTCCCTTCTCTTTCTTTGTCTTGCTCTGTTACGCAGGCTGTAGTGCAGTAACGCAGTCACGGCTCACTGCAGCCTTGACCTCCTGAGCTTAAGCGATCCTCCTGCCTCCGGCTCTCGAGAGTAGCCTGGACCACAGGCATGTGCCACCACGTCCAGCTAATGTTTTGATTTTGTGTAGAGATGGGGTCTCGCTATGTTGTCCAGGCTGGCCTCTAACTCCCGGGCTCAAGCAGTCCTCCCTCCTTGGCCTCCCAAAGTGCTGGGATTATAGGCATGAGCCACCACACCTGGTCTTCAAAGGGACTTTTGGTGAGGATCAGAGATAGGAGCCACCATTCTAGGGTTCCTGGAGTTTGTGAGGGAAAGAGGACAGAACCGTTTTGGTAATGCTTACGGGAAGCACTTCCTGAGAGAGAAAGAATAAAAAGCAGTTACCCAAGAGAATTTCCTGCTCAGCCTCAAGACAAGCCCTGACCCTGGGGACTACTGACATGTCCCACCTGTGGCTGGGAGGGTTTTCTGAGGTGGGAGGTCTAGACAGAGCAGGGGGCTTGGGAGCCCTGATGGAAAGTGCAGGGAATTCAGAACACAAACATAGGGTAGGTTCTACTTGTGAGAACACAACCTAGACTCTCGCCTGCAAACTAAAAGGGAAATCTGGTCTTACCATGTGAGATTTTCCACAGCAGAGTAAAATGCATTTGGGAAATCGAACAGAAGTTATTTAAATTCCCTATGGCTGGACTTGAAATTGACAAGAAAAGGCCCAATAGGGAATGCCAGTGTGTCCCCAGGTGTGGAACATGGCACCAGGGTAGACCTTAACATCGGTATGTACAACCCCACACTGGTGTATTTTACAATATTTCTCTTTTTCTTTTCCTTTTTTTTTTTTGAACAGGGTCTTGCTTTGTCACCAGGCTGGAGTGCAGTGGTGCAATCATAGCTTACTGCAGCCTTGAACTCCTGGGCTCAAGCAATCCTTTCACCTTTGCTTCCCAAAGCCCTGGGATTACAGGCATGAGCCACCGCGACCGGCTTACAACATTTGTCTTCGTAGCTATTTTTACATGTTGAAGAAACAAAACTAGCACACCAAACTGGTGGATTTTATGAAGATTGTTGTGTAGGTTTAATCAAAATTATTAAGGACCATTTATAGAAAAATTTGAAGCAAGTGCTGTGGAATGTGGTTATAGGAAACTTGTTAAAATAGTTGAAAATGACTGAGGTTTAGGAAAGATTGCAATATGGTGTGGTGTATGTCAGAAAAGTCATGGGGGCCGGGCGCGGTGGCTCACGCCTGTAATCCTAACCCTCTCGGAGGCCGAGGCGGGCAGATCACCTGAGGTCAGGAGTTTGAGACCAGCCTGGGCAACATAGTGAAAACCCGTCTCTACTAAAAATACAAAAATAAGCTTGGTGTGGTAGTGCACGCCTGTAGTCCCAGCTATTCGGGAGACTGAGGCAGGAGAATCACTTGAACCAGGGAGGTGGAGGTTGCAGTGAGCCAAGATCATGCCATTACACTCCAGCCTAGGTGACAGAGCAAGACTCTTTCTCAGAAAAAAAAAAAGAAAGAAAAGAAAAAGAAAAGAAAAGGAAAAGTCATGGGGAAAGTCAGACATCATAGTAATCCCAGGGCAGACATATCGCATGGAGGGTGGGACACCTTTCTGCTTCAAATGGTGTTAATATTGAAAGAACCTGTAGGCTGAAAGAGATACAAACTTGAACATGTCTTTACAAAGCGAAGAGGAAATTACGTAAAGACCTTGCTTTGCGAGCTGTGGTCTGGTGATGGGTGGCTTCTCTTGGGCAGCTTGTCATCCAGGACCCTTGTCCTCATCCTCTAGTGGGTTGGAGGTGAGGATGGGGGAGGGGGTGGCAGCTACAAAAATTTCTGCAACAAAGCCTCTAAAACTGGGTGATCATCAGCCTCACCAGTAAAGCCACTACACAGTTCCTGACGTGAGATTAGTATTTGGTACAATGCTTCCAGAGTAATCAAAATTTTTATAATATTTTTTCATCTGTGATGATATTAAACAGTGATATTTGAAGAGTACCTGGCCCTTAGTAAATGTCATGCGCCAGAATATATCACACCTAAGATGCTACTGGTTATAAAAGGAGCATCATTATTTTATTTACAGTATTGAAAAATAAAAAAAAACTGCCAGTTAAGCTATAACACATCATTGATTATAAGACATCCTTTTTTTTTTTTTTTTGAGATGGACTTTCGCTCTTGTTGCCCAGGCTGGAGTGCAATGGCGCGATCTCAGCTCACTGCAACCTCTGCCTCCCAGGTTTAAGCAATTCTCCTGACTCAGCCTCTGGAGTAGCTGGGATTACAGGAGTGCACCACCACGAGGCTAATTTTGTATTTTTAGCAGGGACGGGGTTTCACAATGTTGACCAGGCTGGTCTTGAACTCCTGACCTCAAGTGATCTGCCCACCTTGGCTTCCCAAAGTGCTGGGATTACAGGCATGAGCTGCTGCGTCCAGTTGATTATAAGACATCCTAATTTCAAAATGTGAAAATGTGAAAAAGAATGCATCTTAGAGTTGATGGAATACATTAACTGTTCATTTACAACATCTTATCTTTGAACTGTTCATTGATATAGAAAATGATCCTTTTGAGATTGACATTTCAGGCAGAGAAAGTAAAAGAAAGCTGTCGTGTCTCTTCTTTCTGGGAGCCTATTGTTAAAAAAAGTTTGCTATATCTGCAAGCTGGAATAAACAAAAAGAATTGGAGACTGAGTTGACATGAAATAATAAAAAATATGGAAAACAGTGTCAGACATTTATATATTTCATTCTGCTTAGCAAGACTTTCACATCCATTATCTTATTTGATCTAACTTTTTTCACAATGAAAACAGCTCTGTGTGTGTATATTTTATATATACATACTCAGAAAAATAAAACAGTGCAGAAAGTACACTGAGATAAACAACCACAACATTTTAACAACTGTATTTTTGTACAGAGATAGTGCATATAAATACTATCATACGTTCAATCAAAACAAAATTGGGGCTCCTTACCATCCCTTGTTATTTTCAACAAACCTTTTTTTCCCTCCCCCTTCTAACCCACTCAGCCAATGTTGCTGGCTTGGTGTGCACCTTCCATGCACTGGATCATGTCATCATGTAAAACCAGCTCTACCCCTAAAAGGATTGGGGGTGGTTTGATGGTCAGTCTTATTTGATCTTCCCAGTGGCCCAGGGGGGAGTGTAGTGTTATGAACCCCTTTTTGCTGAGGAGGGGACAGGCTCCAAGAGGTTGACTGATTTGTGTGACACCCTATGGCTAAGTGGCACAGGGTCTTGGCTGGGAGGGCTAGTCTTTGAGAGTTGTCCTTGGCTTTTTTGAGATCAAGTTGGTCACAGATGCAACCTAGCAGCCTGAGACAGTCCCAGTTTATGTGCCTTCCTCCAGCTTTATCATTAACAACACTCTCTTCTGCATCAAAAGTGTCCCGGGCTGAATGATACATTATATGTTTGCTCTAGTGGTGGAACACTTCTCCACCGGGGGCCAGCTCTTCTAGGAAGGTTGATTCCAGGCACCACTGACTAAGAGATCACTGGACCCACAGTAGACCTGGAGCCTGTGTCTACACTTGGACTTAACGATGATATTGGAAGTGAGCTTTGGTATCGCAGAAAGAGCAGAGAAAAGGAAGTCAGAAATCCCTGTGTCAGGTCTCAGGGATGAAAGGAGACCACGTGTATGTGAAAATGCTACACAAATAATGAATCTGTGGTATGGTCACATATATTTAAATGGATGAAACTTTATGAATAAGCACATACTCCATATTCATTGAGTATTCCCTTCCCCGAGCCTCACGTGCCACCCCCTCAGTGCACTTTTCCACCCACTCCAAGCAGAGGCAACATGGTACATTATGACCCCAAGCTTCAGTTTCTCCATTTGTAAAATAGTGCAGAAATTATAATACTTGTGTCTTGCAAGTGTTGTGAGAATTAAATGAGATAATTATGTAAAAAGCATTGGCACGTATTTCTGGTTTCAGTAAATGTTCCAATTATCTAGGAGTGTAAGGGGTTGAGAGTGGGTTGTTGGCTACTGACTACCCTGTCCCCCATGCACTGTTTCAGGAACACTTTTTCCTCATATTGTACTCTGTGCACTGAAGTCCAGCACACACATACTTGCTTCAGAGACACATCTTCCCATCACCAAAATATTAGGGGTTTAAATTTCATAAAGTTGAAATAAAGTGCAAGCCCAATGCTGGTTTGTAGACCAGTTTGCAAGCCCAGTGCCTTGTATGTAGCAGACAGACAAATATTTTTGGTTGATTTTTCATCATTTGCAGTGGAAGTAAATGTTTCAGTCCAGTAAAATGGCAGAAATGTAAAAGGTGGAATTCCAGAATGTCTTAAAATTAAAATAGGTAGTCCCTTTCCTGTTATTACTCACGGAGACAGAAAAATCCCATTACAAAACAAGCTCAGTTTGACTGCAGGCCAGAGTGTTACCCATTGTCCATTGTTCACCGTAAGAATATGGTTTATCTGCTTCTCAGGGTGATCTACTTATAACACTGGGGGCATTCTAGTCCCAGGTTTTCTGAAATCAAATCTGCTGTCCTGTTGTGCTCATGGGCCAACTAAATGGCTCAGACATGATACTATCTTACTGTCCACACAGCGTCTTCCAATCACCTTTCAAACCTGGACTTAGCATAGAATCCAGTCTTAGGACAGTCCTGGCTTTTGACTTTGAGAGCCTGGTCAGTGCCCAACAGCAACCCAGAAAATGCTCAATTATATTGATGTTTCTATTTATTTTAAGATTTTACTAACACATGCATATGATTAAAAAATGTAAACTGTACAGAAAGGTCTAAAATGGAAAATAAAGGTTACATTTCTCCTAAAACTCCAGGTCTTCTCCCCAAAAGTACCAACAAAACAATTATAGCAAACATGCCGTTTTAAAAAAATTACACAAATTCAGTAATTCCATATGTATTCCACATATTGACTACTCTTTCAATGAAACAGTATCTTCAAGCTCTTTCCATATCAGGACATGCAAGTTCCTTTAATGACTGCAAAGTACTCCTTTGCAGAGCATTCTGTATTCTAATCAGTCCCTTAATGATGCTTCTGTTTCCCTATTACAAACTTTGCTACAGTGAACAACCTTGCACATGTATCTTTTGCAGGTGTATCTTGAGGTAGTTTCCTAAAAAATACAGTTGCTGGCTCAAAGAGGATGAGGCTTTGATGTTTTTTTTTTTTTTTTTTTTTTTTTGTGGGGGGATGGAGTCTTGCTCTGTTGCCAGGCTGGAGTGCAGTGGCCCGATCTCAGCTCACTGCAACCTCCGCCTCCTGGGTTCAAGCAATTCTCCTGCCTCAGCCTCCCGAGTAGCCGGGACTACAAGCTCATGCCACCATGCCCAGCTAAATTTTGTATTTTTAGTAGAAACAGGGTTTCACTATGTTGGCTGGGATGGTCTTGATCTCTTGAGCTTGTGATCCGCCCACCTTGGCCTCCCAAAGTTCTGGAATTACAGGTATGAGCCACCGCGCCTGGCCCAGACTTTGATTTTTATTTAGTTAACTATGTTTATATATTGGTCTGTGTGTCTAAAATTTCAATACCGATTTCTAAATTGCTACCTAAAAATACTGTGCAGTTTACTCTTTGTAGAAGTTTGTAAGAGTATTGATGGTCACCTCCTCCCCACTGCCCTGTACGGGGTGGGGGACCTTGTTGTATTTACACAACACACTTAATTGTCTCCCTTTTCTGGGCATTTGAAGGCATTTGAAGATAGTGGTTACCAAGTATATGGGTAACTCCTCCTTTCTCCCAGATGCATCAAAGAACAGTGCTCCCTGGGACACTAATGAAGTGTTTGCAGAACCGCTGCCGCGTGGGGCCAGGCCTACCCTGGGGCTGTCTCCTGGGCAATGAAGGTGGACTTTCAGGAGAGAATAATCCTTCCTGTGTATGCTGACTCACCTTTGCTCTTCCTGGTCCCCACCCTGGTAAACAGACACCAGTCAGTGAGGTTCCACCTTTGAAAAAATCAGTCAGGGAATCACCCATCTGAGGTTCCCAGCCTCAAGGCCGAGTTCTTCCTGTGTGTGAGGGACTCTGGTGTTTGGGTTCCACCTCTTAAATGTTAGCAACAAACCAGGCTATTATGTGGATAGGGGCGTACCCTACTTTCCAGAACTTGCACATGAATCAACTGCTTTTTAATAAACTACGTCATCCTTAGAAACGGAATGTGGATCTGAGAGTGTCTGCACTCAATCTCTATCTAATGGAAATTTCTCCGTCATAATTTGTAGGAAGTGTCAGGGATAAGAGTAACTTTTCATTATTGTTATTATTACGTTCATGTCGTAGCTGGCACGCCCGCCACTGCCCTCCTCCCTTTGTACAGTGTGCTGCGCTCACCAGGAGCTGCTGTAAAATGCAATACCTTGCTGAGTATCCACCTGTTTAAAATGGTACCATTTTTAGTGGGGGGAGCAAAAGGGAATTACTCAAAAATGAAGCTCGCCTGAGAGTCATGAAGTAGTAGCCCAATAAACAATGCCTTTGCCCTCTGAAGAGAATGGCTGCCCTCACACTGATGAGGAACCATCTCTGCTGCCCCTCTCCCAGCACACATGGCAGCCAAACCTGCCCCTGCCTCTCAGCAGGGGTAGAGGAAGAAATGAGGGGCAAAACGGGTGCGAAGGGTTAGTTGCCCCAGAGCCCTATTGCATATTCTCACAATTCTAGGGCGGTAGTTTGTGTCTTAGAACAACTTTCAGCCTCTGCTCCCTAGAGCGTAGGATAGTGCGTGGTAACAATGCCCCACCACACCGCCCATGTAACTCCTGGCATTCAGCGGCTGTGTGCAGAGGCTGTGTGCCTCTGGACAAGTCACACTAGTAGCAAATTCTGTTGTCCCCTACCCAGCAACAGAAAATGGTTTTTGTTTCACTGTGGGGAACTTTTCAGCTTCCCTGGCTGGGCTGAGGGTCTGCACATCCATGTTTGGTTTCCAGCTTTGCTGATAACCATATCACCCTCTGCTAAAGCTTCCCAGCTTTCATTGATCCACCTTGTCCTTGACGATCTGGGCAGGTCAGGTTCTCCCAAAGGCTCTGAGTTGCTCCCACCTCCAGGTTCTTTACTCTCTCCCTTTGCCTCATCTGGGTGGGTTTTTAGGGGAGTGGGGAGAATAAATGCATAGTGAGGAGTGGTCACTAAAGACAGAAGTTACCATTAGAAAACCTTGGGCAGTTTACAGTTTTTTCAGCAGTAAAATAGAGATAGTAATACATAGTATGGGGGGATGGTTGTGAAGGTTGAATGAGTTCACATATGTAACTATAATTGCCTGGCAGAGGGAGGGAGAGACAGGGAAGGGAGACAGGGAGGGAGGGCGGAAGAGAGAGAGGGAGAGGGAGAGAGAGATACAGAAACTGATATGTGACCTATTGGATATAAAAAACGTATCAAATCAAAAATAACTTTGGTGTTTTAGTCTCTAATGCTAAGAGGAGGTGGTCATGAATAAAAATTGTATGTCTTTTTAATGATACATTTGGTTTTGGAGACAGTCTGTCATTCCATTGTCATGTTAAACTTAACGGGTAGAAATATCCAATAAGTCAGTCATTCATGTATGAGACTGTGAAGAAACCACGTTTGGATGCGTCCATAGTCATCGAATCTTCGGTTCACATCTTGGCTTTTGCTACTTACTAGTCGGGAGATCTCAGTTTCCTCCTATATGGCATGGGAATGTTAACCCCTCTCTCCTAGGATTGCTTGCAGTAGTAAGTAGAACACCCTCCACAAATCAAATAACTAATTCCTTTGCATATTGTAACCACTGTCACCTTGTTATATAGACAGCAGACTGGAAAATGAGTCCTCTTTGAGCATTAGAGACTGGGGCTAGGAATCTTCAGTATCGAGTGATACTTGGAACTATGAGAATCAATGAACTCTACCGTGAGTGCTTTTCTGCTAGGAAATAACTACCATGAGAAAAAGGAGGAAACAGCCTCTGAGGTGGGGCAGTCAGGAATGTGTCTCTGTGCAGTGAGACAGAGAAAGACCAATGGGTTTGATACTGAGACAAACTTGGGTTACGCTAGGAAGGCAGTTTCTTCGGATCAATACAAACATACGCACCATGACACAGAGCTTCTCTGTTTCTTGTCCTTTATAGAAGTTGAATAAGTACTTATTAACAGCCCTTGTGTTTTATTCAACTCTGCTTCCATTTTTAGATGTCTATGGGGGTTAAAAACCAACCAACCAATCTGCAGGTTGGTTACTCTGGGACCCTAGTTTTCTGTGCAGAGTAACCGTGGGTGCCCAGAAAGCTGGAAAAGGTGGGGAGGTGAGGAGAGGAGGAATCACTGGGAATTATCTGGCTGGAAGTAGACCATGGGCATTCAATGGAAATCTAGTGAGTCATGCTGTGGCCAGTGCTTTTTTCTCTTTCTGCTTTGCCACAAGAGGAAGAAGGAGTGGTGAGGTCTGAGGTAATTTTGTAGAATTGATGCTGTATGTGGTTCTGAGAATGCCAGATATAGAGAGTTTCCTTCTGCAAGACAGCATGGGTGGCAGGCCTTCCAGAATCCCTTTCCAGAGCAGGAGCCCATGACACTGTACACTTTTCCTGTGGTAGCTCCTTCTTGGCTGATTTTAAAAGATGGCTTTTCCCAGAGCTTCTTAGAACTTGCTCTTAGCAAAGGATCTGTGTTTCCCATCGAAAAAAAAGTAAACCATTTAATAAATTTTTAAAATAAAATTTGGAATGGCTTCCATCTTGTTTCTTGTCATCTTCTCCTCTCAAAAAGCCTCCTTTTCCCTTTTTTCATCCTAGTTTTGATGTCTGAGCAGTTGGCCTTTCTAGATACCCTTATTTAGAATTTTTCTCTTCTTCATTCGAAGTCCCCCGAGCAGTGAGCAGGGAGGGGGCAGGGGCGAGTCTCACCCAGTGCAGTGCCCACTGCACTTACCCACTGGCGACACTCCCAGTAGAATGCAAGCATTTGAAGGTAAGGGAGGATCTTCCAATATTGTCATGTAATATTTGCCATTACTTCATATTTATTAGCTTTTTTGCTGATAAGTGTAGATTATAATGAATGTCCTTCCTCCTCTGGTCTCCTCCGGCATAGATTATAATGAATGTCCTTCCTCCTCTGGTCTCCTCCGGCAAATTCTAAATATCTTAGACCTACTTCAAATGGCTCCTTTTCTGGGAAGTCATTTCTTCTGCCTCTCCCAGGACAAAGTGGCCTAACCTCCACTCCTGGAACACCCATTTTGTGTGTGTTTATGTTGACTGTTATTGACGCATGAATCACTTTATTCCATCATTATCTAGGTGTCCTTCAAGGGACTTTGAACTGCCCAAGTGCTCAGCTCCCCAAGTGCTCATGAGTCACTTTGTTCCATCATTATCTAGGTGTCTTCATAGGACTTTAAGCTCCCCAAGTGTGCCATAAGAACTTGTCACGTAGCTGAACACATGGGGGACCCCACTACAGAAATGCCAAATGAAAGGAAGCCCTGCAGCCCACAGAGTGTTCAGAGGCCGCCCCTGGTGTGAAGCTGAAAAATCCCAGACGTAGATGAGGGCCACAGCTTCATCTACCCAAGGGGGCCATGCGGGGATGAGGCCTTCCCCTCCTGGGCATGTTCCGTGATCTCGTTTCGTCTGTCCTGTCCACATCCTCGTTATTGGAGCAGTGATCAGTCATAAAAATGTAGCCTATCTTTTGAATATGGAAAGCCAGTATTACACGTATGACAGTGATAAGTTTATGAAGGGAAAGTAATTTAGATGACTTGAGAAATTATGACCGTGTGACATAGCCTTTGTGTGATACATATTCTTTCCATTTCTGGATTCTGTCATGTAGTTTGCAAAACAAGACTAGAAAGTTTCTATGTCGTTGCTTATTTTCACCGACAAATTCAACACAACAGTATGGTTGAAGGATAGTCTCATCCGAGACTGTCAACCGTGTGTTGTGCTGTATTCCTGACACTGTTTAGCACTTCACACATATTATTTTATTTAATCCTTACAGCAGCGTTGTGAAATGGGTCTGTCTCCCATTTTACAAATGAGAAAAGAGAAGTCACTTTGTGTCACTTCAGGGACACATGAGCTTAGGTAGCTTTTCCCCACTTAACTTAGTCTGTAGGTAGCAAAGCTGGAACTTGAATCCTCATCTTATTGATTGCAGAATCTTTCTCTGCACTGCTCTTTCTGCTACATTTTATTTTAAGAATATTTGGGAAATTAACAGCATTTTGTCTTTGTTACTACAGGGGAAAACAAACTATCCTAGTAATTGTATGTTTTATGTTCCCAGGGAAGCAAAGGTGTCTACCAGTACCACTGGCAAAGCCACAATGTCAAGCACAGTGGTGTGGACGACATGGTGCTACTGTCCAAGATCACAGAGAACTCCATCGTGGAGAATCTGAAGAAGAGATACATGGATGACTACATTTTTGTATCCTTTATTGGCTGCTTTGGACATTTCTAAGTGATATTACAGTGTCCACAGTTAAATTGTGGCTTTATGCTGGGTGCAGTGGCTCACGTGTGTAATCCCAGCACTTTGGAAGGCTAAGGCAGGAGTTCCAGACCATCCTGGCAACACAGGGAGACCCCATCTCTATTATAAAAAATAAAAATAAAAACTGAACTTGTGGCTTTATTCCTGGCTTGAGAAGAGCTATCTGAAAGTCCGAACAGATGCTGTGTGCTCACATTGTTTTCACCGTTTCAGAATGAGGTTTTGTATGTTTATATCACTTGGTTCAGGCTGTGCAAAGGGCAAAGATGATGCCCGGTTATTCTCCTGGCATTTCACAAAGTAAAGATGCAGCCAGTATTCATCTACTTTAATCTATAATATCGTCCCTTTGACATGCTCTAGTCATGCACGTGGTATCTGAAACCTCTGCTCTTCCTAGAGGAAGTCCTGGTTTGCAAAGAGTTCTATCAATAATGCATCCTGACTGCAAAGCAGAGACATTTGAGTCTGCACTTAAAAGACTTAAAAATGTTGCCAGTTTTTCTGCATTTTAATGTTTACTAAAGGAAATGTGAGAAGTGAAGATGGACTATTGAAAATGCTTGACGTTCTTCAGTTGTTCTTTATGTTTCAATTTTAGCTTGCCGGATGCCATTTTTTATGGGGCTTTAAAAAATGCAGAATGGAAATTTGATTCAAATATGGGTTGACTTCATTATCAACAGGGAACTGTGATATTTGCTTAAGTTCTATAGGAATTTTGTTTGATGCAACTATGTAAAGATATCCTGGTGGAACTATTGTGAGAGTTAGTCATGGACATGCAAAACTCTGTGTCAAATCTATATAATAGTACCAAAAAGTTTAACTTTGATGCCAATAGTGCCTTCTGAAAGTATGGTATCATGGATGACTTATTAAAAAGTGGAGTCTTTGCTTCTGATGTAATATACATCTTAGATTTTTACCCAAAAAGCTTGGGGAAGAATAGTTTTCACATCAGTGGCTTATTATGATTACTTAAACTGGTTTTTTGACTATTAGCTAAAAGCACGGGAACCTTTGCAGTAATAACTTTTGCAGCGGCTGCCTATCCCATCACTGGTAAGTCGTGGGGGGTCGGGTTCAACTTATCAGGTATTTAACAAACAATACTGTTAAATAATTAACAGCATTATTCCAAGGCATTTGGACCATTCTGACCAGTACTCTGCTGTTTCTTATTTACTATAAGGGAATTTTACCAATATCTGTAGTTAAACCTCTGAACCTCTGTTTTCAAGGATTAACAGATATAGTTGGATTTATTGGCTACATTATAATTGCATCATTTAAAACATTTATTTTCTTTTTATAGCACTTTGGGAGGCAGAGGCGGGTGGATCACTTGAGGTCAGGAGTTTGAGACCAGGCTGGCCAACATGGTGAAACCCTACCTCTACTAAAAATGCAAAATTAGCGGGGTATGGTGGCATATGCCTTGTAATCCCAGTTACAAGGCATAACTTGTAACTTGGGAGGTTGAGGCAGGAGAATTGCTTAAGTTTGGGAGGCAGAGATTGCAGCAAGCCAAAATCGCACCACTGCACTTCAGCCTGGGTGACAGAGCAAGACTCTGTCTCCAAAAAAAAAAAGTGAATTTATTGTATTTTTAAATGACAAATAGTAATTGTATATAGTTGTGGGATATAATGTGATTTTTTTTTCTTTTTTCTTTTCTTTTTTTTTTTTTTTTTAAGACAGGGTCTCCCTCTGTCACCCAGGCTGGAGTGCAGTGGCACGATCCCAGCTCACTGCAACCTCCGCCTCCCCGGCTCAGGTGATCTTCCCACCTCAGCCTCCCAAGTAGCTGGACTACAGGCAGACACCACGATGCCTGGCTGATTTTTTGTAGAGGTAGGGTTTCACCATGTTGCCCAGGCTGGTCTCAAACTCTTGAGCTCAAGCAACCCACCTGCCTCGGCCTTCCAAAGTGCTAGGACTACACGTATGAGCCACTGCGCCTGGCAATGTGATGTTTTAATATGTATATACATTTTGGAATAATAAAATCAAGCTAATTAACATATCCATCACTTCACATACTTATTGTGTGTGGTGCAAACATTTAAAATCTATACTCCACAATTTTGAAATATACATTACGTTATTATTTACTTATATAACTTCTGGATCAGGGTGGTGACCTATGGCTGACAGACAAAATCTTACTTACCACCATTTTTTGGACAGCAGTTTTGTTGGAACACAGCCATGCTCATTTGTTTAGTTATTGTTTAGGGTTGTTTTCACACTATGGTGGCAGAGCTAAGTAGTTGTAACAGACTCTCTGCAAAGTCTCAAATATTTACTTTCTGGCCCTTTGCAGAAAAAAATTTGCTGACTTCTGCTCCAGATACCTGTGCAGGGCTTCCTTTTTTTTTTTTGAGATGGAGTCTTGCTCTCTCGCCAGGCTGAAGTGCAGTTGGCGAAATCTTGGCTCACTGCAACCTTCGCCTCCCAGATTCACTCCTTCCTCAGCCTCCCGAGTAGCTGGGACTACAGGTGTGCACCACCACGCCCAGCTAATTTTTGTATTTTTAGTAGAGGTGGGGTTTCATTCACCATGTTGGCCGGGATGGTCTCAATCTCTTCACCTCATGATCTGTCCACCTCAGCCTCCCAAAGTGCTGGGATTACAGGCGTGAGCCACTGCGCCCAGCAGCTTCATTTAATTGAATTGTACAAAAACAGTTATGTTCAGTTGCAGGTTTTTATTTTATTTGGTCAAAATACTGAAATATGCTTACTTTATCCGGACTTAACACCGTCAAAAAATGTTAATCACTTTTACGTGCAGCACCCACAGCACATGAAAACTGGCAGTTAATTGATTAGAAGGAGCTGGGTGGCAGGATGTGGATCTGGACTGTCTGGCTTCAAACCTTGCTCTGCATAGATTTGGTGACCGAAACGTTTTGTGACCTCTGTGCCTTGCTTTCCGTACCTGTAAAATGGGAGTAATAATAAAATCTCCCACATAAGGCTGTTGTAGGGTGAAACCAAATAAAGAATGCAGCAAGTAAACAGTAAGTATGAGTCATTATTACCATGCAGGTGTGTAAGTGCTTCCCATATTTCCGAGTTATTTTCCAAAAATTCCACTGTAAACTTGTTTATTGGAAATTAAAATGCATTTTGCCACAGAAACCGTTATAAATGGAGTATTGACAAGCCCATAGAAGTCTTCATTTCCGCTGAATGTAGTAGTTGTACAAATTATATTTTGAAATGTTCTTGGAATGTGGGCTGGACTTACTGCATTATAAAGATGGAAATACGGTTTTTTGGTAAGCTGAGTATAAAAACAAACAAATGATGTCCGTAGTCAGTCCTTCATAACTCCAGGCGGCCTCACTCCTCCCAATCACGATTGTTTACTCCCAAAACACCAGAAGCAGGGACTATGTCTTATATATCTTCTTCAAAAAGCAGCATATAAAAACCCTTTAGAGCAATGTAGGTTCATTTAACATGGCTCATACCATGCAGTGAAGCAAAAAAAAAAAAAAAAAAAAATACCAAAGTCACCCAGAACCCATCACCAAAGGTTAGTTCTTATTAATCTCTTGGTGTAGAGCTTTCAGTTTAACCACATATGGCCATGCATATATGTGTGCTTTCTTGTTAATTTTAACAAAAATGGCATCATCCTGCCTCATGTATTTCTTGGTTTTCTGCATAATTTTTGGCATGGTGCATTGTATTAAGTATTCATTGACAATTTGTTGACTGTTAAGACTTGCTTTTTAAATTCAGACAACAGAATTTTTAAATGACTCACACAGAGAGGGCTGTTTATGCGCCTTTGAATTAATGCCTTTGAATCGATGACTGACTAATCGTGTGTTCTACCAAGGAAATGAGTTACTTGACCACTAATGACTTTATGTTTTAGAAATCTCTACCCACTGAATATATGGGAAGCCCAGCATAAATGTGCTTTCTATCATTAGCACAGAGTAGCTTTCAGCTTTGAGGGAGCTTGATGGATGTTTGTGAAATAATACAGGGGCTCTGCTGCAAGTCTTCCTCTGCTAAGTGGTAAAAGCATCCTTTAACACTTCAATGTTAAGGGAATATTATAATAGAATGGCATTACTGTAAGTAAGAGTTGGGTTTTTTCCTCTCCTATGTTTAATTGTTAAGACGAGAAGAGACTTGATTTCACATTGAGTTATAAAATTGCTCACTTTATCCCTTCTATATCTAATTCCTGCACATTGTCTTGTGTTGAAAGTCAGCATTTGGGGCGATCGATTGTTAATGCATTCAGGCTGAATGCACATTTCTTCTACATTAGGAAAAAAAAATCCACTTAGAAAATGCTGACATCGTTTACCAATAAAACTCCCTATTTTTGAGTTATTTGTCCTATGACAAGGTTTAATTTGCCATCTGTTTGTCATCAATGTTGCCACACTTTTTACAATTACATTGTAAGATCTATGAGGAAAACATTACAGTGTTGTCTATTGTGCATAGGGAGAGAGCACTTCTGACCACTTGGCCGACGAAAAGAGTTCCTGCGCAAAGCACTCTGTGCTCATTCGGTCCAACTTTCTCCAAACTTGTTTTTACTCAAAGACCACACTCAGGTGTGTTTGGCATTTTTAATCCTTGAATTAGGAGTCCAGATTTTCGTGCCAGACCCACTAGATTTCAAAGCAGCGTAGTTGTTCCGAGTGAGGTCTGGCCCTTGGCATCCAGTTCACTGGAGGGGCAGCATGCTATATAGCAAGACAGATGCCGGGCTGGAGCCAAAGCTTCGAGTTCCAGGCCACCCACTCTCCACGTGACTCTGGGGAAGTCAACTCACCTCCCTGTGCCACCTCAGGGATGAACCCAAGGAAGTCCACTCGACCAGCGTAGGTGGTTTTGGGAAATTCACTGACTATTCAAATAGATTTTAACCGGCTGGGCACAGTGGCTCATGCCTGTAATCCCAGCACTTTGGGAGGCTGAGGCAGGTGGATCATGAGGTCAGGAGATTGAGACCATCTTGGCCAACATGGTGAAAACCCCGTCTCTACTATAAATACAAAAATTAGCCGGGCGTAGTGGCGCATGCCTGTAGTCCCGGCTACTCGGGAGGCTGAGGCAGGAGAATTGCTTGAACCCGGGAGGCGGAGGTTGCAGTGAGCCGAGATTGCACCACTGCACTCCGGCCTGGTGACAGAGCAAGACTCCACCTCAAAAAAAAAAAAAAAAAAAAAAAAAGATTTTAAAAGTTCAACTCTTAGCATTGCCTAATAAGACTATTAAAAACAAACATTTGAGGCTGGGCACGGTGGCTCACGCCTGTAATCCTAGCACTTTGGGAGGCCAAGGCGGGCGGATCACAAGGTCAGGAGATCGAGATCATCCTGGCTAACAAGGTGAAACTCCGTCTCTACTAAAAATGTAAAAAATTAGCCGGGCGTGGTGGCGGGTGCCTGTAGTCCCAGCTACTCCGCAGGCTGAGGCAGGAGAATGGTGTGAACCTGGGAGGCGGAGCTTGCAATGAGCCAATATCACACCACTGCACTCCATCCGGGTGACAGACTGAGACTCCGTCTCAAAAAAAA
Source organism: Homo sapiens (assembly GCF_000001405.40). Lineage (NCBI taxonomy): Eukaryota > Metazoa > Chordata > Mammalia > Primates > Hominidae > Homo > Homo sapiens. The sequence goes on along the minus strand of NC_000015.10, from coordinate 59,266,672 downwards.
AAAAAAAAAGAACAGCAAAACAAAAAACAAAATTTGAAAGTTGTACTGCCATCACATTTCATAAAAGAAAATATTTTTACACCAAAAACGTAGGAAGGACATAATCTAAGAATAAAGGACAGTTTCTTTATTTTGAATAAATTAAGCTTTATGAAAAATTCAGTGCATTGTTTGTTTTTTTGTCATTCTTGCTGCAGGTCAATGAAAACTGATAGATCCACGGGCAGGCATTTGGGAACCCATCAGTTAAAGATATCTTGGGTTTCTTCTGTCTCCCAGAGTCTTTTAAATAATTGGCATTTTTTTCCTTCTGTTTTTTGGTATCATAGCTTCATATCTTTATGCAGTTTGAAAATTAACCTTAGGCCACACCTTCACCACCAAGGATTATGTGGGTAAAGACAATGATCCGAACGGCTTTTCCCAGAGGCACACCTGAATTATGCAACAGGAGTGGGAGTGAGCATTGTTGGAATTACCTGGAGTTCCCAAAGCAGCAGGAGAGCACAGGTGTCCGGAAAATAGCTAAGGTCTCTGCAGACATAGCAAGGTGGAAAAGGTGAGAATTGTTTAGATAAACAATTATTCCAAACTCTCACCGGAAATAACTACGATATGTTTATTTTCTTTAAATCAATTAAATTCTCCTTAGTTTTTCTGTAGAAACAGCCATTTTATTTTTTGAGACTTTTTTTTAAATTTTTTATTTTATTTTATTTGCTCTGTCACCTAAGCTGGAGAGCAATGGTGTGATCACAGTTCGCTGCAGCCTTGCCTTCCCAGGCCTAAGTGATCCTCCCACCTCAGCCTCCCAAGTAGCTGGGACTACATGTGAAGACCACCATGCCTGGCAATTTTTTTTTTTTTTTTTTTTTTTTTTAAGGAGATGGGGTCTCAGTATATTGCCCAGGCTGGTCTCGAACTCCTGGACTCAAGCAATCATCCCACTTGTCCTCCCACAGTGTTGTGATTATAGCACCCAACCAGAAACAGCCATTTTAAACCAAACTTTATTTTTTAGGTGTCTTCCCAAATAGTATTATCCCCAAGAACCCTACTGATAAATTTAGGGAGCAGGTACAAATTTCCCTCTTCATTTCATTCTGACCTGAGTCATTGATTCACGATTGGCCTAGAATAGTCCAAAATAAATTTTTGTTTTTGTTTTTTTTCCTGAATATCTCCTTAACCAGGCCCTAATCAGAATTTATGTAATCTACTTGGTGAAAAATCAAGACTTAATGAGATATCTCTTTATATAGCAAATTAACAGTTTTTAAAATGTTGGTCACTTTAGGAGCTCATATGCAACTGAATTCATATTTATTGAGTAACCAAGGGATTGGTGGGGAGGTGGTACCTTTGTCTGTTGTCCTGAGGGCAGCCCTTTATTCTTTGTGTGCAGTGATCAATTTGTCTAGGACAAGGCGGCAGTAACCACATTCCCTTTACAACTAAGGGAACAAGTACCCTCCTCCATGGAAGGAGCTTATTTGCCTGTTTGTTTTTCCCTGGGGATAGATGTAGACATGAAATAAACATCTTCCTCTTCTGAAGTGAAGATGGTTCTAGCAGTGCTGTGTTTCTTTAAAATTGGGTTTACCATAAGAATCATTATTACTTCATTCATTAATTGTTTGTTTGTTTTCTTTTTTGGGAGCCAGGGTCTGGCTCTGTTGCCCAGGCTGGAGTGCAGTGGCATGATCATGGCTCACTGCAACCTCGACCTGCTTGGCTTAAGCAATCCTCCCACCTCAGCAGGAACTACAGGCACGTACCAACCAACATGCTTGGCTAATTTTAAAAAAATTTTTTGTAGAGATGAGGTCTCACTAGATTGCCCAGGCTGGTTTCGAACTCCTGAGCTCAAGGGGTCCACCCACCTTATTCTCCCGAAGTGCTAGGACTACAGGCTTGAGCCACCACAACCTGCTCGTTCATTCAATTTTGATTAGGTCCTTACCAATTAGAAAAGATACTTTAAAAATCCACCTAAGGGAATTAGGTTTTCGAGTATGCAAAGCATCAGAGAATCTAAGTTAGAAGAGGCTGCCAATTTAGGGTTGCCAGATAAAATTCAGGACTGCTGGTTAAGTTTGAATTTCAGATAAACAACAAGTTACTTTTTACTATAAGTATGTACCAAATATTACTGGGGAACATACTTATTTGGAACATACTTAAAAAAATTCTTGTTTGAATGACTTTCCAATTTAACTAGTTTTCTGTGTTTTTATTTGCTAAATCTGGCTACCAGTAATAATATTAACGCAACAGTACCTGCTTATCTTAGACATTCTAGCTTTTGATTAAGAGTATGGGCGTGGGATCCAGACTGCCTGAGTTTGAATCCTAGCTCTGCCACTTATAGTGTGTGACCTTAAGCAACTTTTAAAAATTTCTCCGTGCCTCAGTTTCCCTGTACAGGCTGAGTATCCTTAATCTGAAAATTCCAAATTTGAAATGCTGCAAAGTTTGAAATGTTTTGATAATCGACACGATGCTCTTCAGAGCATTTCGATTTTGGATTTTTGGGTTAGGGATGCTGAACTGGTGGTGAGTGTAATGCAAACGTTCCAAAATATGAAAAAAAGCACAATCTGCAAAAAGCATTTTGGATAAGGGACAGTCAACCTGAAGTCAAATAGGTTGTTATTTGGTGCTAAGATGTAAATGTATATGTGTTTAATTAATTTTATGACGCCTTATTGAGTCTTGGCTACGGCATCATGGACGTCTTACCTGCTTGATAATTTTAACAGTACATGTATGTGTCCTAAATTTTCACTAATCTATCATTGGCCTCATCTGACTTTGGCAATTGGGAATACATTTTCCATGGCCCTTCTTCCATAACTCTTCAGTAATTTTCAGTTATGGCTCAATCACTGTCTCATCAGCATTTTCTCTTAGCACTATGGCCTGCCCTTAGACCAGAACTGGGCACTGCTGAAGTGGTCTTAAAACCACTTCATCTTCCCTAATAGCAATTCATGTTCCACCCCTTCAAGTATGAAGATCTTTCTGGTCAGTGACAAAGAGAAGTAAAAGCATAATCATGTCATTCTGCATGCTTACCTTTGTATATGCACAATAATCTAAAATATTATCTTTAAAAAAATTATATGATTATATGATCCATCTCACATTGATTTGTATTAAGTAGTAATAACACTGTGTCTAATAGAAACTAACAAACCATTGCCTCTAAAACAGCACCTGGCATGTTAAGCCACACTTGAAACATGCATCATGATTTGAGATATTACATGATAAAACATGTGCCTTAGAGGATATTAATTAAGGAAAAGCCATTACTATGTGCTGTGCTCACAGTGCTGAGTGTTCTATAATTATTTTATTTAAGTAAAATGAGACTATCAGGTAGGTCCTATTTTATCTCCATCAGCACCAGCCAATCTGACTGAACACCTGGGCTGGTTTTCATGGTACACAGGTCTTAATATGTAAATATAAAAATGTTCTCCTGTGGGAGGAAATCTCATAGTTTTAAGTCTTTATCTAAAACTATATATTTGTAAATAACTTTCTGTTTAACAATTTATTTGTAAAATTTCTAAACACCTTGAAATTGATCATTGAAAGAAACAGTTTTGAATGTCTCTGTGTGTTGTTTAGATTTTTTTTCTCCATGAAGTCAAGAAGTTATATTTATTCTCTCCATGAAGTCAAGAAGTTATATATATTCTATTTATTTTGTTCACTGTCATATCCCGAGCATCTAAAACAGTGCCTGGCATGTTAAGTAAGCACCCAATTCAAATTAGTTGATTGTTGAATGAATAATTGGAAATATTTTTCATGTGATCATAAGTCTTCATTTATTTTCATATATTAAAATGTGTAAAATTTTTAAGGCCCAGCATAAGCATAGCCTCTCTGAGAGGCCATCTTGTATTCCCCAAGCAGAAATAATACCTTCTTTCCCTAAACCTGATGTAGGTGGGTTTATAATTTTCTTCTCTGAAAACTACCTTATTTATGATTATTACTGTTATTTTGAGACAAGGTCTCTTTCTGTCACCCAGGCTGGAATGCGGTGACGTGATCTTGGCTTGCTGTAACCTCTGATCTGGGCTCACTGCAACCTCCGACTCCTGGCCTCAAGCAATCCTCCCGCCTCAGCCTGCCCAGTAGCTGGGACTGCAGGCACACGCCCCCATGCCTGGCTAATGTTTTTGTTTTTGTTTTTGTTTTTTTAGAGATGGAGTTTTGCTATGTTGCCCAGGCCGGCCTCAAACTCCTGGCCTAAAGCGATCCACCCCCTTGGCCTTCTAACATGCTGGGAGTACAGACAGGCATGAGCCACTGCACCTGGCCAGAAAATTACCTCATTGATGCCTTTTAATTCCTCTAAGCTTCTGGAGAACAGAGCTGTTAGTTCATCTTGTATCCCTGTATTTGTTAAATAAGTAGATGAATATTTTTTTTTATTTTTTTTTTGGAGACAAGAGTCTCACTATGTTGCCCAGGCTGGAGTGCAGTGACATGATCTTGGCTCACTGCAACCTCCGCCTCATGGGTTCAGACGATTCTCCTGCCTCAGCCTCCTGAGTACAGTAGCAGGGACTACAGGCGTGTGCCACCACAGCTGGCTAATTTTTGTATTTTTAGTAGAGACGGAGTTTCACCATGTCGGCCAGGCTAGTCTCGAGCTCCTGACCTCAAATGATCTCCCCACCTCAGCCTCCCAAAGTGCTGGGATTACAGGCATGAGCCATCACGCCCGGCTGATGAATATGTTTTTAGTGTACCTAACGGATACGAAAGTTCAAAGGAAAAAATGCATATCATTTGAGGGGAGGACTGATAACTGCTTTTTTCACTCTTTGGCCATTTTTCCTTTGTTTTCTTTTCTCCTTGCTGTACGTGTCACCCATCTTGAAAGAATGTGCTTTAGTTCATTTAAAATAATGATTTCATTTTGTAGCACCTTGGTAATTTATTACTCTTCCTTAGGAGGAATAAAGCCTGTGCTAGTTGGATGATTGCTTTCGTCTTTACTTGTAATCTTTTAGAAAACAAGTACACAAACTTTCCACTTGGACAGTCATTGTGAATTCTTGATAACATCTGGTTACTTAATTTGAAAAATGTGTAGCTATGAATATTAATGATGGACCTTAACTGAGTTAAATTCAGACATATATAGGATCTGTATTAATCTCAGTCAACCCTTTCAAGCAGATGCCATATTTTGGGGAAAAGGAAATTGAAATGTACCAAGGAGCGGTAAGTTACGTGTCACATAAATTACTGCCTTATTTAGGGCTTTTATGATGCAGACATGGTTTTTCTTGAAGTTAGCAGTACTTTTGCACTTTTCTATTATGAATTTTTTATTGGAGAAACTTGAGTGACATTGTTTGATTTTTAATGATCTGCTTTTTATTTTTATTTTTTAATTTTTATTATTTTATTTTTATTTTATTATTATTATTTTTTTTGAGACAGAATTTTGCTCTTGTTGCCCAGGCTGGGCATGATCTCCGCTCACTGCAACCTCCGCCTTCCGGGTTCAAACAATTCTCCTGCCTCAGCCTCCCAAGTAGCTGAGATTACAGGCATGCACCACCACACCTGGCTAATTTTGTATTTTTAGTAGAGACGGTATTTCACCATGTTGGTCAGGCTAGTCTTGAACGCCTGACCTCAGGTGATCCACCTGCCTCAGCCTCCCAAAGTGCTGGTGAGCCACCACGCCTGGCCAATGATCTGCTTTTTAGAGCAGAGCTCAAAAAAGCTTAGGACTGTCTAATATTTGAGCCTTATTTGCATAGAAAATTAGTTAAATAGGATGTAGGACCTACAGCTTAGGGATCTTCCTGCTTCCATATATGCCACAAAAATCTAAGGAATAAAAATCAGTTATGGGTAAAAAAATAGAGCAATGGGTACTGATTTGCAGAATCAGAACCATTGTTAAACTATGACTATGACTTCAACATGAAAAATGAATCTTGTATTACTTCATTTATTAATTTGACCCTGGTTCCTATTCATAATCAGCTCCATAGCCATTTCAGTTGTATAGTAAAAATGGAAGCTGTAATTCTCCTTAATATATTTTATTCTGTGGTTCATCACTTCCCCAGGCCTCCCCATCTCTGCATCTTTTTCCTTTCCTTTTCCTTCCCACTGCAGCAGAAGCACAAGAGTATTCATTAATCCTGACCCCTAAAAAGCAAACAAAAGAGAGCCCACACAAATTCATCAGTTGAAGTGGAAGGCAATTTACCCAGAGCAAGAGCCCACCCCATTGTTGCCAGATGAATGGTGCTGGTAGCTGGAGCCGAAGGAGGCTGCCACGCGAAAGACCTTTGATAATGCTGCCTTTATGGGAGCCCAGCACAAGGGAAACACTGTCAGCAGAGGCTGGCCCTGCCCTAGTGCCCTGATCAGCAGGCGCACAGAGCTGGCTTGGCGTCCTCAATGACAGCCAAGGCGCTGTAGATGGTAGTGCTGTGCATGTGTGTTTCTCTCCAGTTTTCTGAAAAGGGTTGCTGTATACACATCCCTTTTAGACCATTTATCTTTTGAAGTGTTCTCTTTAAGGAAATGTAGAATTTCTAAAAAATATGCTCAATTTTACTGCTAATAGTAACAGATTATTGTAAAACTGGTATTTACTGAGTGCCATGTACTATGTTATACTTGCAGCAATAATAAAACAGCCCTGGATGCTGGCTGTGTCATAACATCTATCTCCATTTCACAGATGAGGAAACTGAGGCTCAGAGAGATGAAGTACTAAAATCTACTGAGTGATGGAGCTAGGAGTTGAAGTCAGGTCCTAATGACTTTGAGAGTCTCAGGGGAGGGAAGAATCAGGTAAAGGAAATGCCCACTCTATAGTTTTGTCACAGATAGCTGAGAGGTTCAGTAAGACCACAGATAGGAAACGAGTTTGGAAAATATAGAGTGACATGCAAAGGTCAAGTATGACAGTTCAGCAGCGTTGAAGCCTTACTGGGCAATGACTTTCCCCCACTGCCCATAGCTTGCTTTTCACTCCATTTCCTTCCATTTTCCATCTTCGTGTCTTTCTTACAGTCCTCTACTTTCTCATTTTCAAAGAGTCATTAATGTTGTTTGTGCACTTGAGACCAGAAACCCAAAATGAGGGTAACTGAGAGGGGTGCTAAGGGCTAAGTTTTGGTGACACTCTCACCTAAGTGAGAACCTGACCTAAAGAGGGGAATTTTTAAACAAAATTATGAGAGTCCATTGTTTTGGACTGATCTCATGCAGTAGCCCCTAACAGACCAGACCAAACCAAACCAACATGGAATCACTCATGTTACATGTGACATAATCGAAACTTTAAAGAAACAGACCAGGAGATGCCAGCAGGAGGAGGTCCGCTCTACTCTAACCCTTACAAAAAGTAACCTAGAGTCTTTGTTCCAATCTTACAAACCCTACTGTTCTGTTATTTCTCAATGATATTTGAGAACAAGTAAGTACATTTTTACAATGGTGACAGAGTGACATCAGTGCCTAAAGTTTTGGTCAGTGTCTCAAAATTGAGAGGATGACCAAAAGAGGGAAATTGGACTGGGCATGGTGGCTCATGCCTATAATCCCAGCACATTGGGAAGCCAAGGTGGGAGGATCACTGGAGCCCAGGAGTTCAAGACCAGCCTGGGCAACATGGTGAGACCCTGTCTCTATTTAAAAACAAAAACAAAAAAAAACAAGAGAGGGGAATTGTTAAATTAAGTTTAGCCTAAAGCTGCCTCCTTACATATTTTAAGTTGGATCTAAATGTTTTCTTCTTTTTTTTTTTTCTTTTGAAACAAAGTCTCACTCTGTCACCCATGCTGAAGCGCAGTGCTGTGATCTTGGCTCACAGGAACCTCCACCTCCAGGACTCAAGCGATCCCCCGACCGCAGCTTCCCAAGCAAATAGCTGGGACTACAGGCACACACCACCATGTCCAGCTAATTTTGTTTCTTTTTTGTAGAGAGGAGGTCTCACTATGTTGCCCAGGTTGATCTGGAACTGCTGGGTTCGAGTGATCCTCTGGCCTTGCCTCAGAAAGTGCTGGGATTACAGGCATTAGCCATCACACCCAGCGCTAAATGTTTCTCTGTGCACAGTGAACTGTAGCCTAACCAGATGTATAAACAAACTATAACCTACTTTTCTGCCAGTCACTGAGTTTTGGCCAATCAAAGGTGGCCAACTATTCAAACTGTGTTCAAATAAGGCAAATTCTAAACTAATCTGTAACTAATCTGGCTGTTTCTGTACCTCACTTCCATTTTCTAGATATATATTTTTTTGTTTGTTTGTTTTGTTTTGAGACGGAGTCTCGCTCTTCACCAGACTGGAGTGCAATACTGCAATCTCAGCTCACTGCAACCTCCACCTCCTGGATTCAAGCAATTCTCCTGCCTCAGCCTCCTGAGTAGCTGGGATTACAGGCATCTGCCAACACGCCTGGCTAATTTTTGTGTTTTTAGTAGATACTGGGTTTTGCCACGTTGGCCAGACTGGTCTCGGACTCCTGACCTCAAGTGATCCTCCCACCTCAGCCTCCCAAAGTGCTGAGATTACAGGCCTGAGCCAGGGCCAGCCCTCACTTCCATTTTCTGTATATCACTTTCCTTTTTCTGCCCAAAAATCTTATGGCATATGGCAGCACTGGAGGCTCTGTGAATCTATTCTTGTTCCAGGGCGGCCTTATTCACGAAGCATTCTTTGCTCAGTTAAACTCTGTTAAATTAAAATAATAATTATAATAATCCTGCACAATCTTATTGTGGACTAGAAGTCCATTTAAAACCATATCCTGAGGTCCTATCCAGGTATCCACTCCTAACCATAAGGTTAAGGCAGAGATCACATATTCTGGTTCCTGCATAGGGTTCTTTAGGTGACCAGTCCTAGGCATAGCTTGCAGCCCTCACTGGGTAGCTCCCCCTATGAGCCCCCTGCCTACAGCATGGGAAGAACACTGGGTATCGGATACAAAGCCCCCTCATCCTAACCCCTCCCCACCAAACTCTCATCTTCCAGAGCATGGCAGTGAGCAGCAACTTCTCAGCCAGGCCCCCTTTTCTACAGTAAGTCACTGCACAATGAAATGGATTAAGTAAATTAATCCAAAGATGGATTAAGTACGTTAAGCTTCACCTTTGTATATCACTCTGTCTTTTCAAATTGCTTTCCCATCCGTCATTTACACTGTGAGACTTGCAGCTTGGACGCTATTATTCCCACAATTGTAGCTCACTGCGTCCTCCAACTCCTGGACTCAAGCTGTCCTCCCACCTCAGCCTCCCAAGTAGCTAGGACTGCAGGCATGTGCTACCACACCCAGCTAATTAAATTTGTGTGTGTGTGTGGAGACTAGACTCCAAGTCCTAGGGTTAAACAACTCTTCTGCCTCAGCCTACCAAGTAGCTTGGAGTGATTACAGGCTAGGAGTGTTCTTTCTCCATATATACTCAACAAAGTATTTCTCTTTTTAGTAATTTTTGAGGTTGTGGTAAAGGTAGGTGTCAAGAAATTGTATAAAGCAGGGCTGAAGTCAGCCTGATAATTTATTAAGCATGGAAAATGTATTTAGTTTGATATTTGTGCATAGCTAAGATATCCCATAAGATGAAATCACAAACCCAGGAGAATATCTTAGCGTGGTAGGATTTTTTTTTCCAATAGAGATGAAACAAACTGGCCAAACTAGCTTATCCCTTTAAAGAACCACACCTTCTTGCCCTCTTCTTATGGAAAGATTTAAGTATTTTTTCTGATCCATAGATAATCTCACCTAATTCCCTCTGAGGCCCCAGAATCTACAACGTGGCCTCTTAGAAAAAATTATGTAAGAGTTTAGAATTCTGGTAGAAGTCAGATCTAGGTGTTTGGCAGGCCTCTCCAAAGACCTGTTGCCCAAGTGTCTACAGAAACATTTAGAAATGGACTGTCACCTGCAGAGGCGTGTATGGGTGGAAGGGTGGGGTGTTGGAGTGTCTAAAGACACGGGGCACATCCGGAAGGCTGAATCATGGATATGCCTACGGGAGACTGCTTCCAAATTCCGTCTTAATTTTGTGAGGGTGTAACCTTGATGACCTAGGAAGTTTTATGAATTCTTGTATCATGCAACCTTTAAGATGTAATGATAGGCATTGGAACTATAGTGCACGATTCGTTTCCAAATTCAGGAAAAGAAATTGAGTGTATTGCCTATCTGACCATGATTTTGTTTTTATTTTTAAATTTTTATTATTATTTATGTATTATTATTTTTTGCTTTTCTAGGCACAGTATGAAAACCCACCACATATCTATGCCCTTGCAGATAATATGTACAGAAACATGATCATTGACAGAGAGAACCAGTGCGTCATTATCAGGTATGAAGAAGATCCTTATCAGTGGGCGTGGAAGATATGAGACTATGCTGTGGTTATGGATTTCGGTCGATAAGCAGTGGTTTTGCAACAGCTACTGATGTCACAGCCTGGTTAATGTGTCTGAGTAGCAAGCAGGTTAGCTGCTTTATCTTGCTTTATTTATAACTCTATATAATAGAGCTCCATATCATAAAACTTTTGAGCTTCCATGGGATTGCAGTAAGTATAATAAACATGTTTTCACTGTTTAGTCAGATGAATTCCTTTTCTGTAGGTCCCTATTTTTTCATTCCCTTCATAATTTAGTAGTTCATGTTTGAACATTTTTGGTGAACTTTGTCATTTGCATTGAATTTGGGGGAAGATTACTGGTAATTGCCAGCATTAGGTGTCTGTAGCCACATTTCATAATCCCTCTAGTCTGACATGGCTCTGAATCCTGGCTGGGTTTAAGTCAAGCTTGTCCAACCTGTGGGCTGCAGGCCATGGGCCACATGCGGCCTAGGACAGCTTTCAGTGTGGCCCAAAGCAAATTCGTAAACTTTCTTAAAACATTATGAGATTTTTTTGCAATTTTTTTTAAGCTCTTCAGCTATCGTTTGTGTTAGTGTATTTTATGTGTGGCCCAAGACAATTCTTCTTCTTCCAGTGTGGCCCAGGGAAGCCAAAAGATTGGATACTCCTGCCTTAAGTGCTTTTAAAATTCTGCTTATTTACAAAAATTAGCTGGGCATGGTGGCGCACGCCTCTAATCCCAGATACTAGGGAGACTGAGGTGGGAGAATCGCTTGAGCCTGGGATGAGGAGGTTGCAGTGAGCTGAGATCGTGCCACTGTACTCCAGCCTGAGTGACAGAGTGAGACTCCATCTTGAAAAAAAATAATAAAATAAAATTCTGCTTACTAACTCCAGTTGGGGTGGCTCACACCTGTAAGCCGCAGAGTTTGAGACCAGCCTGGGCAACATGGCGAAACCCCATCTCTACAAAAAAATATAAAAATTAGCCAGGCGTCTGGTGTCATTTGTCTGTAGTCCCAGCTACTGAGGAGGCTGAGTGGGGAGGATCACTTGAGCCAGGGAAGTCAAGGCTGCATTGAGCTGAGATTGTGCCATTGCATTCCAGCCTGGGTAACAGAGCAAGACCCTGTCTCAAAAAAACCAAACCAAACCAAACCAAAAAAAAAGGCTTATACCTTAGTGGAGGCTGAGACAGGCAGATCACTTGAAGTCAGGAGTTCAAGACCAGCCTTGGCAACATGGGGAAACCCTGTCTCTACTAAAAATACAAAAATTAGCCAGGTGTGGTGGTACATGCCTGTAGTCCCAGATACTCAGGAGGCTGAGGCAGGAGAATCACTTGAACCCAGGAGGCGGAAGCTGCAGTGAGCCAAGATCACGCCACTGCAGTCCAGCCTGGGCGACAGACTGAGACTCCATATCAAGAAAAAAAAAAGCTCTGCTTACTATTGTGAATATTTTCAAACACTAGAAAGTATAAGCATCCATATTCTCATCACCTAGAATTTGACAGTTCACAATCTTATCATACGTATTTGTGTTCATCTTTTTTAGTTAATTTTTCTGAGACATTTTTGGGAAAAAAAAAACCTTTTATTGTGGATAATTACAAATATACACAAAATGAGAAAGAATAGTAGAATGTGTCCCTGTATATCTATTATCCATTTTGCACTGTTGTCAGTATATGGCCAATTCTGTTTTATTTGGTCCTCCCATTCTGTCCCACTTGATTACTTAAAGCAAATCTGGCAGGGCATGGCAGTAGATTCATTTCCAAGGTCAAGAAAAGAGTATATGTAATACTAGCACTTTGGGAAGCCAGGGGGCAGGAGGATCACTTGAGGCCAGGAATTGGAGATCAGCCCGGACAACATAGCAAACCCTGTCTCCATAAAAAAGTTTTTTTAATTAGCTGGGTGTGGTGGTGCACACCTGTAGCCCTAGCTACTAGGGAGGCTGAGGCAGGGAGATCGCTTGAGCTCAGGAGTTTGAGATTACAGTGAGCTGTGCTTGAACCACTGCACTCTAGCCAGGCGACAGAGATGGTGTTTTGTTTTGTTTTGTTTTTTTAATAAAGCAAACCCAAAGATCCCCTTTATTCCTCAATAATTAGTATGTGCCTCTAAGAAATCATTCTTATCACACCTTAAACAGGAAGAATTCTTTTATAGTATCTAATATCAGTATTCCAATTCCATGATTTTCCTATAAATTCTTTTTTATAGTTGGTTTATTTTTATTTAGGATCCAAACAAGGCCTACACACCGCACCTGGTTGCTGTGTCTCTTAGGTGTCTCGGTCTTTAACAATTTTCCCTTCCCCTTTTTGTTTTCTTGGCTTTGTTAAAAAAAAAAAAAAAAGGTTGTTTGTCCTGTAGATCTTACTATACAGTCTGGCATTGCCTAATTGTATCCTATGATGTTGCTTAAGTATTCCATTGTCCCCTACATTTTCTGTAAATTAATAGTTATATCTAAAAACTTCATTAGACGCCGGGAGTGGTGGTTCACACCTGTGATCCCAGCACTCTTGGGTGGGCAGATTACGAGGTCAGGAGATCAAGACCATCCTGGCCAACATGGTGAAACCCCATCTCTACTAAAATACAAAAAATTAGCCGGGCATGGCGGCGCATGCCTGTAGTCCCAGCTACTTGGGAGGCTGAGGCAGGGAAATCGCTTGAACCCAGGAAGCAGAGTTTTCAGTGAGCTGAGATTGCGCCACTGCACTCAAGCCTGGCGACAGAGTGAGACTCTGTCTCAAAAAAAAAAAAAAAAAAACTCGATCAGACTCAGATTCCGTTTTTGGCAAAGGAAACTTCATCAGTGATGCTGTGCACTTCATGCCTGTTGCTCTCTCTTCGTGTGTCCAGATTGTCAGTGAACCCGTCTGTTATAAATCATTTCAGAGCCATTGTTTAATTAGTGGTTGAAAAATCGTTGTTTTCTAATTCTATTATTTTTCTGCAGTTATTAGTTCTTTTGCTTGGTCACCTTCAAATAAAAACTATGTGGGAAAATTAGACAAAACACTGGATTCACTGCCATTACTCACCTATTTTCAAAACAATTAATTGTTGCCCTAGCAGTCTCCCAAGGTGATGTGTTTTATTTTCAGTATTACTCAAACTAGTGGACTTTTAATATTGTACCTGTTTACATTGCAGTTATACTTTTCAAGGCTGAAATGATCCTGTTGTTGAACAGTGACACTCTTTTTTCTTAGCTCTTATGTCCTTTGGACATGACCGCAGTAGGCTCTGTTGGTTTCCTTCTTTAAGATCTTCTAGCTCATCTTGTATATTTCCTGCGTAGAATCCACAGTCTCTTCAGGGGCCTTGGTTCTTTTCTTTTTCCTTTGCTTTTCCTTTTCTTTTGAGACCAAGTCTCATTCTGTCATCCAGGCTGGAGTGCAGTGGTGTGATCTCAGCTCACCGCAACCTCCGCCTCCTGGGTTCAAGCGATTCTCCTGCCTCAGCCTCCTGAGTGGCTGGGGTTAAGGCATGCACCACCATGCCTGGCTAATTCTTTCGCTTTTTTTTTTTTTTGAGACAGAGTCTCACTCTGTCGCCCAGGCTGGAGTGCAGTGGCACGATCTTGGCTCATTGCAACCTCCGCCTCCTGGGTTCAAGCAGTTCTCCTGCCTCAGCCTCCCGAGTAGCTGGGATTACAGGCACACGCCACCACATCTGGCTAATTTTTGTATTTTCAGTAGAGACGGGGTTTCCCCATGTTGGCCAGGCTGGTCTCAAACTCCTGACCTCAGGTAATCCGCCTGTCTTAGCCTCCCAAATTGCTAGGATTACAGGCATGAGCCACTGCACCCAGCCTCTTTTGCATTTTTAGTAGACAGGGTTTCACCATGTTAGCCAGGCTGGTCTTGAACTCCTGACCTCAAGTTATCTGCCTACCTCAGCTTCCGAAAGTGCTGGGATTACAGGCACGAGGCACCGCACCCCGCTAGGCCTTGGTTCATTTTAATGGGAAATGGCATTAAGAGACCACTAAACTAGACACCAAGAGTGCTCACTGCCCTGTGTTTTCAGTGCCTATAGTTCTTTAAAAGTACAAAGCTAGGGAATATGAGCTTTTTAAGAGAAAAATGAAGTTGAAAAATTAACTGTTTTCAATTAATTTTTAAGATTTCAGAGTTTTTATTTCTTTGATTTTAATTTTTGTATCCCATTTATCTTATGCTGAACAATCTTAGTTCCTGATTACATTAGCAATTATTTGCATTGCATTGTATGCGTTTTAGACAGATAGAATAAGTTTGTTAATGCTGTTAAAGTAACAATACCAATATTATTAGTAGCAATACTGAATTCATTTTAAAATTTCTTTTCTGGTTTTTGTCCAAATATCCAATATTTGCAGTCAAAATACTGGGTTTCATAAAAGTCACTTAAAATAATCCTTTTCTATGTCAACCTGACCTACAGTTGGGTTCATTTATTTCATTTACAATTTCAGTTGTTTTGCATTTTTAAATGTAATTTTGTTTTTATAATTATGCAAAACATTTACATGGTTCCCAAGTCAGTACTGCAAAACATGAGCACTGAAGCATTTCAAGGTAAATACATATCTGAAGTATTTGGAGGTAAATATAGACTTCATGACATTTTACCCCTAAATATTTCCACATGCATCTCTGAGAAATTGAAACATTTTCTTACTGATCCGAAGACCATTATCATAACTCAGTAATTAATAGTACATTTTCAACATCATCTAAAAACTTCAAACTTCTCTAATAGTCGCAAACGTCCTTTTCTGCTGGTTTATGCAAATCAAGTAACGCTGACTGCATTTGGTTATGAATCATAAATTTATTTTTATCCTACCACAATTGCCCTATTACTGCTGTTTTTTTTCATGACACTGACTTTTTGAAGAGACCAAAACTAGTTTTCCTACAGACATCATTTACATTTGTCTAATTGCTTCTTCCTGGTCTCACTATACTTATTCCTTCAGTTGGATTTTCTACAAGTTTAAGGTTATATCTAATGACTTGATCAGATGCAGGTGCAAGTTAAATTTTATGAGGAGGAACACCTGGGTCATGTTGAATTTGGTTGCTTAATAGGAAATGCTTCTGTTTGATACTAAGCGGAGGTCACCGACTACTAGAGAGGCAGGAGGTATTTTCCTAGCTGGAATTTAATGAGGGTCCAGGATGAGTTTTCTGATAGAGTCCTCTGCCCTTTCTCTTTCCTCACATTTTCCCTCTTCTGGGTGTGTGCCAAAACGAGTGGGATGGGAATGGTCTTCTTACATGAGCTTGCTAGTCTGGAGGCCCCCTCAGTCTTCTGCAGCCCACGTGTCTCCCTCCACCTGCACTGCAAGGTCCACCTGCACTGAAGCGGGATGATGCCCACTTCAGATCCTTGTTTCCAGCTGTTCAGGTGGCAGAGATTTCAAGGACCTGCTCCCAAGGATTTCTGTTGCAGTGGCTGTGTTTTCATTTAGGAGATGTGCTTTAATTTAGGAGCTACCTGGAGTTGGGCCAAACTCCAGGTTAAGGACACAGGCCTCCTCGGTAGACTGCCCACCCTGCAGACATCAGCTGCATGTTCAGGGCTCCCCAGGCCACCCTCATCAATTCAGGGGTTCCCACTACCCCCCGCCCCCGCCAGGTTCAGTAGTTCACTAGAACAACTCACAAAACTCAGAAAAGCCCTACACTTAGGATTACAGTTTCGTTCTGGCAAAAGGAGGATACAAATTAAAGCCAAACAAAAGAGGTTGAGGGCGAGGTCTGGGAGGGTCCCGAGGTGGAGTTTCTGGTTTTCCTCTCCCTGTGGAGTCATGGACAGCGCTACCTCCTACCGGTATGAGGTGTGACAATACTCACAGTATTGCCGACCAGAAAACATCACCTGAGCCTCTGATGTTTGGCCTCGATCACGCACCGCCTGCCTGGCCCACCTTCAGTTTCCAGCTGCTCTCGAAGGCTTGTGCAAATGCCTTTAGTTTCCAGTTGGAGGTCAGAATTGCGATGGTATGTCCCAAAGCCCCCGACATAAATCATATCGTCAGACTCTCCTATGGTCAAAGCCCCCAAGAAAGGAAAAGCACTCCTCTTAGGTAGGACATTCCAGGGGCATAGACATCACCGCCCAGTCACCGAGGGCAAAAGCCTGAGCCCTTGAGTTAATTCTCTTCTGCACCAGGGCTGTGGTTTGTCTGCTTTGAGAAAGCAAATTGGAAACCTCTGGCATGCCGTGGTTCATGCTCACCTGACCCTGGGCAGCACGCCTCACACCTGTCTGGGCCTTGGCTTTTTCACCTGTGAAGGAACTGGTTTTGGAACTCTTCCTTCCAAATAATGTTGGAGAGGAGGAAAGGCAGGGAAATCCTGTTCTGGGTGGAAAGGCCAAGTTTGTAGCCCCTGACACTGGATGGGGCAGGTGCTCCATCTGTTAGGGGCCGAGTTGAATGGTGCCTTTTAAAATGTGTTTGTGAGCAGAAAACAAACGAAAAAACCATTTTCTTGGAGGCTGGAAGAGAAGCCTGCTCCTCATGCTAAGGGATTCTGGCATGGCTGGAAAGACTAGGAATCTTTAGTGTCATTTAATTAGGAAATAAAAAGTGAGCGATGACCTAATTTCTATGGTGGTGTTTTAGACTTCCACCTCCCAGTTTCCCTGGTGTGACTTTGTCTAAATGACACTTTAGATGGCATAATGCAGCCCATAAAGGCGGCGTTTCTAGTTTCCTGTCAGTCTTACTCATATTTTCCAACGCAGTGGATACGGTGACAGGATGGACAGGCACCTGACCATTTCAAGACTAGAAATGAGTGTAACAAATCGGATTTTTTTTTTTTTTTTGAGACAGAGTCTTGCTCTGTCACCAGGCTGGAGTGCAATGGCGTGATCTCAGCTCACTGCAACCTCTGCCTCCCAGGTACAAGTGATTTTCTTGCCTCAGCCTTCTGAGTAGCTGGGACTACAGGCACCTGCCACCACACCCAGCTAATTTTTTTTGTATTTTTAGTAGAGACTGGGTTTCACCATGTTGGCCAGGGTGGTCTTGATCTCTTGATCTCGTGATCCACCCGCCTCAGCCTCCCAAAGTGCTGGGATTACAGGCGTGAGCCACCGCGCCTGGCCACAAAGTGGATTTTGAAAGAAATAAATCAAGGAAGGAGACGTGCTGCTTTCTCAAGCACAGGGCTCCATGGAAGCCTAGGTCCATCTACAAACTTGATTTGTCAAAACAGCTGGAGTTGAGCAGCCTTGGGTAGACTGACTTGCCAAGCAAACTCACAAGGAAGTGTGAATCAGACCCCAATTCATTATTGCATAGGCAGAATTCTGCCTGTGGACAGCCGATTATGTGCCCTGGAACACAGTCCACGAAGGGAGCTAGATTACCACGAGAACGCTGGATAGAGGGGTGAATTCTGAGCGAAGGGATGATCGTATTTGCTAAATCAGCTCACAGCAGTCACCTCTATCTGAAGATGTGAACACATGAACTAAGGGTGTTGCTCTAGTCTGCAGAACAGTCTTTTTACTTGGAGAAAACCCCCCATCTCTGCTGTTTACTTTCCTGTCCTGACTCTGCTGTAAGTCAACCCCCTTTCATTAACCTACACTCTCTCCTGCCAAGCCCTGATGTCTATTAGGCCAACTTCTAGTAAGGAATAAACACCTGGGGTTGACCTTGGATATTTCCTATGCCTTCCTCCTCAGCCCACTGGCAGACAAATCAGGAAGAGTGGCTTCTATGGATGCTAACTTTTTTTTTTTTTTTTTTTTTTTTGAGATGGAGTCTCACCCTGTCGTTCAGGCTGGAGTTCAGTGGTGTGATCTCGGCTCACTGCAACCTCCATCCCCCCGGGTTCAAGCGATTCTCCTGCCTCAGCATCCCAAGTAGCTGGGACTACAGGCGCCCACCACCTTGCCTGGCTAATTTTTTTGTATTTTTAGTAGAGACAGGGTTTCACCATGTTGGCCAGGCTGGTTATGAGCTCCAGACCTCAAGTGATCCACCTGCCTTGGCCGCCCAAAATGCTAGGATTACAGTTATGAGCCACCGCACCCGGCCTATAGATGCTAATTTTATCTACCATGCCTTGTGTTCACTAATTTATCTTTTTTTTTTTTTTTTTTTTTTTTTTTGAGACGGAGTCTCATTCTGTCACCCAAGCTGGAGTGCAGTGGCACACTCTTGGCTCACCACAACCTGTGCTTCCTGGGTTCAAGTGATTCTCTTGCCTCAGCCTTCTGAGTAGCTGGGATTACAGGGGTGTGCCATGACACCTGGCTAATTTTTTGTTTGTATTTTTTAGTATAGAAGGGGTTTCGCCCTGTTGGCCAGGCTGGTCTTGAACCCCTGACCTCAAGTGATCTGCCTGCCTCAGCCTCCCAAAGTGCTCTGATTATAGGCGTGAGCTGCCATGGCTGGCCTAGGTTCACCAATTTAACTTTCTAGGGATAAGTATTTCTGATTCCTGAATTGCCTTACTAGTTCAGTGGCTCTACAGATATGTAGGCTCCACCTCCAGAGATTCTGTTTCAACTGATTTGTGGTGGCCTTGGAGCATTAATACCTTTTTTCAAGCTCCCCCAGCTCACTCTGCTTAAAAGCCAGGGCTAAGGCTCTTGAAATCCTGATTTCAGGTCACCTCTTGCTGTTAGCACCATCAGACCCCGCAAGATAGACTTCCTGAGTGCCTGCCCTCTGCTGGTTGCTTTCGTATAGGTTGTCTCTTAATCCTTACCACTCTGTTGGCATTGTTTTTTGAAGCTGCATCTAAAAAATGAGGCTTAAGAGAATTCCAAGATCCAAAACTAGTAGATGGCAGAGCCTCTATTTGAATTTAGCCCTGTCTGACTTCAAACCTTATGCACTTTCTTTATACCTATTAGCAGTGATGTCTCTCTAGGTCTCAAATTTCCCATATTTTAATGGAGATGTAATAGCTACCATATACCATAGGACAGAGGTCAGGACAGGTTCGCCAGGTTAGTTACCCCTGGACTTGAGCTCCTAGGATTAAAGTCTCTCACTCTGTCCCCACAAATACAGGTGCTTTTTTATTTTAGTTTTTGAAAAAGAGTCTCGCTCTGTCACCTAGGCTGGAGTGCAGTGGCACAATTTCAACACACTGCAACCTCCGCCTCTCAGGCTCAAGCGATCCTCCCACCTCAGCCTCGCGAGTAGCTGGGACCACAGATGCGCACCATCATGCCTGGCTAATTTTTAAATTTTTTGTAGCGACAGGGTCTTCTTATGTTGCCCAGGCTGGACTCAGGTGCTTTTTAAAACTAACCCTTTGTCATTGTTGGCCGTGATGCTCTCTGCATACCCAGGAGGATGATGATTGGGCTTGTCATCAACGGAGGATAAATGACGCACAGACTTAGTTAACAGAAGAACATGACCTTATTGACACATTAGCTTTGATTTCTTACCAAGAGGTGAAGATGCATTTATACACCAAATGGCCATACCTGGGCAGTTTCTGTATTTTACCTGACTTGTTATCCAGTGGATTTGTCTGGGGGCCAGAGCTCAGTCTTCCCCTTCTTTTCATGGTTCTCTATGGCCTATTTCTATATTATAGCAGGCCTCTGAGCAGAGACATGATAGCACTGACACCTGGTTCAAAAAGATAAGGTTATTGGTAGAAAAGAGATGGGATGTTGAGGGAATATGGAAATCTATTGCAGCAGTGAGGGCCTGACCTGAGTTAGAAAGGCGAGGAGGAAGCCGACGTATGACTTTCAGTAAGCCTGTAAAGAAATAAAGGAATGGGCAAGTGTGAAGGTAGACTCTGGGCAGTGCCAACAGAAAAATGCAACAGCAATAGCTACATTAGCATCATTAAGAATGATAGTGAAGCTGGGCATGGTGGCTCACGCCTGTAATCCCAGCAGGTGGGCAGATCACCTGAGGTCAGGAGTTCGAGACCAGCCTGGCCAACATGGTGAAACCCCATCTCTACTAAAAATATAAAAATTAGCTGGGTGTGGTGGCAGGCACCTGTAATCCCAGCTACTTGGAAAGCTGAGGCAGGAGAATCACTTGAACCCAGGAGGCAGAGGTTGCAGTGAGCCAAGATGGCACCACTGCACTCCAGCCTGGATGACAGAGCAAGACTCTATCTCAAAAAATAAAAAAAGATTAAAAATTTAAAAAATTTAAAAAAAGAATGATAATGAGCACCTGAAGGCTTGGTAGGTACCTGTGAGCCCAGTAAATGAGCCACCCATATCTGCTTAGCTCATTAATCTGTTCTCCAAAATCCAGAATTTGGATTTGTGCATTAAAACCACATATGTGATACCTTTGGATGTCAAGAGACATCTCTGCAAATCTGTTTAACAAAAAGGTCATGATGTGGTAAAGGAAGAACTGGCAAGCTTTGTTCATGATCTCTACCATCTCTCCATCACCAGACAAGATCTTGACAATGTGGCCAGAGGCATTTCTGAAGCCCTTGCCAACTGACCCATGGAGAATCATCGGGCCTTGGAGAACATTTATGTGGCAGTTTTATTGCTGCCATCAAAAGTGAATTCTTATCACTTTTGGCCTAAATCAGCTCTTGCACCTTAGGCTGTTTAAAAAATATGATGTCAATTGGAAAGCATCCCATTTGGTGCTGTTTCTACTTTTTTTATTTGAAGTATCCTGACGCAGTTGTTTTCTGGTGAGTAGACCATCTGTCCTAAATATATCCAATACCAGTTTGCAAAGTCTTTGTCAGGTGCATCCTGCATAGAAGCTAAATAAATACTTTTTTAAATAATAAATAGAGGCGAGAGATATTTTGAAGGTACATCAGTGGGATTTGCTGACTGATTGAGTAAGAGAGTTTTCATAGAGGAAAAGGAGATAGTAGTCATCACTGGAGCTAAGATTTCTGACCCGTGTGCTTCAACATATATTTTAGATTTGAAATATGTAATTTTTGCAGTAGTAAAGATAAAAGGGAAAAATTCCCAGTGCCGCTCATATTTGGCTCGTGGGTCTCTCGTGCTCTTTGCTGTGGCACCATCAGGTGTCTCCGGATTCTCAAGCTATCTTCCTGCCTTTGATGTATTTCAGGAACCTTTTATTATTAGCATGGGGACGCTTTTCAGGGCTCTCCTGAGTTGCTGTGGGTCCACCCAATTTCTTGTTTATCCCAGCAGCACCGGCCTTTGACCTCGCCATCCCCCTGGCCTGGCTTTGGGAGGCCCTGTCAGCCCATACCTCTGACTATGACGGGGTTGCATGGGGCTGCCGCTGGCTGTAAATCTGAAGAGCAAGGGCCTAGATTGACCCTGTTCCCCAAGCTTTCTGCAAATCTTACATTCTAGTCTGGTTGCTAAAATTCCTTTATCATCAGCCAAGGAGTGCTATTCAGGAGGGCTGCCTAATTAATATATTACCCATAAACATAACAGCAACTCTTTTTCGAGTACTTGCTTTGCATCCTTTTAATTGTATCATTTTTCATCTTTACGTCAGCCTAGCAAACTAGGTATTGCTGTCCCCTACTTTTGCAGATCAAGAAACTGAGTCTCAAAGAGGTAATGAAACTGTTAAAATCTTGCATTTGAAATGTGACAAAGTTGTGCTCCCAGCCAGAGCTGCCCGCCTCCGATACAGCAGTCTTTATACTTTTCTCTGCTGCTTTGAGCCAGCAGGTGTTAGGTTAACTGGTTAATAATCCATTACCACTTTCAGTCATGAGGTGCAGTGGAAAGACCTCTGGGGTGAGTCATAGGGTAGACTCTATTCTCTCTGTCTAAGGCGTGTGACCCCTGCAAGCCTCAGTTACTTCATCTATAAATTGGGAATTTATACCTTAAAGGAATATAAAGAAAGTGTAATGAGGAAATATACATGGAAAACATTTTTTAACTCTTAAAGAGTAATGTAAAAGATCTGCTAGTAACATTCAAAGGAATTTCAGAGCTGGGAAGTAGCTGGGCTGGGACTCAAACTTGGTCTTCATACTCAACATTGGGTTCCTCTGACTGCATCAGGCTGGGCCAAGATGAGCATTGCCATGGGGCCATCCATATTCTTGGCAGAGTAGGTGAAAATTTTGTTTGCTTGACAACACCAATTAACTAGATATTTGTCTGGGGTTGGGAAGAAATAACAGCTGTTGGTCTTATTCACACTTTCCTCAATCTGTTAAGGAATGAATTTGTCTTATTTAGCCAGTGGTTTCAGCATGGCTGTTTGTTTTTGTCTTTTATACCATTAGCCATGGCATGTATTTGAGAATTAGTTTTTTAGTGTAATTCTAAAGTCCGATGGAGGACCCCTCTCTCCATGACCCTGGAACCTCCCAGATGTGCTTCACCTCCGACTTGTTTCTGTTCCAGATCTAGTAGGGCTGCCAGGAAGCGGAGTCTGTGAATTGAGCCATTGGAGAAGACTGTCCAGGACCTTCTTTGATGTGGTTTCTCATTCTCGCAGAATTACTTTGTCTTATGATCACAGTGATGTAGGCTATTTATTATTTGTTAGTTCCAACTCTGCGTGAGGTAATAAATGTTGTTGGCAGAAGGCTTGCTTAAATGGGTGTGTATCAGTAAAGACTCAGGAGTAGCTAAAAGTTTGCTGATACTATGAACTGTGCTGTTCATGGGGTTCCTTTGTGAAACCTTGTTGATTTTTATTGACTAGTCAACCCATATGAGGGTCTTAAAGGTTTACCGTCCTCTGAGCAGTAGAGCTCTTGCCCCTGACACAGACTCTCTCACCTCCTTTTCTAGCTCTTCCACTCACTAGCTAAGTGTCCTTCAGCAAGTTTCTTACCTTTTCTCACTTCAAATAATGGAGATTATAAAAGCACCTACCACACAGGACTCTTATGTGGACCAAGTGATTGACACATGTAAAGCACTTATAACAGTCTCTGACATGCATGATACACACAATGAACACATCGTACCTCCAATTATCATAGCCACAATATTTCAGTGTGTTCCTTTCAAGCCTCCTTTGGAATTGATGTTATTTCTCATCGTCTAGACTATGTTTTAATAGATGAACAACTGCGTTCATCTTTTATAACTCTAGAATTACAAAAATTGGTTTTTAAAAACTATCACTATATTTTTAATCCTTGGGTTATACCTTTTGAAATAAGAGTTGTGTTCAATACTATATCTCTCTATATTTGAAAAAAAAAAAAAAAAGCAGGGTCTAATTAAATAAGTCCAGTGGGAATTTCCACTGTCTTGTTTATCTCCCTGACACATTGACATGGTTAATCCCAACTCCGTTGGCCCCCATGAAGCCACATGCATCTTCCTGCTTCTCTGTGTACCTCTCTGACTTTTCTATCTTGTTCTCTGTGTTTGCCATGTTTTTTGCCCTTTACAGCTTTAAAGAGTTCAGGCATTAAATTTTGTGGGATGACTTCAGGCTGAGTCTACCCATTTCCTCGTGACCAGGCTCAGGTCATGCATTCTAGGCTGGACTACCATAGAAACAATGCAGGGCTCTTGATCACCTGGTTCTGTAGGCATCTGCTAGGTTTCTTCTCATTAAATTAATTTTATTTTCTTTTAGGATGTGTATTTTGTGGGGATATATTCTCAGATCATGACAACATCCTTCTCCACATCCAAACCTCCACCTACCAGCCTTAGCATCCATTAATGACTCCTGGACACCTGTATGATGGCTGCCAAATGGTGATATATCTGTTTCCATCATTCCTTCCACATTTATTAGTTGGTATTCCACTGTGAGGAAGAGCTTTCCTTTCTCTCCTATTTACTGATTGACTCGTTTACTTTCGTATGGCACTATGGAATTATGGCTTCCTATTTTATTCAAAGGATCGTAATCCATTATTATCATTACTTATTTTGATTTGGCCAGTGGGAACCCCTTCCAGCTGGCTCTTATATGCTTGACACGTCCACACCAGTCACTGTACATTTCCTTACCTTTTGGCACAGTTATATGTTCCACGCCCAGTTTGAATTTTCCCCACTCCAGCCCTGGCATTGGTCATTTCCCAAAGCAGCCCTTGTTCTTTTTATTGAAGAATAGTATTCAGAGACCAACAAAAAGTGTGTCAATTTTGAAAACTAAGTAAATAATATATCAGTTGTTCTGTATAGGTAAAGGCAAGTTTGTCGGTATGCTGCCTTGAGAAAATGGAAGTCTAGAGTCTATATAAAATGTAGCACGAAATGGCACAGGCCAGAACCCTTGGTGCATCCCCAAACCTGAACCCAAGGTCACTGTCTTGGATCTCTGCACTGCCTTCCAGCTCCACTCCCTACCCCTCCCAGCTTCCCACATCACAGTCAAGGCCTATTATTTATTTACTTGTTTATTTTATTTTATTTTATTTTATTTTTTAGAGACAGGATCTCACTTTGTTACCCAGGCTGGAGTGCAGTAGCTCAACAATAGCTCACTGCAGCCTCAACCTCCTGGACTCAAACAATCCTCCCACCTCAGCCTCCAAAGTAACTAGGACCACAGGAGCACACTACCACACCCAGCTAATTATTTTTAATTGTTTTTATTTAAAAATTTTTATTTTTATTTTTATTTATTTATCTATTTATTTTTGAGATGGAGTCTTGCTCTGTCACCGAGGCTGGAGTGCAGTCGTGCAGTCTCAGCTCACTGCAACCTCTGTCCCCTAGGTTCAAGTGATTCTCCTGCCTCGGATCTCTTGAGCAGCTGGGACTACAGGCGCATGCCACCACACCTGGCTAATTTTTTTGTGTTTTTAGTAGAGACGGGGTTTTACCATGTCGGCCAGGCTGCTCTTGCTGCTCTTGAACTCCTGACTTAAGGTGATCCACCCGCCTTGGCCTCCCAAAGTGCTGGGATTATAGGCGTGAGCCACTGCACCCAGCCAATTGTTTTTATTTTTATTTGTTTTATTATTATAGTTGTTGTTTCTTTTGTGTTTTGGGGTTTTGTTTTTGTTCTTTTTAAGAAACGAGATCTTGCTGTTTGCTAAGGCTGGTTCTCCAACTCCCGTGGCCTCCCACATTGCTGAGATTACAGGTGTGAGCCACTGTCTCCTCAAGTCCTGTTTAACTACCCATGGTTCCCTTCATGTGTACCCCACAGAATTTTTGCCTCTTATGTATGGCTCAGGCTTCATCCCAGCCCCTGACATGTATACACACAAGTACACATACACACACGCAACACACCTGGCTGATTTGATTGTCCTTATTGAGATGTAACTAGTTGTGACTTCGTTTAGTAATCTTCTGATCAGGGATAGCTGCCACCCCCAAATCCCTAAAGCCATACCCACATCTCCACTGTGTTATTAATAGCCTTTGTATACTCGACTTCCCTGTAAGACAGTGAGTGAGCTCTTCTCTGACAGGAGCCACATCTCATTCTGGCCTTCGGCTTAACACACTGGGGCAGAGGGGGTTGTTAGACAGTGTGTGTTGCATGAACAAAAGTAGACATCATTTTTGTTTTAAGTGTTTGTCCTTTTTAAACCACAAACAAAAAGTTGGAAAAGTGATATTTCAATTACGTTGATTCAGCCAGTTACAAGGGAACACCAGTTCCTGTGGTACAGAGCCAGGAGAGAGATTTTTAGATCAGAAATGGGGGATGGGGGTGCATTGGTGAGTCGTCCAACAGTGGTAACAGCGGATCCTACTTATTTTAGGGAATATCTCAAAAAATCAAAATAAAAAAGAACTGAAATATTTTTACATTTGCTGAATAAGTTGAAGTGAATAGAAAATACTATTGACTTTTAAGTGAGGAATAACCTTTCTCAGAAAAATAATTATGGTCCTTGGATTATACCATTGTAAATGGCTTTTTTTCCCCAGAACATTCTTTCCATTTCGTTGATATTTTACCGTATGTTTCCATTTCTATAGTTAGTACACAGACCCCCCCCACACACAGACACACACTCTACAATACTTCCTATTTGAATTAATATTTCCTATAAAGTCTGTTATGACTTTGATTTAAAATTGCTTGGCTTGTTCCCAGCTGGCTATACAAGAACTAGGGAGTTTGTTAGAAATTCCTATTCCTAGACTCTGTCCCTGGAGACTGGGATCCAGCAGGTCAGAAGACGGGCCCAGACATGGGCAATTAAAAAGTACTCTGACGATTCTGATAGACTGCCAGATTTGGGAACCACTGGGATATTTTCCTAATTTCTAGAGTATTTGTGTGTGTGTGTCCATTTTATAAGTCAATTAAATTAGGACGGGCTGCCTGGAAGCGTAAACAAAGCAAATTGCTGTACAATAACTGCTGTGAGATGCAAAGTAAATAATTTGGGATATATTATTTTGTCTAAGACCTTCACTTTCTTTTAACTTGGGTTTTAGTGCCGGAGAAGAAACAATATGTTCTCATCCCAAACAGGCCAGCATAATTATGGTTGCATATACTGTAGGTTTCAAGTCATTCTGTAACATTCCATTATTGTACCATATTTTGACCAACTCACCAGCCTCTGATCAATAAAAATTCTTCTTAAGTGTCTGTAAATTGAAACCAAGTAATGAAAATTCCGATCAATGTTTAGTGAGAACTAATTATTTTAAGTCTGCTGGAAAAGATCATAGTTGCTGAGAATGCAGATATCCTATTTTTGGAACTGGTATACTTATTTTGATATATTAAAAGAGCTACTTTCCATTATTATTACTTGCTTTTGTTTCCAACAAAAGAGACAAAATATTTCATGTCTGAATACAGTATTAACCAAAGACACAGTGGGAGGATTACTGGGATTACTGTCCTTTTATAATTCTTTTTTAAATTTAATAAATTCCCCTTTATATATATTATTTTATAATTCTTATAGGGTTTGCTCACGCTTGCTCTCTCTCTCTTTCCCAGCTTGTTCTAGTAAAGTTTAAATGTGACAGTGTAAACTTAAGGAAAATATACATACTTATGGTGATATGTAGGAAGTTGAATAATAATAATGTAATGAAATTGATCAGTGGTGATTATTGTGAGGTGTGATCCCTCCCTTTTCTCTGGAAAAGCTGTTTTAAAAAATCTGAAATACACAAATTTTAAAAAATAAAAAAAATATATATATATATATTTTTTGACACAGTTTCATTCTTGTTGCCCAGGATGGAGTGCAGTGGCACAATCTTGGCTCAATGCAACCTCTGCCTCCCGGGTTCAAGAGATTCTCCTGCCTCAGCCTCCTGAGTAGCTGGGATTACAGGCACCTGCCATCACGCCCAGCTAGTTTTTGTATTTTTAGTAGAGACGGGGATTCACCATGTTGGCCAGGCTGGTCTCGAACTCCTGACCTCAAATGATCCGTCCACCTTGGCCTCCCAAAGTGCTAGGATTACAGGCACGAGCCATTGTACCCGGCATAAAAATCTAAAAAAAATAGAAAATTATGAGAAAGCACATGAAAAGGAAAAAGAGCCAGGTGTCGTGGCTCACACCTGTAATCCCAGCACTTTGGGAGGCCAAGGCAGGCGGATCACCTGGGGTCAGGAGTTGGGACCAGTCTGGCTAACATGGTGAAACCCCGTCTCTACTAAAAATTAAAAAATTAGCTAGGCATGGTGGTGCACACCTGTAATCCCAGATACTTGGGAGGCTGAGGCAGGAGAATCATTTGAACCTAGGAGGTAGAGATTGCAGTGAGCCAAGATTGTGCCACTGCACTCCAGCCTGGGTGACAAAGTGAGACTCCATTTCAAAAAAACCATTCCTATACCAGCCTCCTAACAAGTAAGGAATATTTCTTTTTCCTTGTCAATTTGTTTTTGCCCATACATTATTTTCACATAGTTGTAAACTTGTTATAAATATAGTATCTTCTATTCACATTACCACTTAACTTAGGCTGCATTATCTTTATGTTGCTACATACTCTTTGTAAGTACTTCAAATGCCTGTGCAGTATTATATTGGGTGGTTGTGCCATTGTAAGCTTGGACTTTCCAATATTCTTGAATGTTTACATTGTTTACAACTTCTAAAATGGAGTTTCATTGTTGCCAAACCGTGTAATTCCAATGAGAGAGTGTGTGTGTTGACCCTGGATCTAGTAAATACATCATCTGAGTATGTCAACCATTTGAAAAGATAATTTCCCCATGGAGTTGAATTTGCCCGACCTAGTTGCTGCCTGTGAGTAAGCATGTCCTCTGGAAGAGTGTGACACCTCGTCCCAGGCTTGCTGGTTTTCTACTTGCTACTGTAGCTTACGAAATTTCAGTTTGGTTTTCTTATTCATGTGACCAGGAAGCCAGGAGCATAGCACTAGGATGGTGAGTGACTTGCATAGGTGGGTTCAGACTTTTGCAGGTCATGAGCTCTGAACAGAGGATGGTTCCCGCCTCCCCATAATTTCTTTAAAACCGTATTATTAGTTCAAGGAAATTCAGCAAAGTTCTGAGTTTCGCTATATGGCCAGCTCAATTCTCTGTTCATTTGTTTCTTTTGTTTTGTTTTGAAATGTAAAATTATTTCAAATTTCAGTTTCCTTTTGGGAATAGGAGTGTCACCTTGCTTGGTTGTTCCCCAAGCAAATGTTTTCTCTTTCCTTGAGTAACTCAGCAATCGATAACAATTAATTTGGGCTGGATATTCATAGAAGAACATTTGCTCTGCGCCCTAAAATTTTTTATCGCGAAGCGCGAACAAAAATATTGTCCTATGAACTTGTAGCAGTCTGCATTTTTCATACTAACTCCCACCATCATTTTATATGATATGGGGTTCTTTAATTCTATCCTGGTAACACAAAGGGTACCAATAGAAAGATGAAAAATCTGACTGACTTAAGCATGTTTTGAATTGAGGTCATTATCAATTCAGGGGGATTTTGTAGGAAGAATGGGGATTTTGAAGAGCAGACTATATATTATTAACAAAAGGCTCTCCCCATGCAGGAAGGCTACCCAGCGGAAGGTGGCCTTTGTTACTCCGGATGTGATTAATATTGCTTCAAGGTTTAATTTTAGAACTTCTAAAATAAGGAAGCTTGCATCAATTCAAGGCACATGGTTTGAAACCTCAGAGTGCCCACTTTTTCTTTTCTTTTTTTAAATTACAAAAATAGCATATGCATTATAAAATGTTTGAAAACTAATGAATTAAAACAAGTTTCTCTAGTCTCTGGCTTGACCAAAGCCTTTGTTAATATTTTGTGGTAGTTCCAGTCTTTTTTTTAAGAAAAAAAAATTGTAATCATGTTTTGTATATAACTTGAATGACTTATTTCACTTAACATGATTTCATTTGCTTGTTTCCTGTGTTTACAGTCTTCATGTCAGTTGTAATTTATGTAGAATTCCACCCTTGTGATACTCCATAATTTTCCTAATCATATCCCCCATTATTGGGCATGTAAAATGCTTAATGGTCAGTGGTGTGCACAGTGGTAATTATCCACACCATGTTAATCCGGCTCACACGGGTCACATGGGCGACCTAATCCTGCTGTAACTTGCCTTTCTCTACTGGTATTGTACTTAAAAAAAAAAATTCTTTTCTGCCTGTTTTTTTTGTTTTTTTGTTTGTTTGTTTGTTTTGTGTGATGGGGGAGACAAGGAAGGGAGCTGGTCGCAATCCACTTCTCAGGTGGATTCTTTGTCTGTCTTTCTTTAGTGGTGAAAGTGGTGCTGGAAAAACAGTGGCTGCCAAATATATCATGAGCTACATCTCCAGAGTGTCTGGAGGAGGGACCAAAGTCCAGGTGAGTGGGCAGTGGCCCATTATGATACCTTATGTTATGGGAAATGTAAGAGGCTCCATTTGCTGTTAGAAAAGAATTTTTCTTCCACAGAAAAGACACTGGTTCTTCTATAACTGTGAAACTTGAAATCTGGAATGGAAAGGAATAGCATATGTATGTGTGTTTGTGTGTGTGTGTGTGTGTGTGTGTGTGTGTGTGTGTGTGTGTGTGTGTGTATATATTTTTTTTTTTTCTTTTTTGAGACAGAGTCTTGCTCTGTTGCCCAGGCTGGAGTAGTGCAGTGGCGCGATCTCGGCTCACCACAACCTCTGCCTCCCGGGTTCAAGAGATTCTCCTGCCTCAGCCTCCTGAGTAGCTGGGATTACAGGTGTGCCCCACCATGCCCAGCTAATTTTTGTATTTTTAGTAGAGACGGGGGTTTCACTATGTTGGCCAGTCTGGTCTCGAACTCCTGACCTCAGGTGATCTGCCCTCCTCGGCCTCCCAAAGTGCTGGGATTAAGGAATAGCATATTTTAAGGTAGATGTGCCTAATATATAATGAACTCCTACAAATCAATAAAAAGATCAGCAGCCCAAAAGGAAAATAAACAAAGGACATGAAAGACAACTCATAGAAAAGGAAATATAAATTACTCACAAAACATGAAAGTATGTTCACCATCATGATAAGAAGAAAAATGCAAATTAAAACTGCATTAGAAAACTATTTTTTGCCTATCAGATTGGCCAGAATCTTACCATGTTTTAAACGCTTGATTGGTAGGAAGTAGGGACACAGTTGTTCTCATACATTGCTGGTAGGAGATGAACTAGTACATTTTAATGAAGAACATTTCAGCAAAATCTGTTAAACTTACACATGTATGCCATTCGACTCAGCAGTTCTGCTGAAAAGAATTTATTCTTTAGATATGCTGAAATGTATACAAAATAATACATGTATAAAGTTATTTCTGTCAATTTTGGTAATGCAAAAGACTGGAAACAACTTAAGTGTTCATCACTAGGCAACTGGTGAAATAATTTGTGGTTCTTTATATAATAGAATATTATACAGCAATAAAAATGAGGCTTCATGTACCGATTGTACTGATAGAGAATGGTCTCCAAGATGTATCATTAATTACAAAAGACAAGGTTCAGAACATTGTTTGTAATATATGCTGCCATTTGAGGGATCAAAAGAGAGTGCACATTTGTATTTGTTTGGGTATGTTATCACATATCCCTCGAAGTATACACAAGAAACTGTCAACAATGGTTGTCTTGAGGGAGGGGAGCTGGGAGGTTGGGAGAAGGGCCTACCCTTCCTGTATACCCTTTAGAAACTTGCATGGTTTGAGCTATGTGAACCACTTGCCAATTCAAGAAACTTATAAAAATTTTAAAGGACGTAGACAGAGAAAGGATTTAAGAGAAGGAAAAAAGAGAGATTAAAGAGTGTAAAGGAGTGTTGGGAAAGAGAAAAGATCCAGAGAATGAGGATACTCAAGAGGTGAAAATTAAAATCAGCATTGGCAGGAATGAGTAAAGCCTGCTCCCCAGAGCCATGGATGAGGGTGATGGCGAGCTAAGGTCCATAAGGGGCAGCCCAAGCTTGGCGCTCATCACCAGTATGCACCGCTGGTGACAGAATTCCTTCCAAAGATTAGTTTTTTAAATCAGAATTATGTAATGTTATTGCCATGGTCAGCTGTAGACTTTCAAAAGACACATAAAATTCTCTTTATTGTGGTTCCCTTTTTTTTTTTTTTTTTTTTGAGATGGGGTCTCACTCTGTCACCCAGGCTGAAGTGCAGTGGCATGATCTCAGCTCACTGTAGCCTCCTGCTCCTGGGCTTATGCATTCCCTTCCACCTCAACCTCCCAAGTAGCTGGGACCACAGGTGTGTGCCACCATGCCTGGCTAATTTTTGTTTGTTTTTGGTAGGGACAGGGTTTCACCACATTGCCCAGGCTGGTCTCAAACTCCTGAGCTGAAGCGATCCACCCACCTGGGCCTCCCAAAGAGCTGGGATTACAGGCATGAGCCACCATGTCTGGCCCCTTTCTATTAATTAAATAGTGTTCTATCATGTACTGGTAGATCAGAAAGCTTAAGGTAGAGCCAAACATTCCTCCTTTGAGTTTGTGGATCAACTCTTTCTATCTTTTGTTTGCGGGCCAGACGTGCCTATACCATTTAACGACAGCTTCTGTCAGGGAGAGAACAAAGGACAGAATCTTCTCTATCTCTTCCCTTCTTTAATTACAGACTTTAAAACTGAGAATATTTATGGATCCATCCATCCATCCATCCGTGCATCCATCCATCCATGCACCCATCCATCCATGCACCCATCCATCCATCCATCCATCCATCCATCCATCAGTGATCAGTGATGTCCAACAGAATTTTGTGGCATGTGGTGAGCATATCAGGGAAAAGAGAAAGAGCAAACTAAGGTTGCAGAGTGAAGGGTCCTTAAAGTGGCCTCTTTCTCTGAATGAAAGGAAGATGGAGAGCAGCTCTGTGCAGTAGAAAGATGAAGCAAGCCATATGTGTAATTCTAAATTTTCTAGTAGCCATGTTAAAAGAAGTAAAAAGAGAAAAAGGAAATTACTTTTTAAAACAGTATTATTTAACCCAATATGTAAAAAAAGATTTTATTATATAATTAATATAACAAAATTAATGAGATTTTTTTTTTTTGGTACTAAGTCTTTGAAATACAGTGTGTATTCTACAGTTACACCTCAGTTGGGGTAGCTTATGGCTTCCCTATTGGACAGTAAGGGCAGCTATAGAACCTAGGTTCATGTGGTTCAGTCCACTTGCTTTTCTCTATTCCTGTGATTGTACTGGATCCTGAGAGGGTTGACATGGAGACAAGAATCCAGGATGCTGTTTTGCTGCCTTTTTTTTTTTTTTTTTTTTTTTTAGACGGAGTCTCGCTCTGTCGCCAGGCTGGAGTGCAGTGGTGCGATCTCAGCTCACTGCAACCTCTGTCTTCTGGGTTCAAGCGATTCTCCTGCCTCAGCCTCCCGAGTAGCTGGGACTACAGGCGTGCACCACTATGCCCAGCTAATTTTTGTATTTTTAGTAGAGATGGGGTTTCACCATGCTGGCCAGGATGGTCTTGATCTGTTGACCTCATGATCCGCCCGCCTTGGCTTCCCAAAGTGCTGGGATTACAGGCGTGAGCCACCGCGCCCGGCCGATGGGCTACTCTTTTACCTCAGTTTGCTCTTTCTCTTTTCCCTAATATGCCCGCCACATGCCACAAAATTCTGTTGAACATCACCGATTGTTGATGAATACATATGGACGGACGGATGGATGGATGAATGGATACATAAAGATTCTCATTTTAAACACTGTAATTTAAAAAGGGAAAAGATAGAAGAAGATTCTGGCTTTTGTTCTCTTCCTGAGAGAAGCTGAGTTTTGTTAAGTGGTATGGGCATGTCTGGCCAGCAAAAAAAAAGATAGAAAGAGTTAATGAAGATCCACAAACTCAAAATAGATTTTACAAAGAAAAGCAGAGTTTATATAAATCCATGAGTTTTTAAAAGAGAGTAGGCAGGTTGGGAGTATGTTTCTAAGCTTTGAAACTGACCCATGAAAGGACCACCCAGAATTGCCCTTGGTGCCATGGCTAAGGATGATTCCCTCGTCACAATGAAAGCCCAGTTCTCATTTCTCATGGCAGTTTCTCTTCTGAATGTTCAGGAGGGTGCCTGTTACACCCTTTGTAACACTTTGGCTGTTACATAGTCAGTTAGTAGTTCATTAATTTACTCCTCTTTGCTACACCCCTACGACCTAGTAGCCAGACTGCAGACAGTTAATGTTGATTTTTCTCTTCCTGTTTTCCTATGAGGACAATGATACAGAGCCCTTGGCTTGGAATTAGTCAGTAGCTAAAGAGCACAAGCCAGAAGACTTGTTATTTCTGGAACATGTTTAACCATAGCATGTGAATAATTAGAAGTACAAGGAATGACTCACTTGTTGAAAGACTTCTCCAACATCAAATTCTATCTATTGAGCTGTCTCATGTCTATGGTGTGTTTTGCACACTTCTGCATAGAACTGGGATGTTTGAAAAACAAATCCTTCCCCCCAGGCCAGGACTCGTTCCACACGATCCACTGTTGACCCTTGCTGCTTAAAGTGTGTATCAGTGCTGGCAAAACCAGCAACACCAGGGAGCTGGCTACAAATGCAGATTCTTGGGCCTACCCCAACCTACTAAGTCCACATCTGCATTTTGACAAGATCCCCAGGTGATTCATGAATATTAAAGTTTGAGAAACACCAGGCTATATTTCCATAACCTTGTTTGGGGAGGAGAAGTGGATTAATTTTCCTTAAGGTAACTTGCAGTGAAGCAGGTGGAGATGGGATGAGATGGGTTGGTAGAGTAGTTGGGAAGGGGTAGTGAGAAGAAAGACCCTGGCCAGAACAGCAAGGACACGCCCCTTCAGGTACCACTTCACTTTTGGTGAAGTTGCAGCAATCAATTTGGACACTGAGAACGTTTGTATGAATAGTTCCTGATTGACAGTGGGGCCCTGGCTCCTGGGGACTCTGCATCAAGCCATGGGAATTGGAAGACCCAAATACACAAACAGGTTGAGGTCTGTCATGGTGAAAGAATAAATCCTCCAGAAACCCCACCAGTGACACACGGGTGTGGGGCCCCTCACCTTAATGCATTCAGAAACCAGGTCCTTAGAGAAAGTTTGGCGTACACTGTGTGGTAGGTGTTCACACCTTCCTAACCTCCGGTCTATTTGCTGGGACAGCACGTGAAGGACATTATCCTGCAGTCCAACCCGCTGCTGGAGGCCTTCGGGAACGCCAAGACCGTCCGGAACAACAACTCCAGCCGATTTGTAAGTCCCTTCCCTGTTTCAGAGAGTGTCGCTTGATTGATGATGTTGATGCTTCTGACTGAAGTCTAGTATCCCACAGGAAATGGGAGCCTTTCACATATCATCAGGAGGCCACCTCTTCGATCTTTCCTTCATTTTCTATAGCAGCATGCCGCCAAGCTGCAGTTTGCCTTTTTTTGCGCCCCGGGGATACAAACAAGATAATTTTGAAAATCATTTTCCACATCAGTTGCCTTACTAAGGAAAATAAATGATGAAAGTGGCAGCTTTGGCCTTGGAGGAGTTGTCTTTATGCCCTAGAGAAAAGACCTTCTTTCCCAGACCAAGAAATAACTAGAGTAGAGGGGTATCCCAGGTATCATTTCCCACTGGCAGTGGTTTTGCTTCTTAGAACTTGGTCCATAGACTCTGAAGGGTGCACAGAGTTAGACTGATCTGGCACCTTGGAGAGAAACTTCCTCCTCTCCATCCCTCAGAGCGAGCTGCCTGCCCACCGCAGCCCTCTGGCTTTGTGCATCTGTCTTATGCCCTACTCATGTAACCTAACGACATCCCAAAGTGACTGGACCTGGCCTCACAGGTTGCCTCTTAACTGGCTTACCTAACTGGTAATGAAAATGTCAACCAAGTGCATTGTTATGAATGCTCATTTAGTCATGTTTCTGTCTGGGTGTCTCCAGAGGGGGTAAATAGGAAAGCTGGCAAGGCTGAATATGAATATGTTCCCCTTGACAAAAGCCACATTTACAAAGAAACAAATGTTTATCCAGTAACCTTGATTTATATAGATTTTGCATCTTATTTCAACCATAGATCATGTCTGGCACTAAAGCATTCACGGAGCCATCTGTGAGGCTGATTCTGGAACGTTTTAAAATAAATAAGTGGGAATTTTGGAGAAAAACAATTTTCTTTTCCACTGTCTATTTTGGAAAGAAGCTTCTATTTCCAAGAGAATTTTTACTATGTGCTCATATAATAACTGTCAAGTTCCCTGGTGGGTTCTATCTGTTAGACTTGCCCTTACTTTCTTTGCTTTCCAATATTATTCAAACTACTCATTTGTTTGTCTCTCATATTTGGGCCCAATGCCTGAGTTGTGTTATCCTGAAGAAGTTTTCCAGATAATAAAATAGGAAAGAAGAATTAAACAAATTTTCCACTTGAATTAATTTTCAATCTAAATCTTATAAAAATGGACTTGACCAAATTTAACTCTTTATTTACCTTTTCCCCTGTCTTGGATTCCTTGGAGACCAGAAAAAAAAAACAATTAAATTGATATTTTCATTGATTTTTGCAATATAAATTATTCATTATATTTGGAGGATATATCAGTTTCTGTAAATAACAAAAACACTCAACATTTATTATTTTTCTAATTGCAAAATTTTATACAACCCTGATAGAAAGATTGGAAGAGACAATTCAGACACACATTCACCTGCACACACACACACACACACACACACACACAAACACACACTGTCTCTCTCTCTCTCACTATTCACCATCATGGATGAGAGAAATGTAAATGAAAACCACATATAATTTTCTGTCTCTCAAATGGGCAAACATTAAGTTGATTGATAATAATCGAGAAAACACGCTATTGGTTGAGAACTGACACATTCTTCCAGGAAAGTGATTGGGCAATTGTTATTAAAATTTTAATCGTTCATTATCTTTGCCCAACAATACTTTTAGAATAAATTACATAAGCTTCCTGCTTAAATAACTACTTATTTTAAAAGATATTCATAATATATTGTTAAATTAAAAAAACAGATTACAGAACAATATTTACAATATGTTCTTGTTTTTTTTTAATGTGCACATTATATGAAAGGTAACTAAGAGGTATGTAAATCAAAGTTTGACATCTATGACAGTAATTATTTAGCAAGAGAATGAAGAAGTGGCATCAGGGTAGAATTATGAGTAATTTCACTTTAAAAAATGCACAGGTATTATGAAGCATAAGAATGTATATATTTAACACTTACAAATCTTTTCAAGTTAAAGAATGTATTACGAAATACTTCAAACACGATTTAAAAACAATGCAATGAACATCTATGTATCTGGCACCCAGCTTAGGAAATAAATCATTACCAAGAGTCGAGGTGAAACTTCTTTTCATTTCATTATCAAAATGCAAATGCAACCTTTTATTCCCTTTATAAAATTTCCTGTCATCCCCCCCAGGCTGCTATACAGCAGTCCTAAATATGTTAACCTTTTGTTAGAAATTTTAACTTTTATATGACAATTATGAGCCATGCATATGCATTTTATTATGTTAGAGCAGTGGTTCTCAACCTTGACCACACATAAAAATCAGCTGGGTGCTTTTTGAAAACCACACAGCTCCGGGCCCTGGTCCTAGAGTCTGATGTGCGTGGCCTGGGCTGACAGCATGTTGGAAAGGCTCCCCAGGTGTTTCTAAGGGGCATCCAAGGTTGAGCACTGCTGCTAGGAGGACTTGGGAGCTTGCCTGTCCAACACCTGCCCTTCCTGGGTCAGATGTTCTGTTTGGTTTCATTTTCCCTCAACTGTTGAGGAATGGGGGACAGGCACTGAAGTATTCCCTCTATCACATGCCAAAAGGAAAGGGTGGTGAAGGTGGCCGCCAAAGGAAGCACGGGAGCTCTCTTTCAGTGAGCTTTTCTCAGGTGCCACTGACATTCCGCAGAGCGATGGCTGGTGGTTCTCTGTGCCTGGTGCTGCTGGGTGTTTTTGTTTTTTGCCTGGAGGAAAAGAATCATCAGATTAAGACACATAGACAGTTAGAGGCTGGCCGCCTTCGGTGGTCTTTCTTGACACCTAGAATAATTACGAACAGGAACACGGCATGTACTCACACATTTGCAGTGTGCACAGTACTTTTCTTGCCCTTAATGAGTTTACAGCTCCAGTCACAGACATAAAACCCAGCTGAATTCATCCCTGAGATGGGTGGATTTAGTCAGCATACACATTTTTATGTTATTAAATGTGAATGCGATGAGGCTGGGCATCTTCTCCAGTTTGACCATAGACCACACCACTCCCTCTTTTCCTTTATCCGTATTTACCCTTCTGGCCTCTGAGGGTGCTTAAGTTTCTAAGCACAGGAGACAAATTAAGTTCTAGTGAGAAAAAAAAACCAATTTAAATATACATATGAAATATATATAATAATTGTTATAATAATTATATATATAATTTTGATTCATTTTATTTTGGTTTTTGGACAGAGTCTCGCTCTCTGGCCCAGGCTGGAGTTCAGTGGCATGATCTCGGCTCACTGCATCCTCCACCTCCCAGGTTCAAGCGATTCTCCTGCCTCGCTGGGACTGCAGGCACCCGCCACCATGCCCAGCTAATTTTTTGTATTTTTAGCAGAGATGGGGTTTCACCATGTTGACCAGGCTGGTTGCGAACTCCTGACCTCCAGTGATCCACCTGCCTCAGCCTTCAAAGTGCTGGGATTACAGGCGTGAGCCACCGCGCCTGGCTATATATAATTAATATAACAACCTAGATACCTTTTCAACTACAGTCTAGGTTTTTATTCTCCTTTGTTCCCTATTAGCAGTCATTTAAAGAGGAATTTTCATAACAATGACAGTGACAAAAATCCCTAGGCCCGTCAGTAGCTAGAAAGAACTTTACTTTTAATAAAGTGTTTCCGTTCTAGATAAACATTTTAGATGCTCCGTAGGTAAGAGAGATTGAGTGTTTTTGCTCAAAGCCATGAGATGAAGCCTGACAGAGCAAGAGTGCTCTTCCTCTGAAAGGGTGCCATGCCATTTTTCTGCCTCATGATTTACACCTTCTGGTTGAGCAGACAGGCACCTACTGGGGGAAAATGAGCAAGGAATAGAGCATATCCTTATTTAGTCATGCTGGAATGATAGGTGCTCTCTCTAACAGAATCGTGTGGCTGGACAAAAGCACGGGTTATTGTCTGATTGAAAACTAAGGAAGTCTAGACTCAAATTAGGAGTAATTCAGAATGTGTATTTTATTAATGAATTTCCTTGAATTATATACTGTATTCAAAGCCTGTTTGGGACATCATGTTTTGTTCACCAACCATTGAAGGAAATCCCTAACTTTCTTGCAGGGAAAATACTTTGAAATCCAGTTCAGTCCAGGTGGGGAACCAGATGGTGGAAAGATCTCCAACTTCCTTCTGGAAAAATCTAGGGTGGTGATGAGGAACCCAGGAGAGCGGAGTTTTCACATATTTTACCAGGTTTTCCTGTTTACTTTTTTCCTACCCACTTCCTGTCCCTTCTCTACATTAAAATATTTCTCAGACTTCAGGCATAGACTATAGTCTAGGAAGCCAGGGAGGACTGATGATGATACCATGTACAAGTCAATGTGCAGAATTGTGAGAATGTCCTGCCCTCAAGGAGAGTGAGTTCTAATTGGAGTGATAAGACAGAAATTCCTCCAAAGCTAAATCATCAAGAAAGTATTGATGTAACTTCAAAACAAAACGAGGAGTGTTGGAGTCTTTGCCAAAGGAATTCAGGTGGGCAGGTTTGGCCGGATAGTAGGAGAGGTGTGAAGGAGGTAGAGCCCGGATGGAAAGTGGAGGGGATTGATGAGGGAAGACAGGTGACCTGCACCAAAGCAGTGGAGGTGGGAGAGGGAAAGCCAGTCAGGGAGCCCGGCCTCAGCCTGCCTGCAGGGCAGGCGTCTCCAGAACGTGAGCTACCGGAGGAAAGATTTGAGATAGGTTTGGGATCTTTAATGCCAAATTGAAAAGTTGCCACCTAGACCCTCAGAAGTCATGGAGAGTTTGGGGCCAGAGCAGCTTGCAGGGTGCTTTTTGATTATGTTACAGGCTTCAGCAGTCATCTGAGTCAGCTACTTTTATTTTATTTATTTTTTTATTTGAGACAGTGTCTTGCTCTCTTGCCCAGGCTGGAGTGCAGTGGCACAATCTTGGCTCACTGCAACCTCTGCATCCTGGGCTCAAATGATCCCCCTGCCTCACCCTCCCAAGTAGCTGGGACTATAGGCACATGCCACCACACCTGGCTAATTTTTGTATTTTTCGTAGAGGTGGGGTTTCACCATGTTACCCAGGTTGGTCTCTAACTCTCGGACTCAAGTGACCCACCCACCTCAGCCTCCCAAAGTGCTAGGATTACAGGCGTGAGCCATTGCACCTGGCCCTGATTCAGGTACTTTTGTAAAAGGTTTTTAAGTACTTAAAAAATATAATGATGTTAATAACCAAATTTTTTATGTTCTATTTACTTATTAGTATTTTATATTGAAGATCCACATTAGACTTTCTTCGAAGAAAGACCTGGTCACTGTTTTTTGTTTTGTTTTGTTTCATTTCGTGTTTAGTTTGTGGATCACTGGATTAGAAGGACATTAAACTGTGGAAGTAGCTCACATTCAATCTTTTCAATTACACACACATCTTAGGCAATGCCAAATAATTCTTTTAGTTTGTACCTGTTGGTTGAAAAAGTATATAAATGATTAAAACTTCTGTGAATTCAGTCATTTTTAAAATTGTATTAAAGCAACATATATAGATAAGTGAAAAATAATTATATATTTCACATAAATAATACCCAGTGCTAGATGGAAGTGTATAATGGATGTCAGGACTTCTTTAAATAAATGCAAGCCCCAACCCTCCCCCAGGAGTTCTCTGCCCTTAAGTCAGAAACCACCAGAATAGAGGCTGGGAACTGATGGGCGCAGGGGTTCAAGATTCTGACATGAAAGTAATTCTTGGCTGGGTGCGGTGGCTCACGCCTGTAATCCCAGCACTTTGGGATGCCAAGGTGGGTGAATCACGAGGTCAGGAGATCGAGACCATCCTGGCTAACACAGTGAAACCCTGTCTCTACTAAAAATACAAAAAATTAGCTGGCCGTGGTGGTGGGCGCCTGTAGTCCCAGCTACTCAGGAGGCTGAGGCAGGAGAATGGCGTGAACCTGGGAGGCGGAGCTTGCAGGGAGCGGAGATCGCACCAGTGCACTCCAGCCTGGGCGACAGAGTGAGACTCCGTCTCAAAAAAAAAAAAAAGAAAAGAAAAGAAAGAAAAAGAAATTCTTGAAGCTACGAAATACTTGGGAGTGGATGTGGGGAGAAAATCCTGCCACACAGGACCAGGGGACTTTCTAGATATGTAGGATCGGGAGGCATTGAAGAGCCAGCAGGGAAGTAGTTGAAGGATAAGGAGGAAAGCCAGGATCCTGCAGTGTCACCAAGCCAGGGAAGCCTCAGGGCGACATCGACAGGATCAAATGGTCAGAGCTC
Source organism: Homo sapiens (assembly GCF_000001405.40). Taxonomy (NCBI): domain Eukaryota; kingdom Metazoa; phylum Chordata; class Mammalia; order Primates; family Hominidae; genus Homo; species Homo sapiens. Next base: position 59,225,416 of record NC_000015.10, on the reverse strand, counting down.
TTGGGCAAAAGGGACGAGCTGGGGTGTGGGGGCCAAAAAAAAGGCTGTTGGATTTAGGCACTGAAAAATAGCCATGCAAGGGTTCCGCCAGAGTGGTGAGGGGAGAAGCTAGAATGCAAGTGGTTATGTCATGGCAAGGAAGTAGATCCTGCAGCTTGGAGAAGTTCACAGTCAAGGAAAAGCTTCTAAAGAAGGCAAAGAGTACCAGAGAGCAGGAAGCTGCATGGCAGTTTTTTAACATGCACCCTGCAGTGAGAAACATGGAAAAGCCAGCTTAAAAAGCCATAGCAAGTTGGGCAGGAACTAAGTAATTAAAATCTGTTTTGCTTTCCACTCTTCCGAGGGTGGCAGTCCAGTTCCTTTCAGTGGACAATGGAAAATCCTCAGCTCTTGCAGGTCTTTCCAGAGTTAGGAATCAAAATTTGCAGAGATGACCTGGGGCTACTACAAGTACATATTTGGGGGCCAGGACTGCCTGTAATTTTAGAAAGCAGAGATAGAAAGTCCTTAGGGATGGTGGCTGCAGGATGCAGGAGTGACTTCGGGTGCCTTGTGGTCCACATCATGGCTCAACCTGTGTTCTCTTGCTCCAGCTCATCGAGGGCGCCTCTGCAGAGCAGAAACACAGCCTTGGCATCACCAGCATGGACTATTATTACTACCTGAGCCTCTCGGGCTCATACAAGGTTGATGACATTGACGACAGGCGGGAGTTTCAGGAAACTCTGGTAAGTGCTGGCGCAGGGCCAGGCAGGATCTGCTCTCCCAACTGGCCATTTCCTGTGGCCAAAAGGGCAGTGAAGGTTAATAAAGCAAAGAGCTGCATGAAATGTCCGCCTCTTTCTCTGTGAGCACTCTGTATGCTCATACATGTTTCAGTATCCTTAAACAGCCATGTGCCAGTTGCCTGAGGACCACTTAATGATTTGAGATGGGTAAAAAGAAATGAATTCATCATTATCACCCTGCAGGAGCTCTGATAAATAGGCAAAAATGATTCATACGTTGAGCATACCTGTTTGCTGATGGCCTACTCTATTCGTGAGCTATTTCCTTAGAAAAGCTAAGCAAACCGCACGTCTATGGACTGAATAGGTTTAGACATTTTGGAACGTCTTTAGTCTTTTCTCTTATTTCTTTTCTGGTTTTGAAGACTCTCTTCCCCTCTGTATTGTTTAGGGCAGAGGACCCTTTTTCTGTGCCATGCCCTTCACATTGCATGTATGTTATGGTCCAAGCTGTGAAACTAGGTAGATTATGGAGGGGTTCCATCCTGGGGGCAATAATGTAGAACTTTCTGGAGGTAGGCTGAACACCCACTTGGCCTCAAAGGCCTTCATTGCCACCCACTGCCCTTTGAGTCTGTTTCAAGCTGGGGACTATTCCTCAACCCAGATCCAGAACTGAGCAGTAGACTCTGAATGAGCAGCGTGGGTTCAGTACATTTGTGGTTGAAAGGGACAGAAAGTTCAAACAGACTGTGTCCTGGGTGCCAGGAAACAAAATGGTATCAACAGGTCACATGGCCTCAAAGCAGCTGCGGGGAAAAGTGCCAATAAGGAGTCTGCACACTGGTCCTAGAGTGTAGTTTTCTTAGGAGATGTTTCTCTTAAGATTTAGACATTTTAGCGGTATTTATTGCATTTAAGGGACCTCAGAAACTGGACTTTTAAATGATGCTTTTATTGGATTTCCTGGAGATTTTTCATTAAGATCCTTTTGCAAGTACAATATATTCTTATCCCTCCTGATGAAGGGAAAGATCTCGAGTCCACTTTGAGTAGGTGGAAAGGTCAGCAGCGACCTTCGAGGGGAAGCTGGCAACAAGAACACATCAAAGGATGAAGACAGGACTTGGAGACTTTGTGTACAACTACCACTCTTCCGAGTCTCTTTCCTCCTGGAGTATTCTCTTATTCCTGGAGGATGGCATGCTATGCTTAGAGACAGAAGTGCCCTTCCAGCATGACTTTGAGACGTGAGAAGAATGTGTGCATTGGGCAGTGACCATGTTGTACAAGAACGTCCTGCTGTCATCACAAGCTAAGCCACATGTGACTGCACAACCCAATCTTATGTTTTGGCTTTTTTTTTTTTTTTTCTTTGTAACTCGTCTGTACTTGTCACATCCTTATTTAGAGCAGCTGCTGTGCCTTGGCTTCTTCCTAAGGTGCTTTTAAAGCTGGTGACCAGCTTCTCTGGATAGTTTCTCTTTTCTCTTCCAGCACGCCATGAATGTGATTGGGATCTTTGCAGAAGAGCAAACGCTGGTGTTGCAGATAGTGGCGGGTATTCTCCACCTGGGAAACATCAGCTTCAAAGAAGTTGGCAACTACGCGGCTGTGGAGAGTGAAGAGTGTGCGTAGCCCTGGCATGTGGCCATTGAATGAGGGGTGGCTAGCTCTGATTAGAAGTAACCTAGCACTTTCCTTTGCTTAGATCTCAAATGGGAATATTGGGAAGAAGTGATAAATCTACATGTCCTCTGTGGCAAACAGAATGGCTTCACGAGAGACCAGACCTCTTCTATGCACCTGTCCCTGTCCTTACCCCCAGCCTTTCCAAGTCCCACACCATCGATTATTAATGGAATCGTTTCAATTTATCATTAACCTGGGGAAAGCTGGGAGGATTTCACACCTTGGTTTAAAGATAAAGTGATCTCTTTAATGGGGATTAGAGTAATGGCTTAATGCAAAAGATTTATTGTCTTTATCAAAACCTTTTCAGTAACTGGTCTTTAGGATCTAAATTCACTTACAGGTTTTAAAGAGCAAGCAATATAATATATGTAAATATGGGAAGCTCACAGCTTCACAGTTTGTTCCATGGATTGGATTACATTGGATTTCTGAACACAGAAAAAGATGGACATTGACTGTTGTGTTGACATTTCTGATGATCACTTTTAATGATCACATCTGTATACCTGGAGCCTCAACACCTAAATGGTCGTTTTTACTCTTTGAGAAAAAAAATCAGGGTTCTTCCTACAGAGAGGTGCTGCTGGTTACATGTGCCCAAAATCTACCATAAATACAGCGGCACATGACTTTAGCCTCTTAGGCATCAACAGCTTGCAGGCTGCTCTCAGAACCCACACATCCTTTAACCACCCAGGAAGACATTCTTCCTTTCTCAGCATTCTTTAAGGATGATAAATTTAGATGCTTAGTAATAAATAGCATCCCACTCATTGCTGACAATGCAGTGGGGATATTTCCATTCCAAATAAGGTTCTTTTTTTATGTTTTTGTTTTCTTTTCTGATAAAAGAGGGAAGTTCTGCTAACTTCTGATGTCTATCTGATAAAGAAAAAGATGAATTATGTTTACCAGGGAAGGGAGTAGAAAACAATAAATATACAGGGTGTCCATAAAGTCTAAAAACATGACCTAATAATCATAATAAGGATAACTATGTTTCTAAACTTTGTGTACATTATCCTTGACATTTAACAAATGCACATATATTTCCAGTAGGATCATTAACACTTGGCCTTTTAATTGTAACAGTGTTGGTTTGGTGGTAGTTTCTGTTGAAGTAGACTGGATTTTTTTTGCCTTCTTGGATAGTAAAATAATTTACTGCCTCTTTATGCTTGAAAACAAAATCATGACACTGAAACAGCAAACACTTCCCTAGATGTTTGAAACAAGAAGTGTTTTATTGCACATTGATGTCCAGAGTTAGTAGTCTTCTCAGCCAGATGGGTAAGGCCGAGCACTGGCAACTGCCCATGAAATTCCCTGACTAGAGGCGATGGAGGCATGGAGATTGGAAAAGGCTGAGATGGAAGCCAGAGAGGTCCAGGAAATGGGCCTCCCCCTACCAATAATTTCCTTTGATTTGGGGTTTTGTTCATTTGGTAATACATTAACGTGGCTTGAGGGGGTATGCAGTGAAAGTTCTCCCTTCTATACCTTTTCTAGTCCACTTGTTCCCCTCGTCAGAGGTAACCAAGATTCTCAGTCTCTTGTGTTCCCTTTAAAGGATGTGTGTTCCAAAACAACTACACACAACCACTCCTTTTTCTCACTTTTGTGCAATATTGGGGGCTTATACTGCAATGTTCTACAGTTGCTTTTTCACTTAACATGTGTCTTAGGCCAGGCATGGTGGCTCATGCCTGTAATCCCAGCACTTCAGGAGGCTGAGGCAGGTGATCACCTGAGGTCAGGAGTTTGAAACCAGCCTGGCCAACATGGTGAAATCCTGTCTCTACTAAAAATACAAACATTAGCCAGGTTTGGTGGTGGTGCGCACCTGTAATTCCAGCTACTCTGGAGGCTGAGGCAGGAGAATCGTTTGAACCCTGGGCAACGAGCGAGTCTCCATCTCAAAAAGGGAAAAAAAATTATGTGTGTGTATATATATATAATATATATATAAATTTTATATATATATTATATATATAATTATATATATAATGTGAGATGATGCTATATCAATTCCTAAGGAGCTTTATCTTTTTTTTTTTTTTTTTTTTTTAAGAGATGGGGTCTTGCTTAGTTGCCAGGGCTGGTCTCGAATTTCTGGCCTTAAGTCATCCTCCCGCCTTGGCCTCCGGAAGTGCTGGGAATCGAGGATTGAGCCACTGCACCTGGCTGTCCTTTTTGTAGCTGCATAGCATTCCATTCATTGGCTACACTTTATTTATCTGTTGTTGGACATTAATATGGTTTCTGATCTTCTGCTGTTACAAGACTGAATGAACACTACTGAAAGGAATAGCCTTGGTTTCTATCATCTTTCTCATATTTTAGTATATCTATGGAATAAATTTGTAGAGGGAAGTGGTAGTCCATGCCTTTATAATGGAAAAAAGCAGACTTTCTCTTGCTCTTGCAGTGCAGAAAAAAAATGGAAAAAAATGGTAAGATTTTCATCAGAACTGGCCTACTAAAGCAAAATAGCCATTAATAACAGCAAGCTTTTTTGTTTTATTTTGTTTTTTGTTTTTGTTTTGAGACAGAGTCTTTCTGTGTCACCCAGGCTGGAGCGCAGTGGCGCTATCTCGGCTCACTGCAACCTCCACCTCCTGGGTTCAAGCAGTTCTCCTGTCTCAGCCTCCCAAGTAGCTGGGATTACAGGTGCGCACCACCACGCCTGGCTAACTTTTGTATTTTTAGTAGAGATGGGGTTTTGCCACGTTGACCAGGCTAGTCTCAAACTCCTGACCTCAGATGATATGCCTGCCTGGGCCTCCCAAAGTGCAGTAATTAGAGGCGTGAGCCACCACACCTGGCCAAACAAGCTTTGTTTTTTTTACCTGACCTTAGACTAATGGAAATGTAGCATTTCCCTGGTCAAACCTTTACGTTGCTGTGAAGCTAAACAAACTAAGAAATCCCTTCTTAGTTGGATATGTTGGTGAATGTCTCTTGATTCTCACAACAACCCGACATGGGTCCAGTCTGATTTATGAATGTCATCTGTCCTTACTCTGTGCACAGGAGTGCAACTCTGTGAGATGAATGCACACATCGCAAAGAAGTTTCTCAGAATGCTTCTGTTTAGTTCTTCTGTGAAGATATTTCCTTTTCCACAACAGGCCTCAAAGTGCTCCAAATATCCACTTGCAGATTCTACAAAAAGAGTGTTTCAGAACTGCTCAATCAAAAGAAATGTTCAACTCTGTGAGATGAATGCACGTTTAGTTCACTGGAAGACATATCCAGATTCCTAGACATGTGTTAACAGTAAAACTAAACTAAGGATAATGGCCATTTTCAGATCAGTGCATTTGATTTTGTTTACATGTCCTTTCTAAAAGGAAGCCCTTCTATTGCTCAAAGCATTTTTGTGAAACACTCATATAGAGGATAAATGTCTTGTTCTGGCATTATACTTTTTCAAAATGTATTCACTGACTTAATCTCATTGGAAGGTGTATACTGAGAAATGTCAGCCCGTTATATTCTAACACCATCTGTGAAATTCAAACAGATTATCCTTTATTGGGAGGCTTGTGATTTTTTAGCATTATCATAAGGCCTTTAACAAAATTCTTTTATCAGATAATTTTGGTAAAGCATTATGCAGAAAAAGAAAACTCAGCCAAGTTCAAAATTTGCATTGCATCTATAAAAATCTTTCATTCATATTGGAAAAATCTGAGCATTCTTTCATGTCAAAGAATGGTGTCATTTATTTATATGAGAACGTTCTGCCCAGAAATCAAGAAAACCCCATTTATATCACTAGCCCTCCTTGGTAAGTTTCATGGTCTGAAACAAGATGTTGAGCTATGGAAGTCTCCGTTTTTCTATCCAAAGACCACAGACTGCCATACCATGTGACATTAGGGCAGGATATGAACAATACCATCCCCTTCATTTCACTCCATATGCTACCCTCAGAGGAATCTTCTTATAATGCCCCTCTTTATTAGCCATCAGGCCCCCTTTTGCCTCCAGCCCAAATATATCATACCATTCAAGGACCCCCAGCATTGGAATCTGTCCTAACCTTTTAAATCTGACCTGAACTTTCACCTGTAGCCAGTGCTAGTCCACACACTGTAGACCGTCTCGTCTTGATCATGTCTCCCACACTTCTGCTTCCTCCCCTTGGTACACTCCCTTCTCCTCTCTGCATCTGCACAAATCGTATTCATCCTTTACACCCAGCTCAAATCTCTTGACTACCCCAGCAAGTAGTAATATCTTCCTGTTCTAATTTCTCCAGATCTTGTCTGTCTGTGTTACATATTCAGCTTTTCCAAGGGTTCTTTATTTGGCAAACTATTTTTGCCTCATCTAGATTGCATTCAAGATTTCTTACATATTTTCTATCTTTTCCTCTCTCTTTAGTAACCCTACACATGCTAAATACTCAATAAACATGGGATTGGTTGTAATTATTAGTTCAGTAATATCAGGTGCTTCAAAAATGATGCTATGAAAACATTGTACTAAAAAGGAAGAAAACAATATTTGGAGCCAAAGAAATGTTTCTTGATTGAGTTCCTTCCTGGCTGTCGTGCTGGAAGCTTGGAGAGATGTCCATTTTAGGCATTTGACTGTGATCTCAGTAGGAGGGATAGGTTTGCCATCCTTCTTGAATCCCTGATTTGTATTATTGGAAGTCTCAGTCATCATAGGAATTGACTCATGTCATAAAACAATTGGGAAAAACAAAGGAGATGGATGTGTATGGGATTACTGATAAGCAGCCTTCACTAGAACGTAAGCTCTTGGGGCCCGTGATTGTGCCTTCTATGCACACACACGTGCATGTGCACATAAGTGCCTCCATATGTTTGTGAGATGACTTGGAAGTGTCACAATTCTGAAAGATTGTCATGTTTTGTTTTATGTTCTACAGTTTTAGCTTTTCCTGCATATCTGCTAGGGATAAACCAGGACCGGTTGAAAGAAAAGCTAACAAGCCGGCAGATGGATAGCAAGTGGGGAGGCAAATCCGAATCCATCCACGTGACCCTCAACGTAGAGCAGGCCTGTTACACCCGGGATGCGCTCGCCAAGGCCCTGCACGCCCGGGTCTTTGATTTCTTGGTAGATGTAAGTAACAGAAGTTGATGCTGGTGATGCTTCATATCTTAGCTATAAAGAGTAAAACTAGTAGGCTGGGTGCGGTGGCTCACACCTGTAATCCCAGTACTTTGAGAGGCCAAGGTGGGAGGATCACTGCAGCCCAGGAGTTTGAGACCAGCCTCTGCAACATGGTGAGACCCTGTCTCTACAAAAAAACACAAAAATTAGCCAGGTGTGGTGGCATGTGCCTGTGGTCCCAGCTACTCAGGAGGCTGAGGTGGTTAAGATCACTTGAGCCTGGGAGGTCAAGGCTGCAGTGAGCCGAGATTACGCCACTGCACTCCAGCCTGGGGGTTAGAGTGAGATCCTATCTCCCAAAAAAAAAAAAAAAAAAAAAAGGTAAAACGACTGAGGGTTTTGTGTTCCTGTTCTGGCTCCTTCCTTTCACCCATTACCTTACTTCACTTTCTCTCACTCTGTGATTACTGAATCCTGCTTTTCCTTCTAGAACTGCCCACCAAGATACCTTAGCTAAATCTAATGTGGTAACAAGTTTCTTCTGGACAAAATATTTAGTAAAGCTAGGACTAGAGACCAGAAAAAGAGGAGAGCCACGTTCATGGGCCTTTCTTGACTTTTGGACCTAAAGATTTAGGAATATGTTTTTCACATATTTCTATGTTACAAATTAACCCAAAACCTAGCGGCTTGAAACCATAAGCACTTATTTTCTCAGTTTCTGAGGGTGAGATATTTGGGATCGGCTGAGCTTGGTGGTTCTGACTCAAAGACGAGGTTGCAGTCAGGAAGCTGATTGGAACTGTGGTTGTCTGAAGGCTTGCCTAGGGTTGGAGGATCTGGCTGAAAGATGGATTGCCCATGTGGCTGTTGGCAGGAGGTCTCAGCCCCTTGCTGCATGGACCTCTCCTTGAATATCCTCATAACATAATGGTTGGTTTTCCCCAGAGCGAGTGATCTGAAAGAGAGAATGAGCAAGAAGCCAGTTTTTTATGTCCTAATCTTGGACTCAGGTATTGTCACTTTGCCACATTCTGTTTATTAGAAGCAAGTCACTAAGCAAAGATCACACTTAAGGGGAGGGGAATGAGGCTCCACCTTTTAGAGGAAGGAATATCAAAAACTTTTTGCATGTATTTTGAAACTATTAGATATTTTTGGTTATGGCATAATTATGTGTGTGTGTGTGTGTGTGTGTGTGTGTGTGTATGTGTATATATATATATATATATACACATACACACACACACACACACTGGGGGCCCTTCGATCCAAAAGATAGATAGATAGATAGATAGATAGATACACACACACACACACATAAACTCTTATATATGAATATATATTTATATATGTATATCACATATATATTCTGACAATTAGTCTTTCAGCAGTGTAGAGCTGCCAGTAACAATCTCTGTTAATCACTGTAGCCTCTAAATGGTAAAATAATAATAGCAGGCACTTATATAGAACTAACTATGTTAGTGCCCAGATACTGTTCTGAGTATTTTAAAGAGAAAAAACCCTCACTTAATTCTTACAACAACCCTGTGACTTAGGTATTATTATCTCTGCTTTACAGATAAACTAAGGGAGGCATAGATCGATTAAGGAATTTGCCCAAGGTCACTCTGTTATTATGTGAGTGATCTAGGAGGCCCTAGATTCCTAGCTAGTTTGTTTCTTTGACGTTTATATATTCAAGCTAGAAGGACCCTAGTCAAGGGACAACAGTGGGGGCCATTCAATCCAAAAGATCTGTATTTGATTCCAGGCACTAACATTTATACGGCTTAAGGTATGGTTAGTGTGGTTAGAGTAGGGTCAGGCAGGACAGGGTAGGAGAACTATTCTAGGTACTTTAGTGGCTATTTAAAGGATAACATTGCTTGGGAAGGTCAGGGTCATACTAAACAGAAGTCATGCAGTTAGGTTGTCCAGACCCCTCATTTTACTGAGAAGGGAACTTCAGGCCTGAGCAATGGTGGTTTTGCCCAAGGCTGGTCAGCAAGGGGGTGGTGCAGCCTGGGACTAGAATCCATATCTCTTTTCTCTTTGTTCAGAGCACCTTCCAGCGCTGGGCTTCCTACCTACCTTTCTACCTGTCACCTGTCAGTTTTTTTTGTGAATAGTACCAGTACATGAATACTCATATAAGTGATCCTAATTTGAGGTGGGATTTACTGGGCACTGACTGTGTGTTGTGTATGATTACTCATTCGCTCACAAAAGATGATATTTCATTTTGTTTGCCTGGAAAACACCTCTGGTACTTCAGAATTCGTCCAGGTATTCATCACCTCAAAGAATTGTTCGCTTACATTCCTCCCCCACTGCATCCCCCACCAACCGCTCTATCCAAACCTCCCTTGCTGTCATTACATCTGTTCCCATGAATTGCTTGGCCTCTTCTCACGGTGATTAAGAACACAGATTTAGGCATCATACTGCTTAAATTTAGTCCCAGACCCTGCTTCTTACATAGAACAACCTTAAGCAAGCCTTGGTGTATCCATGTGGAAAATTGGGAAAATAATGGTATCACTGCCATTTTGAGAACTGAAATGGGAATTAAGTGAAACAACACATTGAGAGCACTTAGCAAACCCTGGCAAAGGTGAATGTTTAATAGACGTAAGCTGCTTCTATTATCAATTCAAAAATAATGACTATTGTTACTATCTGCAGATAGCTCACCCTCTCTATAAGCGCCTAGGAACAAGGGTTGTCTTGTCCTTAGCATCCCTGGCATATTGTGTTGGGTCATCATTAAATGACTGGTGAATGGAAGACACTGGAAATGACAATTACAGATCCTTTAGTGTGGGTTCTTTGTGTGAAATAGGTTTTACTTCGATCATCCAAGATGACATTTTTTTCTAATTGTTAAGACTTCCTGAAAAAGCTTACTTGGACAGAAATTAATGGTTATCATCATTAAACAAACATTTTTTGTTTCTACTGTACTCGCTTTTCTGAATCCTGGTGGTTTTCCAAAGTACTTGACTTTGGACTGAGAGATTGTTAAAGCAGCAAGTCTCCTGCCTTCACTTGTCCTCTGTTTCCTGCAAGCAGTAGTGTTTGCCGTGTAGAATCCAGCTTCCCTTTCCCCAGTGCATGCCCGTTTTTAGTATGAATGGAAAGGAGTTCACTGCCATGCTGTTTACTTTCTCTAGTCCATCAATAAAGCCATGGAGAAAGACCATGAAGAATACAACATTGGCGTCCTAGACATCTATGGCTTTGAAATATTCCAGGTAAGGCCAGTTTTAATAACTAGGGGTTGAGGAGGGTGACGTATTTCATCTGGCCTGCAAGAAATAATTCTAGGCAATGCAAAAACAAAAAAACAGAAAACAAACCACAACAACAAAAAAAACAACTCAGGCTCATTTTTGCCTTTGTGAGTTCTTCATGTGCCTTTACCAAATTAGTTTCTCCTAAATATAAACTTATTTCTTTTGATGCATCCAACATTTCTATTAAAGCTTTTCACATGAAGACATTTCAATAAATCACTCCAGAAATGACTTTTAAATGATTTTGTGAAAGAATTACATGTGAATAACTTTTTTTTTCCAGAAAAATGGCTTTGAACAGTTTTGTATCAATTTTGTTAATGAAAAACTGCAGCAGATTTTTATTGAACTGACATTAAAGGCAGAACAGGTAAGCAGTCCCTCTTCCTTCATCCTATTCTATTTATAATTTATTTTGTTTAAGAGGGTATAGATTTCTGTCTTTTGTTAATAGATTTCGGTTCCAGTCTTATATTAGGAAATGCATCTAATAAAGTCAGGCAGAAAAACCATATGCCATTGTGGCATTTTAATCTATGAAATATAAATACCGTCTGCAGCATTTGCCTTCTTCTTTAAGCAAATGATGCTGTGATGTTGGAGGTAAGACTGGCTGCTTTTACTCTACTGACTCATTGAGCACGTGGGAAATGGGAGCCTAGTTCCAGCCCCGACTGTCTGTGGCAAATATTGTGTTCCAAATAAAAGACTTGGTTTCCTCAGATCTACGCCATTTTCAATCTTCCCTAACAATACGTGCATTTTTAACAAAGCTGGTATTTGAATACTTACCTGAGGTAACATGCCTTGGTATAGTTTCTTCTAAAGTTCACTGCAGGCTGGGTGCTGTGGCTCGTGCCTGTAATCCTAGCACTTTGGGAGGCCGAGTCGGGAGAATTGCTTGAGCCCGGGAGTTCAAGACCAGCCTGCGGGACAAAATGAGACCCCATCCATACAAAAAAAATAAAATAATTAGCTGGACGTGGTGGCATAAGCCTATAGTCCCAGCTACTCTGGAGGCTGAGGTGAAAGGATTGCTTGAGCCCAGGAGGTCGAGGCTTATATCATCACACCACTGCACTCCATCCTAGGCAACAGAGCAAGACTCTATCTCAAAAATAAATAATAGCCAGGCGCAGTGGCTCATGCCTGTAATCCCTGCACTTTGGGAGGCCGAGACGGGCAGATCACTTGAGGTCAGGAATTCGAGACCAGCCTGGCCAACATGATGAAACCCCGTCTCTACTAAAAATACAAAAATTAGCTGGGCGTGATGGTGTGTGCCTGTAGACCCAGCTACTCAGGGGGCTGAGGCAGGAGAATCGCTTGAACCCAGGAGGCAGAGGTTGCAGTGAGCTGAGATCGTGCCACTGCACTCCAGCCTTGGCGACAGAGCGAGACTTCGTCTCAAAATAATAATAATAATAATAATAATAATAATAATAATAATAATAATAATAAATAAATAGTTCAGTGCAGTTTCCATTGTTTCCTGATAGCATATTGTTTAGGATTCCTGGGGCCACCATAACAAAGCACCACAAACTGAGTGACTTAAAACAGTAGCAGTTTCTTCCCTCCCAGTTGTGGAGCCCAGAGTCTGAAGTCAAGAAGTCCTCAGGGCCACACTCCTCCTCCTCCTCAGGATAGAGGGGAGAATCCTTCCTCTTCTAGTTTCTGGTGGCTCCTGGCATTTCTTGGCTTATGGCAGTTTGACTCCAGTCTCTGCCTGTGTCTTCACGTAGCCTTTTTCAATGTCCCTCTGTGTCTATATCCAAATCTCCGTCTCTTTCATGAAGACACCATTTTAGCTTTGCGCAATGGCAATATTTTAGCCAGGGCTGTTCATCTGAGGCATGATTATTGCTAATTGAAAACTTTTCACAATACCCTGCCATGATGACTGGAAATACAGTCAGCATTGACAATTTTTGACAGTCTCTATGGAGAGTGAACTGTAAAAAAAAAGAAAAAGAAAAGAAAGACACCATTGTTTTGGATTTCAAGTTCACTCTAAACCCAGGATGACTTATTGTGAGATCCTTAGTGAATTACATTTACAAAGACCTTATTTCCAAACCTCACATTCTGAGAGGTTCCAGGTGGATGTGAAATTTGGGGGGATACTATTCAAGCCATTACACACATCAAAGGCTGTTTGGGGTCATTTAGTTATGGAAGTGTTTATGCCTCTGCTTAGGAAACACCATACCAGGGGGTTTCACGTGACCTTCTGCCCTGGAACCTGCCCTTGGTTGTTTTGCTGTAGCTACTCTAAGGGGTGGGGTAGGCTAGAGGTTCACATGAAACCCATTGCTCCCATTGCCATCTAAGTCCCTACCACGTCTAGCCCAGTCTCCTGCAGTAGTCTCCTAACTGGTTTGGTAGTTTCCATATGGGTTTCCTGTGAACCTCTAGCCTTCCCCAACCCTTAGAGTAGCCAGAGCAAAACAACCAAGTAAGAGTGCAATAGCCAGTGAGATGGGAGAGGGGAGGCAGGGGCTAGATTGTATGGGAACTTGCAGGGCATGGCTGAGACTTTGGGTGTTACAGTAAGTGGAATGAGGACCCACTGAAGAATTTTGAGGGAGGAGTGACATGATGTGATTTGTTGTGTTTTTGAAAGGGTCACTCTGGCTCTATAGACTTATAGAGTGGGATGAGTCAGGGGAAAGCAAACTAGAATGGAAGTTTAAAAACCAGTGAGGGGGATACTGCAGGAGACTGCGCTAGACATGGTAGAGACTTAGACGGCCATGGTAGCAGTGTAGGTGGGGAGGGGGAGTATCTGGAGAGTGAGAGAATGGGACTTGCTCAAAATAATTAGCAATAGCCAAGAAAGAAAGAGCAATCACGGGTGATTCTTAGCTTTATACCCTGGATAACAGGGCCGATGGTGACACTGTTTACTGGAGGGTAAGATTAGAAGAGGGGTTGTTTGGAGGTCACGGGAAATATGGAATCAGAGTTCCTCTAAACAGGTTAAGTGGGAGAGGCCTATCATACATCCAAGTGAAGATTCCAATCTGTAGAATGGATTTGAGTCTGGAACCCCGTGGCGAGGTATAGACTAGAGAAATAAATTCAGGGGTCATTAGCCTGTAGGTGGTATTTAAAGCCATGGGATTGATTGAAATCACCTAGAGAAGGAGGGCTGAGAAAATGAGAAAGCTGAAAGATTGAGCCCTGAGACTCTACCACATATAAAGGTCTGGAAATAAGAAAGACCTGGCAAAGGAAGCTGACAAAGTGAAACCAGTGAGGAAAGAGGAAAAAACCAGGATGGTGTTGTGGTGTTCAAGTTAAATGAGCAACTCATAGACTGAAGAACCTTCCCATTAAGTACCTGGATGCTAATCTGTACTCCTGTCCTATATTCAATTTTTTTTTTTTTTTTTGAGTTGGAGTTTCGCTCTGTCATCCAGGCTGAAGTGCAGTGGCACAATCTCAGCTCACTTCAACCTCCACCTTCTGGGTTCAAGCAATTCTCCTGCCTCAGCCTCCCAAGTAGCCGGGATTACAGGCGCGCCCCACCACACTCAGCTTCTTTTTGTATTTTTAGTAGAGACAGGGTTTCACCATGTTGGTCACGATGGTCTCGAACTCCTGACCTTGTGATCCGCCCACCTCGGCCTCCCAAAGTGCTGGGATTACAGATGTGAGCCACCGCGCCCAGTCCTATGTTAAATTTTAAGAGTTTTGTGATTTTTTTGTAACTGGATTTATCAGTTCGGTGCTACTAAATTGTAGTTTTCTTTGGCCAGAAACAGTTGTGTGGCAATAATTTCATAGGGTTCAAACTAAACATAAAAATCACCAAGTCATAAAATGTTCCTTTCCTGTTACCTCTTAGAAAATAAAAATTAAAGTCCCTGGTCTTTGTTGCAGGACATTCAGGTTTTTCTCTTTTATGGGAATTTTTGTCCATTCAGGGTCTGTCCGTGCAGAGCTCTTGCTATCTGGGAAATAATGTGAGTTCCTTGTCTCTGTGTTACAGGAAGAATATGTTCAAGAGGGAATAAGATGGACACCCATTGAGTACTTTAATAATAAAATCGTATGTGACCTCATAGAGAACAAAGTGGTAAGTGTTCATTTAGTATGTCTTTTCACTGCTCACAGGTTTACATTAAGTGAGTTTTTATTCTCTGTGTCATTGTTTTAGAACAGGCAAAGTGACAACTCTGATTTGCAGAGAATTTGAGCAATTGTACTAGTTTTCTGTATGTGTGAAAAGAGAACAGTACGGCTTTATTCTGGCAGTAAATATGAACATGTGGATATGAGTAAAATGTCAATGTACAAATGGAAGTTGTTATTGAATTCTAAGAGAAGACAGGATCACATGATGACTTAGCATGGAAAGAGCCATAAAATTGGCCCTGTGTTCTAGTCCAACTTCTAGGACTTTAGCCTTAATGACTGATTCAGGCTGGTCATGGTGGCTCGTGCCTGTAATCCCAGTACTTTGGGAGGCTGAGGCAGGTGGATCGCTTGAGCACAGGGGTTCAAGACCAGCCCCAGCAACATGGTGAAACCCTATTTCTAAACACAAAATTTAGCTAATACAAAAATTGTATTAGCTAAATACAAAAATTAGCCAGGCATGGTGGCACGCACCTGTAGTCCCAGCTACTCTGGAGGCTGAGGTGGGAGGATCGCTTGAGCCTGGGAGGTTGAGGATGTGGTGAGCTGAGATTGTGCCACTGCACTCTAGCCTGGGTGACAGAGCAAGGCAAGACCATGTCTCAAAAAAAAAAAAAAAAAAAAAAAAAAAAAAAAGGTGATTCAAAATAAAAGTGATACAGAACAAATATCTCTATAGGATTTTTTTATATATATAAAAGCCAAAAACTGGAAACAGTAAAAACATCCGTAGACAACTTATTTATTTATTTATTTACATGTTTATTTATTTATTTTGAGAGACGTCTCGCTCGGTTGCCCAGGCTAGAGTGCAGTGGCGCCATCTTGGCTCACTGTAACCTCCACCTCCCGGGTTCAAGCGATTCTCCTGTCTCAGCCTCCTGAGTAGCTGGGATTACAGGCGCCCACCACCACACCTGGCTAATTTTTGTATTTTTAGTAGAGAGGGGGTTTCACCATGTTGGCCAGGCTGGTCTTGAACTCCTGACCTCGTGATCCACCCCCCTCGGCCTCCTAAATTGCTGGGATTACAGGCATGAGCCACCATGCCCGGCCAGACAACTTAGTTATTAAACAAACTATAGCATATCAGAACAGAGAAGTATAGCCATTAAAATAGTAAGTGTGAAGAATGTGTAAAACATGAGGAATGCTTATAAAATAGTGCTATGTGAAAAAGGAAATGCATTATAGAATGTGTACACTAAATAACTACCGAAATGATGCCTATATGGGTAACACGCTGAAAGAGAACATTAAGAAATAGATTAGGTCAAAGGAAAATGTTTTTACTTTTGGATTCTTAAGCAAGTCAATTTGGCATGACTATGAGTGAGCAGATAATGATCTGTGCATGACTCTTGGATAAAACTTCAGGGAGTTAAACAGCTTTTTGGAAAGTGGAGTTTCCTCCCTCTTTAGATCTAAGTGGTGACTCCCTATTTGGGACTATTAATTGCATTCTTGCCTGAAGGGGAATACTGACTTTCAAGATGGTATCTTAAGTCTGGGGAGCTGTTTCCTTGCCTAAGAAAGGACCTGATAAGCATTGTCTGTTTTGGAGAGGTCAGTGACTAGGGCCTTGCCTTCTTGCTCCCATCAGAACCCTCCTGGCATCATGAGCATCCTGGATGACGTGTGCGCCACGATGCATGCGGTGGGTGAGGGGGCAGATCAGACGCTGCTCCAGAAACTTCAGATGCAGATTGGGAGTCATGAGCACTTCAACAGTTGGAACCAAGGCTTCATCATTCATCATTATGCTGGGAAGGTATGGCCAATATCCATTTTAATGTCTATCTGTTTTAAGCCTTTGGGTTTGTGATCTGGTTTCTCATGAAGCAAATCATATGGCTCGCCGTATTTTATTGATTCAACAAACGGAATTTATTAACTATCAAAGGAAGCAAAACAAAAGATTGTATATACTACTGCATTTTTTTGTATGTACATTTATTTTTACATTGTAGAAGAAGCTACTACTTTTTTACAGCATATAAATGAACATAGGTATAAACCAGCAAGAATGAAAGAAATAGCATATATCTAATGAAAAGAGTCGGAATTTCTAGAACACAATAAATACCTACATCCTACTTTTTGGGAACCAAATGCCAACTACATATATATAACATGGCAAGTGCTGCTACATCAGAGGTACCAAAAATACTTAGGAATTGTAAATAAGTATCGTCCAGCACGTGGATGCTCAATAAAAGAGCTGGAGGACTAAATAAATAGGAAAATCACTCTACCTACTTTCCTGTTTCCATCTTTTAGGAATTCAAGTTTATTCAAAATTTCGTTATATAATCCTGTATCTATGATCTCTTCAATAATTTCGGAATGGTAGTTTTAGGCAACTTTAAAGCTTAAGCTTATTCTGAATTTCCCAGAGTGTTTTTGCACTTTTTTTCAGATGGGCCTCTTCTTCAGGGGTCAGCTTTATCTTTATAAGGTTGGTAATACCGTTCTCTCCCAGGATACAAGGAATACTGAGGAATACTTCTTCATCTATTCCATAGAGGCCCTTAATTATGGTGGAAACTGGATGTATTCTCCTAAGATTCTTCAAAATACTTTCTGTTAAATCGGCCACAGATAGGCCAATGGCCCAAGAAGTATAACCTTTCATTTTAATAATCTCATAGGCAGTTGCAGTCACTTCTTTGTGGACATTTTTCCATTGCTCAGGATCTTTATCAGTTCCTATATCAGAGTTCAGATCCTTCAAAGGGACACCAGCTATGTTCACTCCACTCCACACAGGAACACTTGAGTCTCCATGCTCTCCGAGGATCCATCCATGGCAGCTTTCAGAATGGATACCAAGCTTTTGTCCAATCAAGAAACGAAAACGAGCAGTATCCAGATTACAGCCGCTTCCAATAATACGGTTTTTGGGAAATGCACTCAACTTCCAAGCTACATAAGTTAAGATATCCACTGGATTGGAAACAATAATCAGTTTGCAGTGGGGGCTGTACTGGACAATACTGGAAATCATTAACTTGAAGATGGCCACATTTCGCTGGACTAAATTAAGGCGCGTTTCTCCCTTTTCTTGGCGTGCACCTGCTGTGATAATCACTAGGTTGGAGTTTGCTGTGACAAAGTAATCTTTGCTACAAACAATATTTGGCATTTTCGTGAAAGGGCTGCCATGTTGAAGATCCATCGTCTCACCCTTCAGTTTGTCTTCATCAAGATCCACAAGGGCAAGTTCATCACTCAAGCCTTTTAATAAGATGCTGATAGCGCAGGCCATGCCCACCGATCCAGTTCCTATGATGGAGACCTTACTGTGATGAACGGGCTTCTCGGAAGTGAAACGCTCAATAAGCTCACTCTTCACAGTCGCCATCTTGCTCACGGGGGTGAAGAGCCAGGTGCCGTTGAGCGGGATGCGCGTTGCTTGACGCGGACACAGGGCCATCCCCAGGCATAGGAAATTCGCTCCCACCGAGCTCACTCTCTGGCTGGCCCGCACAACAGGCACAGTCCAACTCATGGCTGCTCACTGAAGAAGTGGAGAGAGAGAATGGAAAAAAGCTGCTGATCCGAACGTTGAGACGCCAAGAGAGCCGTTGGCAGGACCTTCAGCACTCTACGGCAGGTGCGCGTGCCCCGCCCCCTGGCCCTCTACTGCGGCTGCGCGGGCCTTGCCAGAGTCTCCGACACGTGCTTTCCGTGGGTGCTCAGACTAAGGCAGTGAAGGGCTGCTTCTCTAGCAAGTGATTTCTGGAGTTAGTTTTGCTAAGAGTATTATCAATAGTTGACATGCTTAAGAGGCTAACCGAGATCCCTGGAATTACTAGTTTTTTATTTTTAATATGAATGCTGAGGAAACATGCTTCTGTTAACTACAGATGAAAATAAGGTTACGTTTTCTGAACCGTGACCCTGCCAGGAAGGATAGGGCTCTATGCTTTGCGTACTGGTGGCTGCCTGCACCATCTCCCAGTGTCCCAGAATTGGGCGCCTGCTTTCTGGTCTATGGCGCTGGAGGCCTATTTTGAAAGGATTCCACTGCCTTGGTGCCAGTCCTGGCCAGGACCCACCCTGGGACAGTCGGCTGGGGCTTCAGCAGGGTAGGGGCCGGCTGGGAGTCACTCCAGCACTAAATCTCAGCATACTACTGCATATTTTTGGAAAATGAATCACCCTGCTACATGTATTAGCTGCTGAATAAATGGATTTTCGTCTTGCCTCTTGCTGGAATCACAGACTGGCATTCCTTGTCTCCCCATGCCTACTGGTAGTATAAATCAAGGCCCAGAGTGCACTTTTGGTGTTCTTATAAAGCCCATCAGTATTGGGTGCCTACTGGATGCCAGGCTGTGTGGGGCTGCTGATGATAAAAAAGTTAAGTTGAGGTCGTGGTCTTGGGGACTTCCTAGTGCTATGGAAATCCCCTGGTCTCATCCATCATCCCAGCTGATCTCTTGTTAAACAGAGTATCTGAGCATGAGTTTCTGGCCAGATTGGTGCAACTTTGATACCACTTCTGGGAGAAACTGCAAAGCCTCAGATGACATGGCTCATTGCAGTGAATTACTGAGCATGAGGGGCTTCACTTTTGCTCTGGCTTAGCTAAAATTTAGGAAAAGTATTGAGTATGTCACTTAGACACCCCTATGGATCCACTGAAGAAGGGGTATGGGGACTTGAGAGCTGGAGTTCTGATTACGGATCAGCTGGGCCATCCAGGCAGCCAGATACTCATCAGCATCTGCAGGCCTTCCCCACTAAGTCAGCTAACAAGTAAGACGTGCACAGCCTTCCTGTGACAGTGCACAATGAAATCCCAAATGCAACATCTGGAAATCCACATGTTGTGGTGAGGGTAGCCATGACAGCTTTGGTTTTTTGTTTGGTGAAATTAGATTTTTTGTTCAATAAATGATTTTGTTCAATTAATTACATTTTGTTCAATGAAATTCGATTTCTTTCCATTCTTGGCCAGGTATCCTATGACATGGATGGCTTTTGTGAAAGGAACCGGGATGTGCTTTTTATGGATCTCATCGAGCTTATGCAGAGCAGCGAGCTGTAAGTATGTTTTGCCATAGCTGACAGGGGATATAGGTTTGATGAAATTTTCAATATGAAAACAAACTTATGAGCTGGGTGTGGTGGTGTGTTCCTATAGTCCCAGCTACTCAGGAGGCTAAGGCAGGAGGATCACTTGATCCTAGGAGTTTGAGGCTGCACTGAGCTGTGATCACTCCTGTCAATAGCCACTGCCCTCCAGCCAGGCAACATAGGAACACTGTGTCTCTAATAAAGAAAAAAACAAAAACAAAACAAAACACCTGTGATGTTTAGTGGTTAGCATTTTGTTCCTTCATGCTATTGGGTCTGGATTATCATTTAATCTATTTGGTTTCTCAAAATAGCTTTCTTTTCTCTATATCAGTCTCTCCCTTTTATGTCCCTAACACTTCATGCCCCCAAATTCCAAGTGCCATCTACAGGTCCTTCAGGGCCTCAGGCTTTCTACCTTTCAATACTATTATCAGGGAGAAATAAGCCCACTGGCTTTGGATTGGGATGGCCATTTCTGACTATTTAAGAGTGGAACAGTCTGGTTCTATGATACTTTGCCCCTGAGCTCTTCTTCATGGTCGTTGAATTTTTAAAGATGGTTAATGGCTTAGCAAGACCCACATTAACCAGAGTCCCTGAAGTACTGAAGAAATGGCTTGAGAACTCTGGGAGGGACAACTAAAGAAGGAGTGACTAAGAGATCCATTTTAACTCCCAAGACCCTGTTTCAGCTGTAGGGGTAGAAGAGGGAGGGTATCCCCCTTGCACGCTGCTAGAACTCTCAAGACCACCTCTGCCTTCCTCCCCTTTTCCCTGAAAAGGTTCTCAAGATCCTGGATAACACATAAGATGTAATTTACATGAGCAAGTCCATCATGCTTGCGAGGCAAGGCCCATGCATGCCAGATCTTACAATTTCTAGAGCTTCTTTCAAGTAAGAGCTGCCCTTTTGCTCTCTATTAGTTAAGCTGTCACAATAGCAAGGCCAGCTTCTCTGATCAACAGCAGCGAGCCTGATAATTTCCTATTAAAGGGCTGACTGCAATGAAAGCAAAGCAAGAGTTTCCTTTTCAGGCCCTGGTCAGCTGTTCTGCTCCGTTTACTTCTCTCCCTGTAGCTCCCTACCCCTCCTCACCCTCTGCTCTCCATCCCTGCGCTTCCTTGCAGCCACACCACCATTTCTGAGATTTTGCATTTCTTTTTATTCAAAACATACATAATCAATTTGTTCTTCTCTGAGATGTTTAGGTAAGCCACAAGTCCTGGCTTGTGGGTTTTATGGCAGTCAGGTGCAGACTTGCTTCCAGAGATTGTTTTTAAAAAATTATTAAAATTCCTGCCAAGTTTAAGAGCTATTATTGCTTCCACATAAACTGCTGTCATACGGACATGGCCTATTATTTTGTAAACACACTTGATGTCAAAATCTGTAGTTGTATCTGGTCAAGTTAAAAGTAGACTGCTGGGGAGACTTCCTGGAAAATTCAAGATGCCCAAAAAGTCATTGAGGAGGAAGTGAGTTTGAGTTTGAATGTCAGATTGCTAATTTACATGGATCCCGTCATTCACCCAGTCAGCAAATACATATTATGGACCAACTGTGCACCATGCTATGCTTCAGACACCAGGGACACTAAGATGAGTAAGGCATTGTCCCTGCCCTGTTGCTAGTGAGGCAGACGTATAAACACATGCAGCTCAAATAGCACCACTAATGAAAGTATCTTCAGGCTGGGTGCAGTGGCTCATGCCTGTAATCACAGCACTTTGGGAGGCCAAGGTGGGTGGATCACGAGGTCAAGAGATCGAGACCACTGTGGCCAACATGTTGAAACCCCGTCTCTACTAACGATACAAAAATTAGCTGTGGTGGCACGCACTTGTAGTCCCAGCTACTCAGGAGGCTGAGGCAGGAGAATCACTTGAACCTGGGAGGCAGAGGTTGCAGCGAGCCAAGATCGCGCCACTGCACTCCAGCCTGGTGACAGAGCGAGACTCCATCTCAAAAAAAAAAAAAAGAAAGTATATTCAGCCGGCAGAGCCTGGTGATTTGTTACTGCTCCGCTTAAAATTGCTCATACTCAAAAGCAGTTTGTCAGGGTTTTCTGTGTAGAGCTGGGAACAGTGTGCTACTGGCATCTGGTGAGCAGAGACCATGGATGCTGCTAAATATCCCACAATATGTAGAAGAGGCGCCCTCCTCGGCCCCCAACAAAGAATTATTCAGCCGCAGATACCAATGGTGCCCAGACTCAGAAACTCTGCTCTAGAGCAAAGCAGCATCTGCACTGAATCCAGACATTTCATATAATTCCCTGAGCTCTGGTCTATCTTGCTTGTCTTAACAAACACATGCTGGCCAGGCGCAGTGCCTCATGCCTGTAGTCCCAACACTTCAGGAGGCTGAGGCAGGAGCACCTCTTGAGTCCAGTTGTTTGAGACCAGCCTGGGAAACATGGCGAAACCCCATCTCTAAAGAAAATACAAGAATTAGCTGGACGTGGTGGCGTCTGCCTATATATAGTGCCAGCTACTCAGGAGGCGGAGGTGGGAAGATGGCTTGAGTCTGGGAGGTCGAGGCTGCAGTGAGCCATGATTGAACCCCTGCGCTCCAACCTGGGCAGTAGAGCGAGACCCTGTCTCAAAAACAAAACAAAAACCTAAAATCCCCTACTGACCTCCCTCTGTTATGTTCTGTCAAGATATACCTCAATTCCTGTGACTAGGGACGTTGGAAAGGCATTGTTTTAAAATTTATTTTGCAGTCTTTGATTCCAAATTGCTTATATCTTAGAATTCTTTCCCTTCATGACTTTTGTCCGTTGTTCATTTCCCCAAGTCACATCTTGATGGCCCGCGCTGTGAGTCAGATGGCTTTTCTGTAGCCAAGGTTATGTGCCTGGGGACGGCCCTTCACCCCATCCTCTAGAAAGGCAGGCTTTCAGCCCCAGAGGTACTTACAGATTGTTAATTCATTCTCTTTCTCCTTTTCCAGGCCTTTCATAAAGTCTTTATTTCCGGAAAATCTGCAGGCTGACAAGAAAGGGCGCCCAACTACTGCCGGAAGCAAAATAAAGGTTAGTTCTATTTTAGGAAGTTTATAGATTCTTATAAGGGCTAGCGCTTTCTAGGAGTAAGGAACTGCACCCCTGGGCCAGGATGAGGTCAGTGAGACGTGAGGAGGTGGTTACAGAAGATGCCCAGAAGTAACATCGCTGCTTGTTACAAGGTTCCAGGATGCAAGCTGAATTTGACTTGGCTGTACCGAAACCTTAAATGGATATTAAGTACCTCATAGCTTAATAGTCAGCAGATGATAATCAGCTACTTTCTAAGAGGAAATGGCTTTAAACAGAACCTGGAAGAATTTATGTTAAACTGTCAGAGAAATATGGTTCGGAGCCATGTTTTGGATACTGTTGACAGTTTACCAGGCCAGGCCCAAAAACCTGCCAGTTATGGAACGTTACTTGCCAGAAATTCTACTTGGTCTTTTAGGGGCAATTTATGCATCCCTCCTCACTGGGTCCTACAGGCCTCTCCTTGCTGTGAATTGAAGACACATCTAGCCACATGGTGTCTCAAAGTCTGAAGGAAATCTTACAGTGTTTCTCAGGAAGTAGGCAGGGTTCTGTGGTACCTGAGCCATTACACTGAATTAAGAGTTTACACTTAATTACACTGAATTAAGAGTTTGTGGGCTGGGTGCGGTGGCTCACGCCTGTAATCCCAGCACTTTGGGAGGCTGAGGCGGGTGGATCACCTGAGGTCAGGAGTTCAAGACCAGCCTGACCAACATGGAGAAACCCTGTCTCTACTAAAAATACAAAATTAGCCAGGCGTGGTGGCACGTGAGTGTAATCCCAGCTACTCAGGAGGCTGAGGCAGGAGAATCACTTGAACCCTGGAGGCAGAGGTTGCAGTGAGCCAAGATTGCGCGATTGCACTCCAGCCTCGGCAACAAGAGTAAAACTCCATCTCAAAAAAAAAAAAAAAAAAAATCTGTGTCAGCCAGATGTAGTGGCTCTGGCCTGTAATCCCAACACTTTTGGAGGCCGAGGAGGGAGGATTACTTGACCCCAGGAGTTCGAGACCAACCTGTGCGATATAATGAGAACCCCATCTCTACTAAAAATAAAAATGAGGTGTAGTGGCTCACATCTTATGCTCTCAGCTACTTGGGAGGCTAAGGAAGGAGGATCGCTTTAGTCAAGGAAGTCAAAGCTGCAGTGAGCCATGATTGCTCCAGCCTGGGGGACAGAACGAGACCCTGTCTCCAAAAAAAAAAAAAAATAGTTTTTGTCATTGTGTCACACACAATCATGTAACTCTAAGAAATACTCACTGAGCTATTTTTTAAAATCATACTGGTTAAGAATAATTTTTTTAAAAATTATACCAGCTGAATACTTCCTCAGTTTTACAATCAAAGGAATGGTTGAGTGACAGCAGGGCTTTGAGTTTGCTCGCCTGTGTTCGAATCTCAGCTCTGGCTTTTCCTCGCTGTGTGCTTGCCAAGGTGTTACTTACGCTCTCAGTGCCCTCACCGCTTCCCTGTAAAATGGAGTCTATCTTAAGAGTCTATCTTAAGATATTAGTGTCTATCTTAAGAGATTACTGTGATGATTCAGCTTCATAATTCATTGGAAGCATGTAACGCAGTGCCTGAGGCATACTGAACACAAGATGTATATGTATGCTCTGACTACATTCTTTCCCATTAGCCCCTTTCCTGTATCGCCGTTGTTGGTCTCTGCTTAATTGTTGTTTTTTTCTTTTTTGTAAAGTTGGGGTGTCACAATGTCACCTAGGCTGGTCTTGAACTCCTGGGCTCAAGCGATCCACCTCAGACTCCCAAAATGCTAGGATTACAGGCACAAGCCACCGAGTCCAGCCTGGGCTTTCAGCTGTAGGGTAGAGCCCTCTGAGCGTCAAGAACATCATGTTGAAAGAACTAGAGACATTTAGTAGCCTCAGGACAGTCCCTGGGTTAGGCTCACTGGGGCAGATTGCTGAAGGCAGAAAACAAATGAAATTCTCATGAGGCCCAGATATTAATGTCTGCGTGAAGTGTCTGACTCATGCCTTTACTGCAAAGTCCTGGATAAGGATTAACTCTGGGCTGGAAAATCGAGTCATAAGACTGTCACATTCAGATCCAAGGGGCCCAGATCATCCAGGTTATGATGACTCATTTTCAAGTGGTCTGGATTATTGTCTATAAAAAGGAGAGCAAGGGTAGGGACACTTTTTCCTCCTTAAAGACTTGTCCCCTTTCTTTCCTTCGTATGCTTGTCTGGTTGAAGGCTCAAAGTGCCACCATTGTGGGATGTTTCCAAAATGTTTAGGTTTACAAGTCTCAGGCCCTTGTCTAGGGAGGTCAAGCTGAAGTCAGCAGTTTACCTAAAGAGAGTACAGCATGTTTTCCCACCTCCAGGCACAATCTCCTTGGTGGATGTTGTGACCTCTGTCTGCCTGGCTGTCTGCCTCCACGTAGGAATAAAAGTCTCTCCCAGTACCTCTTACAGATACATAGCCATGGCCCAATCGCTGATACGTTCCATATCTACAGTAATTTGCAGACATCATTGTCATCTTAACGATGTCCCTGAGGCGTAAGCGTTTAAAAGGATTCTGAGTTCCTTGAAAGAAAAATTAAACTTGTGTTCAAGGTCATCGTAGTGTTATAGATTTCATTATATTCTAATTATTTAAAAATTTAAACTGATTTGTAGGATTTAACTAATAGAATATTCATTTGATGGGAACTCTTATTATATTGATTATAAATAAAAGTATAAATATAGTAATATTTAATAGCATTTGATTTTGAGGTTTTACTTAATTCGATATTGTCGTGTCTGGAAGGGACAAGTACAGGTTGAGCATCTCAAATCCTGAAATGCTCCAATGAGCATTTCCTCTGAGCATCGTGTTGGTGCTCAAAAAGTTTCAAATTTTGGAGCATTTTGGATTTCAGCTTTTCAGATTAGGGGTACTCAACTATAAAGTATAATGCAGGCCGGGCACAGTGGCTCATGGCTGTTATCCTAGCACTTTGGGAGACCGAGGTGGCTGGATCATTTGAGGTCAGTCTGGCCAACATGGTGAAACCCCATCTCTACTAAAAATACAAAAATTAGCTGGGCATGGTGGCAGGAGCCTGTAATGCCAGCTACTCAGGAGGCTGAGGCAGGAGAATTGGTTGAGCCCAGGAGGTGGAGGTTGCAAGTGAGCCGAGATCATGCCACTGAACTCCAGCCTGGGCGACAGAGCGAGACTCCATCTCAAAAAATAAAGTATAATGCCAATATTCCAAAATCTGAAAAAATCCAAAATCCGAAACACTTCCCTTCCCAAGCATTTCGGATAAGGGATACTCATCCCATATTTAAATTAGAGCCAAAGATTGATGCTACGGAGAAACAGAACCAAGCTCAGAGGTGGCAAAGGCAGACTGGCTATAGCTTTATCTGAGTGCAGCTGGAGCTATAAGGGACATGACAGAGGAAGTACAGGCATCATGCAGGTGATTGGATTGGTTGGGGGTTTTTTTGGTTTGTTTTTTTTTTGTTTTTTTTCTTGAGATGGAGCCTTGCTGTGTCACCCAGGCTGAAGGGCAGTGATGCGATCTTGGCTCACTGCAACCTCTGCCTCCCAGATTCAAGCGATCCTCCTGCCTCATCCTCCCACGTGGCTGGACTACAGGTGGCACCACCATGCTCAGCTAATTTTTTGGTATTTTTTTTAGTAGAGACGAAGTTTCACCATGTTGGCCAGGCTGGTCTCGAACTCCTGACTTCAATTGATCCGCCTGCCTCAGCCTCCCGAAGTGCTGAGATTACAGGAGTGAGCCGTTGCACCCAGCCTGATTGTTTGTTTTTTAATATGTATTTCAATCTCTAGATTAAATTAGAGGTCTTCTAGTTCAACCTACTTAGTTTACAGATAGAGAACTGAGGACCAGAGAAATCTAGTGATTAGTCATGTAACTTGCAAATAAAAGTGCCAGGACCCACAGTCAGGCCTGCTGTCATCTCTGTTGAAGGTAGAATGAGGAGCTTTCACCCTGAGCCGTTTCTCACTGTGCTGTCTGCGTATTTTAACACCTGCTTCTGTTGAGCAAGTGCTGTTGGTACTTTTCTGTCCTAACTCAGGAACCCTTCTTGGCTGGAATCAGGATTAAATTCAGTTACTGCTTCACAACCACCTCAGCAGACATCTTAAGTTGACCCAAGGTTGGGCACAGTGGCTCACACCTGTAATCTCAGCACTCTGGGAGGCCAAGGTGGGAAGATTGCTTGAGGCCAGGATTGGAGACGAGCCTGGGAAATATAGTGAGACCCCACCTCTACAAAAATTTTTTTTCAAAAATTAGCTGGGTGTGGTGGCATGTGCTTCCAGTCCCAGCTACACAGAGGGCTGAGGTGGAAGGATCACTCGAGCTTGGGAGGCCAAGGCTCCAGTGAGCTGTGATCATGCCACTCTACTCCAGCCTGGACAACAGAGCAAGACCCTGTTTCAAAAATTAAAAATAGGTAAATAAAGTTGACCCATAGCTATTGAAATACAGGATAATTTTGATGGTTAAGATGTATTTCTGTTTGCTGAAATTAATTATTCACAGCCTGGTGGCTTCTGTCTAATCCTACCTCAACCAGTTAATTCCTTTTATATCACACTAAATGATCCCATCTCTTTGTCAGCAAGGCAGGATAGGATTGTTGCCAAAGAACAGGCTTGGTAGCCCATGGGCGTGGGTTCAAGCCTTACTTCTCTTTCATGCAAATTGTGTCATCTTGAGCAATACTTTGTTTCTTTAAGGCCCAGCTTTCTCATCTAAAAAACAGGAATAATATTAAATAGTAGCCACCTCTTCAGGTTGTTGTGAGGCGTAAATGAGATAATACATGTATCTAATCTGCACTGCAAACTCAGTAAATGTTATCTGTCACTATTTTAGCTGGAGAGGACTATGGCAAGTGACTTATAAACTTAAGTTACACTTGCCTCTCTATGTTTTCTTATGCTGAGGTGAAAAAGAAGGAATGCTGTTAAATACTTAGGACAAAAGAGTTTGCAAAGTTATTCTTGGAAATTAAAAGTTGTAGGCTGGGCACAGTGGCTCACGCCTGTAATCCCAGCACTTTGAGAGGCTGAGGCGGGTGGATCACCTGAGGTCAGGAGCTCGAGACCAGCCTGACCAACATGGTGAAACCCCATCTCTACTATAATTACAAAAATTAGTTGGGCCTGGTGGCATACGCCTGTAGTCCCAGCTACTCGGGAGGCGGAGGCAGGCGAATCGCTTGAACTCGGGAGGCAGAGGTTGCAATGAGCAGAGATCACGCCACTGCACTCCAGCCTGGGCCTCAGAGTGAGACTCCATCTCAAAAAAAAAAAAAAAAAAAAAAAAGTCGTAATTAAATACAAAACTAAAATCTAAAAATGAAGTTTAAAAAATTAAGAATTTGGGGATTTTAAGAACAAAAAAAAGCTGTGCTATATTCAACCCTGCAGTCCCTCTCCGGCTCCACCTGATGTGTTGCAAAAATCATCAAATTTGTTCTCAAGTGCAGTCTGCATCATCAAAGAACATAAGAGGCAATTTACTTTTTCATCATAGGGCTTTGCTTTGATCATGCAACCTCTGCAGCCCTGTCTGTCCTCAATTTCAAGCATCGCAAAGAATGCTATTTCCTGCACATCTAAACAGAGAACTTAATTCACCAATGAATATCTTGCTTTGAATATACTCAATAGTTTTTCTCAAGGGTTTCAGATTTCCCAAACCCATGAAAACAGAAAAGTCCTAATTGAGACAGGGTTGTGTCTTGCAAGCAAATCTCTTCTGCTGACTGTAATGGTTTTCTGGCTTTGGAGGTCCCTTTTGGCTTTTTTTCTTTTAGAGGTTTTCTCTCTTTAGGCTGCTTTGCTTGGAAGTGGAGTTCGCATGTGTGCCACATCCTTGGACCCACAGGGTGTGCTCAGCTGTGGGGTGGGAATGCTGATGTGAGCTCTACTCCTGTTTCTTCAAACAAAGTTTGAGATTCTCAGGGTTTAAAATACTTCATAAGCAATTTCAGCTTTATGTGGCTTTTTCTGCTTGAATCCAGTTCTACTTTGAGTACCCAGTGCACAGGCATTAATAGAAGGTTTTATATAGAATATTCTAGATTTGCAAAGAAGTAAGTTGGCAGCCACAGATAAAGTGTTCAGACTCTGCAGGTTTTTAAATGGCCATATTGAGGAAGAAACTGAATGAAATGGAATATCAAAAGTTTATAAATTCTCAGATTTTTATGAATCTCCCATTCTTTAACTATGAATTTTCATCACTTTAGCAAAGTGATTCTTCATTAGTTGGATTGCCAGAAAAGAGAGTGTAGGGGATTTGATGATTTATCCTTACAAATAATTTTGGGGGAAAAAAAGTTAATGAGAACAATATATCTTCAAAGGCGCTCTATCAGCATAAAATGAACTTAGTTTGTTAACTGACATGCTTCACTGTACCACCTGAAAATCATTTTGTATGTGAAGATTTATTGGGATTTTTGTTTTTTGTTGTTGTTCTATTTTATTAACTGTACTGAAAATGCCTAGTTGCTTTTGAA
The DNA here is from genome assembly GCF_000001405.40 of Homo sapiens. Classification (NCBI taxonomy): domain Eukaryota; kingdom Metazoa; phylum Chordata; class Mammalia; order Primates; family Hominidae; genus Homo; species Homo sapiens. The sequence continues at coordinate 59,195,785 of NC_000015.10, read as the reverse complement.
GATTGAATTTCAAACCCATTTAGGAGTGATAAAATCATCATAAAAGTCGGCAAAGCTTTCGGAAAGTTTAGTAGACCTGAGTTATGCTTAACGAGCAAATTGTCATGAAGATTAATTCCTAGCTATGTATTTCTACAAGAGAGTTTTACAAGTCTCCTTTGAAATTTGGTCTTCTTTAGAGAAAGTTCCATGATTCTGATACTGTTCTTCCTTTCTAGAAACAAGCCAATGACCTTGTGAGCACCCTGATGAAATGTACGCCCCACTACATTCGCTGCATCAAGCCAAACGAAACCAAGAAGCCCAGAGACTGGGAGGAAAGCAGGTATCGGGGGAAACCGGCTTAGGTGGGGCCGGGACCTTTTTCCCTCTGCTCAAGATGAGCCGTCCTCCATCACAGGCAGGAGCAGTGTCAGTTGTCCGCACATGTCTTTGTCATGCCCTTGCATCTTAACTTTTTCAGGACAAAAGCTGTATACTGTTTCCCCTCCGTGTCATTTGCTAAAATGTTAGCAGTGCCATTCATTTCAGCATTAGCAGTTTATAATGTTGATCTTGGCTAGTCTGGGGGCAGATGGAAAAAAAACAAAACATAACCTCATACCGCAGAGTCATGATGGTTTTAAAATCAGTTTGAGGTTCTGTGTAGACATTCTTAGTCCACCCAGCCCCTGATCGGGACCCACAGGATGTGGCCTAGAATGCTTAGCTTGGGGTGGAAAGTGGAGGGCGTAAGAGCTGATGGAAATACAATCCAGCATTTGCTGTGCCTCGTGAAGACACTGGGGACAAGCTGGAGGCTCTGGCATTCCCCCTAAGCACCGTATTGATGAGAAGAACGACTCTGGGAGGAAAGATGTCAAAGGGAAATGCAGAGCACAAGAATTCAGCAAACCCTTTCTGCCCTGACTTCCAGTGAAGCCTGCATCACTGTTCCTCCCACAGCTAGGATTTAGGGAAGTGGCCTGGGCAGGAAGAAATGGCGGCATTGAGGAGGAGCCTGTTAAGGTGGTGGCTAGAGGGTATGAATTTTGTGGCCCGCTGGGAGACCCAGACACACATTGTTCAGAGGCCTGATCCCACTGTCCATAGAAGCATGGGAAGGAGGGAGAGACTTAAACTACAGAGAGGACCCTAGCCATCGTCACCTAGTATCAGTCCCAGGATGGGAGCCTACCAGAATTGCTACCTCTTGTCTTCTCTCTTGGAGAAAAGAAGGTAGGCTCTTTTAGGTGTCGAGTGAAGAACTCCAGGTTTAGCTTCCACAGGAAGACAAGGACTAAAATTCCTAGCTGCCGATTATCTCCTGCGAGGGACAGGTGTGTCCATTTTCCTTCCTGCCAGTAAGATCCTAAACCATGGCAGATAGATGATGCCTGATCCTTTACAGGAGGAAACAGATCCATAGTAAGAAAAACACGTAGGTCAAACATTTACTGTCTGAAAGTTCGTTCTATTTAATATTGAATACTTCGGCATGCAGTCTAAGTCTGTTCTCTCCTCTGAAGAAGCCAGGCTGCTTGGATGTAAGAGCTGCCATCTTTTCAGGCCACTATGTTCTGAATAATCTCATCCATAGATGCATATTCTTAAGGATTTTTTTTTTTTTTGGAGACAAGAGTCTCGCTCTGTCACCCAGGCTGGAGTGCAGCGGCATGATCTTGGTTCACTGCAACCTCTGCCTCCCGGTTTCCAGTGATTCTCCTGCCTCAGCCTCCTGAGTAGTTGAGATTACAGGTGCCCACCATCATGCCTGGCTACTTCTATATTTTTAGTAGAGATGGGGTTTCACCATCTTGACCAGGCTGGTTTTGAACTCCTGACTTCGTGATCCAACTGCCTCGGCCTCCCAAAGTGCTGGGATTACAGGTGTGAGCCACCACCCCTGACCGCTTAAGGCATCTTTTCTATTGAATCTCTGAAATTTTTCAATTTAATGTAGTCAGATTCCTTCTACAATATTGTCCGTTAATGATATTCAGGCCCGGATGAGGAGCTCATACTTGCTAAGGTGACCAGCTCTTCTTTGGTCAATTCTTACTTTAGGAGGCTGTACAGTCCTTCTCTAGGTCACTTTTATCCTAATCCCAGGTTTTCAATCTGCGATAAGAATCATTCTCATTACTTTGCCACTGGACACCTTTTCTGTTAGTTCGAGGTGACCGTCGTGTTTCTCTTGAATCTTCTCTTCTACAGGTTAATCCCTCTCAGTTCCGTCAACAGTTTCTCTAGGACATGAAATATAAGCATTCCCCATCTTAGCCCTTCTCTTGGAGGTACTTAATTTGGCCTCTGCTTTTCTGAAATGTATAGTTCCGCTTCTCCTTTCAGACTAAGAGGGTAGCAGCATTGTCATCTCTTCTCCTCTAAAGATGTAAAATGCTTACACCCAGGAGTTTGAGGCTGCAGAGAGCCATGATTGAGCCACTGCACTCCAGCCCAGCTGTTAGAGTGAGACCCCAAGTCAATCAATCAATCAATCATACAGAAAACATCTTGTTTTGCTCTCTTACATTGGTTCCCATACTTGAGCCTGCCTCAGGATCCCCAGGAGGCCTTGTTAAAGCTGAGATTGCTGGGCTCCATCCCGAGTTTCTGATGCAGTGGGTCTCAGGTGGGGCCCATGAATGTGCATCTTAAAAATCTTGCAGGTGGTGCTGGTGATGATGGCCCAGGCACTGCACTTTGAGAATCACTGATCTAGAGCAAAGAACTAGACTGTGTCCCGGTGCTGACCTATCACTAAGTTGTTAGAGCGAGACTCTTCATCTCCTTAGCCCTCAGTTCCTTCCTCTTAAGAGGGTCCATCTAGAATAGGATCTCCTTCAGTCTGACAGAATGAAGGCTTCCAGACAGTGGCTGTCAGTCTGCCTCTGTCTCTGTCACTTTTACACTCACCTCTCACACATACCCACACTTGTACACCCACCCACACATACATCCACATGTACACACACACAACAGAACAGTGATATTAAATCAATATCCCAATATGATTACTCCAACCAAATCTTTAGTCAACCTTAGAAATAAACCATGAGAGTCTTGGAAGCAGAGGTATTGCCAAAGGGGGCCTTAGCCCACCTTCCCCCATTTCAAACTCTATCCACCTGCTCTTCCCAGCAAATACTCTTAAATGAAAACATCTCACTTGCCCTACAAATGCATTTTGACAGTCTTGGAAAAAGACTCCCTCTGCAAGACGGAGTTGGCATAGCCTAGGGAACAACTGGGCATTGTCTGATCAATGCCCCCTAGCACACCCTCCTCTACCCCACGTAGATAGTTCTACTGAAAGCCCCTCTAAAATAGAAATTTTGCAATAGCTGCTTGGAAGTTCACCAACCCTGATGCTACTTCCTTGTAAAAATCCAACATAATTCATTGGAATATCAGAAAATGGAGAAATTAAATGAGTGGTACATTTTATTCAGTAAATCCTCATAGGATGAGGATGGTATTTTCTCTTTTCTTTTTTTTTTTTTTAAATGATTCCCCTTTGAATTGCAGCAAAGAATTTTATGACATGCATTCAAATAAACTGGTTTTAAGAAGTTCAAGGTATTAGTTGGTCGAGCGTTGATTTATAATTCCAGTAAGACCGCTTTCTGGGATTCCACCCTTAATCCTGGTTTGGGTTTATTGTGTAACAAATGGTTTCACTCCATCCATGAGTCAGGAGTGTTAGGGTCCGTGAAAGGGCAGTGTGCTTCACTGGCTGGGATTACACACCCAGTTGAAGCTCCTGGTAAAGAGGGTTACTCATTCCACAAGTTTATGAGGTGTAGGGTTTTTCTTTTCCTGTTGCAAATGCGTTTTTGTTTGGCTTCTGGCAAGGTTGCTTGCCCTGCATTCTGAATTGCTGCCTTGCAGAGTTCTCTAGCCCTGATCAATTTGAGTAAACGGCCAGGGACAGTCTTGGAAAAAGACTCCCTCTGCAAGATGGAGTTGGCATAGCCTAGGGAACAACTGGGCATTGTCTGATCAACGACTACTGAGGAGGTGACAGTGCTCCAGGAATATGCAAAAATCAACTTGTGTCGCTTTGATGACCCCCAAATTTTAAACATTACAGGACTTGCTAGACTCATTTCTACCAGAAAATTTCCTGATGGTGGAAGTTATAATGAATGAAACAATGTTTTAACATGAGGAATATTCCTTCCTATGTGATTCATGGGAGAGGAACGTTTCTGCTTGAATTAATGGGTGATGCATTCCCTGCCTCGAAAGCTTGGCGTGAAGCCAGTGTTTATGAAAAGTACTTTAAAATGAGCAGAACCTTTAAATGCATTTTTCATGCATTTTTCTCACTAGAGAAAAGGCCAGTGGCGAGTTTTAGATTTGGAGGGTGAGAGAAAGGAAAATTAATTATTTTTCAATTTAATTACCTTTTTAATTGACATGACATTTCTTTCTCTCTCTCTCTCTCTCTCTCTCTCTCTCTCTCTCTGTCTCTGTCTGTCTGACTTATATGGGCAAAGGTGGATATTTAGTACAGACGGGGTTTCACTGTGTTGGCCAGGCTGGTCTCGAACTCCTGACCTCATGATTTGCCCGCCTCGGCCTCCCAAAGTGCTGGGATTACAAGCGTGAGCCACTATGCCCGGCTTAACTCTTTGCACACAGAGGCTTTCTGAAAGTTAATAATCTTAGAGGAATCAACATTTCTGGCTCTTGGCTCTGTAAGACCCATCAAACTGGAGACTCTTAAACACCACTCCCATTGTGACATCCTTCCCATCAGCCAAGGTTGCACCCCCACTTCGAGCTTCATCTGTCCCCCTCCTCCTGTCCCACAGCACCCTGCCACTGGCCTTTCCTATTCTTGTACCTTTGCTTTCACAGCCCTCTGCCTTGTCCTGTATACCTCATGGATTCAACTCGCCCCTCCAGGCCCAGGCACATCACAGTGCTCCTGAGAATCCCTGTGCTGTGAAAAATCCACTTCCTTCTCTATTCTCCTATCCTGGTTTACATATTGTAGCTGGGAATGGATGACGATAATAACAGCTTTACATGCTCGTGCTACGAACTAAGTGCTTTCCATAGAAAGTACTCGTCTAGAAATAAAGAATTTATGCCACCATTCCTGTTTTTACAGAAGAGGAAACTGAGAGGCACAGAGAAGTTGCATCGTGGCAGGGCCAGTGGCGCAGCAGGAATGCAGCACCAGAACCTGGCTCCTAACCACTGTGCTGCCTGTGTGGGCTCCAGCAGGAATCATAGCATTGTCCTTTTTTGGTGACCCTAGCATGTTGCAATAGGCACTGTGTGTGACTGGCCCACAGTAGACATCCGCAAGTATGAGACTTAATTGGAAATGGTGGTTTTTGTGAGAGCCTTACTGGGAAGACAGCTGTTGGGAACCTGCGTGACATCGGAATGAGGATGCTTCTGATTGTCTTTTCAGCTCAGCAGCTCCTGAAAGGCCCATTTTGCTGAGCGCATTAGCCCCGTTATCAGCACAGATATCCCCAAATGTACCAAACAGGGAGTGTGAGGAGTTACCTCCCTACTGCAGCACAATCCTGACATTCCATCTTCGAAAGAGAGAGACCTTACTTTTTATGTCTAATTTGCCTCAAATACCATGTTTCCAAGTGTCTGGTTCAGCCAGCTCGCGCAGCACGCAGCCCAGGCCCAATTTATCTTCCCAGAGTGGATGATCTGAAGCAAGTTTTCAGGATCTGTCGGCATCCAGAGCACTGTGTTTTCCAGCAAGTGGTGGGTTTTCACAAGGCACATGTCCGTGCTCCACCTTAGACCCAGCAGGTGTACTAAAATAGCCTCCCCAAGGTGCAGGCCTACTAAATCAGCATCCCCAAGGTGTGGGGCATGGGGCATCTTCTGGTATGAAAATCCTCATGTGTGAGAATATTAACCTAATAGTTCTTTACATCCATTTTTTCAAAAGACATTGCTAGATTTTTACTGTTAAGAAACCAGGATGGGCCAGGCGTGGTGGATCACCTGAGGCCAGGAGTTCGAGACCAGCCTGGCCAACATGGCGAAACCCCGTCTCTACGAAAAAAGACAAAAAATTACCCAGGCATGGTGGCACATGCCTGTAATTCCAGCTATTCGAGATGCTGAGGCAGGAGAATCTCTTGAACCCACAAGGCGGAGTTTGCAGAGAGCCGAGATTTTGCCACTGCACTCCAGCCTAGATGACAAAGCAAGACTCTGTCTCAAGAAAGAAAGAAAAGAAAGAAAGTTTGCCACTGCACTCCAGCCTGGATGACAAAGTGAGACTCTGACTCAAGAAAGAAAGAAAGAAAAGAAAAAGAAAGGAAAGAAAGTTTGCCACTCCACTCCAGCCTGGATGACAAAGCGAGACTCTGTCTCGAAAGAAAGAAAGGAAAGGGAAAGGGAAAGAAAGAAAGAAAAGGGAAGGGAAAGTGAAGGGAAAGGAAAGGAAGAAACACGCCGAGTACAGTGGCTCATGCCTATAATCCCAGAACTTTGGGAGGCTAAAGCAGGCAGATAATTGAGTTCAGGAGTTTGAGACCAGCCTGGGCAAAGTGGCGAAACCCTGTCTCTCCAAAAAATACAAAAATTAGCCAGGTGTGGTGGTGCATGCTTGTAGTCCCAACTGCGCAGGAGCCTGAAATAGGAGGATCACCTGAGCCTGGGGAGGTCAAGGCTGCAGTGAGCTATCACATCACTACAATGTAGCCTGGATGACAAAGTGAGACCCTGTATCAAAAAAAAATTCTTGTAAGAAAGAAGAAATCAACTAAAACTATAATTTAGATATATTTTAGACCATTTTTAATGTACACACTTGAAATTAATAGTTTTAAATGCCCTTTTGTAACTTGTATTAGAAAAGCCTAGAAGTGTAGTTCCATTAAGTCATAATCAATATTAAAATTTAAGTTCAATAACAAAACCAGCATTAGCATCATTTAATTCAAAAGTTAAAAGTTCTTTCCTTTAGCCTTCTGATTAACCAATATTTTTGTTCATACTCTAGGTGATAGATGGGTCTTTGTGTTACTGTTATTCTTTGAAATAGATATGTAATGCCCTGTTATTTAATTGCTGTATTTTTATTTATTTATTTATTTATATTTATTTTATTTCTGAGACGGAGTCTCACTCTGTCATGCAGGCTGGAGTGCAGTGGTGCAATCTCAGCTCACTGCAGCCTCTGCCTCCCTGGTTCAAGCGATTTTCCTGCCTCAGCCTCCCGAGTAGCTGGGACTACAGGTGCGTGCCACCATGCCTGGCTAATTTTTTTATTTTTAATAGAGACAGGGTTTCACCATGTTGGCCAGGCTGGTCTTGAACTCCTGACCTCAGGTGATCTACCCGCCTCACCCTCCCAAAGTGCTGGAATTACAGGTGTGAGCCACTGCGCCCAGCCTAATTGCTGTATTTCAATATTTAAAAATTAGCATTATGTCATCTGAGAGGTCAGCTCAGTGTTTGAACACTATAAATTGTAGTCTTCTGAATATGTTTCCCTACAGCTTGGAACTGGGGGCTTGGGGGTTGGCTGGTAAGAACACGAGTGAAAGGATTATCCAGTAATGTCCAGGCCCCATTTTCTCCTTTGCACAGGGTAAAGCATCAAGTCGAATATTTGGGTCTGAAAGAGAACATTCGAGTGAGAAGAGCTGGCTATGCCTATCGGCGCATCTTCCAAAAATTCCTACAGAGGTAATGAACTAGTGACTCTGGCCTTTTTTAAAACAGGTTTATTGAGCTATAATTCAAATCTATACAATTCACCCACTTCAAGCGTACGAGTCAATGGCTTTTAACGTATTCACAGAGTTGTGCAACTATCACCACCGTTAATTTTAGGACATTTTCTTACCCTGAAAAGAAATCACGCTTCCCTTTGTTGTCAACCTCCAATTCTCCCCTTGCCTCTGGGCCCAGTCAGTCACTTATCTACCTTCTGTCTATAGATTTGCCTATGCTTTTCATAGCAATGGAATCATATATGTGTCCTCTGTGACTGACTTCTTTCACTGAACATAAGATTCATCCATGTTGTTGCATTTCCATGCTTCCTTCCTGTTAATTGCAGAATAATATTCCATTGTGTGGATATACCACAGTTTACTTATGCATTCATCAGTTGATAAACGTCAGTTGTTTCCACTTCTTGGCTATTATGAATAATGCTGCTATGAAAATCTGTGTACAAGTTTTTATGTGGTCATATTTCATTTCTTTCGGGTATATGCTTCAAAGTGCAATTGCTTGGTCATATGGTAACTCTGCATTTAACCTTTGAGAGGAACTGCCTGATTGTTTTCTGAAGTGGCTGCACCACTTCACATTTTGTACCACCAGCAGTATTTGAGGCTTCCAATTTATCTAAATCCTTGCCAACATAAGTTATTTTCTAACCATCCTAGTGAGTGTGGAGTGGTATTTCATGATGGTTTTGATTTGCATTTCCCAGATGGCAAATTATATTGAGGATTTTTTCATGTGCCTGTTAGCCATTTGTATTTCCTCTTTGGAGAAATGTCTGTGAGGCCCTTTGCCATTTTTTAATTGGGTGTTTTGTCTTTTTATCATTGCATTGTAATAATAATTCTTTTACTGTTATTTATTGTAGAATAAATCAGTAGCCATAAGTATTCATTAGGCTGTCTGTTTAGTGTAACACATAAGTGCAAGAATTCTTGATAATTGTGCCACAGGAAGAGCGGAGGTTTAACTTGACTGAATAAATTAACAGTATGAAGACAATTTCAGGAAAATGTTTAACCCACTTAAGACAATAAGCTTAAAATATTTAACCTCAAAAATTTTGTACAATCCATGTATAAATTTAAACTTATTTTTATATATCCCTTAACATGTATTTGGCAGGACCTATACTTAAATTGTTCTTATTTTGTGTTGTTTGTAAAAGGATAAAATGTGGTACCCTTAAAATGTTACATCACTCTAACTTCTCTAATGATTCTGTGGCGTTCCACTGTATTTCTACATCTATTTAATTTCCTTGAAGGAATAGGGAAACAAAAAAGAAGTAAGCCAAATGTAGTGTTTTATTTATTTATTTAGAGACAAAGTCTTGCTCTATTACTCAGGAGTGCAGTGGTGCAATCATAACTCACTGCATCTTTGAACTCCTGGGCTCAAGCCATTCTCTCCCACCTCAGTCTGCAAGTAGCTAGTACTACAGGCATGCATCACCATGCCCAGATGACTTTTTACTTTTCGTAGAGACAGGGTCTCGCTATGTTGCCCCAGCTACTCTCAAGTGATCCTCCCACCTCAACCTCCCAAAGTGTTGGGATTATCAGCACGAGCGACCACACCGCGTCAAACTGAGCATTTTAATCAGAAACAATTACATCTTCCTGATATATTATGCAGGGGCTGGATATAATGTTTTTTTTTTTAAAATTCAGATTGTATATAACTGAAGAAGAAGTTAATTACTGTCTTTGGAATCTAGTATTTCTAATAAGACAGTTCTTATTTAGGGCTGTTGTTTCTTCTGCTATGAGATTAGGACAGCCGACTCACCATTTAGAGGTTTTAAAAAAGAGCTAATGATTTTGTATAATAAAGCGTCAGAAACTCAGTCCCCCACATTTGAGTTTCCTAATAACCGTGGAGGTGAGTTAGACTAGGAACAAGGTTTACCCTCTTTGTTCTCTGAATTAAAGACGTCAGTACGCCTATAGTGTAAGCAGGACTATGTGAAAGAAATATTTAGGAAGTTGAGAAAAGGTATTTGTAGAGCTTTTGCATCACATAGCACCACCCATTTGCTGACACACAACTGAGATGTTAGTTATGAGACTTCCTTAAACAGATCAGTAACACTAGCTCAGAAAAGGTTTTCTCAACCTCAGACCACTGACATTTTAGGCTGGAAGATTCTTTGCTGCGAAGTCTGTCCTGTGTATTGTGGGATGTTTAGCAGCCTTCTTGGCCTCCACCCACTAGATGCCAGTAGTGTACCTTCCTCTGAGTTGTGACATCCAAAAGCGTATCCAGGCATTGACTAATGTTCCCCCTACAGGGCACAGTCAGTTGAGGAACTTTGGCTTAGATAATCATTTTTAAATTTTATTTATTTATTTATTTTAGAGATAAGGTCTCCCTTGGTTGCCCAGGCTGGTCTTGAACTCTTGGGCTTAAGCAGTCCTCCTGCCTTAGCCTCCCAAACTGCTGGGATTACAGGCATCAGCTACCATGCCCGACCCCAAAATACCCTTTTTTAATTAAGAGGGGCCGGGCACGGTGGCTCACACCTATAATCCCAGCACTTTGGGAGGCCGAGGTGGGCATATCACCTGAGGTCAGGAGTTTGAGACCAGCCTGGCCAACATGGTGAAACCTGTCTCTACTAAAAATACAAAAATTAGCCAGGTGCAGTGGCATGCATCTGTAATCCCAGCTGCCTGGGAGGCTGAGGCAGGAGAATTGCTTGAACCAGGGAGATGGAAGTTGCAGTGAGTTGGCATGGCGCCATTGCACTCCAGCCTGGGCGACAGAGTGAGACTCCATCTCAAAAAAAAAATTCCACACAGCAAAGGAAACAATCCACAAAATGAAGAGACAACCCACAAAATGGGAGAAAATCTTTGCAAACCATCCGACAAGGGATTAATAACCAGAATATAGAAGGAGCTCAAACAACTTTGTGGGGAAAAAATCTAATAATCCAATCAAAAAAATGAGCAAAAGATCTCAAGAGACATTTCTCAAAAAAAAGACATGCTGATGGCAGACAGGCATATGAAAACGTGTTCAATATCATTGATCATCAGAGAAAGCCAAAATAAAACTACAGTGCGATATCTCACCTCAGTTAAAATGGCTTTTACCCAAAAGACAGGCAATAACAAATGCTGGCGAGAATGTGGAGAAAGGGAACCATCGTATGCTGTTGGTGGGAATGTAAATTAGTATAACTACTATGGGGAATAGTTTGGAAGTTCCTCCAAAAACTAAAAATAGAGCTACCATATGATCCAGCAAGCCCACTCCTAGGTATGGAGCCAAAAGAAAGGAAATCAGGATATCAAAGAGATATGTTCACGCCTGTGTTTATGGCAGCACTATTCACAATAGCCAAGATTTGGAAGTAAGCTGCATCCATCAACAGACAAATGGATAAAGAAAATGTGATACAGGCTGGGTGCAGTGGCTCACACCTGTAATCCTAGCACTTTGGGAGGTCAAGGTAGGCAGATCACTTGAGATCACAAGTTCGAGATCAGCCTGGCCAACGTGGTGAAACCCTGTCTCTACTAAAAATACAAAACTTAGCCAAGTGTGGTGTCCCATGCCTGTAATGCCAGCTACTTGGGAGGCTGAGGCGGGAAAATTGCTTGAACTCGGGAGGCAGAGGCTGCAGTGAGTGAAGATTTTGCCACTGTACTACATACAACCTAGGCAATGGAGCAAGACTGTGTCTCAAAAAAAAGAAAATGTGTTACACATACACAGTGGAGTACTATTCAGGCATAAAAAATAATGAGATCCAGGCCAGGCGCAGTGGCTCCCACCTGTTATCCCAGCACTTTGGGAGGCCAAGGTGTGTGGATCACTTGAGGTCGGGAGTTTGAGACCAGCCTGGCCAACATGGTGAAACCTCATCTCTACTAAAAATACAAAAATTAGCCAGGTGTGGTGGCGCACACCCGTAATTCCAGATACTCGGGAGGCTGAGGTGAAAGGATTGCTGGAACCCAAGGCAGAGGTTGCAGTGAGCCGAGATTACGCCACTGCCCTCAAGCCTGGGTGACAGAACGAGATTCCGTCTCAGAAAAAGAATGAGATCCTGTCATTTGCAACAACACGATGGAATTGGAGATCATTATGTTAAGTGAAACAAACCAGGCACAGAAAGACAAACATCACATGTTCTCACTTATTTGTGGGAGCTAAAAATTAAAATAATTGAGCTCATCAAGATAGAGAATAAAATGATGGTTACCAGAGGCTGGGAAGGGTAGTGGGGGAAGGGGAAGGGAGGTGCAGATGGTTAATGCATACAAAAAAATAGAAAGAATGAGTAAGACCTAGTGTTTCCTAGCACAACTGGGTGACTATAGTCAAATATAATTTAACTGTACATTTTAAAACAACTAAAAGAGTATAGTTGGATTTCATATAACACAAAGAATAAATGTTTGAGGAGATGGACACCCCATTTTCCATGATGTGGTTATTCCACATTGCATGCCTGTATCAAAACATCTCATGCAAAAAGTAAAAAAGAAAAAAAATCTCATGCAACCCATAAATATGTATACCTACTATGTATCCACCCCCCAAAAAAAACTTATCAGTCCAGGTGCAGTGGCTCATGCCTGTAATCCCAGAACACTGGGAGGCTGAGGCAGGAGGATTACTCGAGCCCAGGAGGTCAAGGCCACAGTGAGTTAGCCTGGGTGACAGAGCAAGACTGTGTCTCAAGAAAACAAGAAAAAAAAAAAAAACCTGATCAAACCTTTTTTAATCTATTCTGGGTTTTTTTGTTTGTTTTTTGAGAAACCAGTTCTGAAAGACCTCCTTCCTTCTACCTTGTTTTAAAAACCAACCAACCAACCAAACTGACTTCCATAAACAATGCTGAGAGTGCTGCCATCTCAGGAGAGCAGGAAGTCTATGCACTCTTTTTTCCCGTCTAAGGCAGGGGTCCCCAACTCGCAGCAGGGGACCAGTACTGGTCTGTGGCCTGTTAGGAACTGGGCCTTACAGTAGGAGGTGAGCAGCAGGCCAGCGAGCATTACCGCCTGAGCCCCACCTCCTGTCAGATCAGCGGTGGCATTAGATTCTCATAGGAGCACAAACCCTATTGTGAACTGCACGTGCGAGGGATCTAGCTTGTGCGCTCCTTTTGAGAATCTAATGCCTGATGACCTGAGGTGGAACAGTTTCATCCCAAAACCATCCCCACAACCCCGTCCATAGAAAAATTATCTTCCATGAATCCTGGTGCCAAAAAGATTGGCTGGTGTAAGGGACCCTGTGATACGTGCATGAGGTGTGAACTGACTCTGTTGATTATCCGGATCTGTCTCGAGTGCCATGCCAGCTTCATGATTCCATGCTGTACTTTACGCTGTGCCGCACTCTGAGTAGGCATTTTGTGAAATTTGTTATTCCTTTTATGTTGAGGAACTTCCACTGAAATGCTTGTATCCTTGGATGCCTCCCTTAGCTCTCCTGCTGTAAGCTTTTCCTTTCAGAACAGACAAATAGCCTTGTCTCTATTGTCAAAAAGTAGGCTCTTTTATTGTTGTCATACTTTTCTTGGTTTGAGAATACTGGGGCTGGGCAAGATGGCTCAATGCCTATAATCGCAGCACTTTGGGAGGCCGCAGTGGGCAGATCACCTCAGATCAGGAGTTCAGGACCAGCCTGACCAAAATGGTGAAACCCCGCCTCTACTAAAAATACAAAAATTAGCCAGGCATGGTGCCGGGTGCCTGTAGTCCCAGCTACTCAGAAGGCTGAGGCAGGAGAATCGCTTGAACCCGGGAGGCGCAGGTTGCAGTGAACCAAGACTGCGCCACTGCACTCCAGCCTGGGCGACAAGAGTGGAACTCCATCTCAAAAATAAAAATAAAAAAAAAGAATACTGGGAGGAGAATCAAAGTTTGGAAAGAAATTATTTTTCTATAAAAAGGACATTTTCAATCCCCCACACTATATTTCAAAACTGTTATTGAAGCAGTCCACTCAAAAGTGGCTTGAAGTCCCACTATATCAGTGGGCGGGGGTATTTCTCTGGAGAGAACACAATTTTCCATAAGACGCATGAGTCTGGGATCTTGGTCATGCAGAATTCATCCAGAGTCCACCGCCAACTGTCTCATCCTATGATGCTCTACAAGTAATTGAACCATCTCATAACTTTATTTTCTCTAAAGGTGAGAGGAAAGGCTTTGTTTATAAAATTGCTCTCTAGGTGTCCACAGAAAGGCTGCCAAATGAGAAACAGAAAGTAAAAGCCTGAAGGGAAAGGATATATTAATACCCAGCACAACTATCCACATCTGCATGTATTATACACCCTCCCTATATAGGAAGTTCACAGGCCTAAACAGAGCCATGGCTCACAGACTACCCAGAGCATAGTGTTTGCTTAGGAAATATTCTGTGTGTTTAGTGTGTGTTCGTTTCCTCTCTGGAAAATCCTTTATATTTATCAAAACCATCCCTCTTGACTGAATATTGGAGAGCAAAAATCAAAAGATGCCTTAATTCCCCCATGGGTGGGCCCCATGCTCTTGAAGTAAGTGCTGTGCTACTTGAAGCAGTAGTAGGAAGAACCCATTTACACCATCTCCCCACTACAACTTTTATGCCTTCAGAAAGTGTTAAAAAACTGTTACAAATAGCCATGTTGTGTCTTGGAAAATAAGTTCTCCAGAAAACACCTCTCTGAGCTAGGCAATGTGTGTTTCTTTCTGTGGTTGGCAGAAATAAGCCCAAATACAGATTCTGATGCTTAGGAGGAAGAATGTGGTAGAAACATAACAGATTTGCAAAGTCTATCTTGTAGCATGATTTACACTTCCTCACAAGCATGCTTCCTCTGACCTTAGCCTCTCAGAATGTGGGGATGATAAAGGGATGCCTCATCAGCAAAGGCGTTCCACTTCACGGGCAAGAGAGAAGGAGGAATAGGAAGCCCAGGAAAGCACGGAGTGGTGGAGAGCGTTCTCCTGGCTGCCAGGATGTTTGTGTCCTCCGAGGTCAGAAACATCCTTAATCTCAAGTGCCAGCAGCTGGGAGTCCCTGGGGTCCCAGCTGCATTTCCTCTGAGAAGGAAACATGGGATCAGTGATCCAAGAGATAACAAGAGCAGGGAACAGATTTCCAGGCAGAAAGAGGAGCTGGCACAAAGGCCTTGAGAGGAAATATTAGCATATTTGAGTCTTAAACTGAAAATATGTGATGAAAGGAATGTAAGCTATTATTGCCATCTGTCCAAAATTATCACAGGCACCAGTTAGGCAGGGGCACCATTGCCCTGTGCAACCTGTTCCCATGAGTATATCCTAGAGAAAGAGAGTGGCCTGGGTACACTTGGTAGGAGAACATGTGTTGTTGGTTTATGCCCTGGTCTCCAGTGCGATACCAAAGGATGGGGTGAGGATGTATCAGGCTTCATGGAAGCAAAGGAAGCCCCAGGCAATTCCCATGTATTGCCAAGACCCTCAACACTGGAGGCCTTGTCAGGATAAGGGAGAGAAAGTCTCTGCAAGGTTCGTTACCATTAAAAAAAAAAAAAGAGAAACGCAGCATTAATTTTGTAGGAAAAAATGTGAATTGCCATAAAGACCCATTTCCAGTTGCACGATAAATATACTTTAGTTTATAATTTTAGGTTAGATCAAGCCAAGCAAAACTGTACTCTCAGAAGCTTGTCACCTTGAAAGTCTATAGTCTTTTCCTTCTCACTTCTACCCTCCATGAACTTTCTGCCTCACCCAATTAGATTCCTAGCACCTACTCATTTTCACTAACTCCCCCAATCACATCTAGACAGGTTCTGCTATTAGTCATTTATGTGTAGCTTAATTTGTTTTAATTAACATCCTTATAACATATATGAATGTTATTCATGCTAATGTGTGACTTCCACTAGGCATTTTCATTTTTAAGCTTTTTATCTCTAATTAGGGAATAGGAGGATTTACCTCTCTAGGAAGTTTATGATATTATCAGGCAAGATGCAGACATTTGAGAGGAGCAGAGAAGGCTCCTAAAATCACCTGAGTCGCAACCAGCTGGCAGGGCCACTCAAGGTTCCCTTCTCCCTTGGCTGTCATAAATCAGTCTAATCGTGACAGTAGTTTCTGGGAACAAAGGAGGGCCCTGGCTTCGCTCAAGGCCTGGGGGCCTATTGCCTGGGCCCTGGATGTGCTCTCACGTGGGCCACGCCCTCCAACTTCACACCCACACATACCCATGATGATTCTATCCATATTTGACAAACTGTAATGTGTTTGTCTCTCCTTGATTATATCAGCCTCTGACATAATAGTAATGTTTCTAACATAGGCATGTATAGTAGACTGGATAATCTTTAAAAGAAATATTTAAATGTGAACCAGTCCATGGCTTTTTTACAGTGCCATCATGAAAGAGACAGAGAGGGATTCAAATCCCATCTCTGACGCTTAATGGCTAAGTAGCCTTGGGCAAGTCATAATTTGCCTCTGTCTCCTACTCTGCAAAATGGAAAACCAACCTGATCAGGTTGCTGTAGGAGTAAGAGGAGATCGTACATCAAAAGCTTCAATCACAGCACCTCATGCAGAGAGAGCACCCATCCGCATTAGCCAGGAATGTTCATTATGACTGCTGTGTGCCAGGCACGGTTTAAGGCTCTGGATGTACAGCAGGAGCCACACAGATGTGGCATCCGGTCTCCTGGAGCTCTCACCTTCATCTGGGAGGCATAAATTAACCAAATAAACACCACCGTGAATATAACTACCAATTAGAGTACATGCTCTGAAGGAAAAATAGTACTTGCTATGAGAGAAACTAACAAGAGAGCAGTTTTTGATTTTTGGTCCAAGAAGGCCTGTCTGGGAGTGTCACTGAAGGTGAGACACCCAAGCGGGAGCCAGCCGAGTGATGAGTTTGGGGAGCAGCACACCAGTAGAGGGGAGAGCAGGGGCAGAGGCGCCGAGGAAGGAAAGGGCATGGTGGGCATGAAGAAGAGGCCATTCTCGAAGAAATGCAGCAAGCCAAAGTGAGAATGAAGAGGCGAGGCTGGAGAACAGCCAACGACCAGATCCCAAGGGCCTCGTGACCCAGATGCACAGAATTTCAAAGGTGAAAGTTGATACACAGTTGTCATAATAGCTGTTTAGCAGGAGCTTTATAAAACTCTTTGCATTAAGTGTTAAATGCCCTGAAGAAGTCAGGGGAGATGATTATTGAGACAAGACCGTTTGATTTTTGCCTAAAGACCACCCCTGGTGGCCTTCCACAATGCTATTTTCAGACAGTGGTAGAAAGAGTACGCAGGTTTTCACCAGGGTGTTGACGTGGGAATGCTGGGAAAGGGAAAGAAGCAGGAGGCAGCTCGGGAACGAGCATCCCAGACTCGGGATTTTTGCAGTCATCGCAGTCCACGCCTGAGCCTTCGAACGCTGGTAAACAGATGATCAGTAACTTTGCAGCACTGGGCACCTTCAGAGCAGAGCTCTTGCTGCCTTGCCCGGGTAGAAAACCAGTGCGGTCCCGCCCAAGTGTGATTCTCTTCTCCCCAATGTCCCCACAGGTATGCCATTCTGACCAAAGCCACCTGGCCTTCTTGGCAGGGAGAGGAGAAGCAAGGCGTCCTGCACCTGCTGCAGTCGGTCAACATGGACAGCGACCAGTTCCAGCTGGGGAGGAGTAAAGTGTTCATCAAAGCCCCCGAGTCTGTGAGTGCTTGGCTGGCTCTCCACTCTCTTCCCTCCCGCGGGGCCCCCGCCAGCCCTGCTCCACCCCTCAGCTGGCTTCTTTTTCTCATTCTTCGCTTCATGCCATCAATGTTGTCTCCTCAAAGAAGCCTTCCCTCCCTTCCTGGTCTAAGTGGGTCCTTCCCTAAACACCTGCTCTCCATAGCCCATCACTGCCCGGTTCATTTCCTGCAGAGCACTAAGCAGGTAGAAAAAGGGGCATCAGAGAGTGGCTCCTTCCTCGCTGACTGTCTCGCTCCTCTCTAGCTGCTACACTCCTGGAGGGCAGGGACTCTTTGTTCCATATGTGTTTATATACCCAAAGCCTCACACAGAAAATGCTCAATAGTTACTTAATCTCTAAGAGTGTCTAAGCTAAAGAGGGACTTCAGTGTCCCACCCATGGTTAGTTGACACCAAGTCAGTTACGCATAGTCTCAGGATTCCTCCTGGAAGGTGCAGCAGAGTGCCGGGTGGGAATTCCCAGGATTGTACCTAGAAGGCTGTGGGGGAGCCTAGAAAGGACTGTGAGGGGGAAAATAGGTGGGAGGAGAAATCTCTGGTTTATAGAACACAGTACTTACCAGTAAGGCATTCATAATACACATTTACAATTCACAAACAGTCTGCTACAGCTTCATTTAGAGACACTTCTTTCTTTCCTGATGAGAGTGTGGTCAGTGAGCCCCATGAATGTCCACAGGAAGTTCTGTTCAGTTCTTCTGCCCAGTTTGCTCCAGGGCTGCGGAATAAAGACATTCATTCCTTTTTAAGCTGGAGAAACTGCTGGAACCGAGGCTCAGCATCATCGTTTCTCAAGGCTCCCTTAACCATCACAAGACCTATTTCAAGAGTCAGTGATGAACTTGGCAGAAATCAGTCATCAGACCAAGGGGAAATCATATGGGAACTCACAGTAAAAAGGGAAGCATTTGACTTCAGGCAGATCCCAGTCTTGCCATTAGTTTTCTTCTCCTCTAAGGTGGGCCCCATAGCCACTGTTTCTGCCTGCCTCGTAGGATCAGCCTGAGACTCAGGAATGATAATGGCTATAACTGAATGGCTTTGTGAGACATCAAGATTATTAAATAAGCGGCACACAGAGATGGAACCCATTTATGACACGTTTGTGGTAGCATTTTTCTACTTTGAGTTATTTGTAGCTTCACAAGAATTTTCATTTCCAAATATAAAGTGAAAATGTTGTGTCATTCGCCATTAAGCAACCCACAGAACAGTTCCTGTTCTTTCTAAAATGGGATGGAGTGATTTATCGGTACAATGCAGAACTCCTTGTTTCATACCCGCTGTTACTTTTCAACTTGTGAGGTTTTCATATATAATTAAAACAGCCTCAATATTTGTAATACTTTTTTTTCTGCTTCAGTTGCGTTGGAGGGGGTTATATTCAAAATCAAGATTTATTTTTGGCTGTCCTTTTCCTTGCCTTACATTCAATTGTGTTATTACCATTATTTGACTCTCCTTTCCCCCATCTTTGACACATGCACTCACACACGCACACCATCACCTCCGCTCTCTCCCCTGCCCCAAACGCATACATCCCCATCTAGCCCTGACATGCAAATACTTTCACAAAAGTTGACTCTTAAAATCTGGCTGGGCACAGTGGCTCATGCCTCTAATCTCAATACTTTGGGAGGCTGAGTTGGGAAGATGACTTGAGGCCAGGAGTTCAAGACTGGGCAAGTCAGTTAGACCTCTTCTCTACAAAAAAATTTAAAATTAGCTGGGTGTGGTGGTACACGCCTGCTGTCCTAGCTACTCAGGAGGCTGAGGTTGGAGGATCACTTGAGCCCAGGAGTTCAAGGTTACAGTGAGCTATGATTGTACCACTGCAGTCCAGCCTGGGCAACAGATCAAGAAAGACCCTTTCTCTAAAAAAAAGAAAAAAAAAAAAAAAAGGAAAAAGAAAACCTACCATGTGGTTTCACCTTAATAGTAAATGTTCTGAATATACAAAATTACCTATTTGCTTTAAGAACCCACATCATAACCGCGCGCAGTGGCTCACGCCTGTAATCCCAGCACTTTGGGGGGCTGAGGCCGGCAGATCACGAGGTCAGGAGATCAAGACCATCCTGGCTAACACGGCGAAACCCCATCTCTACTAAAAATACAAAAAAAATTAGCCGGGCATGGTGGCGGGCGCCTGTAGTCCCAGCTACTCAGGTGGCTGAGGCAGGAGAATGGCGTGAACCCAGGAGGCAGAGCTTGCAGTGGGCCGAGATCGCGCCACTGCACTCCAGCCTGGGTGACAGAGCAAGACTCTGCCTCGGAAAACAACAACAACAACAACAAAACCCACATCAGACACCATAGGGTTTGTTTTTGTTTTGTTAAATGTATCCATGTCTTTTGGCTTTTCTCATTTAAGGTTGTTTTGTGTGTTTTCCTGTTGTTGTTTTTTGGTTTGGTTTGGTTTTTATTCTCTCCTTATCTGTGTTATCAAGGTTTTTTCTTGAACCTCCCTAATTTCTAACCCCCTGGGCTTTTAAAAAGAAATCTAAAATCCAGCGAATCTTTGAGATAGTCTCTAGGAAGTTGGGAATCGTTTGCCTGTTCATCCTTTCTCTGAGTCACAAGTGTATTTTCTGTGATACGCCCAAAATAGTTCTGGGAAAGAAGAAGGAAACAAGACTTACTCAGAAACCCAATACACAAGATAAGAAATATCAATGGATATTCTTACAACAGGCAACTGCAGGGCTCAGATTTTAAACATTCTGTCCAGTTGCTAATCTGTGCATTCCACTTGGGGTTTAGAAATCTGTCCTTATGCCTATTGTTTACAGCACTGAAGCCAGGGGAATTACGTGGTCCCTCCCCTGGTGTTTGGAGTTTGAGTTGTTGTTTCTGCACAGATGGATCTGTGAGGAGAGAAGTTGAGTGGCAGGAGAGGATAGGTCTGTCTCCCAAGCATGCACCCGGATAAACAGAGACAACAAATCAAGCCCAGCTGCCTTCAAACCACATTGGCTTGTTTACTTCTGGAACATTTTTGCAATGACTGTTCATCATCTTTACTTTGGATTTTTATTGGTTGATTTTATTTTTTTCCTAGAGAGTCATGTAAGCCACTCTCAAGGTAAATGAGAAGGTTTCCTACTATTTTACAAGTGGATCAAGTGCAGATTTACAGAGAAAGCTTTGCGTGTCTAAATGAGGAGGAGCCTGGCAGAGCCTGAAAGACCTAGGTTCACTTTCTAGCCCCACCCAGTCTTAGTTCCAATGTTCTCATCTGTAAAATAGAGATGACAGAGTATGCGGCTCATGTAGCTGTGGAGGCGTTGAATGAAACTGTGTGGAAATCATCTAGGGTGACTTCTGCCCCATAGTGGGCACTCGGCTCACTACAGCTGTTTGCTGTCACCTTTATCATTCCAAGGCCTGGTTGAGGCGCAGCTGTCAGCATTCATTGGTAAAATGGCCGGACTCTCAAGACCTGCTAGAGGCTGATGTGGTCCCTAAACAGCCCCAGCCTTTCTGGGCAAATGCAAGTCCTCATTAACACACCTCACGTCCAGCTCCAGTCACTGTGGTTATTATCCTCTGCTCCGCTGGTCCTTGGTGAATCCTGAGATTGGTGAATCCTGAGACAGGAAGTCTATATTTTCTTGGAACTGAAAGTAGGGCAGCCCTCCTTCCACAGCAGCACAAGCCCAGCTCCTGCAGAAACTGGAAAATTCTGTTTAGAGGCTGCATGCAGAAGTGCCGCGCCAAACAACAGCAACAGCCTCCACCCACTCACTTGATCTGACTTCCTAATAATACACTCTTTGGATCAAGGTGGGGAATAAGTGGAGAAGCATTGAATCGCTCATTCGATTCTCACAGAGACTGTAGCAAGGCAGGACAAGGTCTAACTGAATACACTCAGATTCTCCTATTTCCCATTGTTTTCCATTAAAAGAAAAAAAGGTATAGGTCATTTTATAGTGAGAATAAACAACATGCCACAGTAAGCGTTTCACATATTCGTTCATGAATCAGAGAAGCTGCTTCCCGTGTGTGTCATTGTCTAAACTGAGGGTCCCTGGAATAACAAGAAAAGTGTTGTTCAGGGATTGGGGCTTGGGGCTTGGCTCACATTTGTCTTCTCTCCATTCACAGCTATTTCTTTTAGAAGAGATGAGAGAGAGAAAGTATGATGGGTATGCTCGAGTGATACAGAAATCATGGAGGAAATTCGTGGCCCGGAAGAAATACGTTCAAATGAGAGAAGAAGGTATTTTAGCAATTTTGTTTCATTGATTTTAATAAATCTGAAGAGTAAATTGGAGCTTAAGTGAAGTTTTAAGTTCCATTTTATTTTGCATATAATGTCACGCTAAAAATATTGCATCATTTAGAGTTTCTTTGTATATTTCCACAGTATTTTCCTCCCTTTTCTGACTGACTTATCCTTCTTCCATCTTGACCCTCTTGGGAATTGTAGCCTCAGACCTCTTATTGAACAAGAAGGAGAGAAGGAGAAACAGTATTAACAGGAACTTTATAGGGGATTATATTGGGATGGAAGAGCACCCAGAACTCCAGCAGTTCGTGGGCAAGAGGGAGAAGATTGATTTCGCAGACACAGTCACCAAGTATGACAGGAGGTTCAAGGTACGTGCTAACTGCCTGCCTCTGAGATCACCAAACAGATTCCTTATTTTTTTAATAACTTGTTATTTTGCTTTTGTTGTTACCAAATCAGAATGTGTTCGTTGTAGAAAAATTTAGAGAAAATACAGTAAACCAAAAGATAAACAGGCACCTATGCCCAGAAACATTCACTGTTAACATTCTGTGTATATCCATATCTTTCAGAATGTTTTTATGAAAACATACATTTGCGTATTTAGTTTTACAAAAAATGAGATATACATTACATGCTGTTTTATGTCCTGAAGTGGTTTTTTGTTTGTCTTTTAAATAATGCGAGAATTTTCGATAGTAATACAGTTAGCAATATAAGTTATTTTACATGGCTGCATAGTATTCCATTTGACAGATGCTTTATTATTTTTAACCAGTTTCTCATGAATCAATTTTTAGTGAGTTTTTCTTTTTTACTATCGTAACTTCAGTGAGCATCTTTTCACACATCTTTGTGTATCTATCTGTCTCCTAATATTTTTAGAAGAAATTGATAGGAGTGAAATCGTTGAATCAAAGGATTCAGAGTATCAAGTAATATTGCAGAGTATCCTCATCCATTTTCCCAGAGTGGCTGATAAGTAAGGCTTTTCCAGCCACAGGAGGAACAGTTGATTTTTCACCTCCTCCTTTAGATACCTTTTGATAAAGTCTTGGTCCTAATAGAAAAATCTGAAGCTTCAGAAGCTCATGGACCCGTTAAGAGCTTTTGGCTTTTTGCCAGGGGCGGGGAGGTCAAGAAAAAAATTTAACGAAATAAACAACGGAAGCATGTTTTGCTAAAACCAAACCATTCCTTGCAACCTGTGCATGGCACCAGCTGCTGTGACGGCAGCCCTGGATGCACACAGGGGTGCTTAGCTCTCGCAGCGGTACTCATTATAAAGTGGTTACCCACAAATTCCCAAGTAGATTTCTATTAGATTATTGAGAATTATCATTCAAATGACAATATATCAGTATTTTAGAATGAAAATTTTATGAACTCCCAAGAAAATATATGCAGACACTGCCCCCTGTTTAGAAACATGCTGTAGTGCATCCTTGCTAAGTTCACCACAGGTGTTGGTGACTTTCCCTTTACACCTGCTGTCCTGATATGTGAAGTGACTCCATATGAGTTTGCCAGTTTTTAAGTCAAAAAGAGTCAAATGTCATCATTTTTTACATGTCATCCTAATAATCATGAACAATGCCCTCTTTCACTGTCATGGGGCCCGGTCATGTGATGAATGGAATGGCCTCTCAACAGTAGTGAAGATTGACTGTCCAAGGCAGCTTCCCCCTGTCCTGGTAACAGCAGTCCACTGTGTGAATTGTTGTCATCACATTGACCATGTCTGTCCACCTTTTTTTGAGACGGAGTCTTGCTCTGTCACCCAGGCTGGAGTGCAATGGCGCAATCTCGGCTCACTGCAACCTCCACCTCCCAGGTTAAAGCGATTCTCCTGCCTCAGCCTCCCAAGTAGCTGGGATTGCAGGCGCCCACCACCACACCCAGCTAATTTTTGTATTTTCAGTAGAGACGGGGTTTCACCATGTTGGTCAGGCTGGTCTCGAACTCCTGACCTCAGGTGATTCACCCGCCTCGGCCTCCGAAAGTACTGGGATTACAGGTGTGAGCCACCATGCCTGGCCTGTCCAGCTTCTTAAAGCTCCTCTCCTTACAGGGTGTAAAGCGAGACCTGCTCCTTACCCCAAAGTGCTTGTACTTAATCGGACGAGAAAAAGTCAAACAGGGCCCAGACAAGGGCCTGGTGAAAGAAGTCCTGAAGCGGAAAATCGAGATAGAACGGATCTTGTCTGTGTCCCTCAGGTGAGTAGTGGAGGTGCAGAGGCAGGACTGCCCCTTCTCGCCTCAGCATCACGGTCCGCTGTTCCAAACAGCCAGGAGGAAGGCCGGGCTGGGCTTCCCAGCTGTCAAAATCATGATCAAGAGAATGGAATTTCCCTTTGTCCCAAAGGGAAGACTCCCTAGTCTCAGCAAGTCTTGATATGTCAGGAAGAAGGTACCAAGAAAAGGTTGCCTCCGGACAGCTCCTCTAATCAAGGGGGACCCAGATCTCTTGTAACCGAAACGTGTTAGAAATGAACCCGGTATATGGAACACCTCAGAGAATAATTTCTCTTGTTGCAGTAGAGCCAAGGATTCAGAGCCCTGTCCCCCAGTCCACCTCACCCAGGTTGGAGGCCTCACCCATTTCCCTGAGCAGAGGGTCCTGAAAGGGAAGTTTCTTTGGGACTTCCTTAGGGAGTGCAAGTTGGTCTCCATTCTCTGTAGCCCTGGAGTCATCGTGAGATGCTCTCTTCGCTCCAATTCTCAGGCAGTGGGGAGTGGTGTTTGCTTCCACAAGGCCTCAGGAAGGGCCCTTGCTCCTCCCGGCAGCACCTTGGCTTCCTCTCGGCAGAAGGGCTCCTCTGCCGGCCGTCAGCATCTCCTCCGTCAGTGGGACCTAGGCTAGGGGTTCTTAGCATAGGAGGTCTTCCCATGCTAAGAAGTCCTCCCATGCCAAGAACTCCCAGACTAGGAGTCCTCCCATGCTAAGTCCTCCCGAAGTCCTCCCATGGTAAGAACTCCTAGACTAAGTTCCGCTGACACAGGAAATCCTCGCAATCCATGAAGACTAAGAATGGAAGAAAGGCCTCCTTGAGCCCCATAGCTTCCTCCAAGAATCGTGTCCCTGGGCCTCTGAGGCTAACACTACTTTAATCAGGAAAAGCTTTGGGCCTTTGCATTAAAGATGTTCTGCTCTCACATGAACATGGAATTGGGACGCCTGTCAAACTCTTACTCCACACAGAAGGCAAAACTGGTGCGCTCAGGAAAAAGCAGGGGTTTTATGTGCTCAGGCGTCTGATGTACCAAGCTGGAAATCCTAGTTCCAGTCTGATAATCCAAAACAGATTTCTAGTTGCATCCATTCTTGCCTGTGTCTCTGTGGTTTCTGATTCTATCTGTTCCTAATTTCCCTGGATAAAGGACCAGGCAGTGCAGTGCAGTGAAGTATTTAAAACGTGCCAACTCAGGATGTGGTAAAGTTGCTAAGCAGATGAGTCCGCAGTGTCCATTTTGCAGCCCCACCTCAGGTAGGTTTCAAGGCTATTGTTTTTTTTGTTTTTTTTTTAAAGCTCTAGGCGCTGACTGATTTTCTGAAGGCCTTCCTAAACATTCAGCTCACTGGCTGGGTCCCAACCTGAGCGGGGCAGTGCCTGCTGGCCACACTCTTCCTGGCTAGCTGGGCCCTGAGGCTGCCGTGGAAACCCAACAGGAAGCTCCTGCTTTGTTTGTCATTGCATGGGGCCCTGCCATGCCTGGACTAAGCCAGGTTGGCCACAGCGTGCTTGGCAGGCACAGCAGGTGAAAGTCAGGGAACCACAGCTCTAGGGTGTGTGTAGTCGCTGTGCCGAGAGTGACTTGTTCTTTCTGTTATTGCCCAGGTATGTCTTCAGTCCCTCAGACCCCTGGTGGAGTGCTCATGACTGGGACCATAAATTATCCTAATTGAGCTACATTTGTGTGGTTGTTTTGTTTTGTTTTGTTTTGTTTTGTTTTAGACAGAGTCTCGCTCTGTCACCCAGGCTGGAGTGCAGTGGCGTGATCTCAGCTCACTGCAACTTCTGCCTCCCTGGTCCAAGTGGTTCTCCTGCCTCAGGCTCCCGAGTAGCTGGGATTACAGGCCTGAGCCACCACCCCTGGCTAATGTTTGTATTTTTAGTGAGAGACAAGGTTTCACCACGTTGGCCAGGCTCGTCTTGAACTCCCGACTTCAAGTGATCCACTCATCTCAGCCTCCCAAAGTGCTGGGATTAGAGGCGTGAGCCACCGTGCCTGGCCTTGAGCTACACTTGTATCAAGCACTTTGACACTTACTATCTTATTGATAAGTCCTTGAGGGGGTTGTCAAGCAGGGACTGTAGGGACTGTTCACACTCAAATTTCTTCCTTTTATTGTTTTTTGTTTGTTTATTGTCTTCTTTTACAGCCTCTGGGGATATAATCTGTCATGGGAGCACCAGCTTCTTTTTCTTCTTCCTGTTCAGTATTCATTATCTGGAAGGTTCCTTTCTTGCGGTCTTTCCTTTTTAAAGGCTGTAGTAAAATGAGGTACTTAGCCTAAAAGTTTTTCTGACTCTAAGGAAAAAAAAAGAAAGTGTGAGTCATTTGAACTTGTGATGTCTGTGTATTGCAGTCACTGAACCTCACACTTGCCAAGATGAATAATAGTGTCCCCTCATTTCTTTATACTTGAGTTAGGCCAGTAATCAGAACCAAGTTAGGAAAGCAACCAGAGGGTGATGTGTGTGCAGAATCGAACCCAGAGTGGAAATTAATTCTGGTACCAGACTACTGAACATGCGTGTGTGTTCTCAAAATACTTCAGTACTGGCATAGAGAAAGATTTTAACAGTTGGCTTGTACTTCAGGAAAAAAGCTGCAACATCTGTATGTGTTTTTAAGAATTTCTGAGATTGACCAGTTGACTATTGGCTGGAATGATATCAACATATGGCCTCCTAGTTACGATTTATCAAAGTATCCCATAAGCTTGATCTTAGCCCATCTCTAGCTCTTACAATTAATGTCAGTGCACAGTGGGCCTACAGCTCCCTATTCAAACCAACCAACCATTCAGTAACAGTTACAAGACAACATGTGAGCATGACTAAATATTTGGTATGAAGAATTTATTGTTTATTTCTGTAGGTATGATAATGTTTTGTGGTTAATTTTAATATAAAGAGACTTTATCTTTTAATAATATGTACTGAAACATTTGAGCATGAAATAAAGGCTGAGCGCAGTGACCCACGCCTGTAATCCCAGCACTTTGGGAGACCAAGGCAGGAGGCTCGCTTGACCCCAGGAGGTTTGGGACCCACCTGGGCAACATAGTAAGAACCCATCTCTACAAAAAATGTGAAAATTAGCCAGGAGTGGTGGTACGTGCCCGTGGTCCCAGCTACTCAGGAAGCTGAGGTGGGAGGATTGCTTGAGCCCAATAGGTCAAGGCTGCAATGAGTCATGATCATACCACTGCACTCCAGCCTGGTAGTTATTTTAAAGTGGAAGCAGGGAGAGTGAGGTTGTAGATAATTGTGATTATCCGTGAATTGGTGCTTGAAATCTGACATGTGGTGGTTCATTCTATACTACTTTTTATTTTTTTGAGACGGGGTCTCACTTTGCCACCCAGGCTGGAGTGCAGTGGCGCAATCTCGGCTCACTGCAGCCTCGCCCTCCAGGTTCAAGCAATCCTCCCACCTCAGCCCCCTAAGTATCTGAGACTACAGGCATGTACCCCCACTTCTGGCTAATTTTTGTATTTTTTGTAGAGACACGGTTTCCCCATGTTACCCAGGCTGGTCTCCAATTCCTGGGCTCATGGGATCTACCCACCTCGCCTCCCAAAGTGCTAGGATTACAGGCATGAGCCACTGCACCTGGCCCTACTATCCTACTTGTTTACAATTTAGAATTTTCCATAATAAAATGTTTTTCTAATCCTCCAGTAGATGTTAAATTTTTAGAAGTCTTTATCTTTTCTAAACATACAGATATATGTCTAGTTGAGTTACGGTTAAAAATTTTTTTGAAGTTTTCATTTACAAGAAAAAATAGGATCCCAACAGGTAGAAATAGGGCCAATAGCTCAGAGAGATATTAAGACAATAGTTTGTCAAAGGGACTCCAGGATAATTTGATCAGGAAAAATCCTTATTTAAATAAAAATTAGGCTGGGTGTGGTGGCTCACACCTGTAATCCCAGCACTTTGGGAGGCCGAGGCGAGCCGATTGCTTGAGGTCAGGCGTTCAAGACCAGCCTGGCCAACATGATGAAACCCCCTCTCTACTAAAAATACAAAAAAATTAGTTGAGCATGGTGGTGTGTGCCTGTAATCCCAGCTACTTAGGAGGCTGCGGCAGGAGAATCGCTTGAGCCCAGGAGGCGGAGGGTGCAGTGAGCCAAGATCACACCACTGCACTCCAGCCTGGGCAACAGAGCGAGACTCCGTCTCAAAATAAATAAATAAATAAAAATTAAAGTGAAACACTGACGCTTGCATTTCTGGCTTCATTGGAGACTCGGGAAGAGTGTCAGGAGGTGACACACCAATACAGAGTTGAGACACGGGATTTCTGAGTGTATGGTGGCTGCTGGCAGAAGGCCATGCCTGGGTTTTTGAAGGATCCTCCCAGAGTTGCTTCTTGTTCAAGTACTGGCCTGGCCCCACTCTTATTTGAAAAACTCAATTGCAGGAAGGGTGACCACAGGTGTAATGACCCATGTTCTTGGCTTTGCTATTGTAGGTGTTGAGTTCGGTGCCATGGAAGCTCTTATTTGGGGGTCTCTGATGAGGCTTCTCATTTTTCTTCTCATTCTGGTGGCTGATCACCAGAAGGATGAGACCAAAAGTTGTGTGGCTGTCTGTCTGGGTTAATAGATTTTCCAGTACTTATCTCCAATTGGAAAAACAACCCGTAAGACGGTGCTTTTAGACAGAGGCTCCAGCTCCCTGGTCACAACATTCTTGCCCAGAATGTCTCCTTGCCTGAATCCCCTAAACTTTCTGGCAATAAAAACAGCCCGCTTCACTGCCTGTCCTGCTGACCTGAAGCATTACTGGCATCTTGACTTGCTATGGTCTGTAAGCATTGGGAACCTGGAAGTTGTCAACATCATGGGATTGAGCACCTACCTGGTGCTGAGCCCTGGTATTCGAAGGTGGATGAGGCACAGTCACTGCCTCAGGAAGCTCCTCTCATTCTGGAAGGGGGAACAGACAGCTGAGTAAACATGTGCCTTACTATAAGTGTTCCCAGCGTGATTTAAAGGATATTCCTGGGACACAAGAGAGGAGAGTGGGTCTTTGCATCTGCGGGTCAGGTGAAGCTTCTTTGAGCTGGACACGTCACTGCTGAGGCCTGCATCTGCGTCCGGGCTTTCTCAGAGAAGTTAAGAAGGTTCTGAAACTGGTGCCACTGGTTTCTCTGAGTGGTAGAATTCTGGGCAAGGTTTATTTTCTTCTTGATTCGCCTCCGTATCTTCCAGTTTCCTAAAAGCAGCATATATTTCATAATCAGGAAAGACTTTTATAAAAGCTTAAATAAAGGCAGGGCTATCCTTGGAAATTGCCTTTTCAGCTTTAAAAAAAAAAAACAAAACTCCTTCAGGACTTTCCTTGGTGTTTTGTAACTAACATTTCTGTGAAAAGATATATTGGTGAAGAGAGTAAAACAGATTTTCTAGTGTTTTCAGCAATACAACAGTAAGCCGCAAAGACAGAGGAATAAAAAAACAAGGGCAGATCCAAACCAGAGACTAGGAAGAGGTCTTTCAACACAGCTTACAGCGTCAAACATCTGTAAGGAATTGCAGCATAGGAATAAGTCAGGGGTGAAGTCCAAAGATAAGTCTGACTTTTTAGAATAAATAAACACGAAAGCTTTGTTTTCAGGTTCAGGAGCGTGGGCTAAGGAGAGCAGAATGAGCTGAGACCCTGGCCTGGGTGAAGGTGGTCTGCCTAGCTCCAATGCCTGGATCATTGAAGGGAGGGGATTTTGGAGTTGTTGGTTAAAGTCAAAGTGTCCAAACACATCTCTTCTCATTTCTAGATTCATGCTGATAATTGACCTTGAAGTTTTGGCCTGCTTGCTTTTTTCGTTATAATAGTAATGAAACTCCTAATAAATCTAAGCCCATTAAACCACTCAAGGTGACTTGTGTTGGGCTCATTTAGCCCTGTTGAATAATCACCATCCTGCCACAGTTCAGCCAGGCCACCAGGCATGACCAGACATGCCAAAGAAAGCTTTGAGCAAACAACCAAAACAGGAAGGCGTTTCATTCCTCACCCCAAAGGCCAAAAAGTGGAGCTTCTTGTTTTACTCTGGTCTTTTGCATGCACTCTACCTAATGCAGCCGGGTTCTTACACCTGGGCTAGGGTGCCAGGAGGCTTAGACTTTATTAATTCAAAATGACTTGGAAGAGCTCTTTTGAGCAGCTTTTCATAAGTGCTTTTTGGGGTTTTAGATTGCTGGCTGTACCTTTAAAGGTAAGTAGGAGGTGTTTGTTCCCAGGCACTATGGAACTGGCACGTTGGCCCTGAATTGCCTTTGCATGAGCTGTTGAGTGACGGAGATGAAAACCGTCTATTGTTTAAACCACTGCTTGTCAGGGTTTATCCTTGATCCCAACTATCACAGGAGTGGGCAAGAAGCATGGCTATGATGTGTGGATGTCTGAAAACAAACATCTGAGGTAATGATAATGACCAAGTGTTCCACCCAAATGGCTATTATTTGTCCAAAAAACACTGTAAAGGGTTCTGACTTTACGTCCAAGGGAAACTCTTTGGCTGCTCTTCAGTAAGCTGGCCATGAAAGGACCAAGCTCCTTTCCCCTGACACTGGCCTCTTGCTTCCAGTGAACTCCATTCACCGCCCCGCCCCACCCCCATGGTTTGCGCGTACTGCCATTCTACGCCTTCCTATCCAATTGTGCTGTGGTTCCTTCGACCTCTTTTTCTCCTGTGGATTACCAAGCCCCTTTCCTGTAGGAGGACTGAAAGTGGGTAATATGTAAACAGTAAGAATTTAATTTTTACAGTTCTAGAGACCGGGAAGTCCAAGGTCAAGGTGCAGGCAGATGTGGTGTCTGGTGAAGGCCCAGTCTTTTCTTTATAGATGGCGCCTCTTGTTGTGTCCTCACATGGGAGAATGACAGAAAGGGCAAACCACTCTGTCATACCTCTTCTGTAAGGTCACTAATCCAATTCATGAGGACCTCTTCCTTGTAACTTAATCACCTCCTTAAGGCCACACTTCTTAATACTAGCACATTGGTGAATGAGTTTCAACATCAGACCAAGGTAGAGGCTGTGGCTACAGCTACTGGCTCCATCACCTCTGGGTCACTAGCTCCCTGTCTCAGTCTGGAGAGAAGGTTCCTGACAAGCCTGAGATAGTCCCCCAAGATTCTCTGCCCAAGGGAGCCCTGTCATTCCAAGAAGGGCCCAACCCCTACCTTGACCTGTGAATGGGGCTGAACAGGGATACCACAGGAGTTTCCTTCTAAATGGATCAGATTTTACATGGAAGAAGGATCCAGGGTCTCAAAGATTCTCCACAGCTCAGTCCTCTTGTGATCCCCTTGCCTCATCATCTGGCTTTGTCACAGCCACAGTAATCCCACTGGTGCAGTGACACCAGGTGCTCTGAGAGCAGAGCAGAGCTCCTGAGTGATGCTGCAGGGCTCTGGATATACAAAGAACCGTGTCTGTGGCACTTGGAGAGAATAAAATGTTACCATGGTCAATTCACTGAAGCAGGTTTGCCTAATTTGTTTCTAATGCCTGGGAAAATGCTTACAATCCCTAACGAAATCTCATTCTTCAAAGGGTTGTCTTTGGTATTTGGCAGTGGTACTTGGAGATACTCGTAAACTTATATATTATAGTCTTTGGGGTGGTGGCCCCATTCACCTGAGTGATAAATCTAACAGGGAATGCAAATTCTCAATTACATACATGTTGTTGCTTTCTACCAAGCCTAGCCAGGCTTGAAGATGGAACTTTGTCTCATCAACCTCCCCTGACCAGCAAGCGTTTCCTCGGAGCTGGGTCTGCCTCAGCGTCTCTCTGCCATCACCCTATAGCTTGTAACACCTGCTCCCCTCCAGGCATAAATTTCTCCACAATCCCACCCTGTCCAAACATGCAGTTCCCGCAAAGGTGTGTTCTTTCCTTGTCTGACAAAATTCATTAGCTTGAAGGTGATGATTTTTGCTTGTTTGCTGTTTGTCCATTCTGGCCTTCGCATTTCTGAACTTGGATGTGTCTGTACGTTCTAGTAGCTCCTGGCCTACAGTGTCCACAGAGCACTGTTTGCCAGAAGGTTCTTAATAAGTACCTTGAAGTCCAGGATATTGGCTTCCCTCTTGAGAACCGAGCTTATGATTCTTCAAGTTCAAATTTACTACAATAGCTATAACCATATCATAAATTATACTAACTTGGAACTTAAATGTAGAGTCATCCCTTTTCAACTGCATTCTATTCATAACTTTCTGGATTTTTATGATCTTAAAAACACAAGTTGGACTTGAAAATGGATTTTTTTTTAATATGGGCTAAATTGTCCTTAAGTTCCTGATTGTAAAAATCATGTGGAAAAAGTACTTTGATCATGCTTTTGTTGGACTATAAACCTTCTTTGAAAGCAGATTTCAGCAATTTCATTATGTAATTCATTGTTGTTGGTTTTGTTTGAAAGATTATTACTTATAGAAAGAAAGACTGTAAAATCTTAGCACTATCTTGCAGGATTTTTAAAATGGAAGAAAAAAAAAACAATAGAGTAAACAGAAGCACAGCTTTCACCAAGTGTGTTTGTCCAATCTCTTTACAGTACTATGCAGGATGACATTTTTATTCTCCATGAGCAAGAGTATGACAGTTTGCTTGAATCTGTCTTCAAAACTGAATTCCTAAGCCTCTTAGCAAAGCGTTACGAGGAGAAGACCCAGAAGCAACTACCTCTGAAATTCAGCAATACGTAAGTCCGGATCTGGGACCCAGACTTCTGCGTGTAGCTAAAAAGGGGTCTTGATCGCACCCCTGCGATTCAGGATGGGGCTGGAGGAGGCCTGCGAGGAGAAGAGTGGGGTCTGGCTGGCCCCAGTGGAACCTTAGAGCCTGCAGAAGACAGTCTGGATAGTAGTCACAGACTTTGAAAAGGTTACTTTTGCATTTCTGTGAAATAATGACTTCATAGACTAGTGTATTTTATCATTTAGACAAAAATCACCTGAATGAGGCAGACAAAGGCAGATTTTTATGTATCACCCAAAAAAGGGTTTTTTTAATTTAGGAGAGCAGACAGGAGTAGAATCACACTGGAAGCAGATAAAAGTGACAGAGGTGGGGGTTTAAATTCCCCAAACCAATGCATAATAAAACCTGTTTATTGGTAGAGCCTCCGGGGGCTTGAGGACTATAGGTGGCCAACGTATTGTGTAGGTGGTTCACCTTTCTTTCTTTTTTTTTTTTTTTCTTTTTTTTTTCTTGAGATGGCGTCTCGTTCTGTTGCCCAGGCTGGCGTACAGTGGTGCGACCTTGGCTCACTGCAACCTCTGCCTCCCAGGTTCAAGCAATTCTCCTGCCTCAGCCTCCTGAGTAGCTAGGATTACAAGTGCTCACCACCACACCCAGCTAATGTTTTCTTATTTTTAGTAGATACGGGGTTTCACCATGTTGGCCAGGCTGGTCTTGAACTCCTAACCTCAAGTGATCCACCCGCCTCGGCGTCCCAAAGTGCTGGGATCACAGGCTTGAGCCACCATGCCCAGCCTCACCTTCATTTCTTTTGGCAACATGATCTAATGGACCAGGTACTGGCTGGCATACTGTTGACCCTCTAATCTCATATTTGCTGAGTAAGAGTTATTTAGCTAGTCTGGGCAATATAGTAAGACCACATCTCTACAAAAAGTAAAAAATAAAAAAAAAATTAGCCGAGTATGGTGGTGCATGCCTGTAGTCCCAGCTACTCGGGAGGCTGAGGTGGGAGGATACTTGAGCCCAGGAGGCAGAGGTTGCAGTGAGCTGAGACCGCACCACTGCACGCCAGCCTGGGCAACAGAGCAAGACCCTGTCTAAAACACAGAAAGAAAGTTATTTAGCTTTTCTTTTTAAATTTCCCCATCTATAAAATGGGAATATCCTCCATCTTTTCCTAGCTACAAAAATAAGGCCAAGACAAAGCCTTTATATCATGATGAGGGAAACTTATAATAGGCAGCTACTTAAAATTATGATTTTTCCTTCTTATGATATCAGAAAATATAACTTAAAAACAGAATAAGGATTGCATAATACAGGCATATATGCAATATAGAAGCATTAAAACTGGATGGGGAGTTTGGGAATTGCAGGTAAATCCTGCCTTCTATTTGGATTTTGGTTGCTAGTGTGTGTCTTTTTCCATCCCTGGGTGGGCTGTGATGGTGCAAGAATAGTACAGGACTAAACAAAGCCAGGTTCTATGCTAGAGTCCTCAAGCTGGCCTGTGTCTGGCATCTCTCAGTCCTCCACAAGCACAGAATCAGGGACAACAGCTGGAAGCACAATGACAGCACAGCGGTATGACCTGGAAATTGTCTCTTTCCTCTGTCCCCTCAGCAGGCGCCTCTGAGACCACCTGACAGAGTGGCACTGGCACATTAGCCAGATGTACCTCCCTCACCACCTGGTGTCTCACGGTACCGGGCCCCAGATGCTCCTTTTTCTGGCTCATTGTCATGCAGCGACAGTGCCACCCCATGGATGCGGTGCGCATCCTCAGGGCCCTGCTCCTGGTGTAGATTGTCCGTTCTCGCCTCATGTTTATGCTTTTCCAGCAGCAGAACTCCGTGGCGGGATCTCTGAGCACCGTTTTCTCACTGCGTCCTTCGACCTGTTAACCCCACTGTGCTTTTTGCAGGCTTGAACTGAAGTTGAAAAAGGAAAACTGGGGCCCCTGGAGTGCAGGGGGCTCCCGGCAAGTGCAGTTCCACCAAGGGTTTGGGGACCTGGCTGTCCTCAAGCCCAGTAACAAAGTGCTGCAGGTCAGCATCGGACCTGGACTGCCCAAGAACTCCCGTAAGTGCTCCACGGGCCCTGCAGGCAGAACTGCCGCCGCTCCCCCGAGTCTCCCGAGCAAATGCTGCAAACATGTGCACAGATGTGGGGGCTGAGAATCAGTACACCTTCTGCTTGCTGGGGCTCACGCTTTCTTCAGAATGGAACATTTCAAACTAAAGCAACAGCAAGGAAAATGAGCAGGTTAAAAGTTTCTGAGGGACTTAGTACTTATGTATCAGTACACCTGGCATTACAATATTGTGGTTAAAACAAATCAAAGTTTGTTAGCTTCAAATTTCCCCTCCCTTTCCAGTCAGATCTTGTCCACAATACCAACATCATCCTCTATGCCACCTTTAAAGAAATTGACTGGGCCCGGCGTGGTGGCTCACACCTATAATCCCAGCACCTTGGGAGGCCAAGGCCGGACGATCGCTTGAACCCAAGAGTTCCAGACCAGCCTGAGTAACATGGCAAAACCCTGTCTCCACACACAAAAATAAAAATGTAAAAATTAGCCAGGCATGGTGGTGCATGCCTGTAGTCCCAGCCACTCCGGAGGCTGAGGTGGGAGGATGGCTTGAGCCTGGGAGGTCAAGGCTGCAGTAAATCATGATCTTTACTGGGGTGCCACTGCACCCCAGCCTAGGTGACAGAGCAAGACCCTGCCTCATTAAAAAAAAGAAGATGAAAAAGAAATAAAACACCATACACACACACACACACACACACACACACACACACACACACACACGCACTACCTCAAACCCCAGTCTAACTCCTTCCCTGGCCTTTATTTTTGTATTTATAATTGATATTTATAAACTTATATCTATAGCACACAGCATAGAATAATCATACATGCTATGTATGCATATACTGTGATATTGTTCTAAGATTTAGCCTGTGTGTGATCACACACATGAAGATGCCTTATATAAAATAACTGTTTCTAGGCCAGGCACGGTGGCTCATGCCTATAATCCCTGCACTTTGGGAGGCCGAGGCAGGCGGACTACCTGAGGTCAGGAGTTTGAGACCAGCCTGACCAACACCCAGTCTCTACTAAATACAAAAAACTAGCCAGGTGTTGTGGCGTATGCCTGTAGTCCCAGCTACTTGGGAGGCTGAGGCAGGAGAATTGCTTGAACCCAGGAGGTGGAGGTTGCAGTGAGCTGAGATCGCGCCATTGCACACCAGCCTGGGCAACAAGAGCGAAACTCCATCTCAAAAATTAATTAATTAATTAGCCATTTCTCAAATCTGTCTGCAAAGGTACACCTTAACATGTTCTCTAACATATTAATACAATACCAGCAAATGCCATCATATCTTTATATATGTAGAGCCACTCAGAAAATGTTGATGTATGTCTGTGTATCCGTTAGTACTTGCAGAAAACAGACAGCAACTTTTGGAGGGATTTCTGAAGCGATTTTTCAGTGAA
This sequence comes from Homo sapiens, assembly GCF_000001405.40. Lineage (NCBI taxonomy): Eukaryota > Metazoa > Chordata > Mammalia > Primates > Hominidae > Homo > Homo sapiens. The sequence goes on along the minus strand of NC_000015.10, from coordinate 59,159,643 downwards.
AAGATGTGGACGGGGTTTAGGGAACAAAGTAGGGACCCAGGGAAAGGGAGTGGCAGGAAATCATTATTATCCGCAAACCTGAAGCAGCAGAGGGAGGAACGAGGTGAACTGAAGGCTACAGTCAGGAAGGAGGCACATGAAGTCCCCCACCTCCCTCCTGACACTCCAGTCTCCTTCCAGTGCCTCCTGTTGGCCTGGCCTATAGGCCTCACCCCACTGGAAGGCAGAGGCCTGGCTGTCCACAGGACTCAGACCCCAGGGCACAGAGCCGGGCAAAGAAAGGCTGCAAATAACCAGCAGGCTATGTTTGTGCGGCGGGCCCCCGAGGGGAAATTGCCCAATAGGTGTTGGATTCTATCTTATTTGGGGTGGCGAGAGTGGCCTAGGTACTGGGAGGGAAGCGTCCAGCAGGCCACACTGGGTTTGCCCCGATCCCACGTGGTCGGTTCTCCCAGGCCCTAGAGCTGCAGCTCCTTTGCTGTGTTTGCACTGTGCACCTTGTCACCTCCTACCCTTCTCTATTCTTCAGCTCTTCTCTTTATAAGAAATTCCCTCTGCACCCCTCTTCCAGCTGGTTTAATCCTACCTTCCTTCCTGTTCCATTCAAGACCCTATTGTTTTTCTTCCCCACATAGATGTCTCTGCAGAGATCTCCTCTGGCTCCTCTGGCCCTGCTGTCCAGCCCTGACTGTGACCCACAGTGTGTTCCTTTGGCCCCAGCTTGTTCCTCATTCCTTCATGTCTGTGTCAAGGGTACAAGTCTGCTTCTCCTCCTTGTGGTCTGTGTTTAGTTCAAGGACCGTAGAACACACACTCTTGCGTGCAAGGCGCTTGACGTAGGCAGGTGTGCAGTCAGTGCCAGAACGGGCTTCATGCCAACCCCGTTGATCCGCAGCATTAGTGAACCTGCTCAGCCACTTAGCATTTAGAACATGAATGCAAATGTTTAAATGTTCCATCTGTCTCTTTTAAAAGTCTGTAAAAATAGAAACACCTTTGTAAGATGACCAATCCTTCTTTAAGAACCACTGTCTCTAACATTTCAAAACTGTACCTCTATAACCCTGTCCTCCAGCCCCTCCCACCCAATAGCTACCATTACATACTTCCCTCAACGGCTCCTTCTCCACTGCAACTGTTCTCCTGCAGATCCACCTGAGAGCTGGAATCCAAGCTTCTCAAAAATTTTCCATATGCAAAGAACCATGAGGATCCATAAAACCAACCAGTAGCACTGGTTTTAACTTTGTCTTGTTTATTTCAGGTCCTACCAGAAGGAACACTACCCAAAATACAGGTTATTCCAGTGGGACTCAAAATGCCAACTACCCAGTGAGAGCTGCCCCTCCTCCCCCAGGTAAGCCAGCTACGTACCGTAGTCTGGGACCACTAAATCTGGACCCATAACTTATAAAATATGTTTGGGAAGAAACCCATTAGCAAATCAATGCACACATATTAACCAGGCATGGACCATTTCAGTGCCACATGTACAACACAGCAGCCCTACTTGAGACCTCAAAATTCAGAAAAATAGGAGTCAGTGAGACTGAACTGCGGCTGAGTTTGCAATCTGGATTTCATTACCTCGAAATATTACTCCCTTAGGAAAGGCTTCTGACAGAGAGAAAGGAGTTCCTTGTCCGTAACAACCAGACTGTTGTCAGCTTTTAAGACACAGGATGCTGCTTTATGGAAATAGGAGTTTACAGGTCTAACCCCACCACCACTACCCAGCTCCGGCCAAATACCACTACAGCAGCACCCCCTTATCCTCGGGGGATGCATTCCAAGACGCCCAGTGGGGGCTTGAAAATGCAGATATTACCAAAACCTATCTATACTTTTCCAGTTTGAGTTTTCCACAAAACCAGCAGAAATTTTTTTCTGTCTTCACAGTGTTACAGATAGAAGATATATTGTTACTGAATTTACTTAAAGGAAGCGCTTTCACTTAAAGGAAGCGCTTAATGGCTTCTCTTTGGCATACCCAAATTGCCAGCTTCCTGGGGCCATTATGAATAACAAGATGGCTGCTTAGTGACTGATGATGGGGTAGCACACACAGCATGGATAGGCTGGGCAAAGGGACGATTCGTGTCCTGGCGGGACAGGGTGAGATGGCACACAACCTAAGCCTTAGGAATTGTTCATTCCTGGAACTTTAATTTAATATTTCCAGGCCACAGTTGACCATGGGTAACTGAAACAGTGGAAAGCAAAATCATGGATAAGGAGGGGAGGGGGCTACTATTTTGTAAGTTATAGCAGCTTAATGACTGAATAGAAGAAATCTGTTTTCTATTTATTTTCTGAGATTAGGATTCAGGAGGCCTGTTCAAAAAAACAAAGTAATATCTGAGAGTATTACAAAATTGTTATAAAATTTATGCTCATATTTCATATTTATCTCTTCTTTTTTTGGGATGGGGTCTCAGTTGCCCAACTGGAGTGCAGTGGTGCCATCATAGCTCACTGCAGCCTCAGCCTCCCTGGATCAAGTGATCCTCCCACCTCAGCCCCTTGAGTAGCTGGGACTACAGGCACGCACCACCACACCTGGCTCTTTTTTTTTTTACTCTTTGTAGACACGGAGTCTCACTGTGTTGCCCAGGCTGGTCTTGAACTCCTAGGTTCAAGCAGTCATCCCACCTTGGCCTCCCAAAGTGTTGGGATTGAAAGTGTGAGCCACTGCACCTGGCCTCTCATTTTTAATAGTAAAAATATAACTGACATATCCAGACACTCTAAACCTGAATCTAAGATTTTCTGTCTCTAAAAATCTGTGTAGTGTTTGCAGAATGCTTGCAAAAATACATAAAATCTTTTAATGTTTTTCCATCACTCACAAAATTCAGTTCATAAAAAATTACTCCCAGAGTGTTTGGTATTAAGCAGTTTAGAATTCTAAGTCTGATAGGGTCATTTTGAGACTGTATTTGATTCCAGTCTTCCCAGCCAAGAGAATTCTATTTGTACCAATGTCCAAGATAAGGAGTAAAAAGCATTTCTTGAGGCTGGTCATGGTGGCTTACGCCTGTAATCCCAACACTTTGGGAGACCAAGGCAGGAGACTTGCTTGAGACCGGAAGTTAGAGCCCAGCCTGGGCAACACAGCAAAACCCCATCTCTACAAAAATGTTCTTAAAAATTAGCTGCAGCCAGGCGCAGTGGCTCATGCCTATAATCCCAGCACTTTGGGAGACCAAGACGAGCAGATCACTTGAGGCCAGGAGTTTGAGACCAGCCTAGCCAACATGACAAAACCCTGTCTCTACTAAAAATACAAAAATTAGCCAGGCATGGTGGTGCACACCTGTAATCCCAGCTACTGGGGAGGATGAGGCACGAGAATTGCTTGAACCCGGGAGGTGGAGATTGCAGTGAGCTGAGATCACACCACTGCACTCTAGCCTGGGTGACAGAGCAACACTCTGGCTCAAAAATAAATAAATAATAAAATAAATTAAAAAATAAAAATTAGCTGGACATGGTGGCACATGCCTGGAATCCCAGCTACTCAGGAGGCTGAAGTGGGAGGCTGAGGTGGCTATGATCATGCCACTGCACTCCAGCCTGAGTAACAGAGTGAGACCCTGTCTCAAGATTAGCTGGGCGTGGTGGCATGCACCAGTGATTCCAGCTACTCACAAGGCTGAGACATGAAGATTATTTGAGCCGGGGAGGCAGAGGTTGCTGTGATCTGAGATTGCACTACTGTACTCCAGCCTGGGTAACTGAGTGAGAGTCTGTCTCCCCTCCCCATCCACCCCCACCTTCCCCCCAGAAAAGGGCATTTCTTTAGTCTCTGGAATCTCACCATTGCATGCTAAAGTATGGACACTGGGGCCCAGCAGTGAGAAACTAATTCTCATCTCTTTTGGAGTCCCCATCCTGCCTTGACCCGGCTCTGTCTCCTCCTTTCTTCTTTGAAGAAAATCCAAGCACAAAGGAACTTAAGAGAAGCACTGTAGTATCATATTACTGCGTGTGCGCTGGTTCCAGTGGAGAATTCTGGCCAAGTCCACCTGGAAAGCTCACTGGCCTCAGCTAGGTTGGCCAAAGTAGCCTCAGATCAAATCAGGCCACAAAGTTTCCGACCTTGAGCAGGGCTCCCCAACTCTCTAAATGACAGTTCCTTCATCAAAAAAATGAGACAATGGGACCAGATCCATTTGACCAGCACTTCTCAAACTGTCTGTGGTGAAAGACCAGGAGTTTTCAGGGGGTTTTAAAAAATTTCCAGTCCGTCACAAACCATGTATTTGTATGTTACAATAAAAATGAATTAGTAGAAGAATGGAATTTTCAAAACATATAAAATATAAGCCAAAATGTCTTATTATAAGATGCAACAGGCATGAAATAGATCTGTCAAACTGCCATGAACGTTTCTAAATGCTTACTCTTCATTTCTGACCTTATCGTGGACAAGGGGATCTCGAGCAGCATGTGGAGCAGCCCCTGTGGGGACCCCACTTTTATCACTGGCCATGTGACATCCCGAGGGCATGTCACACTCCTAAGATGCCCCTCTCCTTTTGTTGGGACCCTAGGCAGCAAGCAGGGTCCTTCTACCCTCCCCATCCCCAGACCCTGTGGGAGCCCATTCAGCTCTCACTCACTGAGGGAATGAGGTAAGATGAAGAGCAGCTGTTTGCCCCAAATGTCTAGTTCTGATCTGGTCTGACGGCCTGTGGGAGGAAATTGCTAGAGACATGGCTGGATGAGGAGCCACCCTCTTGAAAGCTCCACCCTGATAAAACCGTGGTTCAAAGTAAGAATTCCACCTATTATTACTGGGCATGAAATATTTCTGCAATAATAAGGATATAGAGAAAATGCTTGTCGGAGCTGGAAGCCACCAAGCAGATTCTGGACCTATCTCGTGGTTCTTTCATGAAGAACTGAGACTATGAAAGATCAACTCTCTTGCTCATGATCAGTATAGCTCTCAGAGGCAGAGCCAGAACTGAACCCCTAATCCTTTCCTAAGGGTCATCCCACTGGTACCAAAGAGTTCTCTTAATTTGGTTGGAAGAGGTCTTTAGGTAGGGTTCACCAAAGTGGGCCTTGAAGAGTCTTGTTCTCTTTCTCCACTCAGCCCAGATCTGTCAGTGGGAGAATGAATAAGGGCCTCTTCATACGTAGCATGGAATGCTAATGCCCGAGTCTGCCAAGACGCATGGTTTGGAGCCTGCCACTGTAACCCATTACTTATTGGCTAATGCGATTTTAACTAGACATCGCTGTTTGGCTGAGAGAGCTTGCTCCATCCGGACTGATCCAACTGGGTGGCCACTTTTCCCTTGCCTGTGTAGAGCACCCCCTCTGCCTCACACAGCAGGCTCCTGCCGTGGATGCCCAAGATTGACCCCTCGAAAATGGATGTCCAGCTGTTTAAGCAGCTGCCTGTCAGCCCTCTTGAGTCATAATCTCATAATTTTTCTTAGGCCCAAGAAGGTGTCTCCCAGCCGGCTGTAAGCTTACCTTACTGTGGGCTTTGAACCCCAGGAAATCTGGGGATTCTATTGCCACCAAGCATGTGCTGAGTGTCCGCTGTGTTCCGGGCACATCCCGGGAAGTTGACCATGCATTGTTGTACATGTTAAATACATACAATTTTATTTGTCAGTTATACCTCAGTAAAGCCCGGTGATGGGGAAAACAGGGAATCAGCTCTAATTCTCACAATGTGTTAGCAGTGATGCCTTCCATTTTTTTCAAATGCGGAAATTGAGACTCAGAAGTTAAGTAAGCTGCCCTTGTAGTACATGGAAGAAATGTGGAGAGACTTTTGGCAAAGGATCCAAAAATCTGAGCCTTATTTCCTTCTCTGTTCCTCTCTCTAGGATACCATCAGAACGGAGTCATCAGAAACCAGTATGTGCCATATCCCCATGCTCCTGGAAGCCAGAGGTCCAATCAGAAAAGCCTGTACACCTCCATGGCCCGCCCGCCCTTGCCTCGGCAGCAGTCTACCAGTTCAGACCGAGTGTCACAGACGCCAGAGAGCCTGGATTTCCTCAAGGTCCCGGACCAGGGAGCTGCAGGGTAAGATTCTCACATCCTCTGGATGAAGCCGGCAAGCTCCATCTCCATCATTCAAAACAAGGGTTCAGAGATTCCTGTGGGCTGTCAATACACAGGATTCTAAGGTTTAGTTTTCCACCTCAGTGCTATATGCCAGGACCCAAGGCTGTGGGGCTGTGGCTGGTTATTTGTAAAGGTACAGTCACATTAATAGCACACAATTCATTTCATTCTCCAGAGAGGGCTTATCTTGGAAACATCAGAAGACGGGTTCCCCTTGGCCCCAGATATGGTTACTCTGTGACCTCTTTGTGCTTTCTTGCATGGTTGAGGAATAATGGATCTTTTGATTTGTGTCTGTGCCTGCAGTTGCATAAATACAACAGCTTTAAGAGTCTTCAGCAACATTAAGCATAACATCCCAGCATTCTATATGATATTTGTTGAAGAATATGGGTCTTTGTGGCTTTATAGTGAGAGCCTCTCTGCCTTTCTAGAATATAAATAAAGAGTGGTGAAGAGAACCCAGCCTTTTTAGCCGGAGGAAGTGAAGATTCCTGAAACTCTGTGTAGATATTAAAAGAGCTATCAGTTTTAAAAGGGGGTTAAGACATGTCCTGTGGAGTCGTAGGGATGGAACTAGCGCCAACTGAAAGCCAGTTGGTGAACTCTGCCAGGAGGTAGATTTTGGCTCCAGTAAAAGGAAGAACGTAGCAACCCAAATATGAGTTGCCCTCGTATGTAAACAGCATTTTGTTCCTGGGAGCATCCAGGCACCAGGTGGATGGGGATCACCAGGCAGGAGTGTTCAGAGTAGTGTTGTCAAATGGTAGATAAGGGGAAAGAGAGGCCTCTCTAACACTGGACCTGCTGTTTGCTCTCTCTGAGCTTCAGTTTCCTTGTCTAAGCACTAATGTAATGCCATCAAACTTGCAGCAAACTTGTTGGGAGGACTAGAAATTATATACATAAAATCTCTAGCATGGTACTTGGCATGCAGGCGTCTGCTCACTTAACTCTAGCTTGAGGGTGGTAATGACGGTGACAGGGTGATGATCATAAGGACCCCCGTCACTTCATGGAGGTTGAACTAGAGACTTGTAAGGAATCTTCCAGCTCTGCACGACTCTCCATGGTGGAGTGGCTCTGTCTGCTAAAGCTAGTAATGGCCTGCTCCCACCCACTCTCTCTTCTCTTCCCCTCTCTCAAGCCCACTTCCATTTTCCACTGTCTCCTGTCTCCAGCACCATGGAGAAGTTTCAAATGAGGATCAGGAGGTATGAATGCAAAATAGACCTGTGCAGGAAGAGAAACAACAGCTCCTTCCTCTGAGGGGGCAGCCATCCATCTACCTTTTTGTTTGTTGGTTGGTTGCTTTGTTTTTTGAGACAGGGTCTCGCTCTGTTGCCCAGGCTGCAATGCAGTGGTGCAGTCTCGGCTCACTGCAGCCTCCTCCCAGGTTCAAGTGATTCTCCTGCCTCAGCCTCCTGAGTAGCTGGGATTACAGGCACGCACCACCACACCCAGCTAATTTTTTTTTTTTTTAGACGGAGTCTCACTCGGTTGCCAGGCTGGAGTGCAGTGCCACAATCTCGGCTCACTGCAATCTCTGCCTCCCGGGTTCAAGCGATTCCCCTGCCTCAGCCTCCCGAGTAGCCAGGACTACAGGCGCCTGCCACCATGCCCGGCTAATTTGTGTGTGTGTGTGTGTGTGTGTGTGTATTTTTGTAGAGACAAGAGTTTCACTGTGTTGGCCAGGATGGTCTTGATCTCCTGACCTCGTGATCCACCCGCCTTGGCCTCCCAAAGTGCTGGAATTAAGATGTGAGCCACCGCACCCAGCCTAATTTTTTTACTTTTAGTAGAGACAGGGTTTCGCCATGTTGGCCAGGCTGGTCTCAAACTCCTGACCTCAAGTAATCCACCCGCCTTGGCCTCCCAAAGTGCTGGGATTACAGGCGTGAGCCACTGTGCCTGGCCTCATTCATCTTTATGCCCTATTATTTGATGTTTTTCCTGCCTTGGCAGCTTCCTTCTAAAGACCACAGAGCTCTTAAGAGCTTTACCATGTTCTCTCCTAGCAGCATTCCTTTTGCCCTGGCAAGTCTTATCTCACTTCATTTGGGCTACAAATATGAAAGCACCTTAGTTGGTTTTTTTGGGGGGGGTTTTTTGTTTGTTTGAGATGGAGTCTTGTTCTGTTGCCAGGCTGGAGTGCAGTGGTGCAATCTCAGCTCACTGCAACCTCCATGTCCTGGGTTCAAGTGACTGTCCTGCGTCAACCTCCTGAGTAGCTGGGACTACAGGTGCGTGCCACCACACCCAGCTAATTTTTTTGGTTTTTTTTTGTAGAGATGGGGTTTCACCATGTTGGCCAGGATGGTCTCGATCTCTTGACCTCGTCATCTGCCTGCCTTGTCCTCCCATAGTAGCTGGGATTACAGGCGTGAGCCACCGCGCCCAGCTGAAAGCACCTTAGTTTTATCACACAGACAGCCATCAGTAGAGTGGATGCCGCCCTTATGTAGACCTCTCTCTAAGTGCACGTGCGCGCGCGCGCGTGTGTGTGTGTGTGTGTGTGTGTGTGTGTGTGTGTGTGTCCCTCTCCTCTTCCCTTCCACTACCCCCCAGTCTTGGGTAAGTAGCTATATCCCACCAGCTCTCATGACCGTGGTTCACGTGATTGGCTTGGTCTAAACCAGTAGTTCTCAAACTCTAGTGTGCAGTAGAATCCGCTGGAAAGCTTGCTGGCCCACTTTCCGCGTTTCTGATTCTGTAGGTCTGGGGTAGGGCCTAAGAATTTGCATTTGTACCACGTTCCCAGGTGATGCTCTGATCCAGGGACCACATTTTGAAAACCACTGGTCTGAAGGCACCTGTAGTCTGATTGATAAAGCCAGGGAAGCCTCCATGTGAAGGTGAATTGCAAGGGTGCTGTTAGGTTTATGGGATTTTTGCTCTCTAACCCAGACCTACACCTTTCAGGTGGGTGAGCATCACTAAGTCACAATCCCACCTAGGCCCAGTTTGATGCCTCAAAGTAGGCAGGGTATTAAAAGCAGTCAACAGAATGCACCAAATCTCTTAGCTCTGTGTGCTAGCTGCCTACTTACTTTGGTTTTGGCAAGCAAAACCATCTTTCCAGCCTACTTTGCAAGTTGCAAACTTGCACATCAGCCAGCTGGGAGCATCTGTCAGCCAAAAGTAGGCAATTTAGGAACACTGTGTCTTAACCAAGGCTGCTCCCTTCCAGCCCTCTGCCATGTGGTTCCCTATTTAAGTCTTATGGCACCCTTTGCCACCCTCCAGCCTAAAGACTGGGTACACGTGGTGCTGTCTTGGAGGCAGGCCATGAGGCCGGAAGGAGAGGACACCTTCACACCTGTCTGCTAGGCATTAAGATTTCCTTGTATGTAAAACACAATTAGTAGGCACACTGTGTCTTAGCCAGCCTCCTCTTTGTAACCTTAAATCTGCTGTGCAAACATTCCTTACAAAATAGTACCTTGGGCAAAAGGCTCAGCCTTTTCTTAGTATTTATTTTCTAAAACATGTAAAGGTGAAAATTAAAAGTATCTAATGTGGCCAGAGACTTTGGATGTGGCATTTTATGGATCCCCATGGTTACCTAAATTTAACAGCTTCTCCTATTTGCCAAGAAAACATGAATTGCATTTATTCCACAGGAGGCTGTTGAAGCATGCAGGGAATTTTAGGATCCCAAGTTTGTACTTTTTCCATAAACATGAAAATTCCTATACATCAAAGTTCTAAACAGTCACCTTGACTTTACCAATCTATAAAAGTAGGATTACTATGGTCTTTCTTTCCTGGCTTTCACATTCTGAGTTTATCTTTCCTTCCTCTCTCTCATCCCTCAGTGCACTTTTTCTGTAATTTATTTTGGATCATGTAATATGGATAAAATCAAATGATGTAATTAGCACCTCAAGTTAATTCAGGCAAGTCTTTATCAGTTTATTTTAGGTTCAATCAGTTGTTCTGAAGAGAGCATGAAGATTTCACTAAATTAATTACCATCCCAACTGGATTCTTTACCCTTTCATTGCAGTATTGGTGCACATGGTAGCTATCATTATCATTCTCCAGGAAACACTGAGAGATCTGCGTGGGAATCAGGATCTTGCCATCGATTAGCATAGCTTTTGAGAAGTCTTAATTCAGGTCAAAGATCTTTCCTGTTTCTCAAGGAAAGGGAAGAGGTTAGGCAAGAATCCTATTAACAGTTCATCCAGGCCGGGCGCGGTGGCTCACGCCTGTAATCCCAGCACTTTGGGAGGCCGAGGTGGGTGGATCACGAGGTCAGGAGATCAAGACCATCCTGATTAACACGGTGAAACCCCGTCTCCACTAAAAACACAAACAATTAGCTGGGTATGGTGGTGGGTGCCTGTAGTCCCAGCTAATCAGGAGGCTGAGGCGGGAGAATGGCGTGAACCCAGGAGGCAGAGCTTGCAGTGAGCTGAGATTGGGCCACTGCACTCCAGCCTGGGCGACAGAGCAAGACTCTGTCTCAAAAAAAAAAAAAAAAAAAAAACAAAAAAAAAAAAACAGTTCATCCACCCACCTTTGCTCTGATCTCACTATCCAGTGTGCTTTGTAATTTTCCCTCCTATAACTGAAATGTACCTAATCTACCTGCAGTTCATTCTTGGAAGCATTAAAACCCAGACTGGAAATGTCTGTTGACCTTTTTAATCCTGTGGTCCATTTTGTGGGAGGATAACTTCAGGAAATTTCAAGATACTCCAGAGATTAATCCAACTAGAAGTTGGAAAAACAGAAAAGTCTTGGAAGTGCTCAGTGGTAGGGCTTCTGGGCATGCCACAAAGGAGGGGTCAATAGAAATATTTAAATGCTGCCTGTGTGTCTCTTGTCAAGATCCTCCCAATGGAGTCATATTTTTATGGGGCTTAAAATTTCCATCAAGTGTCCAATAGCAATATTTCTCAACCCATAATCTATGGGAGCAGCAGCCATATCCTGGCCCAGGCAGACATGGTGCTGAGGAATTCCTGGCATCCATTTCCACATTTCCAGTAATGTTTATAGATTCAACCTTTTGGAACACAGCATATTTTTAAGAGCCAGTGAAATAAAATGCCATTATTTTCCTTCTTGGAATTTCAAGACATAAATTTCCCATCTGCAGAACAAAGAGGTGATATTCGAAAGCTTAATCCTAGCTCCCCCGACATAGACTAGGCACACCCACCCAGGAGGTGTGGGAGCTACAGAGAAATTCACAAAAGGTGGCATTTAGAGTGCAGAGAGCACAGGATTTGCATCTGTAAGAGTAGGGTGAGTCCTGGTTCATTCATTCTTTCCTTTTTCTTTTATTCATCAATATTTACTGAGCCATGTGCCTTCTATGTGCTACCCCAGGCTTGTCACTTAATCTTTCTACTCTTGGTGTCTTCACCTGTATAATAGGGATACTAATATAATAATTTTGAAAACCCACTCCTCAGGGTTTTCTTGAAGGTTAAATAAGGGCTTTGTGTGCTATAAAGCACAATGCTATTTGAAAGTTATTTTGTATTTGATTCATTACCATTATTCATTGGCTGGTCTTGCAAGGAAATTTTAATGCTCTACCAGGGTTGAAAGGTGATGTTTCCTGGCCCAGTGGCTTTATTCTCAAGAACTCAAATCTCTGGCCTGCCTAGAGCTGTGGACTCCATGAAGGTCTACGCTTCAGGCATTGTTGGCTGTAATGCGGGGAATGGGCAGCCTAGGGAAGCCAAGACAAGGAGACCAGACAGGGAGACGCCCGCCCCCAACACACACACACCCTTGGCAGCTGTGCCTGTTCTCCGTGGGCACAGAGCATCAGTGGCACACAGAGTTCTGCAGTAATGGTAATAATCACTAGACATGAGAGCCTCATTTGGACAATTTGAAGATGAAAAGTCACAAACTCCTTCTGGCTCTGCACCGTTCCACAGTCTCTTCCTTTCTTTTTTTTGTATTGTTTTTTTTTTTTTTTTTTTGAGACAGAGTCTCACTCTGTCACCCAGGCTGGAGTGCAATGGCGCGATCCTGGCTCACTGCAGCTCAACCTCTGCCTCCCACGTTCAAGCGATTCTCATGCCTCAACCTCGCAAGCAGCTGAGATTACACGCATGAGCCACCACACCTGGCTAATTTTTAGTAGGGACGGGGTTTCGCCATGTTGGCCAGGCTGGTCTCGAACTCCTGGCCTCAAGTGATCCGCCCACCTCAGCCTCCCAAACTGCTGGGATTACAGGCATGAGTCACTGCACCTGGCCTCCACGGTCTCTTTCTAACTAAACATCTGAGCTGCAGTCATCATAACAATGAACAGCCCATGGAAAGGATGGACATTGCTAGGGCAGAGGGAATTAGCCCTCAGTTTAGAGAGTTTTCATGTCATTTGGGGTTTTGTTTTCTTGTGGGCTTTTGGCACCTTGTGAGATTCGGCAGCCATCCATGAGGACTCAAATGTCAGCTGACATCCAAATGTCTCGGGGCAAGTATATCACTTGGTCTTCTCTGGTCACTAATATAGGACTTCTCTTGCAGAGCAAGTTTTCACAAAGCAAACTGGATGTAGTGTACTTAATTCATCAGGAAATGTTATTTGTTTCTGGGTTATAATGTGATTGCCCTACTCAGAAAAAAGAACCTGGTGCAAAAAGAAGTTGCTGTGGGTCAGCTTTTTCGTGCATTTATGTTAATTGGTAATAGACACATAAAGTGATGTGTACAAATTACCCTAAAATAAGAAAACTAAATTGGATTGTACAGAAATTACATATAATGAAACACTGGATTTGCTCAGTGATGTATAGTTTTATAACCATATATTAACATATGTATATTACATATATAAATAATATATACAATATAAGTAATATATATTATATATATAATGAGCCTTTATTATTGAAATGTCAAAAGAAAAAATAAGTTATTGTGAGTCTGAAATCTTGCTGCAACTCCCCATCATCTAGCCAAGCACAGTGGCTCATGCCGTTAATCCCAGCAGTTCTGGAGGCCGAGGCAGGAGGATCACTTGAGATCAGGAGTTCGAGACCAGGCTGACCAACATGTGAAACCCTGTCTCTACTAAAAATACAAAAATTAGTCGGGCGTGGTGGCAGGTGCCTATAATCCCAGCTACTTGGGAGACTCAGGCATGAGAATCACTTGAATCTGGGAGGCGGAGGCTGCAGCGAGCCAAGATCATTCCACTGCACTCCGGCCAAGTGACAGAGCAAGGATCTGTCTCAAACAAAACAAAACAAAACAAAAAACAACCATTATCTCAATGAAATAATTATTTTTATAACACGATTTTCAATTCTGTGATGTTTATTAGAAATACAAATACTGTATCACAGAGTACCAGACCTACCAAAATTATCTAAGTTGTACAATTATAAAACAAATGGTGGCACATGGCTGTAGTCCCAGCACTCAGATAGCTAAAGCAGGAGGATGGCCCAAGTCCAGGGGTTCAAGACTGCAGTGAGGTATGATCATATCATTGTACCCCAGCCTGGGCATCATAGCAAGACCTTGTCTCTAAAAATAATAACAATAAGGAAATAATGAAACAAAAGTTGGCAAGGCATTTTTAGACATGAGTGAGCCTGTGCTGTCGTGAGGGCAGCTTGAGGATGGTAGGATGGTAGGATGGTAGTGTGCTGGTAAACAGTGGGCACTCCAGGGAGGAAAAGGCCTGAACTGTAACATTTACCAGTTTCCATGGTAAAATTCTCTCTTCATGGCCAATTTCAAGCTACCAGTGTGACTACTACTGAGTGCGGAGTTGGGAAAACATGGGCAGTCTCACCATTGTATAGTATTTCTACCATACATCAGCAATAGACTTTAATAACTTCAAATGCATAGATAGAGGAAAATAAGTAGGCTGGGCACAGTGGCTCACGACTGTAATCCCAGCACTTTGGGAGGCCAAGGCGGGTGGATCACTTGAGGCCAGGAGTTCGAGACCAGCCTGGGCAACAGGGTGAAACCCCATCTCTACTAAAAATACAAAAGAAAAATTAGCCGGGCTTGTTGGCACATGCTTGTAATCCCAGCTACTCGGGAGGCTGAGGCAGGAGAAACGCTTGAACCCGGGAGGCGGAGGTTGCAGTGAGAAGTAGGAAGAGATAAATGATGAGCATTTATTGCTTTTGTTTTAATGTAATTTCTTTGTTGTCAATGATTTGGTTTTTAATAATGGCCATGTTTGACAACTGGCTCACAAAATTCCTGAAAGTTCTATCAGCTCTCGCAAGCTGGACTAAGCCTGTTCTGGCACAGTGGGCATGCGGGTCTCATGTGCCCTGTAAGGGGGTGTGTAATCCCTTCCTCCTGGACTAGCCAATTGCCTCGGCTGGGAGTAGGGGGCTCCACCTGCCTAGAAGACCTCATTAATCAAATTTCTGGCAGTTTCTTTGAAAGTCATTCCTGGCCGGATGCGGTGGCTCACGCCTGTAATCCCAGCACTTTGGGAAGCTGAGGCAGGTGGATCAGTTGAGGTCAGGAGTTCAAGACCAGCCTGACCAACATGGAGAAACCCCATCTCTACTAAAAATACAAGATTAGCCGGGCATGGTGGTGCATGCCTGTAGTCCCAACTACTTAGGAGGCTGAGGCAGGAGAATCGCTTGAACCCAGGAGGTGGAGGTTGCGGTGAGCCGAGATCGTACCATTGCACTCCAGCCTGGGCAACAAGAGTGAAACTCCGTCTCAAAACAAAACAAAAAGTCATTCTTTCTTCTCATTAATGACACAGGATTGCCACCTAGTGACGCAGAGGAGATTGCCTGGGTTTTCGAGGCTGTTGGAGTCTGGGAAAATGGCTGTTCCCACCAACTGTGTTCCAAGGTGGCTTCCAGGTCTCCAGTCTGGTGAATCGTAGAGATTGTGACGGCTTCGTTGACACAGATTTCCTGTGTTCCTCAGTGCTGTTGAGAGCTCTCTGTAAAACTTTCCTAGAATCAGAAAAAAGACCTGGAACCCGGTGCGGTGGCTTACACCTGTAATCCCAGCACTTTGGGAGGCCAAGGTGGGAGGATCGCTTAAGCCCAGGAGTTCAAGACCAGCCTGGGCAACATGGCAAAACTTCATCTCTAAAAATAAAGAGGCCGGGCGCATTGGCTCACAACTGTAATCCCAGCACTTTGGGAGGCTGAGGCGGGCGGATCACTTGAGGTCAGGAGTTCAACACCAGCCTAGCCAACATAGTGAAACCCCGTGTCTACTAAAAATACAAAAATTAGCTGGGTGTGGTGGTGGGCGCCTGTAATCCCAGCTACTTGGGAGGCTGAGGCACGAGAATTGCTTGAACCTGGGAGGTGGAGGTTGCAGTGAGCCGAGATCATGCCACTGCACTCCAGCCTGCGTCATAGAGTGAGACTCAGTCTCAAAAAAATAAAAATAAATTAATAAATAAATAAAAGGAAAAAGAAAAAGGACCTAGGCCATTGCCTGAATCTGCTCAGGTTTTACAGATGCAGAGCTTGGCCCCAAACCCAGCACACAGACTCAAGCCCACGTCCCCCTCCTGCTACACACTGTCAACATAGAGCTTGAGGCCCCATCTCAGGGGGAGTTAGCCAAATAGCCACACAAGTCACTGTCATGCTACAATTGACCCATGTTCTGGAGAAGCCGTGGGCTAGGAGAGGGTATGGCCGGGGGTTTGCCAGAGTATGAGGAAGCAGTGATGGAAATGAGATCCGAAGGCCGAGCAGGAGTTAGCAGTGCTGCCTGGGAAGTGGGCAGAGGCCAGGGGAGCATAGCCAGACCAAGGATCCAGAAAGATTCCATGTGGCTGCAGTGCCAGGAGCCTTAGGCGTGTGCCACCATGTTGGCCAGGGATGAAACCAGCAGGAAATCCCAGGAGCCTGCATCAGTCATCTCACAGGAGTGTCGTGAGGGTGAAATGAAGCAGCATCTGTGAAAATGCCTAGGACAAGGCCTGGCTGAGTTGAGGGGAGTTTATCCAGACTTCACACAGCTACCGGCAGTTTCCCAGAAGACATCCTGTCTGCTAGCCCTCACAAGAAGGGTGTAGACATGTGCAGGCTGGCCAGGGAGAATGGCTCTCACTGTGGCTCGCTTTGGGAATATGCCGCCCCAGCAAAGCAGCTGTGCCTCTTTGTGGTCACAAGACAGAGCCAATGGTGGCAGCATCAGTGTTGCCCTTCCTAATGCAAAGTGCAAACTGCAGAGGTCCTCCCTCCTCCACCCACCTGCCCACTCCTCCCGGCTGCCATCAGACAGTCCCCACTATCCACACCCATCTCAAAGCTGCCCTGGCCTCCCCCACCTCTCACCTGTGGAGTTACTAGGAACCCCATTCAGCCTAGTGATAAAGGGCCAAATGGCTTACACTGCCAGCATGGTAGCAGTTGTCCACAACCTGGACAATTATGGACCCCAAATTCCCCGGGTAATTTCGGAGGTTTTACTTTGGCCAGGAGTCACTTATCCTGAGGAAGTAGCCTCTGATGCCTTGATATCAAAGACCACGCAGTGGCCACATACACACAGCTTTTTGCGTCCTGCATCCCCTTAGGTCTTATTTATAATTTGGTATCTTATCACCAGAAAGAATCCGTTCCATGAGACTTACGATCTCTAGTTTAAAACAATCTAGACGCCTTTTTTTTTTTTTTTTTTTTTTGCACCTAATTACCCTGGCTAGAGTTTCCAGGATAATATTGGACAGAAGTGGTGAGTGCTGACATCCCTGTTTTGTTCCTGATCTTATGGGGAAATCATTGTGAGTTTCACCAGTAAATATGATGTAAGCTTGAAGTATGTGGACAAGGGTCCTCTCCCCAACCAGGGCTCATGAAGAAAGGTAGGAAGGCACCAATGTGGCCTGCAGCAGGGAGTAAGGCTGGGGTGTGAGCAGGGGCCGCCCCTGGCAGAGTCTGTAGGCGCCATGAAGGGTTTTGGTCCTTTTTCCAAGAGCAGAGAGAAGCTGTTAGAAAGATTTTCAGGTTGAGGATGGGGCGAACTAATAACAGCTGAGCTAGCATGAGGGCCAAGTGTCCTAGAAAGGAAACAACTGGCAAGGAAGACACGAAGGACAGAAACAGGTCTTAGTCAAAGCTGGAGGCAGGTGGGGCAGAACAAGTGGGTGATGCCCAGGGCAGGGAGGGTCTTACCTCTCAGGAGCCATCCGTCTTGTCTTCCCACTAAGAGGTCTTACCCCGACCCTGGCGAGGGGAGTCCTTCAGCAGGAGGACCCTGTATCTAAGCCCCCATACTTGGGCTCCAGAGACCTTGTCAGTCTACACTAAGGACACTAGGGTTTTTCCCTGAACAAGACAGGACAAATTAGCATCTGTGGGTTCAACTGGCCCGCTGTGCCCATGGGTTCCACATCTGTGGATTCAACCAAACTTGGAATGAAAATATTCAGAAAAAATATGGATAGATGCCTCTGTAGTGAACATGTACAGACTTAAAAAAAAAATTTTTTTTTTTTTGGGATGGAGTCTCACTCCGTTTCCCAGGCTGGAGTGCAGTGGCACGCTCTCGGCTCACTGCAAGCTCCGCCTCCCTGGTTCACGCCATTCTCCTGCCTCAGCCTCCCGAATAGCTGGGACTACAAGCGCCCGCCACCACGCCCGGCTAATTTTTTGTATTTTTAGTAGAGACGGGGTTTCACCGTGTTAGCCAGGATGGTCTCTATCTCCTGACCTCATGATCCACCCACCTCGGCCTCCCCAAGTGCTGGGATTACAGATTACAGGCGTGAGCCACTGCACCCAGCCTTTTTTTTTTTTTTTTTTTTTGAGACAAAGTCTTACTCTGTGGCCCAGGCTGGAGTGCAGTGGCTCAATCTCGACTCACTGTAACCTCCATCTCCCGGGTTCAAGCGATTCTCCTGCCTCAGCCTCCCAAGTAGCTGGGACTATAGGCATGCACCGTCACGCCCAGCTACCGTCTGTATTTTCAGTAGAGACGGGTTTCGCCATGTTGGCCAGGCTGGTCTCGAACTCCTGACTTCAGGTGATCCACCCGCCTTGGCCTCCCAAGGTGCTGGGATTATAGGCGTGAGCCACCATGCCTAGCCAGTCCTATATTTTTTAAAAAGCCTTTTTCTTGTCATTATTCCCTAAACAATATAGTATAACAACTATTTACATAGCATTTACATTATATTAAGTATTATAAGTAATCTAGAGGTGATTTAACGTATACAGGAGGATGTGCATAGGTTATATGCAATTGTTACACTTTCATATGAGGGACGTGTCTGTGGAGTTTAGTATCTGTGAGGAGTCCTGGAACCAGTCCCCCAGGGAGATAGGGATGAGTTTTTGGTGTGTGTGCGTGCACATGTGTGCATCTGTGTCCTTCCATGTGCACTTGTAGCCCAGTTCTGTGGACTGCCAGGCTGGAGGCTTCCTCCCTCCCAGGGTGTTGTAATGCCCGCCGCCATCCCCTTTCATTCCTTGTTGCTGAGAAGTCACATGACGTCTGGTATCCAGGCTAATGGCTCTTATTAACCAAATGCTGACACATCCCAATATATAGGGTGCTTAATTAAAAACCTGCTCGCCTGGCCAACTTTCAGAGAAGCAAGCACTTCTTGAACAGGGAATGGGGATTTCCAGTAGGCACTAGGTAGAAAACGAATGATGTCACACTAAGAACCTACAAAATGCCTTTCCTCTGCACTAAGAGAAAAGTGCAGGGGGGTGGTGGTGGTGGGAGGAGTGGAGCCTGAGTAGCCTTGAGGATTGCTCCCTCCCACGTGGGGTGGTGTAAAAGCCGAGTCTCAGGGGCGCCCAGCCCCTCCTGGGGACAGTCCACCACCCTGCTGGCAGTCAGTGTTCCCCCCAGCCACCCCTTTGTGATCCAGGTTGTTCATCAGCACCCCATGAACATCTGTCATCACAGGACCTGGGCAAGGCCAGCAGGCTGTGGCTCCTGAGAGCACAGCTCAAAACTGGGTGTGGTTGTTCTTTCCAGAACTCAGGCCCCAGGAAGGCCCTCCCTTTTCCTCCTTGCTCCTGTAGGTGTGAATGATGTGCACAGACCTAACAGCCAGCCCCACCCTGTTGAGGTCCAGCCCAACTTCTTGAGGGAGAAATCTTAAGTTTGTTTTGTAGGGAAATGAATGTAGCCTTTACTTTGGTTTGTCCTTAAGCGAAGTGGAAAAAAAGAAATGTTCTCCATGTTTCCGTTTTCCTTTTTGTTTTTGCTAAATGCTTTTTATGAACATATTTAATAAATGTTTCAGGTATAAGTGTAAAGATCTCACTAAATAGGAACAAGTTGAACTTACACACCTTTGAAAGAATGTATGAATGGTGACTTAAGGCAGCATAGTATATAGGAAGAATAACTTTAAAGCTAGAAGATCTGGATTAGGGTTAGAGCACTGGAGTTATTTTTAATAATTATGACAGTGGGGTGAAGGGAGTGTCACTGGTATCCAGTGGGTAGAGGCCAGGGATCCTACAGGGCATAGGACAGCCTCCCGCACCCACCCCCATACACACACACACACACACACAACAGAGAATTCCCAGCCGCAAATGTCAGTAGTGCAGATGTTGAGAAACTGCTCTGGATAAACTCTTGTATAAGAATATTTACAGCAACATTTTTGGAGGGGCAAAGGGGAGCTCTGAGGGGTAATAATGAAAGAATGGGAAGGAGACCTGAGGAGTAATAACTGATTGATAAAATGAGAGGGAAGTCTGTGGATTAATAATGAGGGGGTGGGAGGGAAGATTGTGGAGTAATGATGAGGGTATGAGGGAAGTCTGCAGAGTAATAATGAGCAGGTCGGAGGGAAGTGTGAGGAGTAATAATGAGGGACGGGAGGGAAGTCTGAGGAGTAATAATGAGGAGGTAGGAGGGAAGTCTGCAGAGTAATAATGAGGGGTAGGAGGGACATCTGTGGAGTAATAATGAGAGGGCAGAAAAGCCTGTAGAGTAATAAGGAAGGGGTAGGAGGGCCGTCTGCAGAGTAATAATGAGGGATGGGAGGGAAGTTTGACAAGAAATAATGAGAAGGTGAGACGGAAGTCTGAGGAGTAATAATGAGGGGGTAGGAGGGATGTCTGCAGAGTAATAAGGGGGTGGGAAAGAAGTCTGCAGAGTAATGAGCGGGTGAAAGGAAAGTGAGGAGTAATAATGAAGGGGTGGGAGGGAAGTGTGAGGAGTAATAATGAGGGATGGGAGGGAAGTGTGATGAGTAACAATGAGCGGTGGGAGGTAAGTGTGAGGAGTAATAATGAGGGGTTGGGAGGGAAGTCTGAGGAGGAATGAGGGGGGTGGGAGGGAAGCCTGAGGAGTAATAATGAGGGGGTGGGAGGGAAGTGTGAGGAGTAATAATGAGGGATGGGAGGGAAGTCTAAGGAGTAATAATGAACTGGTGGGAGGGAAGTCTCTGGAGTAATGAGGGTGGGTGGATAGATGGGATGGGAGTAGACAGGAGTGAGGTCTGAGGCATAATAAGGTTGTGAATGGGGAGCAAATCTCATGGCAGCATTTTTTATAATAGTGAAAACTGGAACCATCCCAAGTGACCATCCACAGTGCCCTGGAGAAGTAAACTGTGACACACTCACTCGCGCAGTGGTGTAGTATCAGGCAGCAAGGGTGAAGGAACGATAGCTGCAGGCATCAGCAGGGCACGTCATCCAGTTGTTGAGCATGTGACCGTGGAATATGATTCCTTTCATACAGTTGACAGTCGGACCACAAATATTGGCTAGGGGTATTTACATGTGTGGCAAACTGTAGAGATGAGCCAGAGAATGGTTAATACAAACTGTAAGGTGGTGGTAATCTGGGGGGAATGCAGTGAAGGAGAAATGCCTACAGGCTTCTGTGGCACCTGCAAAAGTTCCATTTCGAAACTTGAGGAAGGAGGGACAGATACCTGAATGTTCCTGATTTAAATGTATGGGTATACTTTTGACACTTTTTTATGGATATGTGTCTCCCACATTTCCTTCTATGCTGGGGACACAGTGACAACAGCAGCTAAGGTTTTTAAGAGCTATGTGCATTTGCAACAACCTTGTCAGAAAAGTTACTTTTATTCCTCAAGTTTAAAGACTGCACCCTGGGCCACATGTCTTCTAAGGATGGAGCTGGATTTGAACTTGAACAGGCCAGTGCCGGCCGCCATGCTCCAAACCACCGTTCGGTGCTGCTGCCCCCTGTTGGGGCCCAGTCTCATCTGCTCCACTCTCTCCACAGGGTCAGGAGACAAACAACCAGTCGGCCTCCCCCAGCAGGGGGCAGACCCAAGCCCCAGCCCAAGCCCAAGCCTCAGGTGCCACAGTGCAAGGCTTTGTATGCCTATGACGCTCAGGACACAGACGAACTCAGCTTTAATGCCAATGACATTATTGATATTATCAAAGAAGGTAAGTGTGTGGCTGGTTGGCTGGGACAGCCTCCCAAAGAGCATGCAGTCACATTGCTGTAAGATCTAGTGTGAAAATGAAAAGAATTTATGGGCTCCTCAAACTGCAATTTGTAGAGGCAGGTCAGGCCTCAGGCTCAGTCTGATCAAGACACCAGCTTTTTTAATGCTTCTTTCAGCTCTGCCCCCTTATTTATATTCCCTCCCTTGTCAAGCTGTTTTTCTTCATGGTAGCAAAACGGCAGCAGCAATTCCAGGCCAACATATCAAACCATGTCTGAAATGTGCATCATCTCTGAAACTTCTGTTCTTAGTCATTGGACAAAAGTCCTGACTTTTATTCTGATCAGACCAAATTAGCCATGTGTCCATCCCTGAACCAACTTCAGTAGCAAGACAAAGGCTGTACCCTGAGAGGATGAGACCTGGTAGGGGCTGTCCCCAGAAACGGGGAGGTCTGTCCCACCCACACTTCCTGGCTTCTTCATAATGAAAGTGGATGGAGTGGAAGCCAGGAAGACAACCTTGAATATCCATTATTAAAGCAGTCCATGGGCTTGGCTGAGTGCTTTATTAATTTGGTAGATATCTTACTTTTTTCAACAAACTTTTTGATTTAAAGAACAAAGGGAAAACAACATGGATGGAGCCAAATCACTTGAGCCCATGGGAGCGGAGTGTGTGTGGCTGGGGCAGAACAGACTTTCTCATCTTCACTTCCACCACCTCTCTCTCCCTGCAGATCCTTCTGGCTGGTGGACGGGTCGACTACGAGGCAAGCAGGGCCTGTTCCCCAACAACTATGTGACCAAGATCTGAGGTGCCCGTGACTCTGACACATGGGGCAGAGGAGCTCCAGGCACAGACCAGGGGAGGGGATATTTAGGGGCTCCCCTTACAATCCACAATGAGCAATTGCTTCTCCAAGGCCTGGAGCTATTCTGGTACCTTCCCCATGGAGGACACTGAAAAGGCTGGGTTGGGGACAGGGAGTATCACTCCATAAGTGATCCTAAAAGGTAGCCTCTTCATAGGAACCCAGGAGGACAAAACCACCATGCATTAAGATTTATTTATTGTATTTAAACCTGGTGAGAGGACAAGTGAGGTCTGCTCAGACCTTGTAGGCTTCTATCAAAACAGCACCCTGCTTGCTCACCAGGCCTAGAGAATGGCTGTAGGTGGCCGCTGACAAGTGCCTTTAGTTGAAGAGCACATTTCTTTCATCTCTCTTGTCCATACCTGATAGACACATTCCTCTCTGCCACCTTCCTTCAGGGAGGACCCGCCCTCTGCAGACTGGGCTTAGCGTGAGCAGGCACTTCCCATGTACGTGCCAAGGGTAAGCTGGCCTGCTGAGCCCAGGGCGACAGAGGGGCACTGGTTTACACTTTGCCGGGACCATCAGGGCCGCCAAGCAGGTCAGGGGCTGGGGGCTGGGGGCTGGGCTGCTGGCTTTGCTTTCTCTGGGTCTTCAATTAGAATGTGGCTGGCCCATATTGGTTTGTGTTTAAATGCTGTACTTACTACAAGAAGGATCTTTTTTCAAGCTGTACATTTATAAAAACAGATCATATACTGTATATATAAAAATCTTGAGATGGTAGAAACATGTATGAATGTACTAAGTAGTATTCCACTGTACTCATTCATAAGGTAGGTTTTCTTACAAAACTCACACCAGGTACTTAAAGATGTGCTCTGCTTTTTTCCAACTACGGAGTGTCACTGCTTTCTAGGTCAGTCCCTGCAGACTCTTCTCAACTCTTTCCCTATAGGAAACTTACTCCGCGTCCTGCCCCCACCTCCTAAATAAATAAAGGAATCGGCGAACACCTTCTTCTTTTATGACATTTGTTATGGGTTGAATTGTGTGCCTCCAAAGAAGATGTTGGAGTCCCAGCCACCAGTACCTCACAATATGACCTTATTTGGAAATAGAGTCTTTATGGAGCAAACAAACAAAACTAATTAAAATGAAGTCATTAGAGTGGGTCTTAATCCAATATAATGGTGTCCTGATGAAAAGGGGAAATTTGGACACAGAGACCAACATGCCAGAGGAAAGACCATGTGAAAAGGCAGGGAGAAGACAGCCATTCACAAGCCCTGGACAGAGGCCTGGAACAGATTCTCCCTCACACCCTCACAAGGAACCAGCCCTGCCCACCTTGGTCTTGGACTTCCAACCTCCAGAACTGTGAGGCAATACATTTCGCTGTTTAAGCCACTCGGTTTGTGGTAGTTTGTTACGGCAGCCCTAACAAACTAAAACAATGTTTTCTTGCCATAATAGTGAAAAGCTGGAATCAGTGTAATGCCCATCAATAATGGAATGGTTGTAAGTAGAGACTGCCATTTCTCTACCTTTCCTCCTCTGGGTGCCATAGCCATTCTTAAGCTACTGGTAACTTAGAGTTTGAGCAGCATACACCTTTGAGGCTTTCAGGATCCTCAAGTCCATGGGAAAAAATTATCAGGGCTTACGTATAAGGGAAAAAAATTGATCTAGATTTGAAACGAAGATACATTTAATTCTGCTGTGTTTTACTTCAAGAACAGGGAGCAAACTCCATTCTGTAACAGTAACGAATAATGTTAAAAGGCTACTTCAGTTCCATGTTGCGACCAGAGAGGAAAGTAGAGCCATGATGCGGTGAGTTGAGGAAAGGTAATCCTGTTGACACTAGTGGTCTCTAAAGTACTTTCACATTCATGGACTCCCCGCAGTGGGAGGAAGATACCACCAGAACTGGGACAGAGGAGCATGCTGGAGTCCCCACAGCCACCAGCACTCAGGCTGCGTTCTCAGGGCAGGAACACCAGGACCATCTTCCCTTGTTATCATAAGCCCCTGGCTGGCTGGGACAAGCCTTTGTTTTTCCTCCTGATTGATTGATTGGCATTTTACACTTGTGTGTAACTGGGAACCATCGGGCTCTAGGTCACAAAACAGGGACTGAGTTAAACCCCCACGAGTAACACCCTCATCCATGGAAATCACAGACCAAGCCCTTAGCACCTGCATCGTGTGCCCAGCCAGTGCCAGGCTCAAGGAGATGCCCAACAAATGGTGCTGAAATAGGTAAGTGACCCACAGGGGAAGGAGACTTAGATCTGCGTAGAGATGCTGAAATGCTGACACTATTAAGAAAAGTTTGGAGAAATAGTGGTTTATCTTAAACTTATTTGTATATATTTAGAAATTCAACATGGGGACTACCAGAAAAATCTGGGATAAATAACATTTCCCTTTTTTTCCTAATTAAAAAGTCTTCAGAAAAATGTCTTTTTTCCCTTTAAGACACTAACCTGGGTTTCCTCTAGTCTGTGGATCTAGCCTGGCCTGCCATTTTGTTCACTGTGCAGTTAAGCAAATATGACCACTTTAGGAGTCACTTACCAGGAAAGAACATACAGAAGATCAAGGGGCCACCCCCACCTTCTGGAACTTGCCATCCTGTTTGAAATAAGGGGTGTTCATGTGCACACACAGCAACGTGTATAGCAGTATCAAACACAGTATAAAAATGTGACATCCCTTCAACCAAAGGTTTTAAGTAACCAGGAACTAAATGAGAAGGCCTGACTGTGTACCCTAGGGTAGAGGTGTTCAAGCTTTAGTTGTAGAAGAGAGAGAGACAGAGGTCTGTATAAGGGTGGTATCCACTCTACTGATGGCCGTCTGTGAGACAGAGAGAGGCTGATCTGAAACTCCTGGGATCAAACGATCCTCCTGCCTCAGCCTCTCAAAGTGCTGGGATTATGGGCAAGAGCCACCGTACCTGGCCAACTGGCTTAAAGACATGCAAAAGGGCCGTCTCTTCCACAGTGTTTTGTGAAACAATACAGAGACATGTGGAGAGGACAAAGGGTGAAGCCTTCTTGAATAAGCTTGCTCCCCAACCATGAAGGATGCCAACCCACTGACCTCCCAACGTGTGGTCCCAGCCCATCGTAATCAAACCTGACTCCCCACTACTACCAAGTCCAGCCCAATGAAGGTAGAAAAGCATCGTGCAGTTTCCTCCTTAAAGGACCTGCCCTGTGTGCACACCATGTCCACCAATATTCTGCTGGCCAGAGCTTAGTCATGTGGCCTCAACTCAAGGGGGCTGGAGGTCTCTGCACAGAGCTGTCTCAGCAGCTTACCCAGAGCACCAGAGTGACAGCGGGCTCCTGCCAGGTGGAAGTGTTCACAAAAATGAGTAAGAGAAAATATGGATGTGCCTTTATGAATTACAAACTCCATGGGCTTCCATAGAGCATGGCTTTTACATAATCTAAATTCCTTCTCTTTGCGACTCCCTCCTGAACTCATCCCCAGACCCTCCCTGAGTGGAGCTGGTCACACCAAGTCAGCCTGTGCCTCTAGTTGCTACCATTTCTTTTATAGGTGTTGTCCCAGTTAAGATTTCACTGGCAGTAGGGCTGGATTCTGGTTTCCAGGGCAATCAAGAGCAGAGCATGAACGGTGCGTCTTTGGTAGACAATTTAACTCTGTGTTTCTGGCACCCCTCACTTTTGTGATCAAAAGAAAGACCAGAGGAGCCTTTCTGCAATTCTGCCCTCTTTCCCTGTTTTGCTTTTCTCCCAAGGCCTAGCTGATTGATTGCAGTTCTTTCTGGATTTAGTAACTTGGTTTTATTCCTACCCACTAATCTTGATGTCTTTTTCCCTACTAGATCATACCTTTCCACTCTGAGCACCCTTTCTAACAAGAAGACTGGCTCAGTATGGTTCACTAGGTCGCCCAAGGTCACACAGTTCTTCCCTGGGGGAGCCATCACAGGAACTCTGAGTCAAAGGCCTGTGCGTTTTTATTTTCAGACAGCACCTCACTTTGTCACCCAGACTAGAGAACAGTGGTGCGATCATGCCTTACTGCAGTCTCAAACTCCAGGGCTCAGGTGATCCTCCCACCTCAGCCTCCCAAGTAGCTGGGACCACAAGCATGTGCCACCACATTCGGCTAATTATTTGTACAGATGGGGTCTCCCTGTGTTGCCCAGCTGGTCTCAAAGCTCTGGGCTCAAGCAGTCTTCCCGCCTTGGCCTCCCAAAATTCTGGGATTACAAGCATGAGCCACTGTGCCCAAAAGGCCTGTGCTTTTAATCATTTTCTCCAATTCAACAGATATTTAGTAATGTGATGGTCTACTGTGTCAGCCTTTCAACTTCCAATATCTTCCTCTCAGAACATAAAAGTCTATTTAAAAAGAGAGAGAGAAGAAAACTCACGCATAAAACTCAACAGCTAGAAACTTGTAAGCTCCTTTAATGGGCAGGAGCTCCATCTAACAAATCTGAATCCTCTGATTCATCTCTTTCCAAGACCATTAACCTTCTCTTTAAAATAATTAACAGCTATGTTCAAGTATCTTCTTCACACTAGAAGCTATACTAAGTGCTTGGCATACTTTACTTAGCACCACCCTATGAGGGAGACACTCTTATCCCCACTTCACAGGTACAGAAACTAAAGTATAGAGATCACCACTACTTAAAATCAAACCCAAAGCACCCACGTTCAGAGTTAGTGCTCTTCTATACTATGGATACATCATCTCATTTTTAATTTCCGTGTTTTTATGATATGGTTTCTACTTCTGCCACTCATTTCCCATTTATGACATTTTAGTTTGGGGTGCCTGCTGTGCCATCTAAGAAAGTATCTTAAAGGTCTTTTTTTATGACATCCTGGAAGAATTTCCTAAGTCAGGACATTTAATATTTAACTAAGTAAAATATGTAATAAGGAAGCTATAAAATGTCTTTGGAATATGCTTACAAAACTCAGGCGTTCTTGGAGAGAAGTTGAGCTCAAGCATCTCTGGGAAGTAACTGCTTGTCAGAGCCAGGAAAGCTCCCTTTCATGGTCTCACTTCGTTACCATTCACACTTGTGATCAGAGTTGTCCAAGGCTGCCATGGGAACAAGCTTCACTAACCCAATAAGGGATATTCATAAAACTCTATACTAGGATTTCAGCATATAAAGATACCCAAAACTTACAGTTAAAGACATACTAGTCAGGCAGTCCTGCCTGCCCAGGAAGAGAGTAAAAAGCCAGCCCTAACTGGAGCCAGTTTCTCCTCCCCAGGGGCAGTTGTCCTCAAGCTGCACCTGAATCAAAAGAGCAGACGCTGAATTTCTCTGTCAGCAAGAGGCAACCACACTCTAGGTTGGGGAAAATAACTGAGATAAATGAGTTTACTGCAAAGCACAGAACCTTTATGAATCTTCCAATCATTTGCAATGTTTCACAAGTGTATTTGACTAACTAACTCCTTTCTCTTACAACACCAATTAACATCTTGTTAAACCAACGTCTTGGGAAGTTGTTTTTATACGAGACTCACTATGTTTATGGTTTTTGTTTTTAAGTCAATGGTTGGAGGCTGAGGATGCACTCCCCCCGTAGAAAACAATGTTCGAGCGTCCCAGATCGACCTCAGACTGCTGAGCTAGCAGTGAGAATTTCAAGCCAATGGGTGTTAGCTTGCTGGGCTCCGTGGGGGTTGGACCTGACGAGCCAGGCGCCACAGGGAATCTGCTGGTCTGCCGCCGGTTGTGAAGACTGGGAAAAGTGCAGTGTCTGGGCCGGAGTGTACCTTTC
This sequence comes from Homo sapiens, assembly GCF_000001405.40. Classification (NCBI taxonomy): domain Eukaryota; kingdom Metazoa; phylum Chordata; class Mammalia; order Primates; family Hominidae; genus Homo; species Homo sapiens. Next base: position 59,131,580 of record NC_000015.10, on the reverse strand, counting down.
CTCCAGGTACAGTCTCTCACGGCTTCCCTTGGCTAGGAAAGGGAAATCCTCCGACCCCTTGCGCTTCCCGGGAAAGGCAACACTCCACCCTACTTCTGCTCGCCCTCCATGGGCTGCACCCACTGTCCAACCAGTCCCAATGAGATGAACCAGGTACCTCAGTTGGAAACGCAGAAATTACCTGCTTGGTTGGGGGAGGGGTGCCTGCCATTGCTGAGGCTTGAGTAGGTGGTTTTACCCTCACAGTGTAAACAAAGCTGCCCGGAAGTTCAAACTGGGCAGAGCCCACTGCAGCTCAGCCAGGCTGCTGCAGCCATACTGCCTCTGTAGATTTCCTCTTTCCTGGGCAGGGCATCTCTGAAGATACGGCAGCAGCCCCAGTCAGGGACATATACATAAAACCCCCATCTCCCTGGGACAGAGCACCTGGGGGAAGGGGCGGCTGTGGGCACAGCTTCAGCAGACTTAAAAGTCCCTACCTGAGAGCTCTGAAGAGTGCAGCAGATTTCCCAGCACAGCATTCGAGCTCTGATAAGGGACAGGCTGCCTCCTCAAGTGGGTCCCTGACCCCCGTGTATCCTGTCTGGGTGACACCTCCCAGTAGGGGCCGACAGACACCTCATAGAGGAGAGCTCTGGCTGGCATCTGACGGGTGCCCCTCTGGGAGGAAGCTTCCAGAGGAAGGAACAGGCAGCAATCTTTGCTGTTCTGCAGCCTCCGCTGGTGATACCCAGGCAAACAGGGTCTAGAGTGGACCTCCAGCAAACTCCAGCAGACCTGCAGAAAAGGGGCCTGTTGCAAGGAAAATTAACAAACAGAAAGGAATAGTAGCAACATCAACAAAAAGGACGTCTACTCAGAGACCCCATCCGAAGGTCACCAACATCAAATACCAAAGGTAGATAAATCCACGAAGATGGGGAGAAACCAGCACAAAAAGGCTGGAAACTCCAAAAACCAAAAAATGCCTCTTCTCCTCCAAAGGATCACAACTCCTCACCAGCACGGGAACAAACCTGGACAGAGAACAAGTTTGACAAACTGACAGAAGCAGGTTTAAGAAGGTGGGTGATAAACTCCTCCGAGCTAAAGGAACCTGTGCTAACCCAATGCAAGGAAGCTAAAAACCTTGAAAAAAGATTAGACGAATCGCCAACTAGAATAACCAGTTCAGAGAAGAACATAAATGATCTAATGGAGCTGAAAAACACAGCACAAGAACTTCATGAAGAACACACAAGTATCAATAGCCAAATCAAGCAGAATAAAGGATATCAGAGATTGAAGATCAACTCAATGAAATAAAGCGAGAAGACAAGATTAGAGAAAAAAGAGTAAAAAGAAACTAACAAAGCCTCTAAAAAATATGGGACTATGTGAAAAAACCAAATATACATTTGAGTGGTGTACCTGAAAGTGACAAGGAGAATAGAACCAAGTTGGAAAACACTCTTCAGGTTATTTATCCAGGAGAACTTCTCCAACCTAGCAAGGCAGGACAACATTCAAATTCAGGAAATACAGAGAACACCACAAAGATATTCCTCGAGAAGAGCAACCTCAAGACACATAATCATCAGATTCACCAAGGTTGAAATGAAGGAAAAAATGTTAAGGGCAGCCAGAGAAAAAGGTTGGGTTACCCACAAAGGGAAGCACATCAGACTAACAGCAGATCTCTCAGCAGAAACCCTACAAGCCAAAAGAAAGTGGGGGCCAATATTCAACATTCAAAGAATTTTCAACCCAGAATTTCATATCCAGCCAAACTAACCTTCATAAGCGAAGGATAAATAAAATCCTTTACAGGCAAGCAAATGCTGAAAGATTTTGTCACCACCAGGCCTGCCTTACAAGAGCTACTGAAGGAAGCACTAAACATGGAAACGAACAACTGGTACCAGTCACTGCAAAAACATACCAAATTATAAAGACCATGGACACTATGAAGAAACTGCATCTACTAACGGGCAAAATAGCTAGCATCATAATGACAAAATCAAATTCACACATAACAATATTAACCTTAAATGTAAACGGGCTAAATGCCCCAATTAAAAGACACAGACTGGCAAATTGGATAAAGACTCAAGACCCATCATTGCGCTGTATGCAGGAGACCCATCTCACACACAAAAACACACATAGCCTCAAAATAAAGGGATGGAGGAATATTTACCAAGCAAATGGAAACCAAAAAAAAAAAAAAAAAAGCAGGGGTTGCAATCCTAGTCTCTGATAAAACAGACTTCAAATGAACAAAGATCAAAAGAGACAAGGCATTACATAATAGTAAGGGGATCAATGCAACAAGAAGAGCTAACTATCCTAAATATATACACACCCAATACAGGAGTACCCAGATTCATAAGGCAAGTTCTTAGAGACCTACAAGGAGACTTAGACTCACTCCCACACAATAATAGTGGGAGACTTTAGCACCCCACTGTCAACACTAGACAGATCAATGAGACAGAAAATTAACAAGGACATCCAGGACTAGAACTCGGCTCTGGATCAGGCAGACCTAACCATCATCTACAGAACTCTCCACCACAAATCAACAGAGTATACATTCTTCTCAGCACCACATCACACTTATTCTAAAATTCACCACATAATTGGAAGTAAAACACTCCTCAGCAAGTGCAAAAGAATGGAAATCATAACAGTCTCTCAGACCACAGTGCAATCAAATTAGAACTCAGGATTAAGAAACTCACTCAAAACCGCACAACTAAATGGAAACTGAACAACCTGCTCCTGAATATCTACTGGGTAAATAACGAAATGAAGGCAGAAATAAAGATGTTCTTTGAAACCAATGAGAACAAAGACACAAGGCACCAGAATCTCTGGGACACATTTAAAGCAGTGTGTAGAGGGAAATTTATAGCACTAAATGCCCACAAGTGAAAGCAGGAATGATCCAAAATCGACACTCTAACATCACAATTAAAAGAACCAGAGAAGCAACAGCAAGCATATTCAAAAGCTAGCAGAAGGCAAGAAATAACTAAGATCGGAGCAGAACTGAAGGAGACAGAGACACAAAAAAACCCTTCAAAAAAAATCAGTGAATCCAGGAGCTGGTTTTTTGAAAAGATCAACAAAATTTCAAAGACCGCTAGCCAGACTAATAAAGAAGAAAAGAGAGAAGAATCAAATAGACACAATAAAAAATGATAAAGGGGATATCACCACCAATCCCACAGTAATGTAAACTACCATCAGAGAATACTATGAACACCTCTACGCAAATAAACTAGAAAATCTAGAAGAAATGGATAAATTCCTGGACACACACACGCTCCCAAGACTAAACCAGGAAGAAGTCGAATCCCTGAATAGACCAATAACAAGTTCTGAAATTGAGGCAGTAATTAATAGCCTACCAACCATAAAAGTCCAGGACCCGACTGATTAGCAGCCAAATTCTACCAGAGGTAAAAAGAGGAGCTGGTACCATTCCTTCTGAAACTATTCCAAACAATAGAAAAAGAGGGAATCCTCCCTCACTCATTTTATGAGGCCAGCATCATCCTAATGCCAAAACCTGGCAGAGACACAACAAAAAAAGAAAATTTTAGGCCAAAATCCCTGATGAACATCGACACAAAAATCGTCAATACAATACTGGCAAACTGAATCCAGCAGCACATCAAAAAGCTTATCCACTGTGATCAAGTCGGCTTCATCCCTGGGATACGAGGCTGGTTCAACATACGCAAATCAATAAACGTAATCCATCACATAAGCAGAACCAGTGACAAAAACCACGATTATCTCAATTGATGCAGAAAAGGCCTTTGACAAAATTCAACACTGCTTCATGCTAAAAACTCTCAATAAACTAGGTATTGATGGAACGTATCTCAAAATAATAAGAGCTATTTATGACAAACCCACAGCCAATATCATACTGAATGAGCAGAAACTGGAAGCATTCCCTTTGAAAACTGGCACAAGACAAGGATGCCTTCTCTCACCATTCTTATTCAACACAGTATTGGAACTTCTGGCCAGGCCAATCAGACATGAGAAGGAAATAAAGGGTATTCAATTAGGAAAAGAGGAAGTCAAATTGTCTCTGTTTGCAGATGACGTGATTCTATATTTAGAAAACCCCAGTATCTCAGCCCAAAATCTCCCTAAGCTGATAAGCAACTTCAGCAAAGTCTCAGGATACAAACTCAATGTGCAAAAATCACTAGCATTCCTATACACCAACAACAGACACAGCCAAATCATGAGTGAACTCACATTCACAATGCCTACAAAGAGAACAAAATACCTAGCAATCCAACTTAAAAGGGATGTGAAGGACCTCTTCAAAGAGAACTACAAACCACTGCTCAAGGAAATAACAGAGGACAAAAACAAATGGAAAAACATTCCATGCTCATGGATAGGAAGAATCGATAGCATGAAAATGGCCATACTACCCAAAGTAATTTATAGATTCAATGCTATCTGCATCAAGCTACCACTGACTTTCTTCACACAATTGGAAAAAACTACTTTAAATTTCATATGGAACCAAAAAAGAGGCCGCATAGCCAAGACAATCCTAAGCAAAAAGAACAAAGCTGGAGGCAACATGCTACCTGACTTCAAACTATACTACAAGGCTACAGTAACCAAAACGGCATGGTACTGGTACCAAAACAGATATATAGTCCAATGGAACAGAACAGAGGCCTCAGAAATATCAGCACACATCTACAACCATCTGAACTTTGACAAACCTGACAACAACAAGCAATGGGGAAAGGAATCCCTATTTAATAAATGGTGTTGGGAAAACTGGCTAGCCATATTTAGAAAGCTGAAACGGGATCCCTTATACTGGTATACCTTTTACAAAAATTAACTCAAGATGGATTAAAGACTTAAATGTAAGACCTAAAACCATTAAAACCCTAGAAGAAAACCTAGGCAATACCATTCAGGACATAGACATGGGCAAAGACTTCATAGCTAAATCACCAAAAGCAATGGCAACAAAGCCACAATTGACAAATGGGATTGAATTAAACTAAAGGGTTTCTGCACAGCAAAAGAAACTACCATCAGAGTGAACAGGCAGCCTACAGAATGGGAGAAAATTTTTGCCATCTATCCATCTGACACAGGGCTACTATCCAGAGGCCACAAAGAACTTAAACAAATTTACAAGAAAAAAAAAAAAACATCAAAAAGTAGACAAAGGATATGAACAGATACTTCTCCAAAGAAGACATTTATGCAGTCAACAAACATATGAAAAAATGCTCATCATCACTGGTCATTAGAGAAATGCAAATCCAAACCACAATGAGATACCATCTCATGCCAGTTAGAATGGCGATCATTAAAATGTCAGGGAACAACAGATGCTGGAGAGGATGTGGAGAAATAGGAATACTTTTACACTGTTGGTGCGAGTGTAAATTAGTTCAACCATTGTGGAAGACAGTGTGGTGATTCCTTAAGGATCTAGAACTAGAAATACCATTTGAGCCAGCAATCCCATTACTGGGTATATACCCAAAGAATTATAAATCATTCTACTATAAAGACACATGCACACATATGTTTATTGCGACACTGTTCACAATAGCAAGGACTTGGAACCAGCCCAAATGCCCATCAGTGACAGACTGGATAAAGAAAATGTGGCACATATACACCATGGAATACTATGCAACCATAAAAAAGGATGAATTCATGTCCTCTGCAGGAACACGGATGAAGCTGGAAACCATCATTCTCAGCAAACTAACACAAGAACAGAAAACCAAACGCTTCATGTTCTCACTCATAAATGGGAGTTGAACAATGAGAATACATGGACACATGGAGGGGAAAACCCCTGCCAGGGGCCTGTCACGGGGTGGGGGACTAAGGGAGAGATAGCATTAGGAGAAATACCTAATGTAGATGACAGGGTGATGGGTGCAGCAAACCACCATGGCACATGTATACTTATGTAACAAACCTGCATGTTCTGCACATGTACCCCAGAACTTCAATTAAAAAAAAAAAAAGTTCAATGCCCATTAAAAACCAACCAAACAAAAAAATGCAAAGCCATTTACCCCATAATGTACCTGAAAAAATGCATGCCAAGCTTCACCTTGAACAGGATGCCACGGGCCCATTTTCTCCAGCTGTGACCCATGGGATGGCTCTCTCTGGTCTCAACAATGCATTTGAGAGAGGGACCCATTACAAGGGTTGCTCTGGGCCAGGCGTTCCTATGCAGGAATTAGAGAGCAGCTGACTAGCTTCTAGAAAGGAAAGTGTCATGGTTATCCTCCCATTTAAAATTTTCATAATAAACTTATTTGTATTCAAGAAGCTTAGGAATAGGTTTAGTGTTCACTGAGGCCAAGTTCTAGTTTTTTCCATTTGAGAAAATGGTAAAAAGGTCTTGCCCAAGCCATAATGGCAGTAATTTACATGCTATTCATAACAGCTCAAAAAGAAATTAGTCAAAGCAAGCTTTCACTGATTTCTTAAGTACAGAATACACAAATAAATACACATGGGATACCTTAAGAAAAACCAATCGCTTTATTTTTCCTCAATATATGTTTAGAAAACTGGTCTGAGAAGAGGTTTCATGAGATAGACCAGAGGACTATGTACAAAATCAAGAGTTCTAAACCAATAAGAAAAAGGGCACAATGAAGCACACATCCCCAGGGGCCACGGCAGCCTAGGACCTTCCTATCAGTGGGGAGGCAAGGTCTTTGACGGCTTTTGAGTTCAGCTGAGGGATCATGCTGATCTTCAGGAGTTTGCTGCTTGCATACTTATTCTTGATGGCCTGCAGAAGTCATTTGTGATTAAGCACATGTCAGGAACCCCCAATGATACCTTATTCCTAGTCTAACTCACAATTATCAAAGGTCCACGGCTACAATCATGATCACATTGATGATGCCCAATCGCTGAAGCCAGTGAAAGCTCTGGGCTCATAACATGTGCCTGACCATTTCCTTCCATCCCCATTAATGAATAAAACACAGCTGGTAGCACAGGTGATAGGAACAAATGATTTCAAGGTCCAAGTAGCAGGCTTCCTCTTGTAGGCTACCAGAGGGATGGGAGGGGGAGCTGTGTTTACGACACCTAAGTGCCATCAGGACATAACAGGTTCACCAGGCCTGGCAGCAATAGGAACAATTAAAAGACAATAAAAGACAATAAAAGAGGGTGGCAACTAGTGCTTAACAAATCCCAGACAGTCCTCTCAGGACTGAACACATATTACACTTCCATGAAGCAAATCATGTTGTGAGGACACTTGAGACTCTTCTGAGGTTCAAATACCTTGCTCTTTGCCACCACACACTTGGTGAGCTCTGATGTTTGGTGTCACACAAGCACAGGACAGCACTAAGTCTCCTTTGGCTCCTCCTCATAGGTGGGCCATGCAGAGATAGACACCATGCCCTCAGGATGCCCCCTGAATGGGCCTCTTCCCTCTTAACCATGCTTGCTAATTAGGCGTTTTTCCATCATTGCCTCAAAAGACCCTGGACAAAGGCTCTGAGTAACATCACCTGAATACGCAATATAATACACCGCCATTTGAAGTGGGCCCTCTCTCTTCCCAATCACATGCAGACCAGCCTTCCCTGCTTGCAAAGTGCCCTCCCCAGGATGCTAGTATAAGCACAGAGTAATTCAATACATTGAGTAACCGACTGGTTGACTGGGATCTGGGCCTGGACATGGCTAGCCTATCGACCTTGTTTCAAATAAAGCTTGCTTTCAGGGTTTATCAGTATGCTCCATACCATACTGTACCAGAAAAATATAAAGGATAAAGGATTTGTGCTAAAACTCCCACATGTTATTAATATATTTACATGACGGCACACACCGCCCCCCCCCGCCCAACATACACACAAAACCCAGAACCTAAAGCTTTCCACAGCTTAAGAAAACAGTAGTACTTACGATGAATTTAGTTAAGTTTTCATTTACTTTCACCACATTCTTGGCCATGTGCTGCATGACTTCCAATACTTCATTCTCTGTGTATCCTGTGTAATACTGCTGCTTTAAGTTCTGAAACACAAGAAGCAGACAGACAGACATGACTGAGGGGCAAGAGAAAACCTCTGCTTCTTTAGAAGAACACATCTTGTACATGATGACATTACTTATGTAAAAGCTGTACAAGAATATTCTTACCTTCTGGAAATTCAATCAAAGCCCTAACCACTCTCACAGTACCAGCAACACTAAAGCAGCTGGTAAATGCAAGATGATTCTGGCCCTGAGACCAGACTAAATCAAGTGCCAAAGGTCCCATACGATCTTTCAAAGACGTTGCACAGGTAAGAGTCCTTCAAGTAACAACACTGAAAGGGGATGGAAAAGGAGACACTTAAAACAAAGTGCCCCTTTACAGTGCTGGCCACATCTCACACAACCCTGCATCAAAGCCCTGCCCAGCTGTCCCTGTTATGAGCTCAAGAGCCCAAACAGACATACTGTCAGTCAGGGAAAGATGTTCGGAAATAAGAAATAAACTGTGCTACAAGCAACAATCTATCAAATCCAGAAGAACTAGGACTACCTATGATTCTCTTGTTGAACCCTGTGTAGTTAAGCACCAAACAGCAGAGAGAACTTAGACACTACCACACCAAGCCTTGTGACCTAGCCTCCCAAAGAGTAAAATTCAAGTAAAAGAACAGCTGTCAATTGATAATAAGATGTATCATGTAAGAAGATATATAAATTGGCGGGGCACAGTGGCTCACGCCTATAATCCCAGCACTTTCGGAGGCCAAGGCAAGAAGATCGCTTGAGCTTAAGAGTTTCAGACCAGCTTGGGTAACATTGGGAGACCCTATCTCTATGAAAAATGAAAAATTAGCCAAGCTTGGTGGTGTACACCTATAGTCCCAGTTACTTGAGGAGCTGAGGAGGAAGGATTGCTTGAGCCCAGAAGTTTGAGGTAATGAGCGATATTAACGCCATTGCACTCCAGCCTGGGCAACACAGTGAGACCCTGTCTCAAAAAAAAAAGAAAAAAAAAGAAAAAAAAAAAAGGCCAGGCGCAGTGGCTCACGCCTGTAATCCCAACACTTTGGGAGGCCGAGGTGGGCGGATCACCTGAGGTCAGGAGTTCGAGACCAGCCTGACCAACATGGTGAAACCCCATCTCTACTAAAAATACATAAATTCCCCGGGCATGGTGGTGTGCGCCTGAGGCAGGAGAATCGCTGGAACCCGGGAGGCAGAGGCTGCAGTGAGCTGAGATCGCACCACTGCACTCCAGTCTGGGTGACAGAGAAAGACTCTGTCTCAAAAAAAAAAAAAAAAAAAAAAAAAGATATGTCAACTGACTTTATTTAAGAGTTCTGTGACAAAAATTCTAAAAGCGAAAGTACGTTTTTTTCATATGCATGGTATAATTGGCAAAATAAACCACAATTTAATCTCTTTTTTTCTTTGAAGACCGGGTCTCAACTCTGTTGCCCAGGCTGGAGTGCAGTGGCACTATCAAAGCTCACTGCAGCCGTGACATCCTGGGCTCAAGTGATCCTCCCACCTCAACCTCCCTAGTAGCTGAAACTATAGGTGTATGCCACCATGCCTGGGTAATTTCTCCTTTTTTTTTTTTTTTTTTTTTTTTTTTTTTGAGACAGAGTCTCATTCTGTCGCCCAGGCTGGAGTGCAGTGGTGCAATGTCTGCTCACTGCAACGTCTACCTTCCGGGTTTAGGCAATTCTCGTGTCTCAGCCTCCTGGGTAGCTGAGACTACAGGCATGTGCCACCACGCCCAGCTAATTTTTGTATTTTTAATAGAGACAGAGTTTTACCATGTTGGCTAGGCTGGTCTCAAACTCCTGGCCTCAAGTGATCCACCCGCCTCAGCCTCCCAAAGTGCTGGGACTACAGGCATGAGCCACTGCGCCCAGCCAGTTTCTCTGTTTTTTTGTGGAGGCGAGGTTTCGCCATGTTGCCCAGCTGGTCTCAAACTGCTGGGCTCAAGCAATCTGTCTGCCTCAGCCTCCAAAACTGCTGAAACTACAGGTGTGAGCCACTGTGCCCAGTCTACACAATTTAATCCTAAAATACTTTGAAGGGAAGAAAGAGGAAACGAGTAAAAACTGAAATAATGCACAATTTCTAGCCTTTTGAAATAAATTCTCAGAAAACTGGGAGAGCGAAGCACATTTAAGAGTAAGGTGACTAAAAATGAGCCATTGGTACCATGTACCAGTGACATTTTTGCCTCAAATGTTTTATTTATTTCAAAAAATTCCAAATCTACAGAAAAACTGAAAGAATGATCCTCTATATATCCTTCATGTAGACTGATCAATCATGAACATGTGCCACGTTTCCCTCCTCTCCCTCTCTGTGTATACTCACACACAATTTTTGCTATGCCATTTGAAAGCGATTTGCAGATATCACAGCACATCCCTGCTAAATGTTTCAGAAGCATATTCTAAAAAGTACGTTTTCGTACCTATCCATAACACCATTCTCACATAAGAAACACTGTCACCAGTGACTTTTTTTTTTTAAGCATCGAGGCAGTTCCTTTTAAAATGTCTCACATTCTGGATTTGCATATTTCCTCAAGATTTAATTCATGTCAAACATTTTGGGCATGAATAGGTGATAATGTATACATCTTACTGCACAACACGGCATGGCAACTCAGGTCGTCTGCCAGTGGTAATGCTGAGCTTAATCACTGGGTGAAGGTGGAAACCACCAGACCACTTCATCATAGATGTGCAGTTTTGTTACAGAATTAATAAGTATCTATGGGATGATAAATTGAGACCACGTGAATCTTGTTTCCCAAAATTATTCCATCTAATGATTTTTGCATTCATTGATGCACCTTGCTTGAATAAATTATTACATTACAGGTTGAAAATTAGTGGTTTCTAACTCTATCATTCTACTTTAATTAGCTGGTATTCTGATTTTTAAAAATGAACCCCTCTTTTATTTTTTATGTCATTATGGTCCCAGGAATCCTTTTTTTTATACACTATAATCTATTACTGTCATTATTCTTTTTAATGCTCTAATTCAGTCAGCCAGAGTCCTTTCAAGCCAGTTCCTATCTCCCTCCTTCCCTTCCTTCCTATTTTATTGTGGTGCAATCATAGGTCAATGCAGCCTCCAACTCCTGGGCTCAAGGGATCCTGCCTCAGCCTCCTGAGTATCTGGGACTATAGGCACATGCTACCATGACCAGCTCTCCTATGTCCTTTTGATGTGACCTCATTGATCTTTGAGAATTTGTGTGCTATCTGGCACAAATTGTTCTAGGCTCACCTTGTACTTCCCCTGCCATAGCCCTGAAATCAGCAATTTCACTAAACAGCCCTAGTTGCCAGTAGATAATGGTATTTAGTATCCAAGATGTGGGCACTAAATATGCTCACTACTACTGAGTTGTCACTGTTTCTGAGACCCTTTATTATGAATTTGCTGTTATTTCCAAAACATAATAGGGGTTTTCCTTTGTTTTTGTTTTGCTATTTCCTACGTGAGGACTAACCTTTTGTTTTTAATTGTTAATATTTTCTCTCTTAGGCCAGGCACAGTGGCTCACGTCTGTAATCCCAGCACTTTGGGAGGCCAAGGCGAGAAGATCACTTGAGCCTAGGAGTTCGAGACCAGCCTGGGCAACACAGGGAGAGCTAATCTCTACAAAAAAACTTTAAAATTAGCCAGGCATGATGGCGTGTGGCTGGGTCCCAGTTACGTGGGAGGCTGAAGTGGGAGGATCACTTGAGCCCAGGCAATTGAGGCTGCAGTGAGCTGTGACAGCAGCACTGCACTCCAGCCTGGATGACAAAGCAAGACCCTGTATAAGAAAAAATTAATGAATTAATAATTTAAAACTCTTCCTATATTGAAAATTTTAGTCCTTAATAACATGAATAAATTTGTTTTATCCTACAATACACATAAACTAGTTCCAAAATTATAATAACAGATTACTATTAACAATGAACCTACTAAGTAAACTTGATGTTACCACTTTAGTCCTTTATTTTGTCATACTTTAAATCCCACTAAGGATGCACAGTCAGAATGCTGTGTTCAGGTTACAGATTTGTTTTTTTTTTTTTTTTTGGAGACAGGGTTTTGCTCTGTTGCCCAGGTTGGAGTGCACTGGCAGGATCATAGCTACTTCAGCCTTGAACTCCTGGGCTCAAGCAATCCTCCTGCCTCAGCCTCCTGAGTAACTAGGACTACAGGTGTGTGCCACCATACCCAGCTAATTTTTTAATTTTTTATAGAGATGGGGGTCTTGCTACGCTACCCAGGCTGGGCTCAAGCAACAAGTACTTAAATTAATTCTTTCCTCTGTGTTCTGTTACCAATTTCACATGTAGTTACATTGTTTATTTCCACTTAATTACAATTTAAAGTTTGCATAAAATATTTACATTGTTCAAAAGTCAAAAAAGTTACACTGTATTATAAAGTCAATAAAAGGTTACAATCAGAAGTCCTCTCATCCTCAACCTCCACCCTATTCCCAAAGAACCCCATAGTTTCCACTTTCATTCTTTCTGGTTTATTCCTCCCGTACCAAAAAATTAACAAATATATAAATATATATACATACACACACTTTCTTGCATAAAATGTAAACTACAATATACATTGTTTAGGTGAACAGCTCCACCATGCTGCCCTGGTGACCTTGCCTATATCCATATAGGCCACACAGGCCAAGGCCTGAACCACAGCTGATCTGTCCTGGCAAAATGCTTTGTGATCCTCCTGAAAAAGGAGGAGATGGCAGGTGTGGGCAGAGCTGCCGCCCAGCCATCTCCCACTCACCTCCCTATCTCCCCTGGGAGGCTGTCACGAGACAACTTCTTCTTTTTTATATTTTTTTTGGAGACAGAGTCTCGCCCTGTCCGCCAGGCTGGAGTGCAGTAGCACGATCTTGGCTCAAAGCAACTTTTGTCTTCCGGGTTCAAGTGATTCTTATGCCTAGGCCTCCAGAGTAGCCTGGATTACAGGCAGCTGCCACCATGCCTGGCTAATTTTTGTATTTTTAGTAGAGACGGGGGTTTTGCCATGTTGGCCAGGCTGGTCTCAAACTCCTGACCTCAGGTGATCTGTCCACCTTGGCTTCCCAAAGTGCTGGGATTACTGGCATGGCACCCGGCCAAGACAGCTTCGTATCCCCTAGGTTCTGATGAGGTTTTCTATTGTACTGCTCTCAGGGTATAACTGCAGACTAGAAGACTGTTTAGCGGTGGTCTAGAACTGGCTTCTCCACAACAGTGTACCTGTGACTTGCATTGCAGCCATCCAGCTCCATTTGTTTCCACATTATCCTTTTTGCCATGTGAAACAAAGACCCGAGGAGCTGCCATCCTTGGCTACTCTTCTAAATCTACAAGTGGCTCATTCTATTCTTACTGGCTAAATCAGTCAGGCCTTGGCCTTCCTTTGTCTTGTGTGCTTGACAACTTGCTTGTTTCACTTAACGTAATATCTAAGAAATCATACATGTCAGTTCTTAGTGGCCTTCCTCATTCTGTACAACTCTATACTGCACACATGCACCTTAGTATGTATAGTCAACTCACTTCTATGTGAACTGTTCCAAGCAGCTTGCTTGCTTTCTTTCCCAAGAGACAAGGGTCTCTCTGTGTTCCCCAGGATAGACTTGAACTCCTGGGCCTGGGCTCAAATGATCCTCCTCCCTCAGCCTCCCAAGTAGCTAGAACTACAAGCACAAGCCCCCATGCCCCTCTCCAAGTAGTTTTCCTTTAGGACTTTGGACTTTAAACAATTGCTTCAGGCCAGGCACTGTGGCTCACACCTGAAATCCTAGCACTTTGGGAGGCCAAGGTGGGCAGACTGCTTGAGCCGAGTTCAAGGCTAGCCTAGACAACATGGCAAAACCCTGTCTCTACAAAAAAATTTACAAAAATTAGCGAGGCATGGTCATGCATGCCTGTAGTCCCTGCTACTCGGGAGGCTGAGGTAGGAGGATTACTTGAGCCTGGGAAGTCAAGGCTGCAGTGGGCTGTGATGGCACCACCACACTCCAGCCTACGTGACAGAATGAGACCCTGTCTCAAAAACACAAAACAAAACCAACTGCTTCAAGGATAGTGTTGTAAAAATGCTAAGGCCTTTTGTATTACGAAGGACTAAAATATAGCCTAATTAGTTTCTTCTTAAATCCACCACTCACCCATTTTCCTTGTCCTAGAACCTTCTGAGACAAGCAGGAAGCAGCTGCTGCTACCTTAGAAGGATGATAATGCACCATATCATAGTCGATGAGAGTCAGCTCCATCAAATACTTGGCTAAAGTGTGCTGTTCAACATCAACCTAAGAAAGAACAGCAAGGGATAGTAAGAATCACAAGTGTAATTACTGTCTTGCAAAATTCTGCGTGAAGGCCTAGGAACTCCAATTCACTTGACTCACTTATCCTTCTCAAGAATTACTCTATTCCACACTATGTTGTAAACATAGATCATGAGGCCTTTTCTCTTAAGAACTGATGAGGAAAGCATTAAGACTTACCTAAAGGAAGCGTCCTATAAATAAGCTTTCCTTAAATTAGGTCAAGGTTTCTGGGATGAGACACCAAGCAAAAATAGTCTCTTACAGAGCTGGAGGCACTTACCTCCCCGGCTTTTGATGCTCGCCTTAAGAAGTGTAGTGGCAAGGGTCGACCCAACTCAAATTTCAATTCTTTCAAAATTAGAGTTTCCATTTCTCGGATTTGGGAACTGGTATAAGCATTGTCTGTGATGTAAACAAAGTCTTCAATATTTGGAGAAAACATCTCCTCATACTTGGAAGCCAAGAGCAGAGCAGTAATCCCAACTAATTGAAGCTTCTTCCGGGAAACTGGCTGAACCTAATGGAAAATTAATGTAACAAAAGTCACACCTAACAAGAAGAGTGAAGCTTTAGGTGGGAGAAGGGGAAAGGAAACCAAGTCCTGGAAAAGTGCACATTGTCTTTGCTCATAAGGGCACAGGAGACCTGACTGTTCTACCACTGATCATGACAGCTATCTGTAATTGAGCACTGTGTGCTAGGCACAGTGCTAAGATTCTAACATATTATCTCACCCAATCCTCATAAAAATTCTAGGAAAGGCATATTTTATTCCTCAATTACAAATAGATGTCCTGAGAACAGATTCAGACACCATGCCAAGATCATTCAATTGCCAAGAAGGGAAGAATCCAAGCCTGAATACCAAGCTCCTAGTCACCCTTCCCACAACCTCATGCTGACTTGAGTATCTGTGGCAGCCCTGGCCTGACACACTAAACATGGTCTGAATAGAAATGAGGCCAAAGAAAAAAGTGAGAATTTAATGGATGGCTCATTTCCTTAATCCTTACCAAAAGCATACCCATTATTCAGCTTAGAAAATCTTTCGCTAATGCTTTGGAGTCAGGCAGACTCTCAGGCTAGGGTAAAGCGTTTCCCTTAATTGCTTTTTTTTTTTCCTCCCAAACTCTGTACTTTTCTTGCTTCAACTCTCATTATTAAAAATCTACCACGGATGGGCACAGTGGCTCATGCCTATAATCCCAACACTTTGGGAGGCCGAGGTGGGCAGATCACTTGAGCTAAGGAGTTCGAGACCAGCCTGAGCAACATGGCAAAACCCCATCTCTATAAAAAAATCAAAAACTTAGCTGGGCGTGGTAGCATATGCCTATAGTCCCAGCTACTTGGGAAGCTGAGGTAGAAGGATTGATTGAACCCAGGAAATTGAGGCTACAGTGAGCCCAGATTGTGTCACTGCACTCCAGCGTGGGCAACAACAGAATAAAACCCTGTCTCAAAAAAATAAAAAATAAAGAAACCTACCTAAAATACTGTTGTGCTTTCCTGCCCAAAGAGGAATGCATGCTACCTGGGATTTTGTAGTATCTCAGGGTCATTATTGTAAAGTAATTTTTATTACATTGTTTGGACAGAATTTGTGCCTGACCTAAACCCCTATCCTGAATGTTGACTTTAAATAAATAAAACCTTATCTGCAGGGCTATTGTTTGGTAGATAACACACTGGCAATTTATATCTGCTGTCTCTTCTAACAGGTCAGGGGCTGTGCATTACCCACTCATAAATATGCTGAAGATTATGTTTGCCTCTTATTTTCTTATATTACTCTTTATTACACTACATTCTCAGTCCACTCCACACACAACCCCTGCTCCTTTAAAAAAAACAAATACTGCCACCTTCTTCTTCTACAGTGATTCAATGACATAGTTGGCTGGAAATGTGGAGGTTCTCCAGCCAAACTCATCGTTTTTCAGATGAGGAAACTTAACACCAGAGCACCAAACTATGGAAATTGTGCAAGCAGGCCCAGAAAACCAGCATCCAAAGGCACTACAGGCTTCAGATGGACTTTCAGCCCAACTGATGGTATATTTCCTCTGATGAAGGATTGTGGCAATGCAATATTTCCCCCAAGTACTTTTTAGCTGGCTGGCCTTACAGAAATGCCCATTATTGGTCCGCATCATCAAAGGCTTGACACACTTGGATTACTTCCCTTTTTAGTCCCCAAAGTTCTTTGGCTTCTCACAATTTGATTTTTGGTCTTTTTTTCAGAAGTACCCACTTTAGTTTTCTATCCCCCAAGCATAAATGCAATGTTCAATGAGCCACTGGCGTGAAGTCCCTGAAGCCACACCTACCTGTAAAAATCGATCCATAATGCCAACGCACATGTACAGAGTCTCCTGCAGAAGCCTAAACTTGGAGTGGACTTGTACCAGCCAATCCACTAGGATGGCACGCATGCGTCCATTTATATCTCTTCCATCTAAGAAATGTGGGTTTATGGACTGCAAAACCTGTGGGTAGAATCAAAAGTTTAAAAAGCTGACCTTGTTTGCTTCCCAGCTGTGTGGTAAATTCCACATTGCTTATACAACCAAAACACAAAGGCCCACCTACCTCCAGCTGCCTGAGATACTGATAGATATCCTTAACGTAGTCACTGCAGAGCTGAGGGTTCTCCCAATCTTCGTTATCAATGTCCTCGATTTTGCAGAGCAAGGCATCAGAAAAAGCTTGGCAGAGATTCTCTTCCTTCATGGAGACATCCTCAGGTGTGGGAGAAGGACCCTACACCAACAAATTTAGGCACATGTAGGAGCAGCCTTAACCATAAATACATGCAGAGCCAACTGGCTTAAATATCAATATCATACGCACATCTGAAATATGTTAAAGACACAACAAATTTCATACCAAGAGGTGAATAATTCAAGATATAGTATGTGAAGTTCTTCAAGAGACACTTCTCTGTTTAAAACTCTCTAATTTCACTCAAACTGAAAACTTAAGTCCTCCCAATGGCCTACAGACCTTATATAATCTGGCCCTCCCCAGTTCCCTCGCTGACCCATCTCCTGCTTCTCTCCCTTGACTGCTTCACTCAAGCCAGGTTCTTCTTACCCAGAATGCTCTTGCCCCTATGTCCATATGGGTAATTCCCTTACTTCAAGTTTTACTTAAATGTTACATTCTCAATGGGGTCTATCCTAACTCCTATTTAAAATTATCAGGCCATGCACGGTGGCTCACGCCTGTAATTCTAGCACTTTGGGAGGCCAAGGCAGGTGGATGGCTTGAGCCCCGGAGTTCAAGACCAGCCTGGCCAATATGGCAAAACCCCATCTCTACTTTAAAAATACAAAAACTAGCTGGGCGTGATGGTGCGCCCCTGTAGTCCCAGCTACTCAGGAGGCTGAGGCAGAGGTTGCAATGAGCCAAGATCACGCCACTGCACTCCAGCCTGGGCTGGACGGAACAAGACTCCGCCTCAAAACCAACCAAATAAACAAAAAACAAAATTATCACCTGCCTCCAATCCCTGTCCTCCTACCCTACCCATATGTCTCATCTCATAAAACCTATACTTCTAAAATTCTATAGTTAATATGTGTATTATTCTGTTTTTTCTCATAAAGCCTATACTTCTAAATTCTATAGTTTATATGTGTATTATTCTGTTTTTTCTCATAATACCTATACTTCTAAAATTCTATAGTTTATATAGTATGTGTATTATTTTCTGTCTACCTCTGCCAGAATGTAAGCTCTAAAAGCTTACGTTTATTTAATTGGTTTTGCCCACTAAGGCACCTCAAACATCTATATAATCCCTGATACGTAGTAGGTGCTCAATAAATGGAAGAAACTTGACCACCTGGGTTCAAAGATTACTGGAGCTGATCATTCTACTTTAGTAGCAGCCTCTTCTGCAGTATAATGTTTTCTTCTCTTTAACTAATTTATTCTAAATTGAAAAACTGGCAACTAAAAAGGAGAAAAGCATATTGCAGTCTATAAATAAAATAGGAGAAGGGAGCGAAGACTGAGCAAGTTCACAACTCAGTATTTCACTTTCCTATGCTGACTGGGTAATTATTTATAAAAATTATGCAAATTAAAAATTTATAAAGCAGTTAAAACAAGTATTTATTAATGAAAGATAAAAAAATCTTTGCTTTTTTAAATGTTTTTTTTTTTGAGATGGAGTCTCGCTCTGTCGCCCAGGCTGGAGTGCAGTGGCACGACCTTGGCTCACTGCAAGCTCCGCCTCCCGGGTTCACGCCATTCTCCTGCCTCAGCTTCTGGAGTAGCTGGGACTACAGGCGCCTTCCACCACACTCGCCTAATTTTTTGTATTTTTAGTAGAGACGGGGTTTCACCGTGTTAGCCAGGATGGTCTCGATCTCCTGACCTTGTGATCCGCCCACCTCGGCCTCCCAAAGTGTTGGGATTACAGGCTTGAGCCACTGCACCCAGCCAAATCAATGCTTTCAAAAAAAAAGTACTTCTCCAAGTAAAACCTAACAAGATGCTAAGCTATACAAATATATATTAAGGTAATAAAATATTTTTTAAAAAGAGGAGGCGGCCAGGCCTGGTGGCTCACGCCTATAATCCCAGCACTTTGGGAGGCCAAGGTGGGTGGATCACGAGGTCAGAAGTTTGAAATCAGCCTAACCAACATGGTGAAACCCCATCTCTACTAAAAATACAAAAATTAGCTGGGCCTGTGGTGTCACACACCTGTAATCCCAGCTACTCAGGAGGCTGAGGCAGGAGAATCGTTTGAACCTGGGAGGCAGAGGTTGCAGTGAGCGGAGATCACACCACTGCACTCCAGCCTGGGTGACAGAGCGAGACTCTGTCTCAAAAAAAAAAAGACAATTTTAATTTACAGTAAAGCTCAATGATTATAATTTCCAGTCTTCGAGGATGCATCAATAACAACAATAACAAAACAAAAAAACAGTTTAAAACATGTCCTCCCCTCTTAAATCAAAGGTCTTAAACTGAGGAAGAACCAGGTGAGCAAGAACTATGCAGGCATGCATGCCATTTATACAAGAATTTGAGAACCCAGGCCAAGTGCGGTGGCTCACACCTGTAATCCCAGCATTTTGGAAGGCTGAGGCAGGTGGATTGCTTCAGCTCAGGAGTTTGAGGCCAGCTTGGGAAACATGGCAAAACCTCGCCTCTACAAAAAATACAAAAATTAGCCAGGCATGGTGGCGCACACTTGTTGTCCCAACTACTTGGAGGCTGAAATGGGAGAATCACCTGAGCCCAGGAGATCAAAACTGCAGTGACCCATGATTATGCCACTGTACTCCAGCCTAGAGACAGAGTGAGACTCTGTCAAAAAAAAAAAAAAAAAGAAAGAAAGAAAGAAAAGAATAGAATAGAATTTGGGAACCTGGAAACCTCAAGGAGCTAGAACAAATGAGTAGAGGTACCCAGGGTACCAGAGACGGTAAGACCTTAAGGAAGATGAACAGGCAAAAGCAAACCAAAGAAAATCAAGGCAATTCTGGGAACTGCAAATTGATTTGAGATGTCAGCAGGATAGCCTGTGAGGTATGAGAAGATGAGCTGAAAAGCTGAACAACAGCCGAGCTTCTAGAAGCTTAGATTTTATCCAAACGTTAAGGTGAAAAACTGAAGGAGTTTATCAAGTGACTAGAATCAGATTTGCATTGTAATAAGCATATGCAGCTTCAGCTGAAGGTTAACTTTTTCAAGGATAAGCATTATCACCCACCCCTGGAAGGGCAGTCAATAACAAAAAGTCTGGTTTAAGGAGATAGAGGTTATCATGTGCTATCATACCACTTTAGAATATTTTTCTGGCTCCTATTCAGAAGTGCAACTGAGTTTAGCCATATCCAAAAGCCACCAAGGGCTTGGCGTGGTGGCTCACATCTGTGATCCGGGCACTTTGGAAGCCCAAGGTGGGAGGATTGCTTGTGCCCAGGAGTTTGAGTCCAACCTGGGCAACATAGTGAGATCTTCTCCATCAATCAAGCAGTCAACAACAAAAGCCACTAGGATAAGACAAAGATTCTTGCCCTGGCCCTTAATTTAGAATTCCTTGAAAGCATTCATTTTGAACTCCAACATAATTTAATTATTGTAAGACCCTTTCTAAGATCCTACTCATCTGGTCAGGTAATCTGTTCTAGCTATGACTCCTCAGTACCTCTCATAAGCATGCATCTCTCTTTGTGACAGATAAAGCCATACTTCTACTCCTATGTCCTCCAACTTGACTGGGAGCTCCTCTAGACAGAATCGATGGTTTATTCAACTTGTTTCCCCAGTGTCCAGCAAACATGGGACTAGTAGAAAGCCTTCCATGTCCTTTCTAACTACTGTGTTTACCAAAGCCTCATTAATCAGCAAAAAACACCATTTTCTCCAAAACCTGCAGGATAATAAGCTTCTATGACTACCTGTAAAGGGCTGGAACTCTTCCGAGGTCTCAGCCAGGGCACTTTGTGATTCAGTTGTGTCAACTGCTACAGAGAAAGAAACCTGCCCTCCAGTTTTGCAAAAAGGATAGTATAAATTTGGTTAGAAGACTGGGAACATCTCCTATCATGGACACATGGCTTATGTTATCACCTTTCCAGGAAAATTGATAGAAACCTGTGCACTCAAGTGGCATTTCCACACCTCCAGGGATTGGCTCTAAAGAACAGTGATAACCCTGCAGATAAAGCAGATGACAAAGTAAAAGCCAGAAGGCTGACCAGAGACAGGCAGGCAGAGAGACTCACCTGCTAGAAGGTGGGACTCTACCTAAATCGTGGACTTAGAGATTCCTTCACTACTTTCTCAGAGGGAAATGTATTTGAATTGGAAATAATTCCTGTTCATTAATTCCTCATAACTTCTAAATCTAGAACATGTAGCTATATGTTTCAACCCTGGAATTGATTTTTATATGAACTGAGCTACGGGTCCATAATGCTTTATCTCAAACAGTGGCCTCAATTTTGCCAGGAAGCAAGAGAAAAAGGAGTCAGCCAAGGAGTAAAGGAAACACAAAAAGGATGAAGTTATGGAGGTCACAGGAGGAAACTATTTTTCCCTTTGTTTCTTTAGTAACATATTTATGGTCTTTGCTTTTAAAAAAAGAAAAAAAAAAGCCTTCTTTTCTTCTTCTCTAACTTGAACAGTAATATGTACCCATGGTAAAAGTTTGAAGTTTTTTGTTTTTGTTCTTGTTTTGTTGTTGTTGTTTTTTGAGACAGAGTCTCGCTGTCGCCCAGGCTGGAGTGCAGTGGCACAATCTCGGCTCACTGCAGGCTCCGGCCCCCAGGGTTCACGCCATTCTCCTGCCTCAGCCTCCCAAGTAGCTGGGACTACAGGCGCCCACCACCTCGCCCGGCTAATTTTTTGTATTTTTAGTAGAGACGGGGTTTTACTGTGTTAGCCAGGATGGTCTCGATCTCCTGACCTCGCGATCCGCCCGCCTCGGCCTCCCAAAGTGCTGGGATTACAGGCGTGAGCCACTGCACCCGGCCAAAGTTTGACGTTTTAAGGAAGAAAATGAAAGTCAATCTTAAGTCCAACATAATATTCAAAAATAACTACCATCAATATTCTGCATACAAATGTACATTTTAAAAGCAAATCTGGGGTTGCACTGTTTATATATTGTTATAATCTGATTTTTCCACTTAATGTTACAAGCATTTTGATGCCTTTAAATATTCTACTAAAACATGATATTTATGGCTGCATAGTATTTCCTTAAATGGATTTAACTAGGGTATTTCTCTACTCTATAAGAGACACTCATCATAGCACTATCTAAAAGTACTTGATTATCCCTCTGATCATTTTCTTTGGATAAAAAACAAAGCTACTGGGTATGGAGAATAACCATTTGAAATATACTACCGCCAGGCGCAGTGGCTCACACCTGTAATCCCAGCACTTTGAGGGGCGGGGGCAGGTGGATCACCTGAGGTCAAGAGTTGGAGACCAGCCAGGCCAACATAGTGAAAATCAGCTGGGCATGGTAGCATGCACCTGTAATCCCAGCTACTCGGGAGGCTGAGACAGGAGAATCGCTTGAACCCGGGAGGCGGAGGTTGCAGTTAGCAGAGATCGAGCCACTGAACTGCAGCCTGGGCGACAGAGCAAGACTCCGTCCCCCCCCAAAAATATATACATATACTGCCAAATCGCCCTCCTGCGATGTGGGAGGAACCACATTCAAACCATTACACATGTAAAACACTGCACAACTGCTAAGAGATCAAGGTCTGAAAACCAGCCTTTGGGTTTGGCTTTCAGGAGGTCACTGTTATAGAAACCTTCTAGGGAAGGCTTTTTAAATGAAGTCCCATCTCAACTACTTTTTCTAAGCTTTAGTTCTCATAAAGAGCAAAGAGCTTTCAACCATCATCTCTGTGAAGAAAGCTGACAAATCTGTTCCTTGCCTTCAGATGTTGCTGCCACATTTCCAACTGCATTTCCAGGCAGATGTCCCTCGGTTACCTCAACAAATCGGAAGCCAAACAGGATACCTTTACCAAAGCTACCGCCCTCTCCTGACTTTCCTACTTTTTGTTCATTTATTGCATAAATGGTTTATTTAATATCCAAGTGGGTAAGGATACCACTCCTGCAGTGCAAGCCATGTGTCCAAAGTATTCTTTCCTAAATACAAGATGAAAGACATTCTGAGACATCCTAACACATTTGATGTTGTTTCTTCATACCCACTATTGATACTGGTGTATGGGTAGGCGCTTAGGGAAGATCTGGGCTAGCTCCAGACCCTCATCAGCTCTTGCTTGGATAAGTGCAATACCTCCTAACTTACCTCCCTACATTGTTTTCATCATTTCGGTACTCCTCAAAACTTTGTTTCCTCAAGCCTAATGGGATAAAAATCCAAATTCCAAGTCCTTCAAATCCAACTGCAACCTTCTTCCCAGCCTTATCTTCTGGTTCCTCACTCAAGCCGCCTGACTCAGTTAAGTCTTTCAGACTCCTTAACGAAAGGACATGATTATAGGTCCATATCCGCTTTGGTACCTTGATCTTTGTTGCTACTTTGTTCTCCACAAACGTGCCCTTTCCTGTCAGCTATCATCTTCTCTCTACCCCTAAAAATCTCACTCATTCCATGAATTTTCTGAACCATTCTGTCCTTTATTTGGGTATTAAGGTAATCAACTTTATTATTCAGGGTCGTAATATTTATTTTTTTTTTTCAGAGACAAGGTCTTGCTCCGCTGTCCAGGCTAGAGTGCAGTGGCACCATTATAGCACATTGCAGCCTTGAATTCCTGGCCTCAGGCGATCCTCCTGCCTCAGCCTCTCAAAGTGCTGAGATTACAGGCATAAGCCACCATGCCCAGCTTCAAGGTCATAATGTTATTAAGTTAAAAGGTGTATATACTCATTTCCTACACTATTGCTTCAAAGCAGAGCTCCAGCTATGAATGTTCGTTAGAAGGTACAGCAATGATAAAGGCACCCTTGTAGTCTGGCTAAAAACAGGCTACCTCATTAAATACGTTTGTAAATTCAGAACTTCCTACCTTTGGAGCCAACTTTTCCATCTGTACTGGTTTGACAGAAGCAGTAGGTTTCAGTTGTTTGTTGACATTTGTTGTTTTGGTGGGTTGAACTGGAACTTTGGTGTTCTGAGCTTTCTATAAGGAAAAAGAAACATGAATAGCGCAAGACAGCCAGCGTTGTGGGACTCAGCACTATACAGAATCGGCCTCTGTATTCACATTCAGTCTTCATCATTGTTACCTTAGCTACTTGTGCTGCTCTGGTTGTAACTCTATTTCCAATTTCTTCTAAAACAGTTCGCCTAATAGTCACATGACTCTTAACTTTAGAATTAACTCCTGTGTCAATATTCTCCAAATCACTGGACACCTGAAAAAAAAAAAAAAAAGTAATGAAACCTTGAAAGAATTTGAAATACTTTGCTAATGTTAGATACTCAAATTTAGAATTGCTTTGGGAAAGGACAATACGTCAAGATCTATTTGCAAGATGGAAAAGGTACATTTCAGGAAGTCTAAAAATGCTATTTGTGATTAATAACATCACTCTAAATTAGGCAAATCACCCATCTACTTTATCCGTAATAAAGATCCTCCCACTAACCTTGCAAAGCTATTCTGAGTATTCAAGTGGGCCTGTAAGAGAACTTCAAAGCTTATTAGTATTTAATGATTATTTCTCATATAGTACCCATATCACTTGTTAGAGATCCCTGCAAGTTAAAGGCATATATTTAAAAACCTTCCTTTACAGAGCTTGGTAAAAAGTAAATTAAGATGAAAAATAATAAAGCTATAATATTAATAGTTAATAATAGGTCTGGTTGTTTAAAAACCAGATGTTTAAAACCTAAACTAGCTTTGATTCTTATGCCATTTCACAAATAAGAAATGCTCCTGTATGCATGATCTTTTAGAACTACAGCTTTTTAAAATGAGGTTGCCATAGAATGGATTTTCTCTTATATTAAGGACATTTAGAATGGAAGTAGTTTTCTTGAGTAATATAGTTTTAGCTCCCAAACTCAGGGAAGGTTGGAATTGTATGAAATAAAAATTGTCAGTTGACCTTAACCTGCTTTAGACATAATGTGCTTGGAAATAAAACTTGCTAGGAAAAGCAACTCATACCAAAAAAAGTTTATTATAGAAGTGATAAACATTTCATTAAAAAAGAAAAAAGCAAAAAACCAGCATGTCCTATCCCTGAGAGTTCAGGGTCCCGACTCTAATAAAACTCCCAACAAGGGGTTTGAGTGGATCTACCAGGCAGAGAGAGGGGCCAGGGAAACTCAAGCCTTCCCTGAACAGAAAGGTTTTGACTATTAAATAACGTTATAGAATACATTATTATAAAAAATTACTTGTCAGTTGGACTTAGATCCACAAAAGGATATTAATTAAATGCTAAATGTATTCAATCTATTAGGATTCTCAAAAGTCACACTTCAATTTCTTCCAGCAGCAACTGCCAATCTGAAAAAGTGTTTGAAAATGTAATGCTTATGGGTAGAAGCCTGGTAATGTGACTCAATTTAAATTCATCTGGATAGGAAAATTGGCAGCTTTTATCTAACCTTATAGCCAAGATGATGGAACTCAGGTGTGTCAGGGCCCTCTAGCTTTCGGCAAAGGAAAAAAGTAGGTCCCGGTACAATTCAAGCCCACAGGAAAAATACCCAAAACACCATAACACTTTGATCTCTGCAAGGATGAAATAAATGAATTTGGACCCTTTTCTCTCAGTCTGCCACATTGGTCCAAATTATATTCAAAAACCTCTGTTACATTTGAGTAAAGAAATTAATTTTTTAAGGGGACAAACCCATTTATTAGTGAACGTAGCATGGAAGACTTAGCGTGCCGAAATAAATGGGAAACTCATACAAAAAGAAATGTGAACAATCTGAAAAACAGCCTGGCAGTTGCCTGATGAAACACGCCGTACACTTTACTGCCTACAGAACCCTTCCAGTCCTCCTCCCAGCCGCCATCACAGGTCCCTTAGTTGGCAAGGAGTTGTAAGAAAGGGGGAGGGAAATCCCAGGAACGTGGAAGTAGATAACTCTCTAGCAATGAAGAGCACTCGGGGATCGCTCGCTGAGTACTAGGCCTAGTGCTCTGGGGGCTCACTTGACAGGCGCCATCTCGGAAGCGCTTTCCTACACTTCTCCCACCCCGGGGCAGGGAGGGGTTAGGGGAGGGCGGAATCCAGACGGGGAAAGGCGGGCCGGAGAGGACCGGCCGCAGGGCCAGGGACGCGGGCGAAGCAGTGAGCTCCGGAGAAGAGAAAAGCAGCCCCGGTTGGGACGGAGAAGCTCGGAGCAGATGAGAGAAGCGACAGGGGAGCTGTGGGGCCGACGGACTCGCCTCTGAGAGCGGTCCCCGGGCACACTCACCGTCGGGCGTCGGAGCAGCGCCATGAGGGACGGGGAAGGCAAGAGTGCCAGCCCGGCCCAGGGAGGGACGCGGACTGAAAAGGGAGGACACTAGCGTACGAGGCGCCGTTAGGACTGCTCTCCGAGCCCGCAGCGCTGGGGATCTTCGACGCTGTAGCCTTGTTCCAGGATTCAAATACCGCGTCGCTTGCGCCCCATTGGGCGGCCCTGCGCACGGGTCGCTGTTCTCATTGGCCAACACAAGATGCACTCTCGCACTCTCATTGGCTGAATTTTCTTAGACACGTTTGATTGTCACAACAGCCGGTTGGGGTGTTTTTTCTGCCTACAGTCTTTTAAAAAAAAAAAAACCCCAGTCTCTGAGACAAACAAAAAGGAACTGTCTCATTGGGAAAGCAGACGTAGGACGCCTCTGAATTTTGACAAGGCCTCATCTACGAATTTCTCTCGACGTTTGTAGTGGGTGGGCGGAAGTTGGTTGGCCTTTATTCCTCTTCTGGTGTGTTGGGGTTTAAGTTGTGTTGGCCTGGGTGCAGGAACCGGCCCCTCCGGGTTGCTCAGGGATGCAGTGTGTTAGGTGGTTGAGATGCAAAAGTGTGCTTAAAAAAAGAGAGAATAATGGCGTTTACTCAAAAACCCAAATTCTCAAGTAAGGCAAAAAAAAAAAAAAAAAGATAAAAGAGATTTGTGTGACTGGTGATTCATGTAAGTTCTCCATTGTATTCCCAACACCTAGTACATCGTTTGTCGTATATGGTTGGTGCTCAATAAATGTTCGTCTAATAATCAGCCCAAGCAAAGAATTCATGTCTAAGACCCCAAAAGCAAATGCAACAAAAACAAAAATACATAAATGGGACCTAATTAAACTAAAAAGCTTCTGCACATCAAAAGAAATAATAGACAACCACAGATTAAGAGAAAATATTTGCAAACTATGCATCGGAAAAAGGCCTAGTGTCCAGAATCTAGAAGGAACTCAAATCAGCAAGAAAGAAAATAATGCCATCAAAAAATGGGCAAAGGACATGAATAGATATTTCTCAAAAGATATTCAAATGGCCAACAAATACATGAAAAAATGCTCAACATCACTGATCATCGAAGAAATGCAAGTTAATACCACAAGGAGATACCACCTTACTCCTGCAAGAATGGCCATCATTAAAAAGTCAGAAAAAAAGGCCGGGCGCAGTGGCTCACACCTGTAATCCCAGCACTTTGGGAGGCCTGTTGGGCAGATCATTTGAGCCCAGGTGTTCAAGACCAGCCTGGGCAACATGGCAAAACCCCGTCTCTACAAAAATACAAATATTAGCCGGGTGTAGTGGTGAGCACCTGTAGTCCCAGGTACTGGGAGGGGGGCGGGGGGCGGGGGGCGGGGGGCCGTGTGTTGGGGCAGGAGGATCCCTTGATCCCATGAGTCTGAGGCTGCAGTGAGCCATGATTGTGCCACAGTACTCCAGCCTGGGCAACACATTGAAACCCTGTCTAAAAAAGAAAAAAAACCTCAAAAAACAATAGTCAAAAAACAGTGTAGGCGTGGATGTGGGGAAAAGGGAATGCTTAAACACTGCTGGTAGGAATGTACAACTTCTATGGAAAAAAGTATGGTGATTCCTTAAAGAACAAAAAGTAGTTCTACCATTTGGTCCAGCAATTCCACTACTGGGTATCTACCCAAAGGAAAAGAAGTCATTATATGAAGAAGACACTTGCACATGTATGTTTACAGCAGCACAATTCACAATTGCCAACCTAAGTGCCCATCGACCGAGTGGGTACAGAAAATGTGGTATATATACACCATGGAATACTACTCAGCAATAAAAAGGAACAAAATAATGTCTTTTGCAGCAACCTGGATGGAGCTAGAGGCCATTATTCTAAGTGAAGTAACTCAGGAGTGGAAAACCAAAAACCGTATGTTTTCACTTGTAAGTGGGAGCTAAGCTGTGAATATACAAAGGCAAACACAGTGATATAATGGAATTTAGAGACTCAGAAGAGGGAGGGTGGAAGGGGAGACAGGGATAGAAACCTACATATTAGATAAAATATACACTACCTAGGTGATGGGCACACTAAAATCTCAGAATTCACCACTATATAATTCACCCACATCACAGAAAGCCACTTATATCCCAAAAGCTACTGAAATAAAATTTAAGTGTATTAATTAAAAAATATTCATCTAATAAATGATCTTATGATGTATGTAAGATTTAAGAATGAAAAACAAGGTGTGACACCAGTCTTGAGCAGAAGAGTGGGAGGATTAGCACAGTCCAAAGAGAACAGTATTAATGTTGCCCTTGTAAAAAGAAGCAGGTGAAGATCAAGACAGAAAAAGAAACAGGAAAGGAAAAAGTGAGATTAATGGGAAAAGAGAAGGAAAAGAGGAAAGGAGTGATCTAACACCCATGATATCAGGTTCCATTAAGAATCTGAAGGCCTGGCATGGTGGCTCACACCTGTAATCCCAGCACTTTGGGATGCTGAGGCAGGTGGATCACTTGAGGTCAGGAGTTCAAGATCAGCCTAGCCAACATGGTAAAAACCAGTCTCTATTAAAAATACAAAAATTAGCTGGGCGTGGTGGTGCAGGCCTCTAATCCCAGCTACTCGGTAGGCTGAGGCAGGAGAATCGCTTGAACCTGGAAGACAGAGGTTGCAGTGAGCCGAGTTCGCACCACTGCATTCCAGCCTGGGCAACAGAGTGAGACTCTGTCTCAAAAATAAATAAATAAAAATTTGACCGAGCTTTCCCATCATTCTTAAATGGTTCTGTTACTTGGGGACGAATAATCAGTGTGGTTGGACGAGACTTATGTAAAGTTAAATTCCTAAATTGCCTCAATCCCTATTGGTTGGAGGGCATCTGACAGTTCTGAACTTGTTTCCTCTTAGGTGAAACAGGAATAATTGCAGCTACTATGTGAAAAGATGTTAGCCTATCCATAATCATCCCATAACTAAAAACTAGGTATCCTATGGAAAAGTCTTGGAAAAGAAAAATAGATGTTTTAGTGCACTGAAGTTGTAAAATATTTTTGCTTTATGTTGATATGTTATCAAAAGATACAACCATAAAAGTGACAATGCTTGCTTACTCATAGGGCTTTTTTATGAACGGTAAAGGTGCTTTCTTATTTATTTATTTTTGTCGGGGTCTTGCTCTGTTGCTCAGGCTGGAGTGCAGTGGTGCAGTCACGGCTTACTGCAGCCTCGAACTCCTGGTCTCACACCATTCTCCTGCCTCAGCCTCATGAGTAGCTGGGACTACAAGTATATGCCACCACTCCCAGCTAATTTTTAAAAATTTTTGTAGAGACAGGGTCTCACTGTGTTGCCTAGGCTGGGCATAGTGCTTTTATTAACCGACTTGACATTGTCAAAATTGAGTAATTGAATCTGTATTAACACGTTTTATTTTATTTTTTATTTTTTGAGAAGGCGTCTTGCTCTGTTGCCCAGGCTGGAGTGCAATGGTGCAATCATGGCTCACTGAAGCCTTGACCAGCCAGGTTCAAGTGATTCTCCCACCTCAGCCTCCTGAGGATCTAGGACCACAGGAGTGAGCCACCTCACCGAGCTAATTTTTTTATTTGTAGAGAGGAGGTCTTGCTATGTTGCCAGGTTGGTCTCAAACTCCTGAGCTCAAGAGATCCTCCGGCTTTGGCCTCCCAAAGTGCTGAGATTACAGGTGTTAAAAATGAAGATAATATTTCTTATTTTGTACTTCTCACTGTAACTAACCTAAAACCTTACACACAAACTTCTTGTTTTGAGACAGGGTCTCCCTCTGTCACCCAGGCTGGAATGCAGCAGTGTGATCACAGCTCACTGCAGCCTCAATCCCCCGGGCTCAAGTGATCCTCCTACCTCAGCCACCCGAGTAGCTGGGACTACTCGGCTGGCTGATTTTTAAATGGTTTGTACAGATGGGGGTCTCACTATGTTGCCTAGGCTGATCCCGAACTCCTGGGCTCAAGTGATCCTCCTGCCTCAGCCTCCCAAAGTGCTGGAATGAACCACCATGCCCAGCCCATCCATAAATTTCTTTTTTTCAAATATCACCCTAGGAGGCCTGGCATGGTGGCTCATGCCTGTAATCCCAGCACCTTGGGAGGCCAAGGCGGGTGGATCACCAGGTCAGGAGATGGAGACCATCCTGGCTAACACAGTGAAACCCCTTCTCTACTAAAAATACAAAAAAAAAAAAAAAAAAATTAGCCAGGCATGGTGGCGTGTGCCCGTAGTCCCAGCTACTTGGGAGGCTGAGTGGCGGACGTTGCAGTGAGCCAAGATCACGCCACTGCACTTCAGCCTGGGTGACAGAGTGAGACTCTGTCTCAAAAAAATAATAATAATAATAAATCAATCACACTGGGAAACGGAAAGTTCTTTCACTGCTGATTCCTCTGAGAATATAAATCATTTTGCACATGCGCTTCTCTATATGCAAAGCTTTGGTTTGGGGGGAGAAGTAAATGCGTTCAGAAAGCTTGTGCTAGGTATTCTAACAAAACAATGGGGCTTGTTTTACCTCACTGTGGTGGATGAAAGAGTGCCCCCCTTTTTTTTTTTTTTTTTTTTTTTGCAGTGCCTTCTGTGAACAGGTGTAATCTATTTTCTCTCTCCTTAAATTTGGGCTAGCCTTGTTATTTACTTTAACCAACAGAATGTGAAAGAAGAGATGCTGTTCCAGTAACAGGATTGGGTCTTAGGAAGCAGTTTATTTCTCCCTTGGAGTCCTGCGTCACCACCATAGAGACCCAAGCTATTCCTTTCTAGAGATGACATTGAGAGAAATGCCCAGCGCATTATCACCTGTCCTAACCATCCCAGCTAACGCGTCAGATATGCAAGGTGAGGCCACGTGGACACTGTCTCAGTAGAACTTGCAGCTGAATGTAGCCACATGAGGAAACGTCATACCACAGTGAAAGATGAGCTATGCCTGCCCAGCACCGCCCAAATCACGCAACTGTGAGCAAATAAATGTGTTTTATAAACCACTCAATTTGGGGGTGGTTTGTTACAAAACAGGTAACAAATACACTTACCTGGGGGCATTCCAAGTCGTTGCACCAAATAAGCTTTTCGTTTGCTGGAATAGTCTTATCATCTTGGTTTCACAGGGGGATCACAGTTTAAGAAAACATAGCACAGTATCTGTGATTTCTGATCATTTGTAAACTGAATTCTCAATGATGTTATCCTGGTAGATTTTTCATATGGGAAATTTGAGTTGCCTTCGTCATTTCAAAGAGATATTTTGGCATTTGGTTATCTCCTGCAGGTAAAAGAAATCATCTGGTGCTGAACTATGGATCAGATGTAATTCAAAGCCTTAGGAAGCACTGAGGCCAGTCTGATAGAATGTTTACCACCATCACTTGAGTTCAGGAGTTTGAGACCAGCCTGGCCAACATGGTGAAACCCCGTCTTTACTAAAAACTACAAAAAATTAGCTGGGTGTGGTGGCAGGCACGAGTAATCCCAGCTACTCGGGAGGCTGAGACAGGAGAATCGCTTGAACCCGGGAGACAGAGGTTGCAGTGAGCTGAGATTGCACCCCTGCACTCAAAAAAAAAAAAAAAGAATTTTTGCCCACAGAAGTTTACATGTTTGAAGCTGGGTCTTGATATACGGGATAAGAGTGTTTTCACAATTTGTACACAAATCCTTGGCTACACCTTTCTTCAAATGGTGGAACCTAGTTCACCACCTCGAGTATAGCCTGCCCTTAGTTACCCTCATTTCTAAGAAATAGAATGTGGCAGAAAGGACAAAGTGTAACTTCTGAGACTAGATCAAAAAGTGGCATGTGGCTTCCTCCTGGCTTTCTCTGGGATCAGTAGTTCTGGGTAAAACAAGTTACCCTGTTGTAAAGACATTCTAGCAGCTCTCTGGAGAGGCTCCTGTAGCAAAGAAGTGAACTCTCTCAGTAGCCAGTGAGGAGCTGAGACTGCCTGTCAACAGCCTGGGGACTGAGCAATCTTAGAAATGGATTGTCCAGACCCAGTGATGCCCTCAGATGACTTGTAGACCAACAGTGTGCAGAAGGGTAGATTTTTAAAAGGTTAAAAAAAAAAAAAAAAAAAAAGACCAGCCAGGTGCAGTGGCTCACATCTGTACTCCCAGCACTTTGGGAGGCCGAGGTGGGCAGATCATCTGAGATCAGGAGTTCCAGACCAGCCTGGCCAACATGGTGAAACACCATCTCTATTAAAAATACAAAAATTAGCTAGGTGTGGTGGCATTTGCCCGTAATCCCAGCTACTAGGGAGACTGAGGGAGGACAATTGCTTGAACCTGGGAGGCAGAGAGTGCAGTGAGCCGAGATCGTGTCACTGCACTCCAATCCGACAGGGCGAGACTCTGTCTCAAAAAAAAAAAAAAAAAAAAAAAAAAAAAAAAAGATGACTGCAGCCCCAACAGTCACCTTGACCTTGATTATAACCTCATGAGAGACCCTGAAGTAGAAATGCAAAACGAGGCTGTTTGTTCCTGAGTGCCTGATTCACAGAAACTGAGATGTTTGATGTGTAAACCACTAAGTTTTGGGGTTACAACGTGAAAACTATTGTATAACAACAGATAAAGCTTTGGGGAGAGACTGGGCTTTTTTTTTTTTTTAAAGAGACGGAGTCTTGCTCTGTCACCAAAACTGAGTGCAGTGGCGCAATCTCAGTTCACTGCAACCTCTGCCTCCCAGGTTCAAGCGATTCTCCTGCCTCAACTTCCCAAGTAGCTGGGACTATAGGCATGCACAACATCCAGCTAATTTTGGTAAATTTTTTTAGTAGAGATGGGGTTTGGACAGGCTGGGCTCAAACTCCTGACCTCAGGTGATCCACCTGCCTCAGCCTCCCAAAGTGCTGCGATTACAGGTGTGAGCCACCACGCCCAACATTGTATATACTTCTTAAGAAAATATCTATGACTGAGAAAAAATGACATATTAAATATTGTGACATGTGAAGTTTTCAAAAAATATACATATATATACTGGCCGGCCACAGTGATGTGGTGGCACGCGCCTGTGATCCCAACTACTCTGGAGGCTGAGGCACGAGAATCACTTGAACTCAGGATGTAGAGGTTTCAGTGACCTGAGATCGTACCACTGCACTCCAGCCTAGGCAAAAGATGGAGACTTTGTCTCAAAAACAACAACAACAACAACAAATATACATATATATATAACAACAACACAGTATGTGTGTGTGTGTGTGTCTGACACACATATACTGTGTTCCCAGAGGTTTTGGAAGTTAGAAACTAGGATGTATTTTCTACAGATTTAAACTATTCCCATTTATGAAACACTAATAACAAAATATCCTCAAGAGCTTATATTTTAGTGTTTCATCTAGTTACAAATAACAGTTGTGGTTTTTTTTTGAGAGGGAGTCTGGCTCTGTCACCCAGGCTGGAGTGCAGTGGCGCTATCTCAGCTCACTGAAAGCTCCGCCTCCCAGGTTCACGCCATTCTCCTGCATCAGCCTCCTGAGTAGCTGGGACTACAGGCACCCGCTACCCATGACCAGCTAATTTTTTGTATTTTTAGTAGAGATGGGGTTTCACCATGTTAACGAGGATGGTCTCGATCTCCTGACCTCATGATCTGCCCACCTCAGCCTCCCAAAGTGCTGGGATTACAGGCGTGAACAAGTAACAGTTTTTAAAACAAAAGTAGTTTTCTCTAAGTCAACTGTTATGGTTCAAATGCTGAAGTGTGCTAGCAGCTAAAATAAAGTCACCAGAGTAAGAAAAACGTTTCAAATGATCAGTTTATCACAACTGTTATGGTTCAAATGCTGAAGTGTGCTAGCAGCTAAAAGAAAGTCACCAGAGTAAGAAAAACGTTTCAAACGATCAGTTTATCACAACTGTTATGGTTCAAATGCTGAAGTGTGCTAGCAGCTAAAAGAAAGTCACCAGAGTAAGAAAAATGTTTCAAATTATCAGTTTATCACTTGCATGTTAACAACAATAAAAATAAGGACTTGCTAACAAAAGAATTTTAGTTTTTATGTATTTGGACAGCTACCACTGAAATGTTCATTTTGACATATAAGATGCAGCAGGATATGGAAGACACCAAAACAAAGCACAAAAAGTCAAAATGTTCAAAGTCATTTTCTTCCTTACTTTCTTCATTACTTATCACATTTTTCGATAACTAATGGCAGTAGCTTAATAAGCTCCTATATTAACAATTCAGGTTTATGTCACAAATACTTTTATTAAATAAATTTCAAAGTAACAAAGCTTTGCCTACATTAAAAAAATCAGTAGCAATTATAAAACAAGTCAACAGGTAGTCGTGCATCTAAATCTGATGTAGTATTCAAAAATAGAGAAATCCACCTGTGCTTTACTTGTATCTGGGGGAACGTCAAGAGGACTCCATGACATACAGTTCTCCCCATCTTACACTTCTTCAGTCCCTTGGCACAGACCCGGGGTATTCCAGTGGCAAAGTAGTACATCCATTACAGGCTACTTACTTAAAGGAAGACAGGCTACTTGCTCTTTTCCCCAGTAAGATGGCAGACATAGGTCACTGACTCCTTCACTCTCCCCTGACCTTCTATAACCTCGGTTTAATCATAAGGTATGCTCTTTAAATCCATCGTCCATCTGCACACATACTATGTTGAAGCCTGTTAACATTGACAACTACTACAGTGTAACATTTACTAATATGAAGAAAAGGGCAAGTAGTCATAACTGAATGAATATAAATGTCAAATTATGCAAATGTCAATTTGAGTGAGATCACTATTGTTGAATTCCAAGATGTTTAATGTAAACTGTTTTTATAAAAACTAATTATGAAACACAAAGACAATAGAAATATAAGTTATTTATTAATCAATCCACTTACAAAGCAGGTGGCTTAATGCAAGCTTATTGACATCTTCACATATGATCCATGGGAACATGTCCTCCACATACAGACAGTGATATTACTGACTGGATGCATTTGCAATCTGGGGCATATTAAGCATATTTAAACAAATAAAATTAGGCTATCCTGTATATGAAAGTATCTTGATAATAATATGCATCCTGAAGTAGATTAAAACTTCCTCCAAAGGAGAAATGTTAGTATGTTAACTTAACTTTATATTCTATATTATGCAGTAAATCTTAACTATAGAAATTAAAAATTTTAAATCAGTGATCGACTCTTGGTAATGTATGAAGTGGGAGTATATAACCATAGCAACAGTAGGTTGACAGTATAATTTGTGCCTCACAGTATCTGCAGATTTACTGTTTTCAAGTTTAGAGAGAAATAAAACAAGAGACATGTAGATTCAGCTGACTTTATTTACCTTTAAACTAATAAAAATCCCTTAAAAGTGATCCTGGGACCTTTATAAGTTCTATGAATGCACAGATACCTGCCAGTGACTTAAATTCCAAATCTTGACTTAATGTGTCTACAAAATCAATGTAAGCAGATATCTTAACTTTTCGTGCTTAGCAGAAGACAACAAATTCTACATGTCTTTTTCAATTTCCCTAAAATTTTGTTAAATCTGCAAGTATGTACAATCTAGCTAATTGAAATTAATATTTAGTGTTCATCAGAGCTGTTTCACAGCAGCAAAAACTGAATCAGGGAAATAAAATTCTAAATGATGTAGGAAAAAGATAAATGCAATCAGAACAGCAGTCTAAATGTATGATATCAATATTCAACTCTTATCTGCACTGTGTTGAAAGGAAAAGGATACACCAAGAAAATTTATACTGATCACTCTGGTGATGTGACTACCACCTGCATCTGATTTATATGGGTTGTATTCTGTTCCCAGTATTAAGGATGGTATTTAACTCAGAACTCCATATAGTAAATATACAGCAGCCATTTTGTCCTAATTAAGGAATGTCTTAATACACAATATTATCATTTTCTAGAGGATCTTTATACATTAAACTAAAGTACATGATTGATTAAATTAAAGGTTAGTAATGGATAAAAAATTCATAATTATCAAGGCTTGGTACTATGTAAAAAACAAAAAGACCACAAAATTCTACTTACTAAAGCAGCTAACCTTGCCTGCAAGTTTAGGGTCACAAGCCCATAATATGTGCAAAGAAATGCAATACAAGGAACCATGCAAAAATACAGTAAAATGATACAGAAAAATGTCAAATCTAGAAAAAAAAGCTTTTATAAATACATCAAAATCAACTGTATACATAAACTGTAGGTCTAGCATTAGTTGTACCATATAGCAGAGCCAGCACTCTAAGTTCAATGCTTCCAAATCTGCGCAGGTAAGTCATGCCATCTTTGGTTGACTGCAGTACCAGGAAGGATGGGAATGAGAGGGAGGGCAAGAGTTCTGAAACATGGTGTCAACTTTCACTTGGCAGCTGGGCCTCAATGTCCACTCTGCATATGGGGCACTTCTTATTGGTAATCAACCATTGGTCAACACACACTTGGTGGAAAAGGTGCATACATGGAAGACGTCTATTATTGGCAAGAAAACAAAAAGCAAAAATTAATTTTATGATAATTGTACGTAGTTAACAAATTATATATGTAATAATTCAATAATGTTTTGAAGGTACTAAGCATCTTCCTCTTCTATAAAAAACACATCGATTAAATTAGCACTCTGGGCAATATAATATATAAATGATCAAGATAATTAACTTTCAAAGCTACAGGACCAAATTATATAAAATCTTAAAAACTGTAAGAACACAAATTACACTGCCAATTATTCCAGTTTTGTTTTGGTACAGGAGCTGCCAATGCCCTGGAGTTAGCAGTATGTTACCTGTCACATAATATTGCAAATATATTTTTAAAAATCAAATCATCACTGTATTTGTAATGCCCTTTAAAAATACATATTATCTCAAATATATATTTATTACATCATTTAATTCTCTCTCAAAAACATTACAATTCATGTGGCAAATATATAGTAACTACACTTTCCTCACTAAAAAATGTCTTATTGTGCAATGTTATTTTCTATCAAGAATATCTTTACACATTAAACTTAAGTACATAACTGATTAAAGGTGAGTAATACTTTTTTCACGGAATAATTGTTATATACACTTAATATTGTGCTACTGTTTAACAGGTAAGTTAAAAGGAGATGTAATGATTTGTTTGTTTACATCATGCCAAATTACCAATTAGAAATTGAGAAATAAAGCCCCCAAGCAAGATAGGGTAACATTAAATCTGAGTGTTAACAGTGGAATAAAAGTTACTGACTCGTGTCCATTTCTACTTCTAGCAACTGTTAAGAGTTTTTATACACTTTTCAGACTTCCTAATATCTTGTTAAAATAATAGCCTTAAAAAGTATCCCAATTATTCCTTGAACAGTATTGTCAATACTGTAAAAGCAATTAAGTTCCAAATTTATAAACCTTCATTAGAAATACAGTGTGCAAAAAACCTTATTTGTCGTATGGTAGACAATTTTTTTCTCAGCCAACTGAAGAGGTACGACAAAGTTATCCTTATAAATTAGGGCAATAATATTACTACAAGGTTCTGTTATATATGATATAGAACCTGTTTCATATGGCATTATGTTAACATTAAAAAAAAGAACAGGAAGAAAACAATTACTTAAGTGATTATACAAAGAAAATGCCTAAAATTAATATAGGGTTAACATATTAACATTTTCTAAACAACAAAGGTGCAAGAAGGGAATAGTCCTACTAGTTTAGAGGAAATTTTATGACAAAACCAGTTTATAAAAGATGCTATAGCCGAGTGCAGTGGCTTACGCCTGTAATCCCAGCATTTTGGGAGGCTGAGGTAGGTGGATCGCTTCAGCCCAGGAGGTGGAGGTTGCAGTGAGCTGAGACTGCTGCCCTGAGCCTGGGCAACAGAAGGAGACCATCTCCCAGAAAAGGAAAAAAAAAAAAAAAAAAAAAAAAGATGCTGTAAAACAGACTGCATAGGACTAATCTGGATCCCTGTTTAAGTTTTGAAGAACACATTATAACTTTCTAGGACCTCCAAAGCCTCTCAAATTCTCATTTCTGCAAGATTTACAGAAGACAATTTTGACTACGAAATTTCCCTGGCCAAACCTTGTGTGGCCCTACAATAGGCAGTATATTTCCCACTCCCATGTTGGTAACATAGATACTTTAATCTTTTATTGTTTCACTCGCCAGATGAAGCCAGTTCTACGTGCCAGAAATTGGTAACAGTATATGCCAAAAGTAATCTTTATTTGGTTTCCAGTTTACTT
The DNA here is from genome assembly GCF_000001405.40 of Homo sapiens. NCBI lineage: Eukaryota > Metazoa > Chordata > Mammalia > Primates > Hominidae > Homo > Homo sapiens. Next base: position 59,093,017 of record NC_000015.10, on the reverse strand, counting down.
TTACTCTTTTTTTTCAGAGACAGGGTCTCACTCTATTGCCCAGGCTGGAGTGCAGTGTGGTGTGCTCAAAGCTCACTGCAGTCTCAAACTCCTGGGCTTGAGCCATCCTCCTGCCTTAGTCTCCTGAGTAGCTGGCACTGCAGGTGCACACCATCACATGCAAATAATTGTACTATTTTTCTTTTTTGTAGAAACAGAGTCTTGTTATGTTGCCCAGGTTGGCCTCAAACTCCTGGCCTCAAGAGAGCCTCTGGCCTTGGCCTCAAAAAGTGCTGGAATTACACGTGTGAGCCATCATGCCCGGTGTAATTTACTTTTCAAATAAAATCCCATGTACAGTTTTGACAATGGATTTTAGATAATTAATATCTAGTTACCTCACATCTTCACCTTCCTCTAAAATAGACAAACAGATAGTACATTTTTCCTCTGTGTCTTCCTCAGTCCCTTCTTCCCCATCTTGTTTGCAGTGCAGTTTCCTCTGTGAGAACCAATCAGTTGTTACCTTATTAGTAGAGATGACATTATTGAACAACTGAGTAAAGTCTGTGTTTATTTGAAAAACAAAACAAAACAAAACCACATATTCACCCGCACTTTTTTCCCAGGTAAGACTGTCATAAATAAATGGATGAATTAAGTGACTATCATCAATTAAGTATATTTTTAAGACCCTCTAATAATTGGGATCAAAAGCAAAATCAAATTTAACAGAAATTCATTCACTTAAAAGCTATTACTTTTAATCCACAATGAGAATGATAAACAATATAAACTATTTTTATCCTACCATGAGCATAAATAAGTTTTTTTTATTAGTGAATGTTTCAAGTAACATCCATTTAAATTAACATTAGTTACAGTATTTAACTTGGACAGTTGAAAACTTGAATGTACTGGTAATACCTCAATACTCTTTGAAAATAGATGAAAAATACAGAGAATAGTAATTTTCACACTTTATGATTATTCTTTACATAGTATAAAGGAGTCTCCAACCCCTGGGCTGCAAACCAGTACCTGGCTGCACAGCAGGAGGTGAGTGGCAGGTGAGCGAGCATCACTGCTGGAGCTCTTCCTCCTGTCAGATCAGCAGCAGCGATAGATTCTCATAGAAGCGTGAACCCTATTGTAAACTGTGCATGTGAGGGATCTAGGTTGCATGCTCCTTAAGAGAATCTAACTAATGCCTGATAATCTGAGGTGGAATAGTTTCATTCTGAAACTATCCCCTCTGCCACCTATCCATGAAAAATTGTCTTCCATGAAAACTGGTCCCTGGTGTCAAAAAGGTTGGGGACCGTTGGTATTGAGCATGGTTTAAGACACGTATTTAACATGTCTACCCCATAACTGTATAATGCTATACAAGCAACTGAGGGTAGAGTAGAAGAAACATACATCAATAAAATGTCCGTCAAAATAAATTGCTAGTTAAAAAAATTACAGTACTGCCATATGATGGAATTCTGCATAAGCTATTAAAAATAATAAGGGTGATCTGTGGGAGCTAATTGGCATGAAAGGCAATCTGCAAACTATGTGGTAATCATCTCCTTTTGTGTTTTTTTTAAAGTAGACAAAAATATATATACATATGCACATTATTAGAAAATGCTAAAAAATATCTAGAAGAATATCTAAATCCTTAACTATGATTTCACTTCTGGGAAGAAGGACTAGGGTCTGCAGAGTAAAAAACTGCAAAGTATATATTTTTTATACTTTCCAAAATTTTTAAACAATATGTATGCATTACTTCAATAAAAATGTCATTGCTAGAGTCTACAAATTCAAAAAAGGTATATATTACATTTATGCCTTTCAGTAACACTCCAGAAGTTTCATAGAATAAATTCTTACCTTTTTGTATTTATGTGGATATGTACATCTTTCAATTGTCCCCTGGGATGCTCCACGATTGACATTGCCTAATCTTTCTTCCAAATGAATCAGTTCCTGAAAGTGAAGAATATAATGACTGGTAAAAGCCAAGATGATTATTCCTTGAACAGAACTGTCAACATTGTATAAGAAATAAACCTCCATACTTAGAAACTTGCAATATAAATACAGTGTTCAAAAAAACTTACACATGACAAGTGGTTACTTATATATAAGTATATATATAAAACAGTTTATATGTTGCCCAGGCTGGTCTCAAACTCCTGGCCTCAAGTGATCCTCCCACCTCGGCCTCCTAAACTGCTGAGATTACAGGTGTGAGCCACCATGCCTGACTTAATGTTTCTCATAGACAGTAAGGCAAATGGTTGTTTATCATGTTTTCCTCAGCCAACTGAAATGGTACAGCAAAAGTTATCTTTATAAATTACAACAATATTATCACATGGTACTATGTAAGTCAGTATGTATGTATGTATGGAGAAGATGAAATAATTCTAGTAAATTAAGGAACCAAATCAAACAATAGTTCTAAGTCACAATGACTCCAACTTCCAAACTGACATAAAAAAAACACAACGGGGGCCGGGTGCGGTGGCTTGCGCCTGTAATCCCAGTACTTTGGGAGGCCAAGGTGGGTGGATCACTTGAGGTCAGGAGTTCAAGAGCAGCCTGGCCAACATGGCAAAACACTATCTCTACTAAAAATACAAAAATTAGCCGGGCGTGGTGGCGGGCACCTGTAATCCCAGCTACTCAGGAAGCCGAGGCAGGAGAATTGCTTGAACCCAGGAGGCGCAGGTTGCAGTGAGCTGAGATTGTGCAACTGCACTCCAGTCTGGGTGACAGAGCAAGACTCCATCTAAAAAAACAACAACAACAAACAAACAAACAAACAAACAAAAAAACAAACCACAACAAAACTTTAAATCCCATTCGAATGATTTGTTCTTCCTGAAAATTCAAACAAGACATTTAGCTACAAAGGGAATTACTTAAGTTTCTTTTTCTCTACCGATTTCTCTAAAAATTTAGCTGAGTCAAAAACATTCCGTTCCCCACCACATTTAATGGTATAGTTATATATCTGACATTTATATTGATTTAATACATTTTTATATTCTTCTATATTAGATATTTTCATTTACTCATCTTTAAATATTTCGGTAACTTTTGACCCTAAGATTAATAATACTTACAAATATTTCTGTAACTCCCAGAAGCAACATCAGAAAATCACATGTGATTCCCAGCCACTGTAGCAGTCCTACACAATTGTGTATAGTAGTATATATATACTCAATCTGCATTAAAGATACTGTGACAAACATATTCATTTATTTTATTACATACCTCAAAATTGCCCCTGAAAGGACCTCTGAATGATGTTCCATCCAATCCTGATGAAATGTAACGGATGTGAGGATAGCCTGCCATATCAGGAACCTATTTCAACAGAAGAGATAGGCTAAATCAATTTTAAGAATAGACTTGTGATTTACTGTTAACATTGAATAATTCAAGACCCTCAATGTTTTCAATTCAACTGCTCATAAAATTTGACTTCAATAAGAATACATAACTCCAACTAAGCATTCTGTAACAGGTTTAGGTTTCTGTTAAAATATAACCTAACTCTCCAAAATGCCCAAACTTAAGCCTGAGGCTCTTAGTAGCTCAAACTTGAAAAGAGTAAAATTGTCTTAAGATCCTGTCCATTTCAGAGAGCTTTATTAAAACAACAACAAAAAATGCACACAATTTTCCAACAAAATTCGACTTCAAGATAAGTTTTTTACTTCACTTCTGTTAAGCTTCCTAACAGCCAAAGTACCCTATGCCTTTTTTGCTTGATTCTATTAGGGAAACTTTTAACACTGTTTTCTAATTTTTTGTTAGTTACAGTCAATCTTCATTATTTATGGATTACATATGTGTGAACTGACCCACAGGCTAAAATTTACTTGTAACCCCATAATCAACACTTGTGCTTTCAGAGTCATTCGTGGATATGACCGGTGGCAAAAAATTGCAGTTGCCCAACATGCAACTCTGTTCCCAGCTGAGGTAGAACAGGGCTCTGCCGTATTTGAGCTCCTACTATAAACCAGTGTCTTGTTTGCAGACTGTTTAGTGCCACGTTTTTCACAGTTTTGTGCTTTTTGTTGGTGATTGTGTTGTTTAAAATGGCACCCAAGCATAGAGCTGAAGTGCTGTCTAGTGTTCCTAAGCAAAGAAGGCTGTCATACACCTTATGGAGAGAATAAGTTTCATTCACGCATGAGTTACAGTGTTGTTGGCTATGAGTTCAATGTTAATGATTCTACAATATTTTTTAAAGTTGTCTTTAAGCAGAAACACACATAAAAAAGGTTATACACTGATTAGTTGTGAACAGAGGTTTGCAAGGGTCCCATATTTGCTAATTCAGTGTTTGCAGCAACTGTATAGATCATAACTGCCATGCATAGTGAGAGTATTAGGAAAGGGCATTTCTGAGATACAGCACCATTCTTCCATCTTTATAAATAAATCTCTGACATTACTTTTTAATTAGCCTACACTGAATCACAACATACTTTAAGCAGAATTTATAGCTTTAACGGACACTTCATATGTGGAAAAGAATTTAAATAAGCAATAACTTTTAACCTTCAATAGCCTATTACTTAAATTGTTTACAACTTTTCTTATAACCAAGATCATTACTACTCAGCAGATAACCCAACCTCCTAAACATCTTCAAAGAAATCGGAAAGGAACTCCTGCATCCCAAATTATCTAAATCTTCACTTACCCTGAAAAGCCTCTCCTCCCTAGTCTCTTTCCTCCAGCCTTTATGGATGAGCTTTTCTCCTATTCGAACTCAATCCTTATCACCCACTCCTCCCTTCACCTGTTCACCCTGGGTCATGCTTACTTCACTACTTCCCACCAAGCCTCTCTCTCTTCAATATCTTCAAACAATTCCTCTCTAATGGTTTTCTGTCTTAAACCTGAAAATACCTTAAGTTTTTCCAAACCTAAATTCTCTACTAATCCTGGAATTACTGCCAACCAAATAGGGGTTTCCTTCACTTTCCCTTCACAGCCAAGCTTATAAAGCAAGAAGGCTATATTCACTGTCTCCATGTTTTCACTTCCTTACCGTACGTAATCTAAGAGGTGCCCCATCTACATCACTCACCATTACTGAACCATTCTGACACAAAAGACCAATAACCACTCTACTGCCAAATGCTTTCAATACTTTTCAAACTTTATTTTTTTGTGATGACACCATACTGACCATATTACAGTTCACCCTTGAACAACATAAAATGGGTTTGAACTGCATGGGTCTGCTTACATGTAGATTTTCTGCCACCTCTGCCACCCCAGAGACAGCAAGATGAATCCCTCCTTTTCCTACTCTTCAGCTTACTCAATGTGAAGACAATAAGGAAAGAGACCTTTATAATGATACACTTTCACTTAACGAATAGTAAATGTATTTTCCCTTCCTTATAATTTTCTTAACATTTTTTTCTACTTTATTGTAAACTATCATTATCTATTGTAGACTATCATTATCACGTACTTATAACATACAGAATATGTGTTGATCAACTGTTTATTTTAGCAGTAAGGCTTCCGATCAACAATAGACTATTAGTAGTTAAGATTTTAGGAACTCAAAAGTTATACTCTGATTTTCGACTGTGAGGAGGGTCAACACCCCTAACCTCTGCATTGTTCAAGTGGTAACTGTATTTTCTGATATTATTTTAACTGTGTTTCTCAACTTTTCAAGCCAGTTCTCAGAATCCTTTGTTCAAAGCATAGTATTATCATTTAAATACAGTATTGTCATTCTCTAAGGTTTTTTCACCCTCTTGTCACTCTGCACATTTTTCCTGAAAACCTAATCCTCTTCCATGGATTCATTACCTCCATATACTGACAGATCAAAACATATCTTTAACCCAAATATCTTTGGAAATCCAGACCACAGGCTTAACTTCCTATTGGACATTCAACTTTCATAGAGATTCAGTACATCCAAGACCTAACTCACCTAACCCCTTCACCCAAACCCTAAATATCTCTCAAATGTGTATCATCATTTTTATGCCAACTACAATTGCCTTCATTCAGGCATTCATCAATATTTACCTCTTCTACTATAATGTCCTAACTGGTTTCCCACATTTACATCTATTTTTCCACATAACTGAGGAGGTGATCTAACTATAATCTGATTAAATAACTCTAAAATCATAAATTTGATCAGGACATTTCCCCTTCAATGGTTCCTGAGTTCCAGTTTCTTGGTAGAACAGTTTTATTTCTCACTGCTGCCTGACCCTCACTCCTAAAATTAGAAACACCAGCTTACTTGGAGTTCCCAGTGCTTGTGCTATTTGCTACATCTTTACATGCTGTAACCTCTGCAAGAGCACCATTCCATAATCCAGTCTGCTTAGAAGTCACATGTACCAGAAAGCTTCTCTGAAAGCTTTCCTGCAGTGCCTCTACCCACAACAACACAAAACTATTCCCTTTTCTGTACCATTTATATAACAAGTATGTAATACAAACAGCAAACGCAATGTATGTTTTGCTGAACTTGTCCTTTAGCACTTTACAAAATCTGAACCTGCTTAAATCAGATGTAGAGAATTAGTATAATCTTTCTGCAGATTAGAAAATCAGGCTGGGTGCCCTGGCTCAAGCCTGTAATCCCAGCACTTTGGGAGGCCAAGGTGGGCAGATCACTTGAGGCCAGGAGTTTGAGACCAGCCTGGCCAAATGGTGAAACCCCATCTCTATTAAAAATACAAAAATTAGCCAGGCATGGTGGCACGTGCCTGTAATCCCAGCTACTTGGGAGGCTGAGGCAGGAGAATCACTTGAACCCAGGAGGTGGAGGTTGCAGTGAGCTGAGATCATACTACTGCACTCCAGCCTGGGTGACAGAGTGAGACTCTGTCGAAAAAAAAAGAAAAAAGAAAATCAAGTATGACTGCATCAGAACGGATCTATTACCACTTACGGCAAAATAACTGAAGCACAGTATACTCCTGACAGTGGATTAAGAGTATCTTGGTATACAAAAAACCCCACACTTTTTTGTCATGTCGTACATTAAGAGTACATGTTATGATGCAAATTATACGTGCAGATTTTAATACATCTAATACCTTTTTATAGCACAATTTTAGCTAACAAGATTACTCTCAAATTCTATTAAAACATCTATATTAATATAGTGAAGTATTTCCAATAAAATACTTAGAAAAGGAACTTTTAGAACATGTCAAAATTTTGAAAATTTTCCATTTTACCATTAAAGGAAGAGCTCCTAATTGTAAGTGATGAAGTCGAGGAGGTGCGTGATAATGGGCCAAGTGAGGATGCAATGCACCAGGTGTATAAGTAGCTGCAGTCACTCCAGCTTCAATTCCCAGTTCCCTAACGAAAGGATGAGAACAGTTTAATCCTCCTTAGGGTCTCTTTTTTATCAACAGACATGGGGAGTTATGTTTACACTTAAAAAAGTAATCTAAGGTTTCTTAACTTACAAAGCTGAGGAAAGATAATTTAGCCCAAAATATTTAACTAATAATTTCAAATTTATTTTAGAACTGAAAGCTCTAAAAACTTAAATTTTGTGACAATGAGGAGCAAAGCATTTCTACTTGGTTTCACATCTTACAAAGGAAGGAAATATATGGCTACGAAGTTCCCTTCCAAGATAAAAGTCTGATTCTACTTGAGGAGCATACAACATAGAATTTACTTTTTTGGTGTATCTGAATGTTACAGATGCTCTCTGGGTTTTTGTTTGCTAGATATCATCTCTTGGTTGTTGACATTAAGGACGATTAGAATAGCAAACTCTTCTACACCTTATAAAAGAAGGGCAAACAAAATTTTAGAAGGGGTAAAACTGTTATATGCTAAGTCTTCATTTACTTATTCTCATTTTATGTTCTGCCTCAAAAGTCATTGTGGTTCAAGATCTCAATGAATGCCCACACACAATGGATTCAGAAAATTAATCTAATGAAAATCTGCTTCCACCTATCTAGGAAAGACCACAAGTCTAGGAGAAGGCAGGCTAAATTTCCCTTGTCAATGGCAGGTGAGGGTGGTGGAGCAAATCTGAGTACAAAGGTGGGGGTCAGATAAAGAAGATGTGAAAAGTAAGATCAGTCGAGGGAGTCAACTTTGGTAGTAACCCTGAAGAACAGGAAAAAAGGTCCACGCCTCTTACTTACATGGGAACTCTAAAAAACCTAAACTCACAGGAGAGAGTAGCATGTTGTTTACCAGAGGCTGGGGAGAGGGTGGGGGGTCATGAATGAGGAAAGGGGAGATGCTGGTCGATGGGTACAAAGCTTCAGCTGGGAGGAGTAAGTTCTGATATTCTACTGCACAGCATGGTGACTACAGTGAAGAATAACGTACCGTTTATTTCAAAACTGCGACAAAAGATTTTAAATATACTCACCACAAAGAAATGATCAATATTGGAGGTGATAAATGTGCCATTAGCCTGATTTAATCATTTCACAATGTATGTATGTATTGAAATACTATGCTGTACCTCCAAATATATACAATTATTATTTTTCAATTAAACATAAAATAACACCTAAAAAAAGTACTACTCCTGCTTGATATGGTTCCCTGCCCCAGCTCCTATTCTTTCCTCTCCAAACCTCTATCTGCCCAGAGGCAGTGTCTCAGTTAAACTGGGGATTAGGTTTCTCCACATCATCCTTCTGCAAAGCAATCAATCACAAGGCATCTCTTCCAATAGTTTTACCACAAGCTGTGAAGCACTGTTTTGAAATTAAAGAAGATACTGACCAGGCAGACCTCTCTGGAGCCTGTCGAGGATGTGAGGACATAGTCTGAGGCACATGAATATGATGCCCATGACCATAGTTTGGGTGCATCCTATGTGGATGGGGTGGGGGGCGTTCATGTGCCCGCCTGGAAACACAGAACACAAAAAGACCACTGGAAATAATTGAATAATTGGTTATTTCTTTTCTTAATGTAGAAAAAAATCCCTAGTATTAATACTATAAACATCTATAGATTAGTCATAAAATAAATTTTATAATAAATTATAAAAACATATAAAATTATTTGTTAATAAATCAAGAAACCATCACCTTCTCCATAAATTCTAATTGCTCATTTATTCCAATGCTTCCAATTCAAATATCACCCAAGGAAAAAGTAATTTTAACATTATCTTGTACACCTTCTTTACAAGTGATATTTTAAATAGGAGAATAATAGGAATTAAATAAAAATAAAATTTTTAAAAATTAAATACCCCAGGCAAATGTTGCAGGCACAAATAAATTATTGTATATAAACATTAAAGCAGGACACATTGAAACCTTAATTTTGCTTCATTTACTCTTATACTGTAAAGACATTCAACCATTTTAATGGATGAAAGTTTAAGAGAAAACAATGTTAACCCTGTGCATTTTTTTTCAAAACACATGTAATACAAGTTAACACACCTAGGAAACGTGTATTTAGCTTGATTCATACTTTTTTTTTTTTTTGGAGAGGAAGTCTAGCTCTGTCACCAGGCTGGAGTACAGTGGCAATCTTGGCTCACTGCAACCTCTGCCTCCCAGATTCAAGCAATTCTCCTGCCTCAGCCTCTCAAGTGGCTGGGACTACAGGTGCATGCCACCACGCCCAGCTAATTTTTGTATTTTGAGATGGGCCAGGATGTTGGCCAGGATGGTCTCAATCTCTTGACCTTGTGATCTGCCCACCTTGGCCTCCCAAAGTGCTGGGATTACAGACATGAGCCAATGTGCCCAACCTCCATTCATACTCTTTATTTTGCATCCCAGTTTACTGTATTTTCTCTTCCTAAAGTCAGTTAACAGAAGACACTAAAAACAACTTAGTTTCAGGGATTCATTTTTTGCTTCTTTTTTTTTTTAAGCGGCAGAATCTTGCTCCAGGATCAAGTGCAGTGGCACAATCATAGCTCAGTGTAACCCTGAACTCCCGGGCTTAAGTGATCCTCCCACCTCAGCCACCTGAGTAGCTGGGACTAAAGGTGTGTGCCACCATACCCAGCTAAGATTCATTTTTATAGTCTAATTATTTTATATTAGTTTTTAACACAATTGCAGATTTTGCATGTTTATTCTAAACAACAATTTGCCAGTTACTGGAAGATAAGACTGTTAAACTGGCAATTTTCTATATAAAAGGTTACTATATTAGAATGGCAGCAACAGCCAGAGATTTGGGATACAATCTTAAATGACAGAAGTAAAACAAAAAGTTACACAAGAGAGCTGGATCATTAATTAGATCAAGAGTTTGGCAAACAGGTTATGTGAAGGGTAAAACGGGAAATTTTTTCAGCTCTACAGGCCGTATGTTCTCTGTTGTAACTACTCAGCTTAGCCTTTGTAATGTGGAAACAGCCACAAACAACAGACACTTTTTCAGTTTGTTTGTAACTGAAAAACTGCAGCTGTTTTCCAATAAAATTTTGTTTACAAAAATCAGTAGGCAGAATTAGACCAATAGTTTGCTGATCTGAATATGAAAATCAGATCCTGAATAATCAAAAGAAAAAAAAGGATTTTCATAAACTTGAAGTACAATATTTTCACTGTCATTCACTGAAAATTCTATTAATACTTTCCTTCCCTCTCGTTAGTAACATTCAAATCTTTGATATCTTTAGATCTTATTCCTCAGAATCATCAATTTTAACACTGATTTTTACCACACGATATTGCAGAAACACACAGACAAAAGATTAGCTCACATCAGACCAGTCTGGGTACTTTTTTTTAATTGGTTTGCATAAAGAAATTAGCCTGGGTCATATGGTAAAACTGGTCAGATTTTACTAAATAACCTGGTATAAACTTGTTTTTTCAACACATACAATTTAGGGAAAGGCAGGGGAAGGTTCTCGTTAGCAAAGAATCAATTTCTTAGTGAAATGAGGATTTAGTATAGTTACTTTTTTGGGGAGAGGGGGAGAGACAGGGTCTCCCTGTGTCACCCAGGCTGCAGTGCAGTGGCATGATCATGGGAGGATCACTTAAGCACAGGAGTTCAAGGATAAAAGAACTATGGTTGCACCACTGCACTCCAGCCTTGACCCCCTGGGCTCAGACGATCCTTTCATCTCAGCCTACCCAGTAGCTGGGACCACAGGAGTATGCCACTACACCCAGCTACTTCCTTTTTTTGGTGGAGACGAGGTCTCCTTATGTTGCCCAAGCTGGTCTCAAACTCCTGGGCTCAAGCGATCCTCCCGCCTCAGCCTCCCAAAGTGTTGGAATTATAGGGGTGAATCACTGCAGCCACCTATCTTTTGTTTTCTACTGTTGTTAAAGGACACAGGGTCTTGCTCTACCACCTAAGCTAGAGTGCAGTGGCACAGTCATAGCTCAGCTTTGAACTCCTGGGCTCAAATTATCCTCCTGCCTTAGCCTCCTGAGCAACTGGGGATTACGGGAATGAGCCTCACCCAGCTTATAGTTACAAGTTACATTATTTCTAAAGACTTCATGGTTTTTTTTGTTGTTGTTGCTGTTCTTTGTTCTTTTTTTAAAAAAAGAAAACAACAACAACAAAAAACAGTATTTCACTGTGTTGCCCAGATGGACTCAAACTCCTGGGCTCAAGCAATCCTCCTGTCTCAGCCTCCCAAGGAGCTGTGACTACAAGTGCATGCCACCATGCCTAGTTGGATTTCAGAGTTGTAAAGACCAATGGAAGTAGAAGAAAAAGCAAACTTGACTTTCTTTTTAAAAACGTAAAACATACGTTGGATGCTGCATCATCCTCCTCCTTTGAACTTCCATCCTCTGCATCACTTCATGAGGATGCAGTCTCTGTGCTGGAGGTGCTGTGGCTGGAATATGGTGCGAAATTGGCTGGTGTGTAGGAGGAAGATGCTGAGGGATTGGTGCAGCTGTACTGGCTAAGTGAGTTGGTGGTGGGGGTGCCACAGGATGAGATGTTGCATGAGAAGATATTTGAGAATGGAAAGCATGTACAGGATGAGGAATAACATAATCCACTTGAGGCGGAGGCTGAGTCTGAGGAGGGGGGTTTCCATGAGAATGCGGGCAGGCAGAAGCTTGATGATGAAGTGGCCTTGTCAAAGAGGCATCTGCAAGAAAAATATTTTGAGTATGTTACATAGGCACCATGCAGTTGAACATATATTGCTATTATACATTCCTAGTGTACTTTTAAACATATTAGTATTTTATTTTTATGAATACTTTATCAAGTAAAGTATTCAAGCAACTGCTCAAGCAACTTGCTCCCTTCTTACAATAATCTTGGATATCTTATGTCAATATATATATTATAGTTTAACTTCACTCACAGCTTCACAACATTCTATTATATGAACACACCAAAATGTACTGACAAAATCCCCACTGATAAAAAAGAAACCCAAATGCTATGATAAATATCTGTGTATATGCTCACTCCTGCACTCACTCTTTCATTTACACACATGTATACACACATATATAGAGATCATTTCTGTAGCATAAATTCCTGTAAGTAGTTGTGGGACAGAAAGAAAAAAATAAATTTAGATGCCAGTTAATAAAAATACCCTTTCCAAAAGGTTGCCATAATTAATATTTCCATCAAGAGTACACAGGAAGGGCCAGGCACCGTGGCTCACACCTGTAATCCCAGCACTTTAGGAGGCCAAGGTGGGCAGAGTCACCTGAAGCCAGGAGTTCGAGACCAGCCTGGCCAACATGGCGAAGCCCCGTCTCCACTAAAAATACAAAAATTATCCAGGCATGGTGATGCACACCTGTAATCCCAGCTACTAGGGAGGCTGAGGCAGGAGAATCGCTTGAACCTGGGAGGTGGAGGATGCAGTGAGCTGAGATCATGCCACTGCACCCCAGCCTGGGCGACAGAGTGAGACTCCACCTCAAAAAAAAAAAAAAAAAAAAAAAAGGAGCACACAAGAAGGCCTGATTACCCCCACATTACCACTAAATTTTTAAAATAAATGCCAATCTGAGAAAAATCTTTTATTTCTTGACCGCTTGTATGTGTTCTCAGAATTATCTATTTACATGCTTAGCCTATTGTATTACTCACCTTTTTCTTATTGACTTGTAAGTATTATTTGCATATATGGAAGCTCTGTCATAATAGGGTGTAAACATTTTTCCAAACTGTCTCTCTCTCTCCCTACCCCATGTCATTATTCCTGTGCTACATTAAGGTGAAGGAGACCTATTTGTTTCCCATCAAATATGGACGTAAAGTCCTTAATAAGATGGCTCCTACCATTTCTTCATTCTACATCTTTATGTTTCAAAGTGACTGCTGAAAAATCTCTCTGAGGAATACACATCTTCCTTACTCTTAGAGATGTGCATCTACTTGACATGTAAAAAAAAAAAAAAAGTTTGTCTTAGATTTCAATACAAATTTCATTTTATTGGAAGATGTTCTTGGAAGTCTGATATAGACCAACAGCCATTCTCTAGTTTCATTACAGAAGTTTTCAATTTTTAATGCTTTTGATTCATTCAGCAAGGGCAGAAGTTAGGTAACAATAACTCAACTATATTTTCAAAGTATGCCTTGTTAGCATGTACTTAAAGGAAACTTTCAACAAATCTAATTTTTAAAAGTTGCAAGACAAATTTTTAAACCAATTTTCTAAAAGTTCTGTTTTCAAATCAATGCTTTACTCTTCAAGAAGGCACAAAGCTCAGTAGCTAGCTCTTAATCATAAAAAATGAATCCACTATGTTTTATGATTGTTAACTATCCTTTCTCAAATTCACAGCATTTTTTCTAGTTGCAAAGTTTTATATTTGTGTAATCATTATACAACATTCACAAATATTACAAAGCAAGAAGTTTTGTTTCAGAATGAGTCCATTTATTTAACTACTCTTTAGACATCACTTTAATTCACTGTTTAAACAAAACAGGTTGCTGACCATTTTAAGAGTGACATATTCCACATTCCCAAAAACCCTTTCCCTTCCTCTATTTGTGTTCCCAACAGTTAAAAAAAGTTCTTGATATTGTTTCCTAGACGTTCAACATATCACTTGCAGATGTAATACTATGCTTTATTCCAACATTTACTCACTGCATTCCCATAGCTTTACAGTGTAGACCATTTGCTTTATGATTAATCGTAAGTAGCCTTACCTATACCTCTCTTTTTTTTTTTTTTTTCTTCTTTTGAGAGGGAGACTCGCTCTATCGCCCAGGCTGGAGTGCAGTGGTGTGATCTCAGCTCACTGCAATCTCCATCTCCCAGGTTCAAGCAATTCTCCTGCCTCAGCCTCCCGAGTAGCTGCGATTACAGGCACCTGCCACCACACCCGGCTAGTTTTTGAATTTTTAGTAGAGACAGGGTTTCGCCATGTTGGCCAGGCTGGTCTTGAACTCCTGACCTCAGGTGATCCACCCGCCTCGGCCTCCCGAAAGTGCTGGGATTACAGGCGTGAGCCACTGTGCCTGGTCTTTTTTTTTTTTTTTTTTTTTTTAGAGACAGGTTCTCACTATGTTGTCCAGGCAGGAGTACAAGGATTGTTCACAGGTGTGATAACAGCACACTACAACCTTGAACTCCTGAGCTCAAGCAATCCCCATGCCTCAGCCTCCTGAAGAGCAGGAACTACATGCTCATACTACCAAGCCAGGCCTTACATATCTTCTCAATACATCTTATTAATAAGATAGTAAAACTTTTAAATAATAGCATTTCAAGTACAGTTGTTTTATCACTTCATCAAGACCACAAACCTTTCAAAAGCAGAGAGAGACATATTCTTACTCCACAAGTATTGTTGTTATACATATAAATGTACTTATGAAACAGCAAACTATTCATCTGGATCCAAGTATCACAATTTATAGCCAATAGGAATTATTCCCATTTTACAAGTGCAAAGAATGTAAGGACAGAGAGATTAAATAACTTATCCAAAGTCACCAAGCTAATTAGTCAGAGCTGGGAGGTCAACTCGAATCTATCCAATTCTAAAGCTAGTGCTCTACTATGCCATATTGTCTTCCCCAGTTCATTCTGGATGAAAAAAGGTTTAAGAACCACATGTTTCACACGTGAACTAAAGCATACGGGAAATGTTTTTTAAAAGCACGGGCAAGTTGGGGAGAGAATACACACACTCCTTCAGGAAAAGAAGCCCAAAACAGAGTTATCAAAATGTCTCTAACAGAAAATAATACAATTTAAATTTCCTACCTTCATTCTCATTAACACACTCCTAATGAGGTGTGTAAATTGATGCAGCCCCTTGGAGAGAAAACTTAACAGTATTTATCTGAAAGTTTAGCCCTCTGACATAGCAATCACATTTCTAGGAAGTTAAACTATACATAAACTCAACCATAAACAACTTTAATGTCCATCAACAGAAGACTGATTTAATATACAATGGATATTATGGGGGTATTAAAAACCAATGAGCTAGATTTTTATGTGCTAATATGCAAAAATCAAAATATACTGTTAAATTTAAAAACAAAAAACAAGAAGTAGAATATGTTTGATTTCCCATTTTTAAAAGGTAAGACATATACCTATCTATGTGTACAAAGAAAATTTCTAAAAGTTTTTATAGAACAGTTACTACCTCTGATATATTAAGATTAGTAAGCTGTGCGAGGAAGCTTTTAAATTCTCATTTTATATGACTGCACAGTCTGAATGTTTTAGAATATAACAAATGAATCTAAAACATGTATTTATTAGGACATTTTGAAAGGAATGAACTTACTCATAAACTGCTTCAGTATATTATTTTTAAAGGGGAGGGGCAGAAAATTAAGCATATTGAATTTCAAATAAAAGATGATCAATCAAAAATGAATACCATCAAGTATTACAAAATAGGCCATGCATCACACTGGTGCTCATACAAAGAATTGGCCCATTGGTCAATGCTTTGTAAAAACTTGCTAAATGTTTTCCAATTTATACTTTAAATTTTAAGTTGCATTACTGAGAAGGTAAATAATATATCACCAGTTTCACTGTACAGATTCTGGGTTGATTCCAGCTGCGTCTGCACGATGCAGATTTTTTTAAATGACTGGAGTAGAAGAAAAAATCCAAGAAGATATGTAAGTGAAAATTACCACTTGCCATGTAATCAAAACAAAACACAAATTTCCTTGCTGACTTCCTGGTTCATTTCCAGCATGAATTTTTGGTGTTTATCAGCCAAGTGTTTATTAAGCTTTCATTTCATTATTAGCTTATGATCTAACAAAATAGTAAATATGTTACATAGCCTTAGAGTATTTATCATTTCTTGTGATATCTAACGAATTTCAATTTCTTTAGAAAAGGCATGGCTGGTTCTATTTTATTTTTATAGAAACGGGGTCTCACTATGTTGCCTAGGCTGGTCTCAAACTCCTGGCCTCAAGCCATCCTCCTGCCTTGGCCTCCCAAAGTGCTGGGATTACAGGAGTGAGCCATCATGCCCAACCATGGTTATATTTTAATTGCCTGCATCAAATGAATATAAAAATCCTTTTACAACTCCCAAAGCTTGCTGTTATGTCTCAGCTAACTGCTTGAGAATTCTTAAAAATTTACTTTACTGTGCCTAGAAATACTACTCAACTTTCACATTTCTTCAGCTATACTAAAGAACAAATCTAAATTCCTTAAAACTTCCATTCAATCCACCTCAATTACATAATACTAACATGGGAAAAAATATACCCTACTCTTAAGCCAAGTAAATACTAAAAATTTAAGAACTGGGATTAAAGGTTATTTCATAAGGAAGTACAAAATGCTTCATTGACATGACTCTAGATTTTGTGTCCACTAAGTATATACTTACAAGGGGGTGGCATGTAATGTCGACATGATGAGAGAGAGGGCTGTGGAGGGGGCTGGGGCTGGGGCTGCGCAACCATGCTTGATCCATAGCCATCTATTGATGATAAAGGTTGACTTGGGGCAGCAGCAGCGGCCTGATGGCCAAAGATTGCAGCTCGGGAGGAAGAAACAGGGCAGCAGGGGTCAAATGCAGATGCTCCATGAAAACTGCCACTTCCATGACTTCTGATACCACTGTTGCTCAGGTCCACTGGCAATGCCTGCTAGATAAAAAGGAAGTATATTTTATCTTTCTAAAGTTTGGTCAAATATTTCATGTTATATTATAAAAGTATTCCTAATATAACCAAAAAAACATAATCTTTAAATTAGTTTGAAACCAGGAAGATTCTTAGTATGAAGAACCAGTGAGCACCAACAAAATACTTGGTTATCTTGAATATAACAAGTGTATCCTGGATTGTGAAAACTGTAGTGGTTTTACAGTTAAACCAATTTTTAAAAATCAAGCATAAGATTTTATCACAAGATGAACAAAAGTTTAATATATTAAAATCTTTTTGTCTTATAACAAATACATCTTAGAAACTTTAAAAATCATACTTCTATATTCTCCTTTATCCCAACATTGTGACTAGTACTTTAGGACTCCTTGAGAAAACATACTATCACACTACTGAAAATATTAAGGTTCTAGGAAAAATCTTGTCTGCCCCAAGTTCCAAACTGTATAAAGCAAGAATTCAATTAAAGTGCTAATAAACAAATCTACATTATTCAAAATAACAATGGACATAAGATTTTTCAGACTAAATCATGAATTACCTTTGCCACTCAAAGCTTTCACTTGTTCAAAAACATAAGAATAAAAAAAGTTAAAGCACTGCTTCCTTTTATAGGCATATTTATTGCATTTTATAGGCACATTTAGTGCTTTGCAGATGTTCGGGGTTTTTTGTTTTATTTTTAATAAATTGAAGGTTTGTGGCGACACTGTGTCAAGCAAGTCTATCAGAGTTATTTTTCCAACAGCATGTGGAAACTCTGTGTCTGTGTCACATTTTGGTAATTCTCTTAATATTTACATTTTTCTCATTATTATTTTATCTGTTATGGTGATATTTGATGAGTAGTCATTGATGTTACTATTATAATTGCTTTAGGCACCAAGAACTGTGCCCATATAAGACAACAAATTTAACAGATAAACATGTGTGTCCTGACCAGATGTTTCCCCATTACCCTGCTCTCCTCTCTTTGGGCCTCCCTATTCCCTGAGACACAACAACATTGAAATTAGGCCAATTAATGGCCTCTGGTATTGAAGTGAAAGGAAGATTTGCACATCTCTCATTTTAAACCAAAACCGAGAAATGATTAAGCTTAGTGAGGAAGGCATGTCAAAAGCCCAGAGAGGCCAAAAGCTAGGCCTCTTGCACCAGTTAGCCAAGTCATGAATGCAAAGGAAAAATCCTTGAAAGAAACTGAAAGCACTCCAGTGAACACACAAATGATAAGAAACTGAAACACCCTTATTGCTGATCTAAAGAAAGTTTTAGTGATCTAGATGGAAGATCAAACCAGCTACAATATTCTCTTAAGCCAAAGCCTAAGCCAGAGCAAGGCCCTAACTCTTCAATTCTATGAAGGCTGAGGGAGGCAAGGAGGCTGCAGAAGAAAAGTCTGAAGATAGCAGAGGTTAGTTCATGAAACTGAAGGAAAGAAGCTATCTCTATAAGATAAAAGTGCAAGGAGAAGCAGCAAGTGCTGATGTAGAAGCTACAGTAAGTTATCTAGAAAATCCAGCTAAGATCATTTATGGAAAGTGCTACAGTGAATAACAGATTTTCCATGTCGACAAAACAGCCTAATATTGGAAGATGTCATCCAGGACTTTCATAGCAAAGAGAAGTCAATGGCTGGCTTCAAAGTTTCCAAGGACTGGATGATTCTTGTTAGGGTCTAATGTAGCTAGTGACTTAAAATCCAATGCTCATTTGCAATTCCAGAATTCCCAGGGCCCTTAAGATTTATGCTAAATCTATTCTGCCTGTGCTCTATTAACAAACAACAAAGCCTAGATGACAGTACAGCTATTTACGTGGTTTACTGAATATTTTAAGAATACTGTTGAGACCCACTACTAAGAAAAAAATATTCCTTTCAAAATGTTACTGCTTGGCAAAAGTGAGACCTTTTCTCAAAAAAGAAAAAAGAAAATTGCTGTTTCTTGACAATGCACATAGTCACCAAAGAGCTCTGATGATGTATAAGTAGATTAATGTTTTCATACCTAACACAACATCCAGTCTGCAGACTATGAATCAAGGAGTAATTTCAACTTTCAAGTCTTACTATTAAAGAAATACATTTCATAAGGCTATAGCTGCCATAATAATTCCTCTGATCAATCTGGGCAAAAGTAAATTGAAAACCTTCCAGAAAGGAGTCACCATTCTAGATGTCATTAAGAACATTTGTGGTTCATGGAAGGCAGTCAAAATATTAACATTAATAATTTGGAAGAAGTGGATTCCAAGCCTCATGCACACTTTGAGGGGTTCAAGACTTCAGTGGATGAAGTAACTACAGATGTCGTGAAGACAGCAAGAGAACTAGAATAAGAAGTTGGAACCTGAAGATGTGATTGAATTGCCGTAAATCCTGATAAAAGCTGAATGAGTTGCTTCTGACGGAGGAGCAAAGAAAGTAGTTTATTTATTTTTTTTTTTTTTGGAGATGGTGTCTCACTCTATTGCCCAGGTTGGTGTGCAGTAGTGCAATCTTGGCTCACTGCAACTTCCACCTCCCAGGTTCAGGCAATTATCTTACCTCAGCCTCGCGAGCAGCTGGGATTACAGGTGCATGCCACCACGCACCTAATTTTTGTATTTTTGTATTTTTAGTAGACACAAGGTTTCACCATGTTGCCCACGCTGGTCTTGAACTGCTGACCGCAAGTGATCTGCCTGCCTCAGCCTCTCAAACAAAGTGCTGGGATTACAGAAGTCAGCCACTGCACCCAGGCTCTTTTATTTACTTTTGAGACAAGGTCTCACTGTGTTGCCTACAGTGGAGTGCAGTAATACAAACGTGGCTCACTGCAGCCTCCACCTACCCAGCTCAAGCAATCCTCCCAACTTCAGCCTCCCAAGTAGCTAGGACCACAGGCGCGTGCCACTGCACCCAGCTAATTTTTAGATTTTTTGTAGAGACAGAGTCTTGCCATGTTGCCCAGACTGGTCTTTAACTCCTCCCACCTCAGCCCCACAAAGTGTTGGGAGCAAATGCATGAGCCAGCATGCCCAGCTGGAAGTGTTTTGTTTTTTTTTTTTTAATAAAAAAATTGCAGGGCCCCAGACACATCATTTAAACAAACAAACAAACAAAAAACTGCAGCAAAAGTGGTTTCTTGAGATAGAATCTTCTCCAGGTAAAGATACTAGGAAAAAGATGGAAATGACAGGCCGGGTGTGGTGGCTCACGCCTGTAATCCCAGCACTTTGGGAGGCTGAGGCAGGCAGATCACGAGGTCAGGAGATTGAGACCAACGTGGCTATCACGGTGAAACCCCGTCTCTACTAAAAAATACAAAAAAATTAGCCAGGCGTGGTGGCGGGCACCTGTAGTCCCAGCTACTTGGGAGGCTGAGGCAGAATGGCATGAACCTGGGAGGTGGAGCTTTCAGTGAGCCGAGATCACGCCACTGCACTCCAGCCTGGGCAACAGAGCGAGGCTGTCTCAAAAAAAAAAAAAAAAAAAAAAAGATGGAAATGACAGCGAAAGATTTAGAATATCACATCAACTTAATATATTACATTAGTACATCACATAAACTTAAAGCAGCTGCAAAGTTTGAAAGGATTGATTCCAATTCTGAAAGAAGTTCTATGGGTAAAACACCATTAAACAGCATCATGTGCTACAGAGAAATCTTTCATGAAAGTAACAGTCAATCAATGCAGCAAACTTCATTGTTATCTTACTTCAAGAAATTGCCACAGCCACCCCAATCTTTAGGTACCACCACTTTCATCAGTCATAGCCACCAACATTAAGGCAAGACCCTCCATCAGCAAAAAGTTTACAATTTGCTGAAGTCTCAGAGGATTGCTGGCATTTTTAAAAAATGTATTAGCAATAAAGTATTTTTAAATTGAATTATTTTTAAACTGAAACATGTACAATAAGGTATTTTTAAACTGAAGTATTTTTAAATTGAAGCATGTACATTTTTTCAAACATAATGTCACTGTGCAGTGGACTTAGTACAGTGTAAATATTAAATTTTATATGTACTGGGAAACAAAAAAATTCATGTGACTTGCTTTATTGCAATATTCACTTTATTGTATTTATTGTGGTTGTCTGGAACCAAACCTGCAGTATCTCCAAGGTATGCTTGTATTAGGAATACGATTTTAGGGAAAGCCCATCAACTAAGTTGGGAAATAAACCAGAGGGTAGATTCCACTTCCACTCATCAGTAATATTTTCCTCCAAAAACTTTATTTTTTTTTTTTTTTGCGACAGGATCTCTGTTACCCAGGCTGGAGTGCAGTGGCACAATCTTGGCTCACTGCAAGCTCCACCTCCTAGGCTCAAGCGATTCTCCTGCCTCAGCCACCCACAAGAAGCTAGAACTAAAGGCACGAGACCCCACGCCCAGCTAATTTTTGTTTTTTTGTTTCGTTTTGTTAGAAACGGGGTTTCACCATGTTGCACAGGGTGGTCTCGAACTCTTGCGGTCAAGCGATCCACCCGTCTCAGCCTCCCAAGGTGCTAGGATTTCAGGCGTAAGCCACTATGCACTGCCTTCCAAAAGCATCTGGAAAAATCCTAAGCAAAACACTTTCACCTCTACTCTATAGCAAAGGCAAGAATCACTTCTTCGTATTCTTTTTTTTTTTTTTTTTTTGAGATGGAGTCTCGCTCTGTTGCCCAGGCTGGAGTGCAGTGGTGCAATCTCGGCTCACTGCAAGCTCCGCCTCCCGGGTTCAGGCCCATTCTCCTGCCTCAGCCTCCCGAGTAGCTGGGACTACAGGCACCCACCACCACGCCCGGCTACTTTTTTTGTATACTTAGTAGAGACAGGGTTTCACCATGTTAGCCAGGATGGTCTCAATCTCCTGACTTCATGATCCGCCTGCCTCAGCCTCCCAAAGTGCTGGGATGACAGGCGTGAGCCACCGCGCCCGGCCACTTCTTCGTATTCTTGAATACAAACCTACTGCTTAGGTTCAGTGGAACCATACTTTTCAAAATGTGATGAAAGATCATAAAGATCTGATGTTATATATGGAATTATATACAGCAACTGTGCAATACTGGAAGCTGAGGGGCTGGAGATGAAAAAACCTAGGGTAATGCATTTGTCAAAGGCTCAAGTCACCCAACAGTCCCGAGAGGAACCACAGCATTCTTTTTAATTTCAGTGAGCTCTAGGTTTAGGGGGAATAATAGAAACAAAAGGAACTCTGGGTGCTGAAAGGAAAGGGGTGTGATGATACTCAAGTTGGGAAAGAGAAAAGGAGGAGCTCCTTTCTTTTGTATTATTTATCTACAATCAAGTATATGTCTGTTCTCCTTCTGTTGAGCTGTACAATCAAGTATATGTCTGTTCTTCTATTGAGTTGGCAAATACAATGTATGTCTTCAATGCAGGTAAATACGGTTTAAGAATAATGTTTTAAGACTGAATTTATGTTTATGGTTCAAATCCTTTCCCTACTATTTAGACTAAAATTAGCAAATGGACTAGAATATCAACATCTTATGAAGGTGACCAAATTTCATTTTATCTTCATCTCTAGTCAGTGATTAAGAACATTCCCAGAGTAAAGTAATTCCTAGAAGAAACTGAGGGTAAAATTAAAGAATAAAGGGAAAATAAAAACAGTAATGAGAACCCTCTTCTTCACAATTCCAGTTCATTCAATTCTTATTCCCGAAGGACAATCAAGGGTAAGCAAGATGAGTATAGTGATGGGACATAATAATTGGCTTACACAGATTATAAATGATGCATCACACTAATTAAACTACTAGGCACAGTGGTACATGCCTGTAGTCCCAGCCAATTAGAAGTCTGGGGCAGGAGGATTACTTAAGCCCAGGAGTTTAAGGCCAGCCTGAGAAACAAGGCAAGATCCTCTCTAAAAAAAAAAAAAAAAAAAAAAAAAAAAAAGCAGGAGGTGGGGTGGGGTTGGGGGGTGGGGATGGTGTGGCAGGGGTGGGTAGGGATGAAAGCCATATCATATCAAAGCAAGCAGTGAGGGCTATCTACATGACTACTGCATCTTCTCGGTATGCCAGTCTAATTTTTATTTGACTACGCACAATCTGGCACTCAAACATAAGATATCTACAAAATCACAAATCTCAGGTTTTGTTTGCTTCTTCTGCTCCTCTACTTTCTGCTGTACCCAAATAGGTCTAAAGTGAAGACTATATGAAGCTATTTTATGAGCATTTGGTTAATTTTAGAGTCCTACAAACATCAACATGAGTCTCAAACTGTTGTCTTCAAAAATCTCACTCTCTTTACCTTCAAATCCATTATCACCACTGAATGCCTGTGATCCTGCTGATTCTTCTCAAGTTTTGTTTGCAGTCCAAATACTTCTACTAATACTTACAGGTGGGTAAACGAGTTATATTTATTTTACACTGAACAGACCTGTAAAAGAGATCCTACCTACAACTGACTCAAGCTGAAATAAAAAGTTGTATACATAATTGATGTCTCAAACTAGCTGTATTATTTTATTAATAACAAAATATTCTGTAAATGAGACTTTTGGCAGCTCTTTAATGAATGTAGGAAAAGCTGGTAGACCCACCTCTTCACCATTTTCCTACAATATTTATGAAGCATCATGTAACCAAATTTACAGCAAAACAAAGTTATACTTCCAAGCAGATCCTTTCATTCAATCCACTGGAAAATTCTTCTTGATGCTCCCTCGTTCCCAAGAGATAGGACAGGTCTGGACAATCCATTAATACCAAGAAATGTTACCAAAACCGAAATGACATCTAAAATCTCTTTAATTATATTTTCTACTCAATTCAAACTTCCTCTTGATAGGACCAGCTGTATTTTCAAAGAGAATACAACTCCTTTTTTTTTTTTTTTTTTTTGAGACGGAGTCTTGTTCTGTCGCCAAGGCTGGAGTGTGGTGGCATGATCTCAGCTCACTGCAATCTCCGCCTCCCACGTTCAATCGATTCTCCTGCCTCAGTCTCCTGAGCAGCTGGGATTACAGGCACGCGCCACAGACCCAACTAATTTTTGTATTTTTAGTAGAGATGGGGTTTCACCATGTTGGTCAGGCTGGTCTCGAACTCCTGATCTCGTGATCCACCCACTTTGGCCTCCCAGAGTGCTAGGAATACAGGCATGAGCCACCGCGCCCAGCCCTTGTTAATTATTTTTAATCTGTCAGACCCAGAAGACATACCATCAAAATTTTAAAAGATGAGGCAAGTACTTTAGGAAAGGTCGGGTGACATAGAAAAGTGGTAGCTTGGCCGGGCACGGTGGCTTAATGCCTGTAATCCTAGGCAACAAGAGTGACACTCCATCTCAAAAAAAAGAAAAAAAAACGAACTTCGGAGTCTTGCTCTGTTGCCCAGGCTGGAGTGCAGTGGCACGATCTTGGCTCACTACAACCTCCACCTCTAAAGTTAAAGTGATTATCCTGCCTCAGCCTCCCGAGTAGCTGGGACTACAGGCACACACCATCACACCCAGCTAATTTTTGTATTTTAGTAGAAATGGGATTTCACCATGTTGGCCAGGCTGGTCTTGAACTTCTGACCTCAGGTGATCCACTTGCCTTGGCCTCCCAAAGTGCTGGAATTACAGGCGTGAGCCACCATGCCAGCCTCTTTGACTTTTTTTGCAGCACTTTTTTTCTGGAATAGTATATGTCAAAATTACAATTTTTCTCTGAAATTACATCTTTTGTTTTTTGTTGTTGTTGTTGTTTTTTGAGACAGCATCTCACTCTGTCGCCCAGGCTGGAGTGCAATGGCGTGATCTCAGCTCACTGCAACCTAAGCCTCCCGGGTTCAAGCAATTCTCCTGCCTCAGCCTCCTGAGTTGCAACACGCAGACTTATATCATAATCGTACATGGAAGTGACATAACAAAAGTTAAAGTAGCATGGAACGCTTGACTTCTTTTACTCCACGTGATTGCCAATACTAATTTAATACTAGTTGACATTTTGCGAACTCAATAATAATACCAACTAATTTACTTAATTATAATTTTTTGCTGACATTTTGATTCTCCATAAACTGAAAACCTCATCTGCCCCTGAGAAAACATGCTACAGGTCTGCAAATGAGAAGGCTGTTTATTTTTAGATGAGTGAAGGTTATAGTGAACTCTACAGTAGGAGGTAAAAGGGGAAAACTGGGAGAATTTTCCAATTTTTCATGAATTAGCTGGACACTAGAGTTTCAACAATTTGTTTAAAGTAAGATCCCAAAAATCAGATCCAACTGTATTTAACTAAAAACATCAAAAGCCTTTTTAAAAAGTGATTTTTAGATTAAGTATCAGTTTTGATTACCCACATCCCTGGTCCATTCAATTAGTTGTAATAATTTAGTCCATCTAAAAATCCCAGAGACTTAATTAAAAAGAAACTACAGACCACTAAATTAGGCCATTTTCGAGTGTAAGAATGTGATTAATTTAGTGTATAAAATCTATCCCTAGGGGTTTTTTCCTCTTCCCAAAGCCACCACAATTAAAAAAGAAAGGTGGGTTGGTTTTAACGCAAGTAGTTACTCCCTCATGCTGGGTTTTCCAGCCATCTAAAACAGGAAGAAGGGGAAGGGGAAGGGAAAGGAGAAAGGAGAGGGAAGGAATGAAGGGGAAGAGGAAAGGGAAGAGAGGGAAGGAAGGAGGGGAAGAGAGGAAAGGAAGGAAGAATGGGAGGGAGTTAAAAAAAAAAAAAGGAAACGGAGGGAGGCAGGGAGGGAAGAAAGCAGGGAGAGAAATGGAGGGAGGGAGAGAGACAGGAATGAAGGAAGAGGAAGAGAGAGAAAAGGGAGAAGGAGAGAGAGAGAGAGACAAGAGGGGCAGGAAAGAAAGACTGACTCAAATTCCACATACCTGTTCATGATAGCTGGTACCAGAACTACTATTTGCTCCACAAGGTGCTTGTACTTGTGGAGGTCTTTCCACAGGGCAAGCAGGATCACTAAAGGAAGGAGAAACTGGGACAGCTGGGTGGGGAGTATGGTGGTGGTGGTGATGATGTTGAAAATGGTGACCATGCTGCTGAAAGCAACTTGTATGAGGATGTCCTAATGCATGGTGGTTCTGTGACGACCCTCCACATGGTGAGTGCTGGGGACAGCAGGAAGGTAACCTTGGCATTGCAGGAGGGCCAGTTTCCGTTACAGCACTAGATGTAGTTCTCCTTGAGTCATCTTGAAACAGAAAAAAATGCACAGAATAATCAAATCATGAAATATCACTGTGTAAAAAAATAGGTATGGGGTATAAATAATAAATGTTTAAAGAAATGTTCGGTAATTTCAAATCTCTGTAAATAATGTGATAGTGCCACGTTCTTTTTTTTTTGAGATGGAGTCTTGCTGTTGTTGCACAGGCTGGAGTGCAGTGGCGCCATCTTGGCTCACCAAACCTCCGCCTCCTGGGTTCAAGCGATTTTCCTCCCTCAGCCTCCTGAGTAGCTGGGATTACAGGCATGCACCACCACGCCCAGCTTATTTTGTATTTTTAGTACAGATGGGGTTTCTCCATGTTGGTCAGGCTGGTCTTGAACTCCCAACCTCAGGTGATCTGCCCGCCTCAGCCTCCCAAAGTGCTGGGATTACAGGCGTGAGCCACCACACCCCGGCTGATAGTGCCATATTCTTAACATATACATCATATGATTTTATGCAGTGGTCTTCACTGGGATTTTCCTGAAACTCTAAATTCTTCAGGAGGCTCATATTTACTGTGATGTGTAAGTATGGCAATAGATCATGTTTTCCTATGGCACAGTAAATGATTTATTACCAGTAAAACTGTATTTTAAAAGTTTAAAAATACGAGTCCTTCCACTACATGCTACAAAGCAAATGCTCTTCCCCTGAGCTCCATGAACCCCTAATATCATAAATCCTTCCTACATAATGCAGGCAGCTATGTACTTCTTAAAATCTCACCTTAAGACACAGCCAGCCAAGTCAGAGTGTATCTGGTGAAGTCTCACTATCCACCAACACAAATATATACATTGTATATATTTGCTCAACAGATTCTCCTGCCTCAGCCTCCTAAGTAGCTGGGACCATAGGCACACACCACCACGCCTGGCTAATTTTTGTATTTTTTGTAGAGACAAGATTTTGCCACATTGCCCAGGCTGGTCTTAAGCTCCTTCCAGAGCTCAGGTGATCCGCCCACCTCAGCATCCCAAAGTACTTGGATTACAGGCGTGAGCCACCATGTCTGGGCCATTATCTTTTTTCCTTCCTTTGGACTCTACAGTCAGAACCAATAGAATGTAAGAAATGATTAGACTCTAATACTTGGAAAATAAAATGTGCTTTAAAGTAATCTAATGACTTAGTGTCACACAGTGGGAAAAGAAACATGGAGTCAAATGAATCTGGGTTCTAATCTGGGACCTTTCTTTCAGCAATGTGACCTTAGGGAAGTTATTTAACCTCCTTTTCATCTATAAAATGTGGTAATAAAATTGCCTTGCATGGTTGTTAGAAAAGATAAATTTCTCAGTATAAAACACATGAGTCCTGATTATGCTCTCCGCCACATGCCCAGTTATTTTGAAGGTATGTTCTTCTATGGCAGAAGAACTGCAAAAGTATCCTCTGAAAGTCTGTCCCAGTGTTTCAAATTCATTTAAAACCTAGAAACGCTTCCTCAAACTAAATATTATATGGAAACTATATAAAAGAGATTTTTAAAACTTGAAGCTTCTGATTAAATTACAAGAGTGAAGAGCCTAAAGCCAAAGCCCCGCCCTGCTGCCATCCTTAACCCCCTACTCTGATTCTGAGGCATCTCCTCAGAATCCTTAGAATTCTGGAACATTACTGTCCTAGCCTTGATTTTACAGTACCCAAGAGTAAGGATACCCTGCTCCTATGGGGCTCAAAGTACCTAGCTAATCTCTTCTGGGTCAATGTATCAATTAGGAATCTTCTGCTTGTTTACAAATAAAATAAAAATCCAACCAAAACAGCTTAAATAATAAAGGGAATTATGGGTTCACATAAATGAACCTGGGTAGGGGGGTGCTTCAGGCTCTGCTTGGTAAGATTCAGCAAATTTCCCTAAAATTCTCCTGGCTCTGCCCTCTCTTACATGTCTTATCCTGCCTTTCCGGATTCTCATCTCTTCAAGGTCTGTGCTCTAACCTCTGTTACACAGTAGCTCTAATCTAAATTTCTGTATATTCGTTTTTTCCAAGCTGCTAGTCTGGCCTATGGGGGCTAATCTCCCAAACCCTTTTGTAAAGGTTCTTAACCTGGGAACTAGAATTCACGCGTCTGTGAACTTGGACGGAAGAAAAATACAAACTGACACTAACCTCTAACTGCCCCTAGAATTATGTTAAATATTGTAATTTGTAACAAAAAAACAAAGTCGACAAATTATTTCCTTTTTTTTTTTTTTTTTTGCGACAAAGTCTTGCTCTGTCGCCCAGGCTAGAGTGCAGTGGCGCAATCTCCACTTACTGCAAGCTCTGCCTCCCGGGTTCACGCCATTCTCCTGCCTCAGCCTCCCGAGTAGCTGGGACTACAGGCGCCCGCCACCAAGCCCGGCTAATTTTTTTGTATTTTTAGTAGAGACGGGGTTTCACCATGTTAGCCAGGATGGTCTCGATCTCCTGACCTCGTGATCCACCCACCTCGACCTCCCAAAGTGCTGGGATTACAGGCGTGAGGCACCACGCCCGGCCAGATTATTTACTTTTTAGAACAAATAATAGCAGTTCCAAAGTCAGTTCTATAATTATGTTACTTTCATTCACTTGTATTCCAAATGTGTTGAATAACCTGGTCAAGTGTTAAAACTAGCATATCAGGAACTGACCATGATCAAAAGTCTTTTAGGGCTATGCTGAACCCAACATTAAGTAACTGTTTCCTATAAATTATAATATGTATAGTAATTACTCATTATTACAGTAGCTTTACTTGCTACAGCATTTTCAGGGTTTTATCTTAGTCTCTATGTAAAAGTGTTATACAAGTCAATATCATTTATTGTGTATTGCATCAGGAAAAAAAGGTTGAAAACCTTTGGGATACTAAGCTCACTCACTGGGATACGCTAAATTACCTTCATGGTTCCTTCCAACTCTGACACTTTAATTTTACAAACCAAGTTATTTGAGGATTACGTTGACTCTAAAAGTCAGGGTATGAGTTTGTAACCATCACTAAAGTGATGGATATGACATGTATCTGTTCAGAAACAGCTTGTCCTCTTTTGCCTTCGAGCATTTTGAATATATATAGTCCAGAACCTCTTTGTTTCTCAAACAGGCTTGCATCCAAAACTAAAGACAACCAATTAGCCTCTCATTCGAGAGTTACTACCCAAATAAAACTGTCATAAATTAGAGGTGAAATACAGAGATATATGATTCAGTAAATAAAACACTTCCTTTTCTATTAAAATTAACCCATAGAGGGCCCACTAAAAATGAGACAATCATGAACCTGCATTAGGGAAATTAACTCCACAACCCAGGGACAATAATTTGGTTAAAGTGCCTCCTAGGAGTGCCTTCAGTAACTCTAGCAGGATTATCGAGAGGCAGGCATGAATTACTCATTCATTCAACAGTCTTACACATAATAAAGTCGTGGTAAAAGATCTACAAAAGGCACTGGATAATACAAAGGTGAAAATGAAAGTCCTGGCCTTTAACATAACTTACGGTATGGTCTGCTTTTGCTGTTTTTATCTCTAGCAACCAGAAACATGCTTGCACAATGTAGGTGGCTCAATAAGCACTTTCTATATTTAATTTCAACTCACAAGGGAAAAGCAGCATGCAATCATGTAGCTAAGCGCCAAGAAGAGAAACACTTGCTCTTTGGCCCTTAAGGAAGCTCATCATCAAGCATGGAGACAATTTAGGATACAAATCAACCAGTATTAGAACAGAAACACTGGGTTCTAGCATAGCATAAAGCAATGCTGTCCCCAGTATCTGGCAATGCCTGCAGACATTTTTGGTTGTTACAATTGGAAGGGAGGTGATGTTACTGGAATTTAGAGGCTACAAACCAAGGATGCTGCTAAATATCCTGTAAGCACAGCCTTTCCCCACCTCCCACTGTAAGAACTATCTGGCCCAAAGTCAATAGTAGTGCCAAGGTTGAGAAATCTTGGCATAAAGGGGAAAAGTAGAGGTACCACGCCAGACTGCCTAGGTTTGAATTCTTGCTCCACTATCATATAACCTTGGATATGTTACTTCACCTGTAGAATGAGAAGAGTAATAAAATCTGCCTTACTGGTTACTGTAAAAATCAGAGTTATTATAGGCAAATCCACCGGCCAACACTATAGGCTCAATAAATGTTAGCTATTGCTATCCACTAGAGGGTAAGCTCTGTTAGAACAAAAATTTATCTGTTTTGTTCCCACTGCCTAGAACAGTGCCTGACATATAGTGTGCCATCAATAAATATGTGTTAAACAAATGAATATATAAGATATCATGTAGGCATAACACAAGGACCACATGGAGAGGTCAGACAGATAATGAGCTGTTTGTGGCACATTGAGTTTGAACTGACTGCAGAACGGTCCAGGAGAGATGTCCAAGAAGCAATTGGATATGAAAGTCTAAAATGGCCGGGCATGGTGGCTCACACTTGTAATCCCAACACTTTGGAAAGCTGAGGCAAGTGAATTGCCTGAGTCCAGGAGTTCGAGACCAGCCTGGGCAACATGGCAAAACCCTATCTCTACAAAAAATACATAAATTGGCCAGGTGTGGTAGAGTGTGCCTGTAGTCCCAGCTACTTGTGGGGCTGATGCAGGAGGATCACTTAAGCCTGGAAGTGGAGGCTGCAGTGAGCCTGCACTCTAGCCTACGTGACAAAGCAAGACCCTGTCTCGGGGAAAAAAAAAAAAAAAAAAAGAAGTTTAAAACAAATATAGTGGTCAAAAAACACAGAAGAGAGAGTCATCAGCATACTAGTGATAGGTGACAACACTTACAGTTATGAAATGGGCTAGTGAAAGGGGGGATGAGAACACAGTCCTGGGAAGAAAATGAATTATGAAAAGGAGACAATTGTCAGATTTTAAAAGATCATGTTTATTCATTATGAAAGGAGTCAGAAGCCCATTAGAGGAAAGAGTTTAGTGTGACAAAAATACACTTAAATGTACACAGACAAAAACAAGTGTACATGTGCATGTACTAAGGAAATGAAACCAGAGAAGATGCCGAAGACACAAGGAAGATAACAGTTAAAGCAAGGTTAAGGACAAAGGAAAGGATAAGAGGTAGAGCACAGATAAAGGAACTGGAAGGGAAAGGAAGGAGTTAGGAGACTAGGAATTAGTAGAGGAGGACAGGTAGAGAGCCACAAAAGTTTATATGGAGGCATTGGAAGTTGCAGGAGTTCATGCTTAAGAACTTTCATTTATTCATTTTTTTAAAATTTCCCCTGGGGAATGAAAACCTTGAGGAAAAGGAGAGTGTTTTGAAATAGGCACTTAGAGGAACGAAAGGGAACTGATCAAGACAATGGTGATTTCCTACAGAAAGCCCAGGATTCGAAACCATAAATTTACGGAGGAACTTGGATAAGTGTGAAGCTAGATGGCTTGAATGTGAGGGTTGGAAATATTCAAAAAGGTACAAGATAAGGACGGGTTGTGGAGAACATAGTTGAACTAATGTTCCATAGGGTCCTGGAAGGAAATTGACCTTAAGAGAGGCCCATTTAGGACTGTAGCCAAGATGCTCAGAAATTAAATCTGATTTGTGAATGAACAAAGATTTATATATAAAAGTTTTTGGAATATTCTGAAATAAAGTTGGGACTGTATCACATAAAATGTACGTAAGAATAATGCTACACATAGGCCGAGGGTGGTAGTTCACACCTGTAATCCCAGCACTTCTGGAGGCTGAGGCAGGTGGATCGCTCGAGCCCAGGAGACTGAGGCCAGTGTGGGCAACACGGCAACATGGCAAAACCCCATCTCTACTAAAATACAAAAATTAGCCGGACGTGGTGGTCATGCCTGTGGTCCCCCATCTACTCGGGAGGATCACTTGAGCCTGGGAGGTGGAGATTGCAGTGAGACAAGATTGTGCCACTGCACACAGGCCTGGGCAACAGAGTCAGACCTGTCTCACAAAAAAAAAAATAATAATAATAATAATAATAATGCTACATAAAGCTACAACAGGAGACAGGAGTCAATGAGAAGTCAAATCCCTGCCTCAAAAATTATTACAGTTTTGTCAAGGTACTTAACTTCTCAGGTTTCTTCATTTCTGAAATGGTAAGAGAAATGCCAACATCAATAATTTATTTTTTAAAACAGGGTCTTACTCTGTCATCTGGGCTGGAGTGTAGTGGTGCCCTCGAGGATCACTGTAGCCTCAACTTGTCAGGATCACATGATTCTCCTGACTCAGTCTCTGAGTAGCTGGCACTAAAGGTGTGTGTCACCAAGCCTCACTAATTTCTGCAAGTTTCTGTTTTTTTGTTTTGTTTTGTTTTTTTCTTCAAAAGAGACAAGGTTTCACCACGTTGCCTAGGCTGGTCTTGAACTCCTGGCCTCGAGTGATCTGCGTCCCTGGCCTCCCAAAGAGCTGGGATTACAGGTGTGAGTCTCACCATGTCAAGGATTTTTTTTTTTTTAAGAATTAAAATATATACAATAACATATAAGATACCCAAGTAACAAGCTAAGAAAAGAGTATGTACTCAACAAATGAAATAAAAGCCCATTTCATTTCTGCCTACATTTTTTCAGAGAATGTTTTTAAAAGACACCCCTGGGTACAGTGGTTCACACCTGTAGTCCTAGCTACTTGAGAGACTGAGGTAGGAGGATCACCTGAGCCTGGAACTTCAAGACTGGCCTGGGCCAAAAAAACAAAAAAGATACTCCTGGGAAATCTCCTTGAGAATGTTTCTCAATTCTGCCCTCAGTTTTCCAGGGGAGAGAATACTTCCTGATCCAGCCACATGTAGTTTTCTAATCTGCTAGATGTAAATTACATGAATATTAAAAGAATTAAATGAGATATTATTAAAAGCAAAAAGGGATAGAAAATATAAGATGGTTTCATTATTAATGGTGATTTAGTCAATCCACAAGCTACAGGGTCTACAGTGTCCCTATTGGTAAGCAGTTAGCAAGTTCCTATCTCTGTACCATTATCCAAAAATGAAAGAAAGTTAGTTTAAGGCTCAGTTAAACAAAGGATATAAGAGAGAGCCAGAGATATCACTGCTAATTGAAACGTAAGAACTAGCTTGAGATAAGAGCTAAAACTAAAGAAAGCTCCAGAATAAATTTTTGTGACCCTGGATTAGGCAACGGTTTCTTAGATATGACACCAACAGACCAAACCATAACCAAAAAACCCCAGAAAATGGATATCACCAAAATTTTAAAAACTCCCATCCCCATTCTCAATTATTTTGGGAAGATAACTAAGGAGTAGACTTAGTGCATCCAATGGTAACTCTATTTTAACTTTCTGAGGAACCATCAAAGTGTTTTTCTCAGCAGTTGCACCATTTTGCATTCCTACCAGCAATTCGCAAGGGTTCCAATTTCTCTACATCCTTGCCAACGCTGGTGATTTTCTATTTTTGTTTGTGTTATAGACACCCTAGTTGGTGCAAAGTGGTATCTCATTGTGGTTTTCATTTGCATTTCCCTAATGATTAGTGATGTTGAGCATCTTGTGCTTCTTGGTCATTTGCATAACTTCTTCAGAAATATCTATTCAAATCTTTTCTCATTTTAAAATTGGGTTGTCTTTCTGTTGGGTTGGGGCTTTTTGTTTGTTTCTTTTTACTTTTTTATTTTTTAAATATAAATAGAGATAGGGTTTCACCATGTTGCCCAGGCTGGTCTTGAACTCCTGGTCTCAAGTGATCCTCCACCCTCAACCCCTCAAAGTACTGGAATTACAAGCATGAGCCATCACACCCGGCCTGTTGGGCAGTTTTAAGAGTGCTTTGTAGATTCTGGATTCTAAAGTGCTTATCAGATAAAGGATTTGCAATATTTTTCTTCCCCCCATTCTGTAGGCTGTCTTTCACTGTCTTGATAATATCCTTTAATGCACGAAAGTTCTAAATTTTGATGAAGTCCAACTTATCTACTTTTGCTTTTGTTGCTCATGCTTTTGGTGTCAGCCATTTGCTTCTCCCCAAGCTCTCTTATTTGAGCTATAATACTCTGGTTACATATAGCACACAAACTCAAATATGAAATCAGCCTAATTATAATAAAGACTACCTTGATAACATATGAAGTTTATTATAATGTAAGAATACCCGCTTATTAACATAGCTAAAATCTTAGACTTAAAAACAATAATACTTTTCCTAACGAAAGTAATGACAAAAAGTCTCCCCTCCCCCACTTTTTTACATACCTCCTATAGAAGTGCCAGTGGTACTATTGCTTGTAAGAGTAGCTGAAGTCTCTGACACTGTGGAAGGTTGGCTACTGGTGACAGCTGAAGCAGTATCAGAGGCCTGCTCAGAGGTAGATGGATTTGAATTGTTAATGGAAGCGCTAGTAGCTTGTGATTCCATTCTTGCAGAAGTGGTTGGTACTACAGTAGGTTCTACAAAATACAAAATGTCAACTTAGCATTTCAAAACAAATTAGATAAAGGGTTATATTTTAATGTAAGCTAATGTGTTTATAATTAATAAATAAAAAAACTTTAAAAATACAAGCTCTCTAATAACATTTGGTAAAGAAAGCGTTCACAAAGCTAAACTGCAATATCGAACAGACGTGTTACCAAAATATTACTGCATTTTAAAAAAATCCAACACCGATATGCTTATTCCAATAATTTAGGTGATTTAACAGTTTTTCAGGTAGCTTCTAAATAAGTTGTCTGATCTATCACAAAGAAGAAAACAGTAAAAGGAAATAAAAGTTCCTTACTATGCACGTACACATGGTCACGAGCTGCCAGAACAGTGTTACAAACCACACTGTCTGACACAATATGGATTCTAGGGTAAGACTGCCTGGATAGCAATACTGATTTCACCACTGACAGTATGAATATAAATAAGTTATTTAACCATTCTCCATTTCCTCATCTGTAGAACTGGGAAAGCATCAGAATTTTCTTCATAGAACTGTCATTAGGATGAACTGAGATCACATACTTCGTATGATGCCTTACAGAGAGTAATCACTTAGCATTAGCTATGATTTCCAATAACTGTTTTAATCTCCTTTCCATGCCTTTTTATATGTTTTCCAAAGAAAATTTTGTAAATATTAATACTCATCAGTGCTTTCTAATAAAAATTAACATTTTTCTATCAGAAAGTAAAAGAAATTTCAGGTAGACTTCAACTTATGAGTGAGTTAAGTTTCAAAGAACTAATTTTAAAATGGTTGCTTAAAATTGAGAACGGTAGGAATAAATCCATCCAAAGCATAGTCACGACAATTAAATCTGAAAAGAAGGGGGGTCTCTTAATGTGCTATGGAATGAGAGGGTTGACTTTCTATACAATGCAGTAAGGTAAGCTAATTCCTTAGGCACAAATAGTACCTGTGAATCTATATGGGACACTTTGAATGCTAGTATGTCCAAATGCTTGTATATGCAAATTGCTTGTACATAAAAAAGGGGGAAAAGAACTTCTGTTTATTTGTAAATAGTTTAACCAGGGTTTCTCAACCTTGGCAATACTAACATTTTGGGCTAGACAATTTTTTGTTCGCTGGGGAGGAGATGTGCACTGTGAACAGCATGATGTTTAGCAACAACCATGGTCTCTATCCATTAGATGTCAGTAGCATCCTCCCCTAACTGTGAAAACCAAAAATGTCTGCAGACATTGCCAAATATCACTTGGGGGAGAAAACTGCCCCTAGTTGAGAACCACTGGTCTGATGTACTTAGTTTTAGATTCATTTTTAATAAGAGAGAAGCTTTCCAATGAGAAAAACTAGTGGGGGGAAAGGGAGCATCTACTAATCACTGGAATACTTTTAACCCAGTAAAGTGTAAATTCTGGTTGAACTTACTGTAATGTGGAAAAGGCTACTCTATCACCTTCTCCTACTTACTGGCTAGCAGGTGTCACATCGGAACACAAAAAGTTTCCAAAATAGTCACCCTATATTTAATTAACTGAGTAATCATTAATTAATCCCTATTACATTAACGACTGTCTTACAGATCATTTACAGTGCTTCAAAACAAAAACCAAGAGATTGTTGAATGAAATGCAAACAGTTGTTATCTCTTCATAAACAACTGGGTACTGATACTCTGAAAGTTATGACCACCCAAACTGCAAATAGCCCATAGAAGAGCTGATTGTATATGGCCTCTAACTCTTTCCACCTATCAACTCTTTCCATCTACCTGATATATTCTTTGCCCAATTTATAGCTAACTCCCAAACCTAACAAACTCATATATGGCTTACCATTTTCCTTTTGGGAAATTATGAGTGACCATTTCCTAAGATATAACTAATAATACCTCAAGATGATTCCCAATATGTGGGCAAATTCACATATGTATTCATTCATATATTCCTAAATTCTACCACTTTTCCTAACCTCTGTATTCCAACTCTGGTTTTGTTTCCTCAGTTACTTGGGTACAGCTGTAAGCCAAAATAAAATACAAAAAATGAGCAGCACAAAAAGGTACCGATAATATTGAAGGATAACATAATTTTTAAAAGTAAAGTTAGACATTTCAAACAGCCAGTATTAGTCATTCAAAATTCAGTTATACTGCTTTTGTGTTTATATTTAAAAAGTACTGCTTCTACTTTTTCATGGCAAGTTAAAGACAATCATTATTACAAATCAAACTAAACTAGTTTGAGCTAACCTCAAACTACCACTTACAAAAATATTTTTTCCTGAGAAAATAGCTATCAAGTATTGAAACAATAACCACAAAGAATTTTATGTAAATTTACAAGCCTAGGATATCAATTAAAAACGAGATTAAAAAA
Organism: Homo sapiens; assembly: GCF_000001405.40. NCBI lineage: Eukaryota > Metazoa > Chordata > Mammalia > Primates > Hominidae > Homo > Homo sapiens. The sequence continues at coordinate 59,055,969 of NC_000015.10, read as the reverse complement.
TCTGACAATTTCCCTGTAGTTTAATAATATATTACCAGTAAGCAGGAGGAGTTTCTAGCATATTAAGAGATTTCCTTTTATCAAACTCCTTTCATAATTTTCTACTGTTACTACTTCAATTTACCATCTTCATCAACGGTAAGGTCCACAACTTCTGCTGCATTCTGCCTCAAGGGCTGTATAACAGTAGAAATCCTACTGCGGTTCCGTGGCTCCTGTGGCCGACTTGCATGAGAACTGGAACCCTGGCTCCAATGAGATCTGGAGTGTCCAAGGGTTGAACGAGACCTTAAATGACATCAATATTAAGTTAGTAAATATAAATAAAGAATTTTTAGTCACCACAAAAACCCATAAGCCTTTCTTACTAAATGTTAAGTTTTTCATACAAGATTTCTCCAAAGAAATAATCGTAATTAAAAATCATGACTGGCACTCGGTAAACTAATTGACCTAAGAATATAAGAAATACTATGTTGTACCAATCATTAGTGTAAAATACAGGATTCTGTTTCAAGAATGCTACTCTCTCTTCCATGGTTACTTTTGAGAATTTACCCAGGTTATAATAAACTATTTACATTTTCTGTTAATAGCTAAAATTACTCACCATAGGTAAAGGAATAAAAATAACACCCTACACATTTAATAATATCCACAAGGTCTTGTATGTTTAGCTCAGGATAGATTTGCAAAACATTCCTTTGGGAGTCCTAAACCAAGCTAAGCTTCTAGTATTGCCATAAAAGAAAACAAAACAAAAAAAATAAACAGGCACCAGGGAGATTTCCTGATGTGTAGAGGTAAGGACATTGTGGCTAGTTTACTAGTTTGGTAGCCCTAAGAAATATTACTTGCGTGAGCTAGTTTATGCTTCTAAAACACGTGACTGTGAACCCTAAACATCTAACTTCATTTAAGTATGTGTGTGGCATTACACTGTTCTAAATTTACTTACAGGTGTATATACTTTGAAGGACTCACTATAATGATTTGGACTAAGGACATACAGGGATAATATGTAGAATATGCAGTCCTAAGGCTCCAGGATAAAAAAATAAATCTTTTAGAAAGGTGAGGCCAATAAAACACAAGGGCTTTCTCCTGTTCAAACTAAATATAAAACTGCTTATAACCTTATTGTCAGCATTTACAGAAAATATCTGTAATATAAAAGGTCATTGGGGGTGGGTGCTTAACCACTAAGAAGAGAACTCCAAAGGTCAAAGTGGGCTGAAAATGGCCTCAACATTTTCAGCCCAACTTGAACTTCAACGATTATAGAACCCAGAGTTTAAAAAGTTCAAATTCTAAAATAAAATTCTTAAGAAGGAGTATAAAGTTAATTACCGAGCCACTGTCAACATAGGATAGTACATATCAGAAACAGTTGTGGTATAGCTTGAGCCAAGATAGCCATGTCTTGGGATAAAATGGTTTTGTATGAGGAAAGATACCACCATTTAAAATTCTTGAAAAATCAAGAGTCTATGATGAGACTGAGTAGTCTATTATCTCTGGGAAGCTGTTAATAGCTGAAGGAAGTTATAGGTCCACTTTGCAGTACTTTTGTGAAAGCATCATATTGTACTAGATGGAGCAACTGCAAAAAAACATGAATGTATGAGGAAGTCTCAAGGAGGTATTAGTGGCCACTATGATTAGTAGCAACTGTCAAATCCTGACACAAAAGACTCTAAAACAAAGAAATACTCTCTTAAATGAAAGGGCCAGGCCAGGCGTGGTGGCTCACGCCTGTAATCCTAGCACTTTGGGAGGCCGAGGCGGGTGGATCACAAGGTCAGGAGTTCGAGACCAGCCTGGCTAATATGCTGAAACCCCGTCTCTACTAAAAATACAAAAAAAATTAGCCAGGTGTGGTGGCTCATGCCTGTAATCCCAGCTACTCACAAGGCTGAGGGAGGAGGATTGCTTGAACCCAGGAGATGGAGGCTGCGGTGAGCCAAGATGGCGCCACTGCCCTCCAGCCTGGGTGACAGAGGGAGACTCTGTCTCAAAAAATAAATAATTAAGTAAAATAAACTAAAGGGCAAAAAGCCAGCTAAACAGTAACAAAATTAATATCTCTTAATAACAATAAGAGATATAACAATGGGTCATGTACACTGTGGGTCTTTTTCAAGATCACTGCCTATTAACTCAGGTAAATGCATCTGCTTGACATCAACCATGTCCAAAACAAGATCTCTAGTCCTACAAGGAAAAATAGGTCTGTAATTTCAGTAGTCCTTACAGCTCATAAAAATTGAGTCAATGTTGTACCAAGCACTATGCACGGTCAGAGGATAGGTGTGGTACATAACACTGGTTTTCAGTTTTACTCAGAGTTGGGGAAAATAATATAAAATTAAAACAAACAAGTATATGTTATAGAATGCTCACTTCCATGCCTTTAGAAGTAGCACTTCGATGCTAAAATGGCAAGTGGAAAAGCATGTTCTAAGTGTTTGTAACAGATGTCAGAAATATGAATATATACTTTTAAAATCAGTAACATATTAACATGCAATAAGCAAATGCACTTCTAAATTCGTTCCAACACAAAAATTAAGATTCATCCGTTAGATTATTAGTTGGGTGTATCAAATGTAACAAAGCAACTCTTTATTGCTATTATTACCAATACTTATAATCATCTAAAGTATAAGATGAATGCAATGTTAGGAGTTGATATTTTGGAGGGAGAGTCAAAGTGATTCCGCAATAGGGCAATGTCTTTTCCAGTTATTTATAAAAACAGATAAGGATGTTTCATTAATGTGTTAGTTCAGAGCACCGATAAAATTACTGAGTGAAGGAAAAAGAATCAAAACATATGTTTTGAATTAGGGTGCCCTAACACAGTAACAGCACAAGTTTCACTGGTATCAATGAGTAACATATTGAAACAAGTAGATTCTAACAGAAAGGGCTATTTCAACATCAATACCCCTTAATATTTTTTCATTTTTAATTTGGTACCATCCCCAATATTTATGTATTATTCACATCTAAATTTCAAAGCAGATCAATTCTCCATATCATTAAAAAACACAATTTTATAAAACACTAAGTAAAATTATTGTTTATTCAGAGCATTAACTCTTAACTCTCATTGTATACTTGGGGTGCTTTTAAAAAGACTAACCTCTAAAATTCTAGTTCAAGTATGGGAAAGAGTCTGGGCAACAATATAGCTTTATTTTATTATCTCTCCAGGTGAGTTTAATGCAGCCTGCTTTGAAAAGGACAAATCTAGACAGGCTTAGTGACATGTGCCTACAGTCCTAGCTACTATGGAGAATGAGACAGGAGAATCACTTGAGCCAAGGGGTAGAAGTCCAGCCTGGGTAACATAGCAATATTCTATCTCTTACCAAAAAAAAAAAAAAAAAAAAAATCCACTAATCTGATATATGCATACTCAAACTGGGTCTCAAAAATAAATAAATAAAAAGAATGCAAATATCTGCAGCACAAATATGTTTAATATTTATATTTAATATTTCAAACATTTAACTAAGAATTAAAATCTCACCGATAGCTTTCTCCAACTGTTACAATCTCCACTTCACTGTCAGTTGAGGTAACATTAATTTCTTCATTGGCAGTAACCTGGGGAGTGGAGGAAGCTTCTATCACCACAACATCTTCATCAATACTTCCTGGAAACAAAAAGAAAAAACATTTAAAGGCATCTTCCTGTCAGCTAATCGTTAGGCAGAAATTTTTATTTTGACTTTGAAGACCATGAAATTCATTGCAAAAATAAAAATCTTATCTGTCAAAAAGGTTTTTTAAAAAAATACACAAGGAACAAAAAACACACACAGTAAAAATGGTAATCACTGTTTTAATCTACACTTCTTTGCATGTTTACTTCCTCTTCTATGGATTTGTTGTATTCATTACAGATGTTCAGTGGTTTCTACATGATTTGTAAGATCTTATATAGATATTTATCCTGTAATATCTGTAGTATATTATAGATCTTGTATAAGATATTCTACTATATAAGATATTAACCCTTTAATAGCTCAAAGTAATTACAATAGCTTTATGTTTTTTCCAAGGTTGTTTTCATTTAGGTGATATATTCTTTTAAAAAAACACTGTAGCTTTTTAGTTTTATGTTATGAAATTTGTCATTTGTTTATTTATTCATTTATTTATTTATTTATTTATTTATTTATTTATTGAGACAGTTTCTCACTCTGTTGCCCAGGCTGGAGTGCAGTGGGATGATCTCGGCTTACTGCAACCTCCTCTGCCTCCTGGGTTCAAGTGATTCTCATGCCTCAGCCTCTCAAGTAGCTGGGACTACAGGCATGCACCACCACACCAGGCTAATTTTTTAGTAGAGATGGGGTTTCACCATGTTGCCCAGGCTTGTCTTGAAATTCTAACCTTAAGTGATCTGGCTCCCTCAGCCTCCCAAAGTGCTGGGATTATAGGCGTGAGCCACTGCACCCAGCCAAAATTTGTCTTTTTTTTTTTTTCCTTTTTTTTTTTGAGACAGAGTCTCGCTCAATCGCCCAGTCTGGAGTGCAGTGGCGCCATCTCTGCTCACTGCAAGCTCCGCCTCCTGGGTTCACACTGTTCTCCTGCCTCAGCCTCCCGAGTAGCTAGAACTACAGGCACCTGCCACCAGGCCCAGCTAATTTTTTTTTGTTTATTTTTAGTAGAGACGGGGTTTCACTGTGTTAGCCAGGATGGTCGCGATCTCCTGACCTCATGATCCACCCTCCTCAGCCTCCCAAAGTGCTGGGATTACAGGCGTGAGCCACCGCACCAGGCGCAAAATTTGTCATTTTTAAATGCCCGTTCTTTTCTAAATCATTCTAAACTTGGAAAGTGCATCCTTATTTAGAAGATGGATAAGTATTAAATTAGAGTTGGTCCAAGTCTTTAATATTCTTTATATTACTGTATCTAGAACTGATTTTTGTTATGACATTAGATAAGATTATATAAATAGAATCCTGCTCTGTCTCTCCACAGCTAACTAGCTATCACCAAAACATTTATTGAAAAATCTTTTTTACCCCATTAATTTTTGATACCTCCTCTAATTTTCAGTTATGCAAAAGAAATACATACTGGAAATTTACTGCACAACATAGGGTCTATGATTAGCAATAACGTATTGTATGTTTAAAACTTTGCTAAAAGGGTATAACACATTAAGTGCTCTAACCAAAAAAGGAAACAAAAGTAAGGAGACAGGAAGAAATTTTTGGAGGTGATGGATTTAAGTCCATGGCACTGATTGTAATGATGGTTTTACAGGTGTTATAGCTCTTTCCAAACACATCAAGTTATATACACTACCTTCCTTCAGCTTTTAGTATACTAATCATACCTCAATAATGCAGTTAAAATATTTTTTGATACTTCTCTTAAATATTACACGTATTTTACGGTCCATTTTGAAACTATTCAACCCCTTTGATATAGAGTCTAGTGTCAGGGTAAGTCTACTTTTTAAAATAGTTTTTTTGAGGTATAATTTACATACTTTAAAATTCAACCATTTAATCTGGCCTTTCGCCAGAAACCACCATCTTCCAATAATTCACCAAGATGACAAACACAAAGGAAAAAAGAAGAGGCACCTCCAATTTGTTCTCTAGGGCTTTTGGAAAACATGGAGTTGTTCCTTTGGCCACAGACACAGGAATCTACAAGAAAAAGCGATGTTGTAGACATCAAGAAAATGGCTACTGCTCATACAATAATTAGTCGAGCATGGTGGTGCTAGCCTGTAATCCCAGCTACTCAGGAGGCTGAGGCAGGAAAATCGCTGGAACTCAGGAGGCGGAGATTGCAGTGAGCCGAGATCACGCCAATGCACTCCAGCCTGGGCAACAGAATGAGACTTCATCTCAAAACAAAAAAAAAAAGAAAAAGAAAAGAAAATGGCTACTGTGGGCCGGGCGTGGTGGCTCACGCCTGTAATCCCAGCACTTTGGGAGTCTGAGGCAGGAGGATCATGAGGTCAGGAGTTTGGGACCAGCCTGACCAACATGGTAAAACTCCATCTCTACTAAAAACACAAAAATTAGCCGGGTGTGGTGGCACGCACCTGTAATCCCAGCTACTCAGGAGGCAGGAGAATCACTTGAACCTGGGAGGCAAAGGTTGCAGTGAGCCGAGATCGCGCCATTGCACTCCAGCCTGGGTGACGGAGCGAGACCCCATCTCAAAAAAAAAAAAAAAAAAAAGAAAGAAAGAAAAAGAAAATGGCTACTGTTCAAAAAGGAATGCCCACAAATATTACCATGGCAAAACTGGAAGTTACAATGTTATCCAGCATGCTGTTGGCAATGCTGTAACAAACGAAATTCTTGCCAAAAGAATTAATGTATATAATGAGCATATAAAGCACTACAGCTGAGATGGCTTCCCAAAACACATGAAGGAAAAAGATCAGAAAAAGAAGGAAGCCAAAGAGAAAGGTACCTAGGTACAACTGAAGCACCAGCATTCTCCACCCAGAAAAGCACACTTTGTGAGAACCAATGGACAGGAGCCTGAACTGCTGGAACCTATAACCTGTGAATTCATGGCATACTAGGTGGCCAAAAAAAAAAAAAAAAAAAAAAAATCAAAGACACCTGGACTATAAATAAAACAAAATAAAACTTGAGGGCATTACGCTAAGTGAAATAAGCCAGTCATAAAAAGACAAAAACTGTGATTCCAGTTATGTGAAGTATCTAAAGTAGTCAAATTTGTAGAAACAGAAAGAAGAGTGGTGGTAACCAGGGTCAGAGCGAGGAGAAAGAGGAGTTGTATAATGGCTATAGAGTTCCAGTTTTGGAAGATGGAAAAGTTCTGGAGATCTGTTTCACAACAAATGTAAATATACTTTTTTGTGTGTGTGTGAGACAGGGTCAGGCTAGAGTGTAGGGGCACAATCACGCTCATGCCGTCAATCTCCTGGGCTCCAGTGATCCTCCTAACTCAGCCTCCTGAGTAGCTGGGACTACAGGTGCACACCACCACACCCAGCTAATTTTTGTTTGTTTGTTTGTTTTTTAAAGAGACAGGATCTTAGTACACTGCCCAGGCTGGTCTCGAACTCCTAGGCTCAAGTAATACTCCTCCCACCTCAGTCCCCCAAAGTGCTGGGGTTACAAGTATGAGCCACTGCACCTGGTCCCAATGTGAATATACCTAACACTACTGAACAATAAGCTTAAAAATAGTTAAAATGGTTTTTAAAAAAGTAACCCTCCATTTCTTTTCTTGCTGTATTTTTTACAAACCTGTTGTTGAATGGCTTCTTCATTACTATCACCTGTCAATACAAATGTCACCCAACAGTTTACAAATAATGTCTGTAATTAAGAATTTTCACATAATGAGTGTAAAAAAATTCACCGATTTTAAGTGTACATTTTGCTAATTTTAGTAAATTTATGGAGTGTAATCATCACCACAATCCAGTTTAAGAACATTTCCAATAACCCCAAAAGAGCTCGCAAGTCCTATTTCAGTCAGTCATCATCCCCTATACCAACTCCAATACCCCTGCAACAACTGATCTGCTCTCTGTCATTATGAATTGGTTTGGATTTTGTAAAGTTTTATGTTAAGTGGAGTCACACATTGCATACACTTTTGGCTCCTTTCACTCAGCGTATTTATGTTGAAATATATTCATTTGTTGTATCAATATTCATACTTTTTTTATTGCTGAGTAGTATCCAATCATATGGATATAACATACTTTATCCATTCATCCACTGATGGACATTTGGGTTTTGCTCAGTTTTTGCATATTACAAATAAAGTAGCTATGAACATTCATGTATAAGTCTTCCTACAAACATGTGCTTTCATTTCTCTTAGGTAAATACTTAGGAATGTAATTTCTAGGTTCTATGGTAAATTTGTTTAACTTTTTAAGGAACTGCCAAATTGTTTCCCTAAGTGGCTCTACAATTTTACATTCCCAATAGGGAAATGAAGGTTTCAGGTTCTCCACATCCTCACCAGTACCTATTATTGTTTCTTTTTCATTAAACTTGTTCCAGTGGCTATACGTGGTATCTCATTGTGGTTTTAATAACCATTTCTAAAATAAGTAGGCTGGATACAGTGGCTCACGCCTATAATCCCAGCACTTTGGGAGACCGAGGCAGGCAGATTGCTCGAGCTAAGGAGTTCAATCCAGCCTGGGCAACATGGCGAAAAACTGTCTCTACAAAAAACACAAAAATTACCTGGGCATGGTAGCACATGCCTGTAGTCCCAGATACTTGGGAGGCTGAGGTAGGAAGACAGCTTGAGCCTGGGAGACGCACGTTGCAGTGAGCCAAGATGGCACCACTGCACTCCAGCCTGGGCAACAGAGCCAGACCTTGTCTCAAAACATAATAATAATTAAAAAAAACACAAAATAACTAATGGTGCTGAGCATTTTTTCATGTGATTATTAGTTACTCTGGTTTTTGTCTGTTTGTGTTTGAGAAAGTGTCTTGATCCAATGCCCAGGCTGGAGTACAATGGCACGATAATAGCTCACTGCAGCCTTGACCTCCCGGGCTCAAGCAATCCTGCCACCTTAGCCACCCCAGTAGCTGCGACTACAGGTACCTGCCACCATGCCCAGCTAATTTTTAAATTTTTCATACAAATGAGATCTCATATGTTGCTCAGGCTGGTCTCGAATTCCTGAGCTCAAGTGATCTTCCTACCTTGGACTCCCAAAGTGCTAGGATTATAGATGTGAGCCACCGTGCCAAGCCTAATTTTATTAGCCACTTTGGTGAAATGTCTATTCTTCTGTCCATGTTTAATCTGAGCTTTTGGTCTCATTGTTGAATTATAAGAATTCCTGGCCAGGCATGATGGCTCATGCCTGTAATCCCAGCATTTTGGGAGGCTGAGGTAAGTGGATTGCTTGAGCCTAGGAGTTCAAGACCAGCCTGGGCAACATGGCAAAACCTCGTCTCAACAAAAGCTACTCCGGAGGCTGAGGTGGTAGGATCACTTGAAACCAGGGGGCCGAGTCTGCAGTGAGCCGAGACTGTGCCATTGTACTCCAGCCTGGACAACAGAGTGAGACCCTGTGTCTCAAAATAATAATAATAAAAAATAAAGAGTTCCTTATATATCCTGAATACAAGTCTTTTCTCAGATATACTATTTGCAAATATTTTCTCCCAGTCTGTGACATGCCTTTTCATTTTCTTAATAGTGTCTTTTGAAGCACGAAAGTCTCTAATTTTAATGTTCAAATTGGCAACTTCTTTTATGGATTGTGATTTTGGTGACATATTTAAGAAACCTTTGTCTAACCCAAGGTCACTGAGATTTTCTCCTATGCCTTATTCTAGAACTTGTATCATTTAGTTCTTACATTTAGGTCTATGATCTACTTTGTTAATTTCTGTGTCAGACAACAGGTAAAAGGTCTAAATTTATCTTTTCTGCATATGAATATACAATACTCCAAAGAACAGAACAGGCCAGGTACAGAGGCTGACGCCTGTAATCACAGCAATCTGGTAGGCTGAGGTGGGCAGATCACTTGAGCCCAGGAGTGCGAGACCAGCCTGGGTAACATGGTGAAACCTCATTTCCACAAAAAATAAAAAATTAGCCAGGTGTGGTGGCATGTGCCTGCAGTACCAGCTACCCAGGAGGCTGACGTGGGAGGATCACCTTAGCCCTGGAGGCTGAGGCTGCAGGGACCCCTGATGGCGCCACTGCAGTCCAGCCTGGGCAACAGAATGAAATCCTGTCTCAAAAAATTAAAGGGAAAAAAAAAAAAAAGCAGCAAATAGGAGCAGACACTGGTAAATAACGGAGATAATGAAAGATTATCTGATTTACAGAAACGTTTTAAAAATTACTTAATAATATTGTATTTATATTCTGGAATATTTGCGAAATGTTATTATCAATTAGAAAACATAACATTTATTAGGAGTTATGAGATGTGAAAATATTTGAAGTGGTTTTTAAGTCCTAAAGATTACACACACAGACTGAGGTAAAATGCATTTTTAACAGTGCAAATATATCTTACAGGCAGAAAAACAACAAAACAGTAGCACCCAAGTGGCTATTTAAAATAATATTGTAGATTGAATTTCCAAATTATTTTCCAACTCTTGCTTCATAATCATAAACACAATGCAGCTTAAGGTAGAAGTACAAAAGGAACCTTGAGATATTAATCCAGCTAACCATTGACTTTGCAGACATGTTACTTGTTAATTAACTCAAATTATTAAATATGGAATTAAGTATGGTGGTAAAAGTACATTTAAAACTAAAAGCATTATGTATCAACGACAAGTCATATTTTTTAAAAAACTTTCCTTATTTCAACCCATAAACTGGGCATTACCAATTCGACATGGAGAAAAGTTATATCTATATGTCAACTTCATTTATGATTTTTCTCCATTTATCTGTATACAAAATTTCTTTTAAAACCTGTTTTTAAAAAGAGGAAAAACTAAGGCCGGGCGCAGTGTCTCACGCCTGTAATCCCAGCACTTTGGGAGGCTAAGACGGGCAGATCACAAGGTCAGGAGATCGAGACCAGCCTGGCCAACATGGTAAAACCCCGTCTCTACTAAAAATGCAAAAAGTAGCCAGGTGTGGTGGCAGGTGCCTGTAGTCCCAGCTACTCGGGAGGCTGAGGCAGGAGAATCACTTGAACCTGGGAGGCAGAGGTTGCAGTGAGCCAAGATCGTGCCACTGCACTCCAGGCCTGGGTGACAAGAACAAAAACTCTGTCTCAAAAAAAAAAAAAAGAGGAAACACTTAAAAAAAAAAACTGTAAAAAATAAGCTAACATTATCGAACACCTTTTACATGGCTTATGTAACATTTTGAAACCTCAATGATAAATGATACAAAGCTAGCTTTGCTAATGCATGAAAATTCAATTTATATAACTTTTTATGAATACAGAGATTATGTAACTAAAAGTATAAAAATAGCTTGCTTAGGCACTCTTATTCTATTGCTTAAACATCATTATTTTTCTAAAAAGGACTTTATGCATAACTTGAACATAATACATAAAAATTATATAACTAAAGCATATTCACAACAGGCAACATTTTGGCATCTACAATCCAGTGTTTTCTAAGATAAGTTATTTAAACCAAAATTTTAAAAGGGAAACATTTCAAAAATTATAAAGTTAATCTTATTAAATAGCACGACTTAAAAGAAAATCAAGAGAATAGGTCACTTCTTACTGGGTCAACTTTATTTTCATTTTATCTTTTACATTTAGAAATACTAAAGGATAAAAAACGAGTATGGCTAAGACAGTGGTAGGACTGTGGGTGATTTTCTTCGAATTGTTTTTTTTTTAAGGTTAGTTAGGTTGTTTATAGCTTTTAAAACATCATGAGAAAAATAACATATTTCTCTGGCTACCAGGCCAGAAAGAATATGAGTAGTACAACAATGATAACAAAAACAATGGTTTCTCTGCGAGAGTTCTTTATAAACTCTTCAAAGCCCATTTCTATTTCCTGGTAAGAGATCACAGATTCTCTTGGCATCAGCAATAAGCAACGTTAGCCACTATACTCACTGATCACCTTAGTCTCTCTGTGCCTTAAGACTGGAATGATGCTAACAATAAGAAGAGTTTCCATGGCCAGGCGTGGTGGCTCATGCCTGTAAACCCAGCACTTTGGGAGGCCAAGGCAGATGGATCACCTGAGGTCAGGAGTTTGAGACCAATCTGGCCAACATGGCAAAACCCCGTCTCTATTAATAATACAAAAATGAGCTGGGCATGGTGATGTGTGCCTCTAATCCCAGCTACTCATGAGGCTGAGGCAGGAGAATCGCTTGAACCCGGGAGGTGGGGGTTGCAGTGAGCCGAGATTGCGCCACTGCACTCCAGCCTGGGCGGCAAAAGCGAAACTCTGTCTCCCCCCACCAGAAAAAAAAAGACAGTTTCCAATCTGTGAGCACAAACTTTGTGCCACATATAGTATTATGCATGTCTAGCCTCATCAAGAAACTGAAGCTTAGAAAGTTTAAGTGACTTGCAAGAAAATAAGCAACACTTAAAATTCAAAGCTAATTCCAATTCTAAAGCTCATATTCTTTTCATAAATGACACCATGGTACCATACCTACTAAACATGTGGGTGCCTAGTTACTATCAAAAGCATTTTCCTGCTACCAGATGCTTTTGCCACTGCTCTCGTCTTTTACAGTCACAATTAAAGTTACTGAAGGTATAAGCAAATGACTCTACTTTGGGACTCCTCTGTTGGTATCTTTCCAACAGAAATGAAAACATATATGTACACAAAGATTTGTACCCAAATGTTCACTGTAGCATTTTCACAATAGCAAATACCGGAAACCATTCAAAACACCCTTGACCTCTACCTACCTACAGGAGCCTGCTCACTAGCCTTATAGATGTCGTATCTCATCTTCATGACTAATGGCAGTGCAGAAACACAAGCAGGACCAGGGCCCAGCCAAGGAATAAATCACTTAAACAATTCCAGCCAGTTGCAGTGGCTCACACCTGCAAGCCCAGCACTTTGCAAGGCCAAGGCAGGCAGATCACCTGAGGTCAGGAGTTCAAGACCAGTCTGGCCAACATGGTGAAAACCCCGTCTCTACCAAATAATAAAAAAATCAGCTGGCTGAGGTGGTAGGTACCTGTAATCCCAGCTGCTTGGAAGGCTGAGGTGGGAGAATCACTTGAACCCTGGAGGCGGAGGCTGCAGTGAGCGGAGATCGCACCACTGCACTCCAGCCTGGGCAACAAAATGAGACCCTGTCTCAAAAAAAAAAAAAAATTACTAAATTGTACACTTTAAATGAATGAATTTTATAATAGTTAAAATGAATTTTATAGTAGTTAATTATACCTCAATAATTTTTAAAAGAACATAAAACGCTCTCTGCAAGATACAAAACTAGACATCAACAAATGAAGACATCCCATATTCTGGAATACAAGGACTCAAAATCCCAAGATGTCAACTCTCTGTAATGTAATCTACAAATGGAATCCCAATAAAAATACCATCATAGACCTCCCCACCCCCAAACACCTCCATGTAAACAAACTGATTATAAAGTTCACTTGGAGGAATAAACAAACAACAATATCTAGGAAAACATTAAAGATTTTATAATTAAAAGAGTGTTCTTCCTGTACATGGACAGACAGAGCAATAAGACGGAGTAAAAACTCCATAAACAGGCCCAAATGCATGTGGAAAATTTAACATGTGACAAAGGTAGCATATCTCAAGTCAATAGGAAAAAGATGTTAATGACTGGTTTGGGGACAACTGTATAGTCACATGAAAAAAAATTTGGTCCATTTTTCCTATTATACGTAAGGATAAACACCAAATGGATCTATGCTCTAAATGTTAAAAATGAATTAAGTACAAGGACTGGGGGGAAATGGGCTAATTTTGCTAGAACTTTGGAGTGGTAAAAGTATTCCTAATTATGATTCAAAATCCAGAAGCAGTAAGAATAAAAGTTGATAAATATGACTTGTGAAAAAAAATGTTGGACAGCCATAGTGGCTCACGCCTATAATCCCAGCACCTTGTGAGGCCGAGCGGGTGGATCACTTGAGCTCAGAAGTTCAAGACCAGCCTGGGCAACATGGCAAAACCTCATCCCTCCTAAAAATATAAAAATTAGCCAGGCGTGGGGGTGTGCACTTGTGGTCCCAGCTACTCAGGAGGCTGAGGTGGGAGGATTGCTTAAGCGTGGGAGGCTGAGGTTGCAATGAGCCGAGGCAGCAATATGCTGCACTCCATCCTGGGTGACAGAGTGAGATCCTGTCTCAAAAAAAGAAAAAAAAATTTGGCATAAAAGTATGTAAGTCAAGAAACTACTAATTAATTTGTGAAAAATGTGTGTATTATATAGGACTTACATTGCTAATATATAAAAAGCTTCTAAAAATGGATAGAAGAATGAAGACCAGTATCCTGATATCAAAACAGGCAAAAAAAAAAAAAAAAAATATGAACAGACTGATCACAGGAAAAGAAATGAAAATGACCTAAAGTTTTTAAAACATATGAAAAGATACACATTACACATTAAAAAAAATAAAAGAAATACAAATTTAAAATGTACTGACATACTATTTCTCAGCTATCAGACGGACCAAAAACCCCCTAAAATCTGACAACATATTCTGTTGGAAGGATTTTGAGAAAACAGGCACCCTTGCCGGTGAGCATTCAGAATGGTTACAATCACCATGGAGAAAAATGTGGCCATATTTTACAAAATAACATATGCATTTATCCTTTATTCAACAACTGCCTTCTAGAATACTATTCCAAAGACACACTGTCAAACAAATATGAAATGACATATACAAAAAGCTATTTATTGCAGTAATTTTTTTTTTCTTTTGAGACAGAGTCCCACTCTGTCACCCAGGCTGGAGTGCAGTGGCACAATCTCTAGATCTCGGCTCACTGCAACCTCCGCCTCCTGGGTTCAAGCAGTTCTCCTGCCTCAGCCTCTTGAGTAGCTGGGATTACAGGTGCAGCCACCACACCCGGCTAATTTTTCTATTTTTGGTAGAGACAGAGTTTCACCATGTTGGTCGGGCTGGTCTTGAATTCCTGACCTCATGATCCACCCGCCTCGGCCTCCCAAAGTGCTGGGATTACAGGCGTGAGCCACTGCACGGGGTCAAGAAAAGCTATTTATTGCAGTGCTATTTAAAATAATAAAAAAAAGTCTGCAAACTGTTCATCAATAGGAGACTGGTTGAACAAACTGGTACAACCATGCAAGGGAGTATGATGAAGCTTAACAACAAAAGGAATAAAAAGAAATGAGATATACGGAGATATATACTTTCATTCCTCTACAGTATCTCTGTATACCCCAACAATAGTATATATTAAGTGAAAAAAGCAAGAGACACTTTTGAGTAAGAGAAGGGGGTCATATTTTGGGTATATTTTTGAAGAAAAAAAATGAAAGAGTTAACCAAAACTAAATTAAGACCTGAGTATATCTTGTTTTAAAGTTTTGACTCTGAAGCTAGGTAAATGTTTTACATAATTTAAAAAGCGAAATTAAATTTTTTAAAAATATCTTTAAAAAAGCCAACCCTGAAATAAATGAACCTAAATGCATGTGAAATTGGTGGCATAACCACACAGAAAACTGGCCAAGGGCAAAAAGACACTATACAAAACAAAATACTTAAACTGTATTAATTAGAATTACTGTATTAGGTTAGTGCAAAAGCAATGGTGGTTTTGCCATTAAAAGTAATTTTTATGTTGAAACTAGTTCACTTATGTGTACGTATTTATGGCATATATACGACAAGGCAAATAAGCAATGGTTAATATTGTTAAGAATCAGAGTTTTCAGTGTAAGAACAAATACAAATATAAAACAACAACTTACATAAAAACCCTAATCCTAAACTTGCAGTGGAAATATTCACTTAAATTAAAGATTTATTTTTTTCTAAAATCTTTACATTTCTAGCTTTGTCTGTTAAAACAGTCAAAATGTGCTAGGCATGGTGGTTCACATCACACCTGTAATTGCAGCAAATGAGGAGGCTAACATGGTAGGATAAGTTGAGGCCAGGAATTTGAGACCAAACTGGGCAACGTTAAGAAGATCTCATCTCTAAAAAAAAAATTAAAATATAATTTAAAAATTAGTGGAGCAAGATGGCATGTGCTGTAGTCCCAAGTACTCAGAAGGCTGAGGCAGGAGGATCACTTGAGCCCAGGAGGTCAAGTCTGCAAAGAGCTATTGAGTGTACCACTGCTCTCCAGCCTAGGCAACAGAGTGAGACCGTCCCTTTAAAAAAAAAAAATTAGGTTAAATTCAAAAAAGCCAAAAGCATTGGCAACCCAGCAGAGCAAAAACCACCTTAATTCCCAGACTGTAGTCTCTATCACCTCCCAATAAAAGAAAATCGGGCAGGGCGCAGTGGCTCACACCTGTAATCCCAGCACTTGAGGAGGCTGAGGCAGGTGGATCATGAGGTCAGGAGATCGAGACCATGCTGGCCAACACGGTGAAACCCCGTCTCTACTAAAACACAAAAAATTAGCTGGGCACGGTGGCATGTGCCTGTAGTCCCAGCTACTCAGGAGGCTGAGGCAGGGGAATCGCTTGAACCTGGGAGGCAGAGGTTGTACTGAGCCAATATCGCACCACTGCACTCCAGCCTGGCAACAGAACAAGACTCCGTCTCAAAAAAAAAAAAAATCAGGAGTTCTTAAAGGAATAGCTGTTTCTAGGTCTGGGGCAGGAACTGTAGATTAATCTGCACCAACTTGATATACCAGAGAGGAAGGAAGTTATCAACGACTACTAGGATGGCATCAAAAGGACAATGACCCAGTTTGAAGATGTTCCCAATGGCCAAAGATGAAATCATTTAAAAAAGTATAAAAAGACTGCAACAAACTGAAACCCATCAAATATACTAAAATTCATGCATTCATAATGATACTCAAAAGTGAAAAAACCTCTTTGGATGCTGCTAGAACAACTAAGTCATTCTGAGAAGTGGTAAATGAAAGAAGAAAATCAAGCATTCATCTTGCCTTTCCTGTATGAACAGAATTTCAGAATAACCAATGAGCTGATGAACAAAGTGTTCTTCCTTTATAGAAGAACCTCAGATAATAAACCTAAGCAAAATGATAGAATTAGAATATCAAGGCCGGGAGTGGTGGCTCACACCTGTAATCCCAGCACTTTGGGAGGCCAAGGCGGGCAGATGACCTGAGGTTAGGAGTTCGAGACCAGCATGACCAACATGGAAAAACCTCATCTCTACTAAAAATAAAAAATTAGCCAGGTATGGTGGCACGTGCCTGTAATCCCAGCTACTCGGGAGGCAGAGGCAGGAGAATCACTTGAACACGGGAGGCAGAGGTTGCGGTGAGCTGAGATCGTGTCATTGCACTCCAGCCTGGGCAACAAAAGTGAAACTCCATCTCAAAAAATAAATCAATATTTTGCACCCCTAATATAATGAATCTGGGCAAGACCATTAATAACTGCTAAAAAACATTACAGAAAACAGTGAAGGGGAACTTTATAATGGAAGGATCAGAATGACAACATCTGAACCCTCTGATCAAGCTCAATTTGTGACGCAACAGAAAGCACACAGTATCATCAACAAAGTACTGCCGGAACTAAACTTGAACCTAATCAAGCTTTTAGACCCAACTACCTACCAGTTTACAGAAATGATGCCATATATAAAAAAGAATTAAACCATGTGTGTTGAAGTGTCTATGAGTAAAATGATGTCTACAATTTTTGTGAAATTCTCCAGGAAAAAAAAGAGGGGTTAGAAATGAATTAAGAATGGCAGAATGTCAACAACTGAAGCGAGATGATGATTATATGGGAGTTCATTGCATATTTCTGTTTTTGTGTAAGTCTAAAAGTTCCCAAATAAAATCATAAAACCAAAAACTATAACTCAATCAATGCTACTTTTACAAAAAGAGGGACAGAAGTATTCACAGCATTAGATATAATTCCTGATCCTGGGACTCTACAATTCCAAGGGTTATCTTTTTAAGCAAACTTTTAAAAAAGCTTAAAAAGTCAATACAGTATGGACTACACATGGAAAATATATATATATACAGCTATTAGATAATTTTTTAAAGCCTAATATAAGGTAAAATGATATTTGTAGTTTGAGACAAAGTTTCTAGTGATGCATCACTCATGGAGTCAGTGCGTGCCATACCTCACACAAAGCAGATGAGGATCCTATGCTCTCAAAAATTGTGATGACTTAAAAAATGGTTCTAGCAATTACCAAGACATCAAGGTCTACGATGGTTGTGTGAATAAAATTATTTTCAGGAAATGTGGGTAATAATCACTAACTCTAAATTAACATTTTTTCAATATCTTATATGTAAATAAGTTAATAAGACATATGACTATTTTAACAACAGCCTTAAAACTTTGTATTTCAAAGCAAGATAGACAAAACTTCTTTTTCTCCTCAGTGGTAAAATGGGACTGACTTAAGCTCTCTTATTTAGGAGCATATTTGACATTTACGTTTCCTTGAAGACTGAAGGAGATATAATCTGTAATACCTACTTTTTTTTTTGAGAGGGAGTTTCACTCTTGTTGCCCAGGCTGGAGTGCAATGGCGTGATCTCGGCTCACAGCAACCTCTGCTTCCCAGGTTCAAGCCATTCTCCTGCCTCAGCCTCCCAAGTAGCTGGGATTACAGGCATGCGCCACCACGCTCGGCTAATTTTGTATTTTTAGTAGAGACGGGGTTTCTCCATGTTGGTCAGGCTGGTCTCGAACTCCAGACCTCAGGTGATCCACCTGCCTTGGCCTCCCAAAGTGCTGAGATTACAGGTGTGAGCCACCACGCCCGGCAATACCTATTAATTTTAAAGTTAATAAAGTATAAAGAAGTCCTCATATCCATAATTAATTGGGAAACCCAAGGTTTTTGTGTTATTAAATGTCAATTAGTTCCAGTAAGGTTCTCTGAATAGATCCTAGAAATATATTACTAAAATTAACACCTATTCTCAAACCTAGCTTCTGTTAGGTTATTTTAAATATCTGGAGTTCTTGACATATTGCAGTAACAAAACAGAATGTATAAATTATCAGCCTCACTGGCAACTGGGAAAAACTAAATGTTTAACAGGCTTTCTAATAACCCAAGTAACATATCACTTTGGCTTTCTACACATAATAGAAATCCCTAATAAAGTTAAAAGCCAATTAATAATGGGACAGCAAGAAGCAAATATTTTCCAGAAATCTGTTGATTATAACAAATACACTGGTTACGTGCAGTGGCTCACACCTGTAATCCAGCACTTTGGGAGGCCGAGGCAGGCACATCACTTAAGCCCAGGAGTTCGAGACCAGCCTAGGCAACATGACAAAACCCTGTCTCTACCAAAAAAAAAAAAAAAATTAGTCAACTGTAGTTGCACACACCTGCTGCTGTGCCAGCTACTAGGGAGGCTGAGGTGGGAGGATCACCTGAGCCCAAGGAGGTTGAGGCTGCAGCGAGTCATAATTGCACCACTGCACTCCAACCTGGACAACAGATAAGACTGTCTCAAAAAGCAAATAAAACCAAACCAAAAAGAACCACAAATGAACTGATGACATAAAGTCAGTTAATTATATACAACTGTTGGGTCTTGGAGTATTTTAAGATATTACAAAATACTTAAAATGTAAAACATTTTTCCATCAGTTCATTTCCCAATAGCCAATAAATATTGATGCACCGATATGGTTTGGCTTTGTCCCCACCCAAATCTCACCTTGAATTGTAATAATGCCCACATGCCAAGGGTGGGGCCAGGCAGAGATAACTGAATCATGGGGGCAATTTTCCCACATACCATGTTCTCACGGTAGTGAACAAGTCTCATGAGATCTGATGATTTTATAAATGCCAAGTTCCTTGCACAAGCTCTCTCTTGCCTGCTGCCATGTAAGATGTGACTTTGCTCCTCAATGACCTGCCACGATTGTGAGGCCTGACCAGCCATGTGGAACTGTGAGTCAATTAAACCTCTTTCCTTTATAAGTTACCAGTCTTGGCCGGGTGCGGTGGCTCAAACCTGTAATCCCAGCACTTTGGGAGGCTGAGGTGGGCAGCGGATCTCTTGAGGCCAGGAGTTTGAGACCAGCCCGGCCACCATGGTGAAACCCAGTCTCTAATAAAAATATAAAGATTAGCTGGGCGTGGTGGTGCAGGCCTGTCATCCCAGCTACTCAGGCACTTTAACCCAGGAGGCAGAGGTTGCAGTGAGCCAAGATCACACCACTGCACTCCAGCAGCCTGGGCCACAGAGTAAGACTGTCTCAAAAAAATAATAAATAAATAAAAATAGAATAAATTACCCAGTCTCGGGTATGTCTTTATTAGCAACATGAGAATGAACTAATACAGTAAATTGGTACTAACAGAGTGGGGTGATTCTGTAAAGATATCTGAAAATGTGGAAGCAACTTTCGAACTGGGTAACTGGCAGAGGTTGCAAAAGTTTGGAGAGCTCCAAAGATAAGAAGATGTGGGGAAGTTTGGAACTTCCTAGAGACTTGTTGAATGGCTTTGACCAAAATGCTGACAGTGATATGGACAATAAAGTCCAGGCAGAGGTAGCCTCAGATGTAGACAAGGAACTTCTTGGGAACTGGAGTAAATGGGCCACTCTTGCTATGCAAAGAGACTGGCAGCATTTTGCCTCTGCCTTAGAGGTCTGTGGAACCTTGAACTTGAGAGAGATGATTTAGGGTATATGCAAAAGTAATTTCTAAGAGCAAACCATTCGAGAGGAAGCAGAGCATAAAAATTTGCAAAATTTGCAGCCTGACAATGTGATAAAAAAGGAAACCCATTTTCTGGGGAGAAATTCAAACCAGCTCAGAAATTTGCATAAGTTATGTGGAATGAAATATTAACGGGTATAATTACCCAACATCTGTACCCTCATTGCATCTAGGAACTAACTTGCTTCTAATTTTACAGGCTCATATGCAGAAGGGACTTGCCTTGTCTCAGATGAGACTTTGGACTGTGGACTTTTGAGTAAATACTGAAATGAGTTAAGACTTTGGGGGACTGTTGGGAAGGCATGATTGGTTTTGAAATATGAGGACATGGGATTTGGAAGCGGCAGGGGCAGAATGATATGGTCTGGCTGTATCCCTACCCAAATCTCACCTTGACTTATAATAATTCCCACGTGTCATGGACAGGGCCAGGTGGACATAATTCATGGGGGCAGTTTCCCACATACCATGTTCTCATGGTAGTGAGTAAGTCTCACAAGGTCTGATGGTTTTATAAATGGGAGTTCCCCTGCACAATCTCTCTCTTGCCTGCTGCCATGTAAGACGTGACTTTGCTCTTCATTCACCTTCTGCCATAATTGTGAGGCCTCCCCAGCCATGTGGAACTGTGAGCCAATTAAACCCCTTTCCTTTATAAATTACCCAGTCTTGGGTATGTCTTTATTAGCAGCGTGACAATGGATTAATACAAGCACATTGTATGAAAAAGTTGTCCCAGAAGTTCCAGAGTAACTAATATCCATTCATCCATACAAATCATATTAACATGTAGTAAATAAGTCAAATTAAAAGTTTAGACTTTCCAACTCTATCCAGAAAGCCTGAGTTCAAGTTCTAGTTCTACCAATTTGAATTAGCTAAGACTTTTTGCCAAATCATTTTATTTGAATCACTCAAAATATGACTAGGAAATAACCTATCTCCTAAGAATCTAAGGAAGTTAATTATTTGAAAGAGCTGAGATTTCTTGATAATAGAGCTAAGTCTCATTAATATTTCAGTTTAACTATAGTTTTTAAAAAATCATTCCAAACTGATTTTCCAAATGCTTCATCTGTAATATGAGTGTGATGATAACAGAATCCATCTCATAAGAGTACTGGAAGGATTCAATGAGAATACACATAAAATAGAACATTACTGGCACAGAGTGAACACTCAACCAGTGTTAGATATTTTTATTATCATCACGACATTAGCATCGAGGAATTTAATGCAAACTTCTTGGAGGGCATTCTGGTAACAACAGCCAACAACATTTTCAATGCATATACCCTCTGAAACACTTTCAGTAATTATTCCTTAAGATACACTTACATAGGTGTATAAAACGCAAGCACAATGTTGCTCAATGCAGCAAATATCCACTGACAAAAGCTGATTAAATAAATTATGGAACATCCATACAAAGGGAATACTATGCAAATGTCAAGAAGAATGAGATAACTATACATAGTGATATAAAAAGAGCCACATTATTTATCCTTGAATAGCCCTTCACATTTTCTGAAGGAGATAAGAAACTACTAATAGTGATTACTTCTGGTTAATAGTAACACTGGAGGATCTGAAGAAGAGATAAACTTTTATTTTCTATTTTATACTTAATTGATACTTTTAAAATTCCATATCGTGTGAATGTTATTAAATCATTATTTTTTTTAAAACCAGTTTAAAGCAAATCACTTGTCCAGAAACCAGAAAACATTGAATGTACTTGGTTTCAACATTTTGGATTTCTGTTTCTCATGTTTGAGGGTAGTGTCTGAAAATAATGTAGTTAAAAATAACGTAATTCTGCCAAGAAAGGCAATGAAAAAAAACACACACGCTACAGTAAGTATTAAATAAGATTTTTAAATGAATTAAGTTTGGACTTCTCTTTAATACTTGAGGCTATATGAACCCCTGGCACTGATAATGACATTCAATTACTATATTCTCATTCCCCTATAAACATCAGCTCCTTAGAACTTCTGCTCCACATCAACCATCCTGTCTCACTGACTTCGAGCACAAACTGAGCTCTGCTGTACTCACTCCCAAAACTAGTATATGCACATTCTGACCACTTGAGAAAAATGTGACAATTAAGCAACACAACTCCTCATTTCCCTTATTCTCAGGAAATCTCTGGCAATGGTTATTCTACACTCCTCTCACCTGGCTGTACATGATCAAAATGAACTCTTCTCAAAAAAGTATTTGTGTAGGTAAAACTGATCTGAACATGGCCAAGCCTAAGATTAATAACAAGGTTACTGGTTTAGGGTTCTGGCAAAAAGAGAAAAATACAGATGAAAAAGGAAAGAGATTCTTGGAAAAGAAAGGGACTCATAAAGAAGAAGAAGAGAAGAAGAAATGGCACATCCAAAAGTAGACTAGCAGGCCCTGACCTTAACAGGCAAGACATAAGGTAAAACTGAGAAAGCTTATGTTAGTATTAGAAACCATGACCTAGCTAGCCCTTTAGAAAGCTCTCCCTAGGCCCATTACCCTATTCCCTAATTTCACAAGAAATTAATCTTTTCCCTCAGTTCAGACAGCTCTTCAATGCTCACTTCAACAACTCCCTTTAAATTACAACTGTAAAAGTGATGCATTATCTTAGGATGGTTTGTATACATGGAACATACATTTCAGGACTGTCTGCAAATAAACTTATTCTACTTAAATATCACATTTACTGTGTGTGTGAGAGAGAGAGAGAGAGTCAGCACGCATGAGCAAGAGCACACAGGCTCAAGAGCACTGATAGGAAATAGTCCCTACCCAATTTTAATTGATGTATCATATGCACTGTCGAGACTAAAAGTCTCTGGGTCCTAGTATTAGAATAAAAGTTACTTGAAATTACTTTTCAGCTATAAAGAACATGATAACAGCAAACAACAAGAATATAGTACTTAAAGAAAAAATATTGAGAGCCCAAGGCAGGTGGATCGCCTGAGCTAAGGAGTTCAAGACCAACCTGGGCAACTTGGCAAAACCCATCTCTACAAAAAATACAAAAATAAGCCAGGTGTGGTGGTGTGGGCCTGTAGTCCCAGCTACTTGAGGCGCTGACGTGGGAGGACGGCTTCAGCCCAGGAGGTGAAGGTTGCAGTGAACCAAGACTGCATCACTATACTCCAGCCTGAGCAACAAAGCCAGATGCTGCCTCAAAAAAACAAAGGAAAAAAAATTAACCAGTCTTTTTTAGTGACTAGAACTGTTCTTACTATGGCTGAATCCATCATACAGGTAGCTGAAAAAGTATTCATAACAGTCAAGCATATTAAAGAAACACAAGGAAAAAAATGTGTACCATAAATGAAGAACATACATAAAATATAATCTAATATGTATAAAATGTAATAAATGAGGCCAGGTACAGTGGCTCATGCCTGTAATCCCATCACTTTGGGAGGCTGAGGTGGGCAGATAATTTGAGATCAGGAGCTCAAGACTAGCCTGTTCAACATAGTGAAACCCCGTCTCCACTAAAAATACAAAAATTAGCTGGGCATGGTGGTGGGCACCTGTAATCCTGGCTACTTGGGAGGCTGACGCAGGAGAATTGCTTGAACCCAGGAGGCGGAGGTTGCAGTGAGCCGAGATTGCGCCACTGCACTCCAGCCTGGGTGACAAAGTGAGACTCTGTTTCAGAAAAAAAAAAGTAATGAAGGGTTATTCTCCCAAAAAACTCTGACTTATTTTTGTCACTAGAAATTTTTTAAATTTTTATCTTAGCATTAGAGTCATGGTTTAATACTGCAATTGGTAATTTATATGACTTAAAAATAAAAGTTAATAGAACCTGATAGTCCCTTTAAATAAAATCAGTAAGACACAAACAAAAAATTAAGCACAAATGCAATGCAATAGGTTCCATGTTTTACTCAGCTTAAACATTTTTACCTGAGGGAACAGCTGGATTGTTTTGGTGGTTTTCACTGGCAGAAACAAACAAATCTTCTTCTCCTTCAGTTGATGAGCTAGAAGAGGATTCACTGCTGAGGTCATTCTCACTGGAACTACTAGAACTAGGTAGCAAGGCATATTTTCTTCGAGCTAACACTTCTCGTTTCTTCCTCTGCATTAATATCCTCTCTTTTTGTTTCTGTGTCCTCTGTGAGGAATTATTTTTTACAAATCTCTTTCTGCATGGAAGTCTCCGTAACGAACTGCCATGTAAACAGGGTCTTTTCATTAACAATCCCGATACAGATTCTGTCTCAGTCCGAGGCCACTTATGAGACCGTGCACTATGGCTTCTACTTTTAGCATTCAAAATGGTCTGGGAATGTCTTACAGAGACTTCTTTATCCTCATCTGAAGTCACAGTATCAGAATCTCCAAAATGCAGACTAGATGAAGGAGAAGAAAGACAATCACTAAAAGAGGAATCATTATCTTCATCACTTGGTGTCCCTAGGTGTTGCCTCAGTCCTAATATTCCCTGGTTTTCTTTAACACAATTCTGCACATACGAAGGGCCAGCCTGCTGGCTTTTGCGTTTTTTCCTCACAACGAGACTTTTTTCTTGTTCTTGCTGGTTACCATTCATTTCCTTCTCTTGCTTTTGAGAATCATCACACAGGTGAGAGAATTCATTCCCCACTTTACTATTAATCATCTCAACTCCTGCAGGAAAACTTTTGGCTGCCCCAATGGGCTCTGGATGCAAAAGGATCCCTTTCAGACTCTCCTGTGTCTTTGGTGCATCAGAAGGAATCTCACTCTTCATATCCACTTTTAAGGTGTAGAGCTCGTTATATTCAGGAGTCCATTGAGACATGGGAAACTTTAAGGAAAGCCTAGAAGACAAAATTAGATATTTAAAAGATTTTTAATGTGTTTTATTATACTATTTAATTGAAGAGTTCTCAAATTCCACCAAGAAGATCCCTTATAAAGGCAGAACTGTCTTTTCCTCATCAGTACACAAAATGTCTGTTATGAATTATTTTACTATTCTTATAAAACGTTTTTCTCTGGTCACTCTACTCATGCATCCAATTTTTAGAAATACAGTAGATATAGAGCATAAGCCTACTTAAAAACTTCTATTAACCAAAAACTGATCTTATTGCATATCTCACTACCTTCAGCAACAAAACATATTTGGTCAAATCAAACAATTACTTCAAAACCTATTTCAGTGAAATATAAATAAAAGGATTCGAATTCAAAAGACTAATTAGTCAACATGTTTTACTCCTGGTATGACATTTTTAAGTGGTTATTATTAAATGTTTCTGTACATCTAGATGGTTACTACATTAGATTGATATTATTAATAATGAGCTAATGAATATAAGCTTCTCTTTTCTATTTTTTTTCCTTCATACTACTCTATTAATTCTCTAATGAGAATCTGAATTCTCCTGATAGTAGACACAACTACTGCATTTCAGTTTTAAATACAAAAAGATTAGAGCCAAGACTGTGGGCTGCTGAAGATCATTCAGTTAAATAAACAATACAGCAGAACATAAAATCAAACTTTGTACAGCTAATCTATCTAAATCATTCAACATCTTAAATTACGAGCTGCCAAAAAGAGATCTGAATTTAAAGCATTTACATCAATGCAATGTACATATGAAAATAATGTAATAGTAAATATCATGACTCAAAATGAAATATATTAATCAGAAAGGCAGTAAATGTGACAAATGAAGAGCTTTACTAGTGCAAAACATGAATAAACAATGTTAACATATTTTTAACAAGTTTTTATTAAGTATAGCATACACACATATTCTAAGTTTATAGATGAATGAACACTAAAAAAATGAACACCTCTATGTAACTGGCACACAGATAAACAACATAACCAGCACCCTAGAAATCTTCTTCCCATTACTACAGCCCACCAAACTGTTAACCACTATTGTAACTTCTGACACCACAGATTTGTTTTGCCCATAAAATACATTTTGAAACCAGTTCCTAAAAAGCGAGTACAACAGCTGTTTAGTAAGCAAGTATTTTCCCTCTCTACAAATGGGTTACAGAAATATATAATCTTACAGGTCTCCCATGTTACTATAGTATATAACTTTACTATCAGAACAAATGACAATAATTAAGGCATAGAATGACCTATTCCTACAGAAAGCTATCAAAACCACTATCTTCTTTTATTCTTATTCACAAGCACAGGCAGTGCTGTATCCAAGATCAGCCATCACGCGCTATCTGTAGTTCAGCAGGATCAGTGATAAACCAGGAATACAAAGATGAGTGAACATGAGCA
Source organism: Homo sapiens (assembly GCF_000001405.40). NCBI lineage: Eukaryota > Metazoa > Chordata > Mammalia > Primates > Hominidae > Homo > Homo sapiens. The sequence continues at coordinate 59,029,358 of NC_000015.10, read as the reverse complement.
TGGCAATGAGCAAATTACAGAAGGCAGCCAGTCAGACAAGGATCACTTTAATTAAAGGCAAGAACACAGAAGTCACAATGATAAAACACAGGTACATGTGATCTAAGAGTTGAATGGGGCCAAACAGGATGGCTGTAATAAAGAACACAGGTAATAACAAGTGTTAGAGAGGATGCATAAAAAAAAAACATTGGAACCCTCATATATTGCTGATGGAAATGTAAAATGATACAAGCTACTTTGGGAAGCGGTCTAGCAGATCCTCAAAAATTAAATACAAGCTGGGCGCGGTGGCTCATGTCTGTAATCCCACCACTTTGGGAGGCCAAGGCGGGCGGATCACTGGAGGCCAGGAGTTCGAGATCAGCCTGGCCAACATGGTGAAACCCCATCTCTACTAAAAATACAAAAATTAGCCAGGATAGTGGCGCACTGACTGTAATCCCAGCTACTTGGGAGGCTGAAGCATGAGAATCGCTTGAACCTGGGAGGCAGAGGTTACAGTGAGCTGGGACTGCACCGCTACAGTCCAGCTTGAGCAACAGAGCAAGACTCTATCTCAAGAAAAAAAAAAAAATTAAACACAAAATTGCTATGTGACCTAGCATTTCCACTCCTAGGTATGTACCCAAGAGAAATGAAAACACATATTCATAAAAAAACTTATAAACAGCAACATTAGTCATAACAGCCAAAAAAGTGGGAACACAAATGCCAATCAACTGATGAATAAATAAATCCATACAAAAGATTATTACTCAGCAATAGAAAGAAATGAAGTACGGTAGTCCCTCACTATCCAGTTTAACTTTCCACAGCTTCAGTTACTCACACTATGAGAGAGAGACCACATTCACATAAGTTTTATCACAGTATGTTGTTAGAATTTTGCTACTTTATTGTTGTTGTTAGTCTCTTATTCTGCCTAATTTATAAATTAAACTTTATCATAGGCATGTAGGTATATGAAAAAAAAAACACTATATGGTTTCAGGCATCCACTGGGGGACTCAGAATGGTTTCCCCTTGGACAGGGGCGCAGACTACCATACTGACTCAAGCTACAACATGGATAAACAATATGCTAAGTAAAAGAAACCAGTCAAAAAGATAACATAATGTAAGATTCCCTTTATATGGAATGTCTGGAATAGGCAAATCTACATAGATAGAATGTGGTTACCTAGGGCTGGGGATCATCGGAGGATTCAACTATGATGGCCGAAAAGCATGGAGTTTCTGGCCAGGCGCGGTGGCCAAACCCTACACTTTGGGAGGCCGAGGCGGGCAGATCACCTGAGGTCAGGAGTTCGAGGCCAGCCTGGCCAACATGGTGAAACCCCATCTCTACTAAAAATACAAAAAATTATCCGGGCATGGTGGCGTGCACCTGTAATCCCAGCTACTCAGGAGGCTGAGGCAGGAGAATTGCTTGAACCAGGGAGGCAGAGGTTGTAGTGAGCTGAGATCACACCACTGCACTCCAGCTTGGACAACAAGAGTGGGGAAAAAAAAAAAAAAAGGTGGGCCAGGTGCAGTGGCTCACGCCTGTAATCCCACCACTTTGGGAGGCTGAAGCGGGTGGATCACCTGAGGTTAGGAGTTTGAGACCAGCCTGACCAACATGGTGAAAAGAAACCCTGTCTTACTAAAAATACAAAAATTAGCCAGGCATGGTGGCAGGCACCTGTAATCCCAGCTACTCAGGAGGCTGACGCAGCAGAATCGCTTGAACCCAGGAGACATAGGTTGCAGTGAGCCGAGATTGCGCCATTGCACTCCAGCCTGGGCAACAGAGCAAGACTCTGTCTCCCAAAAAAAAAAAGAAAAAAAGGTATAGAATTTCTTTTATTTTCAGTGAACTGAAAATGTTCTACAACTGATTGTGGTGCCAGCTATTCAACTCTGTGAATATACTAAAAACCCAGTGAAATAAAATCTCAATAAAACTCCTGCCAGAAAGTCAAGAGGTTTAAAAAAAGTGAAAAAGTCAAGAGGAAAAGTATCAAGATTTCTAGGCATCAGAGACTCCATCAGCAACAGAAGTCTCATGATGTATGTTGGAAACAGCTGGGGTTCTTCCAGAAACCCATGTCAGAGTTATGTTCTGGTGGATTTCAGAGGAGGAGATCTTGGAGTCTTTATGGGCTGAAGATTTAAAAATTAGACTCCTCATCCGTAATTACTAAGTCCTCATGTTGATAATGGAGATCATGAGAAGCAATGAAAACTTGCCAAAAACCAGACAAATTCTGAGAACATGCAGCCATACATTAATTTACAAAGAAGCAATTCACAGCACAATTAACTAAACCCAATTTCTTTTCCATCATTTCATGTCCCAAAGCCAAAACAATGCAATCAACTCTTTATGGTTAAATCTGCTCTGATTTTTGATCAGTTTAGTCTGTCCAATGAGACAAGGGTAGAGGAGAGCAAGGGGGGGTGGTTTGGTGTATGCTGTGGTGTGTGTTTGTACACCAGTTAACTCTTCTCTGAGTTAACATATCATGCAGTCATTAAATGCAAAATTAATATCCCATATAACTAAGAGGTTCCCACCCAGGGAGTAATTCATACTATTTTTTTTTCTAAAATCCATCGCTGTATTGTATCATGTTCTAAATTTTTTTTTCTAAAATCCATCCCTGTAATTGTATCAGGCTGTATTTTGAACTTAGAAGAGGAAAGTTCAAAAGGAAATAAACACAAGTATTGCATTTAACTTAAAAAGCAGCAAATATAACAGATAATATTCTAAATTATTTGCTGTTTGATAAAACCATATTCTAGTCTTTTATTTTTGTAAAAATTATTGGCTGATCTAATTTACAAAGGAGGCAAATGCGTACAAGATATATCTCCTTGGTGACATTATAAATGGCTTGCTGTTACACACTGTTTCAATACTGAAACCATAATACTAGTCCCTCTTTGTGTAGATCGATCCAATCATTTCATTGCTATGTCATGATGACTGCATGCTAATTACTCCTGATACTAGTGTAGAATACACCACTATTAGTAAACCTTGCACTAAGAAAATACGATAGCTAAAAAAAAATACTAACTTTCAAAACTAAAAATTAGGGTTGGGATTTAGTAATTCACATCATAAACAAGTTTATGTGAGCAAAAGGAGGAAAAACCCATTAAGACTATCCATACAACTCTGAGGAACTCTACTTCTAAACTGTGATACACTATTATTGGTATGATGCTTCACCACCAATTATAAATATGAATACTTGTTTCAACTTTAAATAAAAATGTAATGATTGCTTACATGACTCTAAAGAAATAAGATTTTAAAAGAAAAAAAAAAAGCCGGCCGGGCACAGTGGCTCACGCCTGTAATCCCAGCACTTTGGGCGGCTAAGGCAGGCAGATCACCTGAGGTTGGGAGTTCGAGACCAGCCTGACCAACATGGAAAAAACCCGTCTCCACCAAAAATGCAAAGTTAGCCAGGCGTGGTGGCACATGCCTGTAATCCCAGCTACTCGGGAGGCTGAGGCAGGAGAATCGCTTGAATCCGCAAGGCAGCGGTTGCGGTGAGCCGAGATCGCGCCATTGCACTCCAGCCTGGGAGACAAGAGCAAAATTCCGACACAAAAGAAAAAAGAAAAAAAAAAAGCCATAGATGACTTGGCATTTTTCTACAAAAGTTTTAGAGATTATCAGAAAATCAACTAGAAATATGTCTACCATTTAACTATCTTTTTAATATAATTAAGTGAAAAAAATAATACCTGTACTACAGGGATATCACTTGGGGTGTGTATTAAATTTTTAATTCTCTTATTTATTTTACTATGTGCCAGCTTAAGTATATTAAATCAAATGCCTGAAAGAATATTCTCTTCTACTACCTATAACTACTACTACTCATATCTAGATAATACAGACAATATGCTTTGTTACATATTCTAAATAGCCAAAATTTCATTAGCAAGAAAGGTATTTTCCCTCAAAAGTATCACTATGGACCCTCAAGTGCATTAGCTCGTACTAAAATTTCTCAAGAGATTTCTGCTAGGAGTACACAACCTAATAATGTACTCAATTATGAAAAGAAGAGTGGGACCCTTGATAAACTTATTACCTTTCCTAGTAGAAAGGAGAAAGTTATACTCACGATAACTGCTATGAAACTATAAGATAAACTTGATTTCTGCCTGGGCGCAGTGGCTCACGCCTGTAATCCCTGCACTTTGGGAGGCGGAGGAGGGCGGATCGTAACAGCATTATTTGCAAAAACCAAAAGGTGGAAGCATCTCAAGTGTCCACTGAAGTGATGAATAGATAAACAAATGTGATATACACGTACAATGAAATAGTATTCAGCCTTAAAAAGGAAACCCTGACGCATTACAACATGGATGAATCTTGAAGACATTATGCTAAGTGAAATAAGAAGACACAACAAGACAAATATTGTATGATTCCACTTATATGAATTACCCAGAGTAGTCAAATTCATAGACAGAAAATAAAATGGTGGTTGCGAGGACCTGAGGGAGGGGGAGAATAGGAGTTAGTGTTTAACAGTTACTGAGTTTCAGTCGGGGAAGATAAAAAGTTGTGGAAATAGATGGAGATGTTGCACAACAATGTCAATGTACTTAATGCCAAATTATAAACTTAAAAATGGTAATTTTATGTTACGTACATTTAAACGACCAAAATAATTCAAAAGAGATATTGTTATAAAACATTATCCTGGAAAGGCTAGTAAAGTCACTCAAAAAAGAGAATGCGCATAAATATGTAAAAGAACATGTAATCCTATGTTGGCATCTGCTTCTCAGAGAATCTGGACTAAAACACACTTTAAAAAATCACCCTCTCTTCCTCATCACTCAAACTCATATTCTGTCTTTCTTAAAGTACTTGCTGAAAAGATCTTGCTAGCCTATTTATTACACAAAGCGTCTCAGTAGAATATAAGTTCCAAGGAAGCAGGAATCTCATCTAGGCAGATCTCTAGCAATGAAAACAGTTGACTCGCACATACTAGGCACTCAATTAGTATTTTTTTTAATTGCATTAATCTGTAAAAGAATGAGTAAAAGGAAGGAAGTAAAACACAACTGCCATATTTCTAGCTTAGGTAACTAAGAATATGGTGACACCAATAGCTGAGATAGAAAAGAAAATATGCAGAATGAGAATAATAATAACAAAATTAGGAAAATAATACCTAAGATTTCTTGAAAATTTACTATTGCTCAATTTCCTTCTTCAGGTATTCTGTAGCCACAAGATATTTACCATATAACTGGGGATAATCAGGTCCTTAAAAGAGAGAAACTGACCATAGAAAAGAACAGCAGGGAGCCAAAAGATTTTTTCCTATATATTATTGGTAAACTGATCTACATGCTACTTCTTGGAGAATAGGAAATATTAAATAGGAAAGTGGTTGCACCTTCCAGAAAGTCTATTAAGATCACTCTTCATGTCCCTTAGGGTCTCAAGGCTCAAAGTTATAAAGTAAATCTTCAAACTAGACTGGCAGGATTCAGCTCACAGACATGGTTTGTTTGGCATACATAATTCAGGGGGAAAAAAACTGATGGTTAATAGTGAAACACTATAGGCATTCTCATTAAAATCTGGAAGAAAAAAAGGAATTCACTGTTATAAAACATTCTTCTGGAAAGGCTAGTAAACTCATTTAAACAAGGGAATGGGCATATATATTTAAAAGAAGGTAATTTTTTTCATTATTGGCAGATGACACTGACAAATGAGCTCAATAGTAGAAAACCACTGGCAACAGTAAGACAGGCCAGTTACTTATATATTTACCAAAAATATATAAATAAAAATAACACTCCAAAAATCAATGACTTTCCTTTACACAAACAGTAGCTAGTTAGAAAATACTACAGAATAACAAAAATATACTACTTACAAGAGGAATGAAAATATTTAATATCTGGTATGAAATTTAACAAGAGACACAAAGGACCTACATGAAAACAATTATAACAATGTCAGTTACGCAAAAATTTATGGGAAATTCAATTTCATGCCAAAATAATAGCAAATTCAGTTATAAAACAGGGTAAACCAGCATGCTACTTCCTCACTTTCTTTTTTTCTTTGAGATTGAGTCTTGCTCTGTCACCCAGGCGGGAGTGCAGTGGTGTGATCTCAGCTCACTGCAACCTACGCCTCCCGGATTCAACCGATTCTCCTGCCTCAGCCTCCCGAGTAGCTGGGATTACAGACACGCACCACCATGCCCAGTTAATTTTTTGTATTTTTAGTAGAGACAGGGTTTCACCACGTTGGCCAGGCTGGTCTCGAACTCCTGACCTCAGGTGATCCTCCCGCCTCGGCCTCCCAAAGTGCTGGGATTACAGGCGTAAGCCACCGCGCCCAGCCAATTTCCTCACTTTCAAAGATCCTCTGTCATCCAGGGAATCCACCAGAACACTGCAGATCTGTTCATACTTCTGCATTAACCAGCTGAGAATTTCTCCTTACTTTTCTCAGATCCAAAGTAAAACCTAGACACCCTCTAGGTAGAGAGCAGGAAGGACAGGCAATCTCCTTACTGGATGTGTCTATGCTGATATTAATAATGAGAAGTTTCCTATTATCTGCCAATGTCACTTTGGTGAGTCTTTTGGTTGCATTTAAAAGACATTGGAAGAATGATTTATATGGAGTGTGAAGAGGTTAAACAACCTAAACCCAAAGACGTTCACTATACTCCTTAACCTTAACAGATATCCACAGAAACAATTACTTGTTAAAAGAGGACTGCACAAGGGATAGCCATGTGAGGAGATTAAGGGACATCCTCCATTCCATGTTGGTCTGGATATTACTGCTCATGCTATAAAAAGGAAAGAAAATACAGTTAAATGGAGATTAGAACTGTCAGAATCTGGAAGTCAAAGTTATCTTTTGGGAGGTCTGTCTAGGATAACTATCTCCTCTGACAGGTAAAGAGGAACTGAGAAGCAAAGATGGAACCACCCTTACATTTAGACAGACTTTCACATGATTTTAGTATCTCAGCTAAGGCTTGCTCTGAATGAAGTAAAATTCTCTGTCGCCTCTAAGTACAAAGACCTCAAAACACTTAGGGTAGAGAACTAGCTAACAGACAAAACCACTAAGAGGAAAATTTCAAGGTTAATTAGTCTTATAAAATATTTCCAAAATATTTTATAGGAAGCTTGGCCAGGCGTGGTGGCTCATGCTTGTAATCCCAGCACTTTGGGCGGCCAAGGCGGGGAGATCACTTTAGGTCAGGAGTTCGAGTCCAGCCTGGCCAACATGGTGATACCCCGTCTCAACTAAAAATACAAAAATTAGCCAGGCATGGTGGCACGCGCCTGTAGTTCCAGCTACTCGGGAGGCTGAGGCGGGAGGATCGCTTGAACCTGGGAGGCAAGGTTGCAGTGAGGTGAGGTCACGTCACTGTACTTCAGCCTGGGTGACAGAGCAAACTCTGACTCAAAAAAAAATTTATAAGAAGCTAGAAAAAATGAACGCATAGCAATAACCAAAAAGCTATAGTAAATCTAGGAAACAAGTGAAATTATGGAAAATGAAATATTCAATGAATACTGAGTGATAAACAGTGAACAGTGATGTAGATTTTCGATCCAGGGATCACTGAGTTACAGTCTTGACTCTGCCCCTATGTAATCTTGGCCATAGTACTCTCTAAAACTGTTTTTAGTCTATAAAATTGGAATAATAATAGTACTTACCTCATAAAATTCCGTAACGGTTAAATGAGAGTACCTAACAAAGCACATGGCATAGTGGCTGTTATTATTAATTACTTTCCTAAAGGAGCAGGTACATACATAAGACTTAACATTTAAGACTTTCTCTTACACCTAAAAATAAATGTAATCTTTGAGATCCAGAAGGGCATAGGCCAGGCATGGTGGTTCATACCTATAATCCCAACACTTTGGGAGGCCGAGACAGGCGGATGAATTGAGGTCAGGAGTTCGAGACCAGCCTGGCCAACATAACAAAACCCTGTCTCTACTAAAAATACAAAAATTAGCCGGGCATGGTGGCACCCACCTGTAATCCCAGCTACTGGCCAGGCTGAGACAGGAGAATCACTTGAACTCACGAGGCGGAGTTTGCAGTGAGCCGAGATCGCATCACTGCACTCCATCCTGGGCAACAGAGCAAGACTTCATCTCAAACAAACAAAAAAAGGCAGGGCATAAAATCTGGGATCTAACCTATGAGGACACAGAGGCATAAGAATGATACAAAGGACTTTGGGGGAAAGGGTGGAAAGTGAGGTCAGGGATAAAAGACTACACATTAGGTACAGTATACATGGCTCAGGTGATGGGTGCACCAAAATCTCAGAAATCACCACTAAAGAACTTATTCATGTAACCAAACACCACCTGTTCCCCAAAAACCTACTGAGATTTAAAAAATAAAAATTAAAACAACAAAAAAGAAGGGCATAAAAAACTGTTCCCACAAAAGTTTGAAGTATAGAAACAAAGAACCAAATTTCTTTAGCATAAAACCTATCAAAGCCAAGAATTCTACAGACTTTCCTCTATTATGGAGGACTGGAGTTTGGTAGCTGGATGTTTCAGCCCCCTAAATTCTAATACCAGATATTCTGCTTCTGGAAACAGATAAGTTAAACCTCTCTCAACTAATAGGTTTCAATTTCTCAGTGAACTTAATGATTTTCTCATCTGTCTTGTTAAAGTATTCTGAAATCCTTAAATATTAGTCATCAAAGAGAAACATAACATCAACTTACATCTCCTGTCAATACAAACTGGGTGAAGTTCAATATGTTACAGAGTCTACTGCTCTAGCAATGACTCTGTTATTATTACAGCCAATAGCAAAATGAAGGGTGTATCTAACCTCACAAGCCTGAACAGTATCTGGGAGTCAGTTCTTTTTTGGTAGGGTGGCAGCACTACAAGTCATAGGGGCATACTGCACAAGTGTCTAATATTTCTGGTAAGGAAGCCTGGATCCTGAAATGTATACTAAATAAGACATAAAGATACTGCTAATTAATTACTATATATTACAATATATAATGCATATTTACTATATATAATGCATATATTGTTATATTTATGTACAGTATATACATATTATCTTTATTGTATATAGAATTAAGTATCTTACAAAATATATAGTATATTTGCATATTACATATCTAACAAATTTTATATATCTAACATATATAAAATATGTATTTTATATATGAAATATATATTTATATCTTATATAACACAAAATATAAAATTATATGATATATAAAATAAAATCTAAGAGAACTAAACTCAAAAATCCATTAACCCCATTTCGGTGCAGTAGCTATATTTTCCTATCAATAAATACTTTTGTGTTTTTTGTTTTTTTGAGATGGAGTCTCAGTCTGTCACCCAGGCTGAAGTGCAGTGGCACGATCTCGACTCACTGCAACCTCCATCTCCCAGGTTCAAGCAATTTTGCTGCCTCAGCCTCCCGAGCAGCTAGGACTATAGGCACACACCACCACACCTGGCTAATTTTTGTATTTTCAGTAAAGACAGGGTTTTACCACGTTGGCCAGGCCGGTCTCGAATTCCTGACCTCAGGTGATCCACCCACCTCAGCTTCCCAAAGTGCTGGGATTACAGGCATAAGCCACCACGCCTGGCTTAAATACTTTTAAATATCCAATAATAACATGTTTAAAAGTACAATGGAAAAAAGATCACTTTCCCCAAAGCAACAAAAATAGCTATATAGTTATTCCAAGGTATTAAGCCTGACAAGAATGGTGTATAAACCCATATGAAAAACACTACAAAACTGTACAACAGGATGTAACAGACAATCCTAGTAAAGAGCGAGAGACCTCATTTCTGGATGAACAAGGACTCCAAATTGGCTCCGTCACAAATTAGAAGAAAGCCAATTTTTTTTAAAACTATAAAACATAAACATTACCATCAGACATATCAGGCCTTTAAAAACACTGTATTTTTTCAAATGGCCTGAATATATACACCTAAGGATCCATTCAAAGTAATATTGTTTGCATTTTCTCATTATTTTGTTCAGTGGAACTTTAAAATAATTAAAACTTAATTTAATAAAATAAATAAATGGATCACACCTGTAATCCCAGCACTTTGTGAGGCCAAGGCAGGTGGATCACTTGAGCCCAGGGGTTCAAAACCACCCTGGGCAACATGAAACCTCACCTCTACAAAAAAAAAAAAAAAAATACAAAAATACAAAAATTAGCCAGGGTGGTGGCACGTGCCTGAAGTCTCACCTACACGGGTGGCTGAGGTGGGAGGATCACTCAAGCCCGGAAGGCAGAGGCTGCAGTGAGCTGAGGTCTTACCACTGCACTCCAACCTGGGCGACAGAGCATGGCGCTGTCTCAAAAAAAAGAAAAAAGAAAAGAAACAAATATACAGTTATATGCACAAATAAGAGGGCAGAAACAAAAGGGAAAAGCTGAACTCAAACTTTTTTTCATCCTTTTCTTATTTAAAAAAAAGTATTACATAAAATTAACTGCTAAGCAGCCTTTTAAAATCAGGCAGGATTTGTACAAACTGTTATGGAAAGTATGGATCATTTTCTTTAAACGGACTACAAGTAAGTCTGCTATTATAGGATTCTTCTTCGTAAAACAACTTATATTAATATATGCATTTGTAAAATACACACTTAACAGTTTGGGAGTGAAACAATAGGGTAGAAATTTATAGCACTGGGTGGGGGTCTTTTACCCTTTATAAGTTTCTGTATATATAGTTTGTTTTTTTTCTAAAAAGTAACCATTTACCAATTTTGAAATTAAAGATTTTTTAAGGAAATAAATTATGAGAACATAATATATTTAAATTTTTCACTATATTAGAACACAACTTTGTTGACAACAGATTTCTACACAAACAAATCAAATATATGCAAGCACAATTTTTACAGGAATCTTGGCTAGGCATAAAATTTCTTAAGTGACCAGAAATGACCACCAATCCTGGACACCTTAATGACAGAATAGGGCAGAAACTCAGAAATGGCAGTGACCGTTAGCAGATTTGAATGGAATTGTCAAATGTGAGAAATGATTTTTAGTTACTGATGTTAGTCTACAAATCTAGGCATGTTGTTTTTGAACCCATCTTTACAAATAAATTTTAATGCTCGAAAATGATAATAATTTATCAAACCATTTCACAAAATCTTTCTTCATTAAAAGTGTAATAATTATGATTGCTGCATTAATGGAAAGTAGTCTATAAGAGCTCAACAAATAGGCCGGGCGTGGTGCCTCATACCTATAATCCCAGCGCTTTGGGAGGCTGAGGCAGGTGGGTCACCTGAGGTCAGGAGTTCGAGACCAGCCTGGCCAACATGATGAAACCCCGTCTCTACCAAAAATACAAAAAATTAGCTGGGCATGATGGCAGGCGCCTGTAATCCCAGCTACTCGGGAGGCTGAAGCAGGAGAATCGTTTGAACCCAGGAAGTGGAGGTTGCAGAGAGCCGAGATTGTGCCATTGCACTCTAGCCTGGACAACAAGAGCGAAACTCCATCTCAAAAAAAAAAAAAAAAAAAAAGAGTTCAACAAATAATGTAACAAACCTGGAAGACAAACCTCCAGGACCTTTTGTTCTTGATAATTCAAGTAATAAATCTGTCAACTTTCAAAGCTTCAAACTTACAAACTACTCTTAGAGATTTCTGTTATTTTAACTTCCTGTTTCCAAAACTGAACTTTAAGTGGCTTCCAGATTTCCTTGGAGATTGGAACTGAAGAGTTCTCTCTTTTAAAGTGATAGAAGCCAAACCTAAAGACAATTGATGTTTTTATAAATATACAGAAAAGATGGCTGCTTCAACATGTCTTCAAAATTTAACAATCTGTAACAGGTAAATGTAAAATTAAACCATATTTCGAAATAAGCTCTTAAATCTTTACAGCAGCACATTTTACATACTGAACTATTAATTTTTTTGTCAATGCTATTAAATGGCTTGGTGTTTCTCTTATGAATAAGCATTGTCACATATGCTGAATGACGCATTTACGATCTCTGGAAAATCAAACTTAAAAATACAAAAATAAAAATTATCGTGGCCTACACAGCAGCGGTTTCCAACCTTTTTGGCACCAGGGAACGGATTCGTAGAAGACAATTTTTCCACAGACCCAGGGTGGGGGTGGGTGGGTGTGGTTTGAGATGATCCGAGTACATTTATTGTGCACTTTGTTTCTATTATCATTGCATTGCAATATATAATATTATACAATTCACCGTAATATAGAATCAGTGGGAGCCCTGAGCTTGCTCTCCTGCAACTAGATGGTCCCAACTGGGGGTGATGGGAGACAGTGACAGATCATCAGGCATTAGATTCTCGTAAGGAGCAAGCAACCTAGATCCCTCACATGCAGTTCACAATAGGGTTCATGCTCCTACAAGAATGCCGCTGCTGATCTGACAGGAAGCAGAACTCAAGCAGTAATGTAAGTGACAGGGACTGGCTGTAAATATAGATGAAGCTTCACTACTCATCCACCACTCACCTACTGGTACATGGCCTAGTTCCTAATAGGCCACAGATGGGTACCAGTCCGTGGCCCAGGGGTTGGGGAACCCTGCTATACAGAACTCTTTGGAGAAAACAATGTCACTGAAGCAGTGAGCACATCCTTGTGAGAGGCAGGAAATACTGTTTGAAATAGGTAGGGTAGAACAAAATTATGGTGGGCCGAGCAAGATGAAAAATGTTGACTAATATGGTATATGCTCAATTATTCAAATAATTACAGAATAACTACTTTATATGCTGGATCTGTGGGCAGAGAGAGAAAATACAGGTTCCCATCCTTCAAGAAGCTCACAATTTAGGATGATGGAAAGAATTACAGAATATAAATAATTAGGCCAAAGTGGGCAGATCACGAAGTCAAGAGATCAAGACCATCCTGGCCAACATGGTGAAACCCCATCTCTACTAAAAATACAGAAATCAGCTGGGCGTGGTGGTGCGTGCCTGTAGTCCCAGCTACTCGAGTGGCTGAGGCAGGAGAATCGCTTGAATCCAGGAGGTGGAGGTTGCAGTGAGCCAAAATCATGCCACTGCACTCCAGCCTGGCAACAGAGCAAGACTCTATCTCTAAAAAAAAAAAACTATATATATATACATATATATATTTTTTAACCAAAATTGGCCAGGAGCAGTGACTCATGCCTGTAATCCTAGCACTCTTGGAGGCCAAGGTGGGCAGACTGCTTGAGCTAGGAGGTCAAAACATGGCAAAACCCTGTCTCTACTAAAAATACAAAAGTTATCTAGGTGTGGTGGGGTGCACCTGGAGTCCCAGCTACTCAGGAGGCTGAGGTGGGAGGATCACTTGAGCCCAGGGGCAGAGGTTGCAGTGGGCCAAGATCACGCCACTGCACTCCAACCTGGGCGTGAGAACCTGTCTCGAATAAATAAATAAATAACCAGAATACGTTATAAACATGCTATAAATAAAAGCACTCTGTAGGAACAAAACGAGGCAATTAAGGACTCTGATAATGGCTTCATAAAGAAAGTCACATCCAAGTCAAACCATGAAGGATGCACAGGGTGACGGTGGGCGAAGAATATTCACTTCAAACAATGCTAAGAAATGGCAACATCTAAATACTCTAATGCTTGGGGCTGTAGGTTCTTTTGTTCTTTTTTTTTTTTTAGTAGGGGAGAATAAGCTAGGGTCAAATTATCAGAGTGAGGGATTATAGGTTTCTGTTTAACCTAGTTTTAGGAAGACTTTACCTGAGGAGCTGAAGGGAACAGGCTAGAGGGAAAGTCAGAAAGACTACGGAGGAAGCTCTTACAGTGATGGGGGCAAAGAGTAGTTTTAGCAGTTTCACCACATTAACATGCCAATTGTGACTAACAATATTATCTCCATTTTTATTAAAATGCATAAAATATTTCAATACTATTGTAAAACTATATGTGAATTCATAAGAATGATAAAATAAAAATTTAGAAACATACAAAACACAAAACATGACAATATCTCTAACATGCTAGTATGCAAAGAAAGCCTTCAAAATGATAAGGAAAACATAAGTGACTTCTATCTTATCCATCATATTTTATTTTTATTCTTTATTTCCCTTTTATTTTGAGAAAATTATGAAGAAAAATATCAGAATTTAAAAAATTCGACTTTGGTCCTAGTAAGTACTGATCTAAAACTAAGGCTAAATAGCAAAGGCCAAACTACAGAATTTTAAAATAACAAGAAATTGGGTGGCGAGGCACAGTGGTCAGGCTCACACGTATTATCCCAGCACTTACGGAGGCCAAGGCAGGCAGATGGCCTGAGGCCAGGACAAGACCAGCCTGGACAACATGGTGAAACTCTGTCTCTAAAAAAATACAAAAATTAGGGGAGAGTGGTGGCGCACACATGTCCCAGCTATTCAGAAGGCTGAGGTAGGAGAATCGCTTGAGCCCAGGAGGTAAGGACTGCAGTGAGCCGTGATGGTGCCACTGCACTCCAGGTGGTCCATAGAGGAAGACCCTGTCTCAAAAAAAAAAAAAAAAGTCTGCAATTCCTGTTAATACAATTTTTCACATACACCTCTTTGTTCATGGCAGTTTTCCTGATAACATGCTTTCTTTCTGCACCCAAAGAGAGATCATTTTTTCTTAGACTCAGAATAAAACAGAAGAATCTAACAACTTTCCCCTATGTGCTTGCCCCTAAAACAAGTATACATTTCTTCTGAAGCTTTCTAACTTCTTAAGAACAGAAAAATGCTTTTGAAAAGCTGCTTTCTATAATTCCACAGCAGAAAAGTCAACACATAGATACTGCCAAGTATTATGATACAAATGTGATACTGCAGGTATTTTTACCCTTCACTATTCCTCCAAATATCCAGATTCAAATTCTCCAAGCATTCTGCATAGGAACTGAGGAGTCAAAAAGGGCACTAAGTCCTAGTGCTCAGATTCTGACTTGTAATACCATTCTCCAATAAAAAGAACAAAGGTTTCTTGGCAAAACAGCTGATTTCACCAGGGCATTGAAAATACAAGCCTGTAGCATCTGGTAGTGCCAGAAAGTAAAGAAACACACAAAAGAATAGGGGCATGTCAAACAGGACACTGGAACCAAGCTGAAAGAGCTCCCAAAGGCCAAAGCTGGAAAAATTTTGACAACAAAATAAATAATGTAGTATTAATTCTACTCCAAAATTTAAAAATGAGGCTGGCGGCAGTGGCTCACACCTGTAATCCTAGCATGTTGGGAGGCCATGGAAGGCGGATTGCCTAAGCTCAGGAGTTCAAGACCAGCCTGGGCAATATAGTGAAACCTTTGTCTCCACTAAAAAATACAAAAATTAGCCAGGCGTGGTGGCGTGTGCCTGTAACCCCAGCTACTCGGGACGCTGAGGCATAAGAATTACTTGAACCTGGGAGGCAGAGGTTGCAGTGAGCCAAGAAAGCACCACTATACTCCAGCCTGGGCAACAGAGTGAGACTCTTGTCTCCAAAAAAAAAGAAAAAAAATGAATATCCATGAATCCATACTGATATAAATAAATCTTCCTTACAGAAGAATTCCAAACATTTATGTGGACACTCCCTCGTTCAGGAGTTGAAACTTAACAACCCCTCCCCCACCAATCTCAAGTAGGCAAGAAAAGAGTAACTTTATAGTGGAGAAACCTGGCAAACACTACTCAGCCAGCTGATCACAATTGATCAAATCAGTGCTAAGTCATGTTGACACCATGTACTCCTGATACAATGTGATGAGAAAGGCAGGGCACTTTACTTCTGTGGTATTCTTTCCCAAAACCCCAAACTATGAGAAAAACATTCCACTAACCTAGATTCAGGGATGGTCTATAAAATATTTGACAGGTAACCCACAAAACTGTTAGAAAAAATAAGGGAAGACTGAGAAACTGTGAAACCAGAGTCTACAATGAAATATTATCTGGAGTTTATTTAACAGTGATGTATCAATGTGGGTCTCTTAGTCATGACAAACGTGTAATGGGTAAGATGTTAACAACAAGGGTAACTGAGTGAGCGATATATGGGAACTCTGTGTACTATTTTTGCAATGTAAATGTAAAACTACTGCAAAATAAATTCATTTTTTTAAAAACAAGGGTATTATTTACAAACTTCCCCTGATCCCTAGGAAAGGCAGGAGAGAAATGAGTGACTATGGAGCTTACCCTGCTCTCTAACTTCACCATCCATTCTCTCACTACTGCCAATCTCCAAAAATCTAAAGCTGGAACCAGGCCGGTCGCGGTGGCTCACGCCTATAATCTCAGCACTTTGGGAGGCCAAGGCAGGTGGATCACCTGAGGTCAGGAGTTCAAGACCAGCCTGGCCAACATGGCGAAACCCCGTCTCAACTAAAAATACAAAAATTAGCCAGGTGTGGTGTCAGGCACCTGTAATCACAGATACTTGGGAGGCTGAGGTGGGAGAATCGCTTGAACCTGGGGGGCACAGGTTACAGTGAGCTGAGATTGTGCCACTGCACTCCAGCCCAGGTGACAAAGCAAGACTCTGTCTCAAAAAAAAAAAAAGAAAAAAAGAGTTGGAACCACCATGAGAAAAGAAAGGGCCTAAAACCATCCAGTTGCTCCACTGGGATAGCAAGACATACATCTGTATACACTGAGAAATTATGTGTAAGTCAAAAAATTATACGTAATTTTTCTATTAAAACATCCAATCATGTCATCTTCTCAAATTACCACTGGTAATTTTCCAAATAAACACATTTCTTGTGTTAAAATGTTCAGCAATCATGCATTAATAGTCAATACGTACACAAAGCATACATATGCCCAAGTGTGTATACCTGTCTTTTATCTTTTTGTGACATAAAGCGTAAAGAAAACCTACTATTAAATGAGAACAGATAAGTAGTACTTCAAAGCACTAAAGGCTAAGGGTCTTAATTATCAAATACTGTAATTACCTAAGTGGAAATTAAGACAGAACAGCAGGCCAGGTGCAGTGGCTCACGCCTGTAATCTCAACATTTTGGGAGGCCTAGGCAAGTGGACCACCTGAGGTCAGAAGTTCGAGACCAGCCTGGCCAACACAGTGAAACTGTGTCTCTACTAAAAATACAAAAATCAGCCGGGTGTGGAGATGCATGCCTGTAATCCCAGCTACTCAGAAGGCTGAGGCATGAGAATCACCTGAACTCAGGAGGCGGAGGTTACAGTGACGCAAGATCGCACCACTCACTGCATTCCCGCCTGGGTGACAGAGCGAGACTCCATCTCAAAAAAAAAAAAAAAAAAAAAAAAAAAAAGGCAAACAAACAAAAAAGAACACTAAAATTAAGCCACTTATTCTTATATAAGCTAGGAATCTTTGGTCCCAACTTTGACAATCCTAGTTTGGTAGTGAACCATAAGACATTATCTTCAGTTGGAACATATGCCAAGTGTCAGTTTCAATGTGCTATGAACTTCTTTGTGTTCCCCAAAATTCATACGTTGAAGTCCTAACACCCAGTACTTCAAAATGTGTCTGTATTTAGAGATAAGACATTTAAAGAGGTAATTAATGTTAGATGAAGTCATATGAATGGGTCCTAATCCAATCTGACTGGAGTCCTTAAAAGAAGGGGAAATTTAAACACACAAAGCAACATCAGGATGCAAACACACAGAAAAAAAGATTATGTGAGAACACAGCAAGCGATCATTTATAAACCAAGAAGAGGGGCCTCAGGAAAAACCAAACCTGCTGATACCTTAATACTGGACTTACACTCTACAGAACTAGGAGTAAGTAAAGTTTTGTGGTTTAAGCCACTCCATCTGTGGCATTTCATTACCGCAGCCCAAGCAAACTAATACACTGTGGAATAAACACTTTCTGAGTACCTTAAATGTGCTAGAATGCCCCAAGTATTGTAAACACAAGAATGAATAAAGACACAGACCAGTCCTGAGGAAGTTATAGTCTAGCAGTTAGTGAGAAATATCACTAGGTAATCAAAATGCAGTATAAGTGTTATGATAGAGGTATGCACTGAAACTTAATAGAAGTAGAATCTAATCCGATTCTGAAGGGTAGGGTGTACCAGGAAAAGTTTTCCAGGAAGGATAAGACAGTGAAATTCGAAGAACAGAGACCCAATTACCCTATTTCTCATGGCAGAGTTTCCCTGAATAAACTATATAATTAATGATGAAGTATACCTAAAAATGTATAAAACAAGTTATATGAAAGACAAAATACAATCTTCTGATAGACAATTTTTCATCTTCAAGATGCCAAATTCAAACAACTATCTGTCTAGAACGATGACCGTTAGGGAGAAAAGGGGAAATTAGATGACTTCTTCAGACACTTTTGAGCATATGAAAAACTAGACAAAAGCCCACAGAATTACAAAATTTCCCTCAGAATTCATTCCAATTAAATAACAGGAGAAGGAATCTACTGTATTAGACCTAAAACCACAGGCTCTCCTTTAATCTTCAACATTAATACTAAGCTCCCTACATCTCTCATCAGGCAACCCAGTCTCAACTTTTCCATTACCTTCAAGCAGGGAGAACTATAACTTATAATACACTTCAAAGATTAAAACAGATGTGGAGGTCAGATGTGGTGGCTTATGACTGTAATCCCAACACTCTGGGAGGCCAAAGTGGGCAGATCACCTGATGTCAGGAGTTCAAGACCAGCCTGGTCAACATGGTAAAACCCTGTCCCTACTAAAAATATAAAAATTAGTTAGGTGTGGTGGTGGGCACCTGTAATCCCAGCTACTTGGGAGGCTGAGGCAGGAGAATCGCTTAAACCTAGGAGGCAATGGTTGGAGTGAGCTGAGATCACACCACTGCACTCCAGCCTGGGCGACAGAGTGAGACTCCATCTCAAAAAAAGAAAGAAAAAATAAATAAATAAATAAAACAGATGTGGAATCCATCTGTCATCTATCAAGACAGACACAGCTGCAAAAATATGAAATTTGCTCTTCTCAATGTTTTTGTTTTGAAAAAGTTTTCATAAAATACTATTTATATTTACATGTCATGGGTTTATTAATTTCAAAATAAATATTTTTCTTAAATTAAAACAAAAAGAATCAATCCCAAAACTTGTCTAAAAATATATAATTAGCAGCATAAAACAATGTTCACAATTAAAAATTTGCCGATAACATGTATTCCAAAATCTGTTTTTAGCCATGATTTCATGTGAGGGCATAAACAAAATGTCACATTCTCAAATGACACAAAGCTAAAAAAAAATTGCATATAAACTGAATGACAAAATCAGAACCTGAAAATAATTAACTTACAATTTAGCAAAATCATTTTAATTTTTGTTTGTTTGTTTTTGAGATAAGGTCTTGCTTTTGCCCAGGCTGGAGCACAATGGCAGGATCACAGCTCACTGCAGCCTTGACTTCCTGGGCTCAAGTGATCCTCCCGCCTCAGCCTCCCAGGTAACTGGGACTAGAGACATGAGCCATCATGCCCAGCTAATTTTTTGAATTTTTTGCAGAGACGAGGTTTTGCCATGTTGCCCAGTCTGGTCTCAAACTCCTGGCTTCAAGTGATCTACCTGCCTCAACTTCTCAAAGTGTTGAGATTACAGGCATGAGCCACTGTGCCCGGCCACTGAATAATTTCCTTGAGTCAAATTACTGGGTAATATTCTGGACACTCACTCACAAATGCTCCAAGTTCTAATTTTGGTATCGTTCTATATTATCTAATCACCTTTCTTCAGACTCAAATATCAAAGTTTTCTGATCTGAAATTATCAAATTCTAAAGACTTTTTCTTTAGAATTTGATAATTTCAGATCAGAAAACTTTGATATTTGATATTAAGTCATACTGACTTTGATATTAAGTCATCACCATTTGGTCACTTGTAAAAAGCACAATGGAATAAAGTGGGTTCTACTAGCATCTTCCCTCACAGAGATAGTCACCCTCACAAAGACTATGCTCTAGCTAAGATGAAATATCCCAAGATATGAAAAATAAATCCTCCCAAAGCTGATAACATGTAAAAGTAAAATACGTGGCCAGGCGCAGTGGCTCACGCCTGTAATCCCAGCACTTTGAAAGGCCAAGGTGGGCGGATCACCTGAGGTCAGAGTTTAAGACCAGCCTGGCCAACTTGGTGAAACCCCATCTCTACTAAAAATACAAAAAAATTAGCTGGACATGGTGGTGCACCTATAATCCCAGCTGCTCGGGAGGCTGAGGCAAGAGAATCGCTTGAACCCAGGAGGTGGAGGTTGCAGTGAGCCAAGATTGTGCCACTGCATTCCAGCCTGGGTGACAGAATGGGACTCTGTCTCAAAAAAATAAAATAAAATAAAATAAAATACGTGACAATATTAACACAAAGGACAGGAGGGGAACAAATGAAAGTATACTGTTTTAAGTTTCTCATATTATACATACAACCGTCTATTATTCCTTGAAGAAAGACTGTGACAAAGATGCATAGTGTAAACCCTAAAAGAACCACAAAAGATTTTTTTTAAAGTATAAGCCAAAAGTGGTGATAAATGTAATATGATTTTTAAAAACCCTCAATCCAAAAGGAGGCAGGAAAAGAGAAAAGGGACAGGTGGGACAAACAGAAAACAAACAGCAAACTGACAGATTTAAATCCAATTGTATCAACACTGGGGCTATTGGTGTAAGGACAGACTAGAGAGTCCAGAAACAGACTTAAATATATCATCAAATGATTTTCCAACAAAAGTGCCAAGATAATGAGGAAGGAACTGTTTTTTCAACAAATGGTGGTAGGCTGAGTGCGGTGGCTCACGCCTGTAAATACCAGCACTTTGGGAGGCTGACGCAGGAGGATTGCTTGAGCTCAGGAGTCGAGACCAGCCTGGGCAATAAAGTGAGACCCTGTCTCTACAAAAAAATTTTAAAACTAGTCAGGCATGGTGGTGCGTCCTTGCAGTCTCAGCTACTCAGGAGGCTGAGGCAGGAGGATCGCTTGAGCTCAGGAGGATGAGGCTGCAGTGATCCACGACTGTGCCACTGCACTGCAGCCTGGGCAACAGAGAAAGACTCTTGTCTCCAAAAACAAACAAACAAAAATGGTCGTGAAACAACTGGAGAGCCAGATAGGAAAAAAAGGAATCTCAACACCTACCTCACACCAGATACAAAAACTAACTCAACCTAAAACTATAAAGCTTCTAGAAAAAACACAGCAGAAAGTTTATGTGATTATATCATGGGCAAAGATTTCACAGGATACAGAAAGTACTACCATTTCTTAAAAAAATTAGTAAGCTTGACTTTATCAAAATCAAAACCTCCGCTCTTCAGAGACAGCATTAAGAAAACAAAAGGACAAGCTGGTAAGCTAAAGACAGATAAAATTATATATACATGTGTTTGTGTGTGTATACAAACACATATACGTAACTTGAATACTGAATATAAAAAACTCTTATATTCTAATAACACAACCCCACAAAAAATAGGCAAAAGATTTTACAAAACATACAAAAATACCCAATAAGTAAATTTAAAAATCTTCAATATCTTTAGTCACCAGAGGAATGCAAATTAAAACTATAGTAATATACCATTACACACCCAATAAGACTAAAACTAAAAAGACCAAAACCACCAAACACTGGCAAGGATATTCCACAACTGGAACTCCACACATGACTCTCTGGCAGCTTCTAATAATGTTAGTTATGCACACATCTAACGTATGATCCAGTAATTCCATGCCTAAGTTGGAAAACGTGAATACAAAGACTTGTATATGAATGTTCATCGCTTTACTCATAATAGCCAAAAATTAGAGAAAAAATAAATCTCCAAGTGAATGGATAAATTATGTTATACAGCTACAACGGGATACCAAACAGCAACAACAAAGAAGGAACTACTGATACATGTATCAATACGGATTAATCTCAAAAATATCATGCTAAGGGAAAACTAGACACAAAGTATCGGTATGCTTCTATTTATTTGAAATTCCAGACAGGCAAAGCTAACCTAAAGTAAAAAAAAAAAAAAAATTGAACATTGGTTGTGTCTTCAAGGGATGGGGAAAGGACTGACAAGGAAGGAGCATGTAACTTTTTGAGGTCATGGTTGTTCGTGTTCAATACCTTCATAAGGATTTGGGCAATAAATAGATGCATTTGGCAAAACTTAAATGGTATACTTAAGATTTGTGCATTTCACCGTATGTAAAGTTTACTTTAAAAACTGTAAACAGCCTGGAATTCCAGCACTTCAAGAGGCTGAGGCAGGCAGATCACAAGGTCAGGAGTTCAAGACCAGCCTGGCCAAGATGGTGAAACCCCATTTCTACTAAAAATACAAAAAAATTAGCTGGGCGTGGTAGCGGGCGCCTGCAATCCCAGCTACTCGGGGGGCTGAGGCAGAGAACTGCTTGAACCCGGGAGGCGGAGGTTGCAGTGAGCCAAGATCATGCCATTGCACTCCAGCCTGGGCGACAGAGCAAGACTCCATCTCAAAGAAAAAAAATAAATAACTGTAAACAAATATTTGACTCTAGTTAGTGACATGAAACTGTAGTTTTTTACGGGTAAAATGCACTGGCGTCTGTAACTTTATTTTTTTTATTTTTGTAACTTTAAAATGCATAAAAAGCAACAGGTTTGGTTGATGGACGGTTGGAGGAACAAATAGATGGCTAGAAATGTAAAGCAAAAAAATAGCAAATTGTTAATCATAGAATCTAGGTGGCAGGGAGATGGGCGTTCACTGTACAATTCTTTCATCTTTTCTGTTTGCAATTTTGCATAATAAAATGCTAAAGGGAAAACATTTGATGAGCAGAGTATCAAACACAAGAGTAATAATACTACTACTTACATGAAATTCTAAAACAAAGAAAACTCATCTATGATGTCAAAAATCAGATGAGTAGTTGCCTGAGGCAGGAGATGTGGGTGGCTGATGGCAAAAGAGCACAAAGGAACTTTCTAGAGTGATGGAATGTTTTATGTCCTGATTGGGGTGCTAACTGCATGGACAGACACATTTGCCAAAATTCATCCAACTATACATAAAACGTGTGCCTCATATTGTATATAAATTATACATCAAACATCAACTTGGTTGGTTTTTAAAATAAGTTCACTATATAAAATCTGGAATACACAGAAAAAGCAAAGAGAAATTAAGTCCCAATCCCATCACCCTAATAAAATCACCAACCTTTCCTTCTCTTGACAATGACCACGCCTACTGGAGATAAAAATATACTTTAGATGGTTTTCCTTAGAAGGAAATACAGAAATAGTGACTTCCTAAATTTTGGAATTCTTTGCTCAGGCAACTCAAAATGCATTGATTTAAATCTCCACATCCCCATCACTGCTGTGACTCATTAGCAAATTATTAATCATTCTGTGCCTGAATTTCCTCATCTGAAAAATGAAAATATTTACCACAAAGGGTTGTTGTAAATATTAAACAAAGTAACATATGCATATGATAGCTTTTATTGTTGTTGTTTTAAAGATGACGAGTCAGCTAGTTTTTAGAAATCGTCCAGGCAAAGACGTCCACAAGCTTCTTCCCTCTGAATTCTTCCCCCTACCCACGATCACCACATATACATATACATACATTTTTTTTTTGGTACGACTTCAATCCTCTAGCTACACCCACCTCAAACTAGTCTAACTTATTCAAGTGAACCTCAAATTCCTCTTGAAGATTAGACCAAAACACTGAGTTGTTAAAGGCCAAAGCAAAGGTTGGAGTAACAAAATAAATAAAAATAAAATCAGAAAACTAAATTAAAAAGATGACAGCTGTCCTGAGAATGCGGGATCTAATGTTGGGAGCAAAACTGCCCAAGGAAACAATTTCTCTTTGAATGAAGTCCAATAAGTTTATTTAGATAAAATTTGTTTTTACTCTACATATATGATTTAGGTCAGTCAAAATATGTAATCTGGAGAATAGTAATGAAAGCCTATGTTCTAGAGGCTGGGTGCAGTGGCTCGTGCCTGTAATCCCAGCACTTCATGCAGGGAGGACTGCTTGTGCCCAGGAGTTTGAGATCAGCCTAGGCAACATAGGTGAGACTGTCTCGACAAATAAACAAACAGTATGTACTAAAGAAAGAGAACTTGAGTTGTAAGAGGAAAACCAGGAAGACTTACTGACACTTTAATGGCTGACAGTATAGGCATACTGAAAGTTGGAATTTGGGAGAACACCTCTAGATAGACATCAAGCCCATAAAGTGAACTTGACAAGAAAAAAATAATTTAAACCATGTAGGAGATTATGCTTGCCCTTCTGCTCACTGATTATATGCCTAGAATCAACACAAAATAGGAGATTAAATTTTGCTGCTCTCCACTGGGTCTCACTTCCCAAGTGTCTCTCAGAATGTGAGCATCTTACTATGCTGTCAGATTCTAATATTTAGAGCCATTTATTTTTCCCATATTATAGGCCATATACACAAACCTACTCTTTCTCTGATATTTAACAATGAAAACATGATTTATTCCAATAGTGGAGGGAAAACGGGAAGTGCTAGACTTCCAGAGACTGCATATTTATAATGTATATTTGGGCAACTTTAGGGATTTCCAAGGTTATCTTTGACTAAATGCCATTTTTGCTTTCCTTGGATCAGTATATTCAGACAGTGAAGTGAAAATTCTTGTTACAAGAAACAAAAAACACCAAGATATTAAACAACTCTAGAATACTGGTTTGGGGAAACCAAGAATTCATTATCCTGCATACTGATGTCAGCTACTTTATTTAACAAACCTTTTATGGTTTGAATTTTTACTGTACGTCACTGATCAAGGTGATAAAAAGATAGTAAGGTGCTACCCTTTCCTAACAAATTTCATATTCTAGATAAAAATAGTAACCTTAATCCTAATGTGAATTCTTGTACACGTTAAGTCTCATCTACACACATTTACCTATATACTTTTTTGCAATCTTCAGAATTTTAGTTTCAGTAAACCTAAACAGCAAGTTCCTTCTGTTGGAGATAATAAAAAGAGACAACTAAGGATCAGTAAAGATAATTGGGAGAGAAAAGAAGGAGTATTTTAAATTGAAGCTTGTTAAAGGAAGATAACTAAAAACAAAGTTGAGACCTTAAAACTGCTAATCCAGAACTGCCATCTATGAGGGAAAAAACATGCATTCACACTGGAATAAAATAAATAAATCCAAGAGTCTGGGAAGAGGGTTTCAAAAAGATCAACTCAGCTACGGCAAGGAGGATAAACACAGGATAGGTCACTCAAACTTCTTCCATCCCAAGCATCTGGAATGAGAACAAAACCAAGAAAAGTCAATCAGGAAAGAGAAATTAATTTTACAGTAGCTTATTAATATTTTAGAAGATACAGTATCACTGACAATACATTAGCTATCACTTATTCATTTATGGTTCTCATTCAATAAATATTTATTGAAAGCCTATAATGAGCTAGGCACTTGTTTTAGGCACTGGCATCAGCCACGAACAGGACATAGAAAGTCTTTGCTCTCATGGAAATTACATGCAAATGAGACCAAAAAACCAAGATAATTTTAGAGCGAAACACGTGCTATTAAGAAAATACGCCACGTGCAGTGGCTCACACCTGTAATTCCAGCAGTTTGGGAGGCTGAGGCAGGCAGATCGCTTGAGCTCAGGAGTTCAAGACCAGCCTGGGCAACACGGCAAAACCCTGTCTCTACAAAAAATTTTAAAAAAATTAGCTGGGTGTGGTAGCACGCACCTGTAGTCCCAGCTACTGGAGAGGCTGAGGTGGGAGGATGGTTTGAGCCTAGGAGGTGGAGGTTGCAGTAAGCAGGGATCATGCCACTGCACTCCAGTCTGAGCAACAGAGCCAGACTCTGTCTCAAAAAAGAAAAAGGCCGGGTGTGGCGGCTCACACCTGTAATCCCATAACTTTGGGAGGTCAAGGTGGGCAGATGGCTTGAGCTCAGGAGTTCCAGACCAGCCTGGGCCACAGGGCAAAAGCATGTCTCTACAAAAACTTAGCTGGGTGTGGTGGTACATGCCTGTCCCAGCTACTCAGGAGGCTGAGGTGGGAGGATCGCTTGAGCCCAGGAGGCAGAGGTTGCAGTGAGCTGACATTGAGCCACTGCACTCCAGCCTGCGAAACTGAGTGAGACCTTGTCTCGAAAAAAGAAAAAAGAAAATTAAACAGGCAGTAGGATCACTTGAGGCCAGGAGTTCAAGGCTGCAGTAAGCTTTAATAGCACCTGTGAATAGCCAACTGCAATCCCGCGCTGGCAACATAATGAGATCTTATCACAAAAAAGGAAGAAAGAAAACAAAACAAATGTAAAGGTTGACCATCAACAGGATCCTCTCTAAGAAGCTAAAGACATGAATCATGACAAGAAACTAGCCACTAGTCAGTCAAGCCACACAATTCTAGAGGAAGAGTATTCCTGGGAGAGAAAAAATAGGAAAGACTATGTGACAGGAATATGCCTAACAGGTGCAAAGAACTAAAAGAAGGGAAGTGGAAGGAAAGGGAAATGGCACACAATGACATCAGAAGTAGTCAGGGCCAGATCAGGTAGAGCCTGTAGGGAACTGTGTGCCACATTTTTATTTCATTTTATCTTTACTAAGAACTATAGGGAACTGAAGATTACAGAAGTGACTTGCCTAAGACCTGATAGCAAAGCCTGGATCTAAATGACTATCTAAGTTGTTGAGTTTGGTCACTCTCTCTCTTTTTTTTTTTTTAATTAAATGCACAGTTATGAGGGCTTTCACTCAGAACTTCAGTTCCCATGACTACTTTTACATAAGATTATTACATATGTTACTCAACCGTACTTCCCGTATTTACCATGCAGATTTTCAGGAACTTGTCCCTCACATAAGAATGTTCTAATAAAGCATGGTAACTGCTACAAATAACAAAGTACCAAATACCATGGGAAAACGGAAGGGACAGCTATTAATTCTAAAGGAAAAACCTGAAAGAAGTTTAAGAGTTGATCTTTAAAAGTAAAATTTCAAGTGGAGAATAAGGATAAGGATACATCAGAGAAATGGCGGGAAGATAGTCAAGAAAATAGAATGGTGAGTTTTAACCAACACTATACAGTAGTCTCCCCTTAACCACAATTTACTGTCTACGGTTTCAGTTACCTATGGTCAACCATGGTCCAAAAATATTAAAGAAAAAACTCTAGAAATAAACAGCTCACAAGCTTTAACCGCTTATGAATGCCTACACAGTGCCCATGTCATTAACCTCATTTCGCCATTTTATCATCATTTTCCGTCATCACAAGAAAGGTGAGTACAATATTTTGAGAGATGACATTCACACAATTTTTATTAA
Source organism: Homo sapiens (assembly GCF_000001405.40). Classification (NCBI taxonomy): domain Eukaryota; kingdom Metazoa; phylum Chordata; class Mammalia; order Primates; family Hominidae; genus Homo; species Homo sapiens. Next base: position 59,001,948 of record NC_000015.10, on the reverse strand, counting down.
ATATAGTTATAAATTTTTTTATTAGTTATTGCTATTAATGTCTTACTCTGCCCAATGTATAAATTAAACTTTATAATAGGTATGCATGTTGTGGCTGTTAAGCATCTACTGGGGGTCTTGGACTGTATCCCTCATGGATAAGGGAGGACTACTGTACTTAGTTCTTTAAACATGATTTCATAAAAAATAAAATAAAATCCCATGATAATGTATGTTTTGTAGGTGTTCTGTAACAAATCTTATATCACATGATTTTCTTCACTTAATAAAAGTATTAAGTATTTTCTATTAAAGAACCTAGCTGTCAAAATAGACTTAGTCTTCCTAAAGTGAACCTATTCGCCAAATGTGGAGAGCCCATTTCCATGTCACTAATATAACTTTTTCCTGGTAAAACTGTCATGATTATCAAAAGCAAAAGTTCACATTTTTTAAAAACATGGTAAGTTATACAAGACCTTTATTTCAAATCTCCCTCCAATCCCCACTAAACTGATAGTAAAAAGAATTTTTTTTTAATCAACAACAAAAATAGGAACTAATAGCAGGCAAAGTAGAGATGGCAATAGAATCCTGTTACCTGATTGACAGGAAATCCAGAAAAGAGAAGAGAGGTAAAAAATGGCTAAGAAGTTATCAAAGGCAATGTAAATATTTCATATAACTGAAGAACATGAACCCTTCATACCTCTGTTCTCAGAGACCACCATTCTCCTCCTCACCTACTCCACTAAAGCCCCAGTAGTTTCTAGGCTATTTCTCAAGCAGGTCAACCATGCTATGGCTAGTCACGCTGCCTTGAATGCTCTTCCCCCAGATAACCACGAGGCTCACTCATTCACTTCCTTTACATCTGTGTTCAAATGTTTCCTTATCCATGATACCTTCCCTGACCACCTCACATTAGTAGTTAATACCAACATTAAAATTTTTGTGGAAAGGCAAAAAAATAAAAAGTTAACCCCACCCTCTATCTTCCTTTTCCAGCTCACTTATTTCCACAATGACCATCTACAACTTTGTTTCCCCACCAGAGCAGATTTCGTTTTGATCACTACTATGTGCCCAAAAGCTTAGAACACATATTTGGCATTCAATAGGCATTTGCTGAATTGTTCTTTAAAATAATCAAAAATTCTGACATAACTGAAAGATGGGATGAAAGGAGAATAGTGGGCTCATCTACCATCAAAAATTGGTTAATTCTCTGCAGCAGCAGTTATCTTTTTTTTTTTTTTTTGAGACGGAGTTCAGCTCTGTCACCCAGGATGGAGCGGAGTGGTGCCATCTTGGCTCACTGAAACATCTGCCTCCCAGTTCAAGCAATTCTCGTGCCTCAGCCTCCCGAATAGCTAGGATTATAGGCGCCCGCCACCATACCTGGCTGTTTTGTATTTTTCGTAGAGACAGGGTTTCCCCAAGTTGGCCAGGCTGGTCTCAAATTCCTGACCTCAGGTGATCCGCCTGCCTCGGCCTCCCAAAGTGCTGCAATTACAGATGTGAGCCACCAGGCCCGGTCCTGAGGTCCTTCATAATCTTAAAAATGGGCCGGGTGCCTAGCAGTTTGAGATCAGCCTGGACAACATGGTGAAACCCGTCTCTACTAAAAATAGAAAAATGAGCCAAGTGTGGTGGTACATGCCTGTAGTCCCAGCTACTTGGGAGGCTGAAGTGGGAGGACTGCCTGAGCCCAGGAGGCAGAGAATGTAGTGAACTAAGATCTCACCACTGCACTCTAGCCTGGGTAACAGAGAGAGACCCTGTCTCAAAAAAAAAAAAAAAAAAGGGAAAAAAAAAATCACTGGAAGATCTGAAAAAGCTTTTATTATATGGGTTATATCTACTGATACTTATTGATATGGTCTGGATCTGTGTCCTCAACCAAATCTCAGGTCAAAGTGTAATTCCCATTGTTGGAGGTGGGGCCTGCCTGGAGGTGACTGGATTATCTGGGCAATTTCTAATGGTTCAGCACCATCCCTTTGGTGCTGTTCTCATTATGGAGTTCTCATGAGATGTGGTTTTTTAAAATTGTGTGGCACTTCCCCCTTCTCTCCTGCTCCTGCCATGTAAGACACCTACTCTTGCTTTGCCCTCTACCATGAGTAAAAGCTCAGAGGCCTCCCCAGAAGCAGATGCTGCCACGCTTCCTATAAAACCTATGGAACCTTGAGCCAATTAAACCCCTTTTCTTTATAAATTACCCAGTCTCAGTTATTTATAGCAGTGTGAGAACGAACTAATACCCTTACCCTATTAGAAAGTAAAACTCATAAATGCTTTAAAATGTATTATTTTAAAACTGCAGTAATAGGCCGGGCACAGTGGCTGACACCTGTAATCCCAGCACTTGAGGAGGCTGAGGTGGGCGGATCACCTGAGGTCAGGAGTTCGAGACCAGCCTGGGAAACATAGTGAAACCCTGTCTCTACTAAAAATACAAAAATTAGCCGGGTGTGATGGTGCATGCCTGTAATCCCAGCTACTCGGGAGGCTGAGGCAGCAGAATTGCTTGAACCTGGGGGGCGGAGATTGCAGTGAACTGAGATTGCACCACTGCACTCCAGCCTGGGTGACAGTGTGACTCCGTCTCAAAAACAAACAAACCCCACTGCAAACCCATTATATCTAATATAAGTAACTTTTATTAAAATATTTTCAAAACTTTAATAAGAGCGGTAATGCTATACATTTTTTGCAAATCTCTCTAATGACTAGCTTAACAGAAGAAAACTGGATTGTCACATCTGCATCTGTATTCCATTTATCATGATATGCTGTTCTGGTTAAATTATAAGAAAATCCAGTTTCACACAAATATGTAGTTGAAAAAGGGAGTAGTATATTTAATAACCTTTTCAGGTAAGTGTGGGTGTTATTCCTCTTTGATACTACCCCAAAACTTTACAAAGGCAGTTTGAACTTAATTGCAATGTGGAATTTGAAACCATATCAATGAAACCTCATACTATCAGTGAAAAAACAACTGCTCGATACTGCACTTTACATAGATCTTTCACCCAGACATGACTTTGTAACATCATGGTCATCTGAAAAATATTGTTTCACCAAGTTACGCACCTCTTTCAAACATGACACATTTCATTATGTAACAGTAAAAAAATAAATTTTGTTAATAACACAACCAATCTCATTGCAAAGTCCTGAGAAACTGCCAAAATTACAGTGACTGATAGGCGTTTTCCACAATTCTAATTTTTGCTTGAAAGTTTGAATTTTATTTTGGCAATAAATTCTGTCATTTGTTTTTCTTGAAGTGAACGGCTCACTTCATTTATTTTTGAGAAAATATGTACAAATATCCAAGTTCACACAACTACAGTTTGCTTCTTTCAAGTAAAAATGTGTTCCATGAAAGAAGTGACTAGTTTGCTAATCCATTTTATAACTAAATCAAACAAGTTCTTTTCTCAAAATAAGCATCATACTTTGGTATGCAATGGAAGACCCTGTAACAACCTTCCCAAGAACATACGGACACAATGAGGGGAAGAACACTCACTGTAATCTTTCAGAGTGTGGAGGGTGGGAGGAGGGAGAGGATAAGGAAAAATAACTAACAGGTACTAGGCTTAATACCTGGGTGGTGAAATAATCTGTACAACAAACTCTATGACACAAGTTTACCTATGTAACAAACCTGCATTTATACCCCTGAACTTAAACTTAAAAAAAAAAAAAAACTTCCCATTTTGTCACATGGAATATTAAAAACACATGTGCTTGGCCAGACACGGTGGCTCATGCCTGTAATCCCAGCACTTTGGGAGGCCGAGGCTGGCGGATCACGAGGTCAGGAGATCGAGACCAGCCTCACCAACATAGTGAAACCACGTCTCTACTAAAAATACAAAAATTAGCCGGGTGTGGTGGCACGGGCCTGTAATCCCAGCTACTAGGGAGCCTGAGGCAGGAGAATTGATTCAACCTGGGAGGCAGAGATTACAGTGAGCCAGGATCGCCCCACTGCACTCCAGCCTGGGCAACGGAGTGAGACTCAGCTTCAAAAAAAACAAAAAACAAACAAAAAGAAAAACAAAAAAAACACATACACACATGTGCTCAAGAATCAAAATAAATTTACAAATTTTTTGGGTTTTTGTTTTTTTTTTTGAGATGGAGTCTCACACTGTCGCCAGGCTGGAGTGCAGTGGCGCAATCTTGGCTCACTGCAACCTCTGCCTCCCGGGTTCAAGCCATCCTCCTGCCTCAGCCTCCCGAGTAGCTGGGATTACAGACATATGCCACCACGCCCTGCTAATTTTGTATTTTTAGTAGAGATGGAGTTTCCCCATGTTGCCCAGGATGGTCTCGATCTCTTGACCTCGTGATGTGGCCACCTCAGCCTCCCAAAGTGCTGGGATTACAGGCGTGAGACACCATACCCAGCCCTGATTTTTTTTTTTTTTTTAACTGCAAATGTGTAGTCATGAAGAACATAGTGATTACTAATGCAGTTTGGCCACTGTCTTGATTTGTGCTACAGGGCCATTAGTTTAATGCACCACTGTTTTTTGCACCATCAGTGCAAATGTCAACTGGTGTTCACATCAGTTACATAGAAAATGAGAACTTGGTAATATTCTGAAATAGTTTCAACCTGGTAGACCTCCTGAACACTTGGAAGAGCTACCTCAAGAGTCAACAGACCACACTCTGAGAACCACTACTCTGGATGCACATATAAAATACAGGAGGAAAGAGATACATCTTCAGAGAAAAGACTTGGGTCATAGGAAGATAAGAATGGCAAGGAGCCTTGTTTTTTTTCCCTGTACATTCTTTGTACCTTATAAATTTGGTACACTTTGTATATATTACTTTTCTCTGAAAAAATTAACTTAAAAAAAGACACTTAAACTGACATGAAAACTAAGTAAAAATTAAGCATATTAGTAGAAATATAAGTACACAAGTAAATACAAACAAATATAAGCATACTACTTATAAATATAAAGGTATAGACTACAGAAATAATTTTTGAGAGCTAAAATGTTTCTGTTTAAGCAGTACAACTAGGAGATTAGGAGAGTTGCATAGGAAACCACTGTTTTTCATTGTAAGTCTTTTGAAACTGACTTTTAAAACCGTGTACAGATATTAATTGGTTGAAAATTTAAAATATTCAAAATATTACTTTGAAAAAACACACATTAAGTTAGATTGAATAAGTAAATAAAGCAAATATCCATACACAGGTGAGAAACTGGCTATGAAATATACCAAGATGTAACAGTAACTGCCTGGGTAAAAAAAAAAAAAAAAAAAAAAAAAAAAAGAAAGTACTGATGAGTTTTCAATCACATACAAAAATTCTGTTTCATAATTTTTTAATTTTTTTTTTCTTGAGATGGAGTCTTGCTCTACTGCCCAGGCTGGAGTACAGTGGCATGATCTCGGCTCACTGCAACCTCCACCTCCCAGGTTCAAGCGATTCTCCTGCTCCAGCCACCCAAGTAGCTGGGATTACAGGCATGCACCACCCCACTTGGCTACTTTTTTTTTTTTGCATTTTTCAGTTGAGACAGGGTTTCATCAGGTTGGCCAGGATGATCTTGAACTCCTGGCCTCAAGGGATCCATATGCCTCGGCCTCCCGAAGTGCTGGGATTATAGGTATGAGCTACCGCACCCAGCCCAATTTTTTGAACTCATTTTAAAGTTTCTTAAAAAGCAACAGTTTTCTTCAGATTAGAATGTTTGATGACTTAGTTAAAAATAGTTAAAAGTATAAACTTCAGGTTTTTAATAAACAGTTAAGTGGCTAAACATACACACACAATTTTTTCTCATTTCATATGATCACAATTAAGAACATAACTCATTATGTATTTGAAAAAGAAAAGAAGAAAAAAATTGCTTTATGACAATAAGTTGCTGAGTCTTACGTGATTACTTCATAAAATCTTCAAAGAAATATAAACCTACTATCAAAAATCTAATTTAAATTTAGTTTCCTAGCGATGTCCTGATGCATGAAAAAAAGATTATTCCTGTATATAAATAACACAACAGCAAATTGGATTGCTCACTAAAAGGAACCAGGGTTCCATGGAAAACGGCTCATTCCAAGACTGACAAAGGAAAGAAATAAGATGTGCTTGCAACATCTTGCTGTGCCAGAAAGACAGGAAATACTTAAAAAAAAAAAAAAAAAAAAAAAAGGCCGGGGCACGGCATCTCATGCCTGTAATCCCAGCACTTTGGGAGGCTGAGGCAGGTGGATCACGAGGTCACAAGGTCAGGAGTTCAAGACCAGCCTGTCCAAGATGGTGAAACCCCGTCTCTACTAAAAATACAAAAATTAGCCGGGCATGGTGGCAGGCGCCTATAATCCCAGCTATTTGGGAGGCTGAGGCAGAGAATTGCTTGAACCCGGGAGGCAGAGGTTGCAGTGAGCCAAGATCGCGCCACTGCACTCCAGCCTGGGAGACAAGAGTGAGACTCCGTCAAAAAAAAAAAACAAGAGGTTATGTTAAAAAGACACAGGAGCCCACTTGGAAAGGCTCCTAATGGACAAATCTGGGACAATTTGAACATCAAAATAAAGGTTATAATGGGTTATTTAACCCACTGAATAAAACAGGAAACACACAATTCTGTATTAATCAGATAAAAGAATGTCTCTTCCTTATAAAAGAATGTCCATTAGTGAAGAAAATGGATGAGTTACAAAATAAACACTTTCCAACCATTAGAGTAAAGATCAGTAAAGATCAGCATAGGCAAGAAACATCAATGGATGCTACATGGGCCTTGGGGGATGTGGGGAGTGATGAGGAACAGGATGATCTGATGAGGAGCAGAGTAGCTGCACTATCTCAAAGTTATCCCCACAGATTGCTTATTAGGTGCACTGTTCCACATTACAGGAGACTAAAGAGATATGACAACTAAATGCATTTTGTGATCCTGAACTGGGTCCTATGAGGAAAATGCTGTAAAGGGATAAATGCTATTATCAGGACAATTCGACAAAACTGGAAAATGAGCTGTAGATTAATATTATCAAAGTTTAATTTTCTGAATTTTGTAACTGGTGCAGTGATAACGCAAAAGAATACAATACACAGTGAATATTTAGAAACAAATGGGCATAATGCAATGTAATGGGCATAATGTAAGCAATTTACTTTTAAATGATTCAAGAGAGAATAAGGGGCCAGGCGCAAAGGCTCACCCCAGCACTTTGGGAGGCTGAAGTAGGCTGATCACTTAAAGTCATGGGTTTGAGACCAGCCTGGCCAAGAGGGTGAAACCTCGTCTCTAACTAAAATACAAAAATTAGCTGGACGTGGTGGCGGGCACCTATAATCTCAGCTACTCAGGAGGCTGAGGTAGGAGAATCGCTTGAACCTGGGAGATGGAGGTTACAGTGAGCCGAGATCACACTGCTGCACTCCAGCCTGGGCAACACAGCGAGACTCCACCTCAAAAAAAAAAAAAAAAAAAAAAGAGAGAGAAAATAAGAAAGCAAGAGTGACAACATTAAAAATTGGTGAATCTGAATAATGAGTATTCAAGAGTTCTCAGTACTATTTTTTAAATCTTTCGGTAAGTTTGAAATTATGTCAAAATAAAAATGTAAGTAGCCAGGCGTGGTGGCTCACGCCTGTAATCCCAGCACTTTGGGAGGCCAAGGCGGGAGGATTACTTGAGGTCAGGAGTTCGAGACCAGCCTGGCCAACATAGCGAAACCCCATCTCTACCAAAAATATAAAAAATAACCTGAGCGTGGTAGCGTGCACCTCTAATCCCAGCTACCTGGGAGGGTGAGTCAGGAAAATCACTTGAAGCTGGAAGGTGGAGGTGACAATGAGCCAAGATGGGGCCACTGCACTCCAGCCTGGGCCACAGAGTGAGACTCCATTAAAAAAAAAAAAAAAAAAAAAAAATTTAAGTAACAACAAATTGGGATGTCAAAAGATAGTAAAATAAGTAATTTATTCGAGTGCCCTATAGTACATATGAATAAGGGAAATGACTACAACATTGATTCAGACTTGACACCTAGCCATATATAGAATTTCTTAAATTTTCTATTTGGTAGAAAAGGAAAAATATTTTTTAAGAATCCAATCACATACAAACTAAACTAAGATGCTAATCGTGTATGCCCTCAGGAAAACACAAAAATCTTCTCCATGTTAACACAATCCACACTGCCAAACTCTCCTTTCCACCAGCAAGCCATAAGCCCCTTCAGGCAGGTGTTAAGAGCCTGCCCTTTGTTTTAACTCAAGCACTGGCACAGTGCCTGAAATACAACACTCCTGTTTGTTGAATAAATACTGAACATTTACAAATAGAAACGAAATACTGTATTTTTATCAAAATGAAAAGAAGCGTGGAAGGGAACAGACACTTAAATATGGTACTTTCACAAATTTTGAGATGGAGTCTCACTCTGTTACTCAGGTTGGAGTGCAGTGGTGCAATCTCAGCTCACTGCAACCTCCACCTCCTGGGTTCAAGCAATTCTCCTGTCTCAGCCTCCCAAGCAGCTGGGATTACAGGCACCCACCACCACGCCCAGCTAATTTTTGTATTTACAGTTATATTTTTTTTATTTTTGTGTTTTTAGTAGAGACAAGGTTTCACCATGTTGGCCAGGCTGGTCTCGAACTCCTGATGTCAGGTGATCCACTCGCCTTGGCCTCCCAAAGTTCTGGGATTACAGGTGTGAGCCACTATACCTGGCCACTTTTACTAATTATTTTAAAACATTTTTATTTACAATTGAACATTTTCTTTTTTTTGAGATGGAATCTTGCTCTGTCACCCAGACTGAAGGGCAGTGGCGCAATCTTGGCTCACTGCAACCTCTGCCTCCTGGGTTCAAGTCATTCTCCTGCCTCAACCTCCCAAGTAGCTGGGATTACAAGCACCCGCCACCATGCCCGGCTACTTTTTGTATTTTTTAGTAGAGACAGGGTTTTGCCACGTTGGGCAGGCTGGTCTCAAACTCCTGACCTCAGGTGATCCGCCTGCCTCAGCCTCCCAAAGTGCTAGGATTACTACAGGTGTGCACCACCATGTCCAGCCTAAACATGAATGAACGTTTTCAAAAATATATTATTTTATTTTATTTCATTTACTTATTTATTTTGAGATAGGGTCTGGCTTTGTCACCGAGGCTGGAATGCAGTGGCACAATCTCGGCTCATTGCAACCTCTGCCTCCCGGGCTCAAGCCATCCTCTCACCTCAGCCTCCCGAGTAGCTGGGACTACAGGCATGTGCCATTATGCCTGTCTAATTTTTGTATTTTTTTGGTACAGCCAGAATTTCGTCACATTGCCCAGCCTAGTCTCAAACTCCTGGGCTCAAGCAATCCACCTTCCTCAGCCTCCCAAGGTGCTATGATTACAGGCATGAGCCACTGGGCCCAGCCAAAAAAATATATTTTAAAATATGAACAATTTTCAAACCTCACAAAAGCAGAGAACAATATTATTAATACCCATGTACCCATCACCCCAACCCAACAATTATCCAGATTGTGCCAGACCTGCTTCATCTATCTTATCTCCCTCCACCACATTTTTTGGTTTTTATCTGGTATCTGTTTAAAATAACAGACATTGCTGGGCACGGTGGCCCACGTCTGTAATCCCAGCACTTTGGGAGGCCGAGACGGGCGAATCACCTGAGATCACGAGTTCAAGACCAGCCTGGCTAACATGGTGAAAAACCGTTTCTACTAAAAATACAAAAAGTTAGCAGGCGTGGTGGCGCGCTCCTGTAATCCCAGCTACTCAGGAGACTGACGCAGAAGAATTGCTTGAACCCGGGAGGTGGAGGCTTCAGTGAGCTGAGATCACACCACTGCACTCCAGCTTGGGCAACGAGGGAAACTCCATCTCAAAATAAAATAAAATAAAATAAAATACCAGACATTTGCAAGTTTTCTCCCTCATTCCTCAGTCTCTATCACTAATAAAAAGTGGTCATTTTCTTACATAAACATAATGCCATTATCATCCCTAACAAAGTTACAATAACTCCTTGATATCATCTAATACCCATCCATATTCAGATTTCCCCCAATGTTTCAAAAATGACTTTCTACAATTGGTTTGAGTCAGGGTTTAAACAACACCAACATATTGTATTTGGTTACTACACATAAAATAATTTTAATCTGTCTACATCATCTGACAGCAAATATGAAAAGCTTAACAGACAAACCAAATAATTAATTTACATTTGTAGATTCTCTAGAATCAAACCTCACCTAATGCATTTGCCGCCCCTGCTATCTGTAGCAGTCTTCCTCCAAATCGTCACTATGGCTGATTTTTTCTAGTCATTGAAGTCACAGGTCAAATTACCACCTCTAAAAAGGCCCTCCCTAACCACTCAATCTACAGTAAAACCACTTCCATCCATGCCGTATCACATGGTCCTATTTTCCTCATGGCACTTACCACTACCTGAAACCATTCTGTTTATTATGTTCCCACACACAGAACAGAATGTCAGCTCCATGAAGGCAGAGTGCCTTCACTGAAGACCAGTGACTGTGCCTAGAACATGAGACATTCAATAAATGTATCTACGTAATAATGCAGTACCGCTCTTTAAAATGTAAGCTCAGCTAAGTATTTGGAGGCTTTTTTGTTGTTTTGTTTTTTTTCAAGATGGAGTCTTGCTCTGTCACCCAGGCTGGAGTGCAGATCTCAGCTCAGTGGAACCTCCACCTCCCGGGTTCAAGCAATTCTGCCTTACCCTCTTGAGCAGCCAGGATTACAGGCGCATGCCACCACCATGCCCAGCTAATTTTTGTATTTTTTTTTTAGTACAGACGGGGTTTCACCATGTTGGCCTGGCTGCTCTCGAACCCGACCTCATGATCTACCCGCCTCGGCTTCCCAAAGTGCTGGGATTACAGGTATGAGCAAGCGCACCCAGCCTCAGCTAAGTATTTGTCTTTAAATATTTGTAATTCACTCCTCATGTAATGATATAAATTGAGTACCTGTAGAAACCTGGGCCAGCTGTTACCAAGAATCTGTAGGATGTAGGAAAGAAACAAACAGAGGTATAAGACATTCAAATGTAATTGTGGACTTTTACTGAACAATAATTACAGGTTTCTGAAAGAAAAACAAATTATTCCAGATGATTTTTAAAATGTTACCAGGAGTAATAAAAAATTTCATTTTTAGTACCATCTGAAAGCTATTAAAGCTTCAGTAATTAATATCTACAATGGGACAACAATAGCAATAATATGTGGAACAACAATCATAGTTTTTTTGTTTGTTTGTTTTGAGAAACAGTCTCGCTCTGTCGCCCAAGCTGGAGTGCAGTGAGTGGCACGATCTCCGCTTACTGCAACCTCCGCCTCCGAGGTTCAAGCCATTCTCCTGCCTCAGCTTCCCAGGCAGCTGGGACTACAGGCGCACACCACTAAGCTCGGCTAATTTTTTGTATTTTCAGTAGAGATGGGGTTTCACCATTTTGGCCAGACTGGTCACCTCAAGTGATTCGCCCGCCTTGGCCTCCCAAAGTGCTGGGATTACAGGGGTGAGCCACCACGCCTGGCCCACAGCTTCATGACAGGTTTTACACATACACATTTCATGAGGGAATTGATGCTTTTTGTACAGCATTTCTTTCTGGGGATTCAATTACGACAAACACAACAATGAATACCAAAAACCTAACTAGATATACAAACCATTAAATTTGGGACCTAAAGAAAACGAAAGTTATCTATTCTACAATTCTCATTTAAACAGAGAGACCTGAAGCCCAAGGAGGGTTAACAATAAACTCGGAGATCTAATGTATAGCAAGCAAAGATAGATCTAAAATCTAGATCTCCTGTCCTTAGCCCTATATTATTTCATAAGATAACGTTACCCATAGAACGGTAATGTCAAGTTATAACATATTTTAACTGCTATCATTTTTCAGATGGTCTCTTTTATTTCCTACTGAAGTCTTGGCCCAAAAGGGGAGAAAAAGTCAAAAGAAGGGCACATAAGTATGCCTCAAGTAAAGCATGATACAGAAACCTCTCTTTAAACTATAACAAAAAAAAAAAGAAGGAAACATCTAAAAATCTAAATGGTTTGATTCAATTAGTTTCCTTTATATTTTTTATTTTAAAGTAAAATAACTAGGAGTATCTGCTAAATGACTGCACCTTAGCTTTATACAAGCAAGGTGCTTTTCTCTTAAACATCACAACAGCTCTCTCTCAATAATCTGTAGAAATGGAGTACCAAAGTGAAATTCGTTAAGATGTAACCTCTGCTGTAATGCATTTTTCACCAAAATGAAGTCACTTTGTTTATACCTTTCTTTAAAAACCAGTTCTATGTCTGGTGAAATAACTAGCAAACAAGTGGCCAACAGACACCAAACAAAAGTTAAGAAGTGACAGAAGGATCTGCACATGATATAGCACCCGTGATAAACAAGGAGACTCATTCTTCCTACTTTTTCCTAAAATATTATTTAGATTTATAAACACCCTCACCAATTCTTAGAATACTGTTGTGAATCTTTGGTCACAAACAAATGAGCAGGAGAGAGATGATAAAGTCATTTGTCCAAGGTTAAATGGCAAGAAAGTGTCCAAAATAAGATAAATCAAGGCTTTAGAAACAATCAATTTAAAATGATTGTAAAAGTAAAAGGGCTTCCTTCTTATCCATCTGTTTCACCTCACAAATATAACCAGACTAGGGTGAAACAATGTGGCTTATACTGACATGAAGATTTTTACAAAAATACATATAGTAATAAACTATCAAAAGATGTATCTTTACTGTAATAAAGCTAAGTCCAGCGTTACAGAAGTTGTGTATGGTAATCTCAAAATCACATTCAAGCATTTACAACCATCACACACACACACAACAAAAATGGGAAAGGAAATGGAACCTTAGCTTATGTTTTTCCCAGTTTGTTCTTTTTAGTTCAAGAGGCCCCTAAAACAAGAAAATTATAGATAAAATACCAAATGAAATAAAGTTTAGATTAAGTCACATTCAAAAGCTACAGGAAATCCTACAAAACGTAGTCTATGTCAGCTGGCATCTTACCATTCAAGAGAATTCTAAATTAATGCCGCACATAAATCAAGAAACAGGAAAGCTTACAACAACACAATGGAGTCACCCCACAACACACACACGAACAAATTAAATGAATACCTCATACTTTCTGGTATTTTTTGAATAATCAAAACTTAGGTTGAGAAATACCCATCTGTAAAGATCTATCTACTATAACCTATTTAAGAACTGTTGTAACAAATCTATTTCTGCTGCACTGAACAGATATTCCCACTATAGCACTGACACTGACTCTGATAAATTATCGAAGGACAATAGTAAAAACATCAGTTTCTTTTTAAATGACCAACAAGCCAACTCCATACAAAATCTGACGCGTCTGTATTTCAGCTGTTCCGCGGACTACGTTTCCTTGATCACAGCAGCAGCAGGCGACTCCCTAGCCGTCAGGGCTGACTTAGCGCCCTCCAACTCCCCGGGTCCGGGTTACCTTCATCACTCCATTGTCAAATCGCACTCCCACGCCTCGGTCCTCAGCCCCCATCCTGAGACTCTAGGGAGAGTCGGAAGTGGGAGAGAAATCCCCTCACCCACACTCCCTCACTGTAGGCTGTGGGTGTGTCGGTAGACGAATGCCTTGCCCAAACACAAATCGTCTGCGGAGACCCAGACCCTAAGTCACCACCGAGCCAGAGATAACCGGCCGGTCACCGACCCCAGCCTTCCGCGGCCGCAGCCCTTCCTCTTTCTCCCCTCCAGGCCGGCCCCTCCCCCGTTGCGCGCACGCGCGGCCTCCAATGGATCCCCTCCCCCCCCGTTCCCCTCACCTTAATCATTAGCCACCCTCTTCTCTTCCAGGGTCCGGGAATCACTGACCCAGGAAGGAAGACAGAAATGTAAGGCGTAAAGAGTAATGCGTCGAGAGCCAGCGATCTGCGCCTCAGACGTCGGCCTAATAGGCCCCTAGAGTCAAGAACAGTGTCTGTCACCGCCACCAAAACTGTACGTGCGGCAGCGCCTGGACTCGGCCCAGCTAAGCCGGCGTGGGTTCAGAATGCCTAATTTGGTCCCACAAGAACTCCTTCTCTGAAGCTGCGGGCGTTTCTACGCTGCGCAAACCGAACACCTCCTCGCCGTCGCCGCCACTGCCGCTGCTCCCCTACAGCCGCCGCCGCCGCTTCGCCGCCGCCGCCGCCTAACCAATTCCTCCCCTACCGAGGAGAGCACGACACTAGGGCTCTTTACGACAGTTCGGAAAGTGAGAGCGCAGTAGCCTTCACGCCTCCATTAACATCTGTTTGTTTCTGCGCTTGCTCGATTCCCGTTTCTCACCGTCCCGCCCCCTCGGTCCCGGCCCTCCCCCTTTGTACTGGTTTTATCAGTCTGTTGGCGAACTGAAAGGTGTCACAAAGCTCATTATTTAATTTTCTTTGGTGATTATGCGTTCAACATTTAAGCCAAATCTTGACTACATCTTGGTTCATTTTTTCGTAACTAAAAATTAACCAACTACAGAATTGATACATTTACAGATATACGTAAACAAAAACATCATGGGTTAGTGTCTTTCACAACAAATGATACCCATATCATATGCGCTAATGACATAAAGATCACGGCACCTCACTGTTAAAGTGAATTTGCTTCCGGAATCAGATCAAAAGTGGTCACATATCTCCTGCGAACTCGGGCTGTACAATCGCATAAGCCTCCTTGTTTATTTTATAAAAGTCAGTAGATAACAAATGCGTCATTATATGCATTAGGAGGATAGAGAGAGGATGAGCTTCAGAGTCCATCAGGCAGACTTCCTTTCAAAGTCCAGTGGTGCCACTTAAGAGTTCTCTGATTGATGAGATCCTTATAAATCTTAGTTTCCTCCTCTATAAATTGGGATAACGTATTTACCTCAAAAGGTTCTTGTTAGATTAAATGAGACAATTTATATAATGCTCTGAACATTACTTGCCAATTAAGTGTTCACTAAACATTAATTCCCTCCCTTTGCCATCAACTCATCTTTTTCAATACTTTTTTTGTTCACTCATATTTTCCGTATCATTCAGTAAGCAAATGATTTTGGCCGGGCACGGTGGCTCACGCCTGTAATCCCAGCACTTTGGGAGGCCTAGGCGGGTGGACTACCTGAGATCAGGAGTTCAAGACCAGCCTGGCCAACATGGTGAAACTCCTTCTCCACTAAAAATACAAAAACTAGCTGGGCGTGGTGGCGGACGCCTGTAATCCCAGCTACTCGGCAGGCTGAGGCAGGAGAATCGCTTGAGCCAGGGTGGCCGAGGTTGCAGTGAGCCATGATCAAGCCATTGCACCCCAGCCCGGGTGACAGGGAGACTCCGTCTCCAAGAAAAAAAAAAAAAAGGCTGGGCGCGGTGGCTCACGCCTGTAATCCCAGCACTTTTGGAGGCCAAGGCGGGCGGATCATGAGGTCAGGAGATGGAGACCATCCTGGCTAACACGGTGAAACGCTGTCTCTACTAAAAATACAAAAAATTAGCCGGGCGTAGTGGCGGGCGCCTGTAACCCCAGCTACTCGGGAGGCTGACACAGGAGAATTGCTAGGACCCGGGAGGCAGAGGTTGTAGTGAGTGCGAGATTGTGCCACTGCACTCCAGCCTGGGCGACAGAGTGAGATTCCGTCTCAAAACAAACAAACAAACAAACAAACAAAACACACACACACACACACACACAAATGATTTTAAAATTACAATAATGATCAAGGATAGCAGATTGTGTGGGAAAACTAAAAGAGCATTCGACTAGGATTTTCCTCAATCCTCCTATTTTCTCACTCTTAAACATAGAATTTTGCCCGGACTATCTTATCTTCTCCCTTGATTTTAACTGTTACTATCTCATGACTTCTCAAACCTGTATTTCCAGCTCTAACCTTTTTTCTGAAGCTTTTGACCTGTGTTCTTCAATTAGGTAGACACCAGCCATATGTGGCTGCTGAGCACTTAAAATGTGGCTAGACTCCCTCCTCTTCTCCCTCTCCCCTCCCCTTTTCCTTTTCCGTCTCCCTAAAAAAATAAATAAATAAAAATAATTGAGAAGTGCTTTAAGTGAAAAATACACATCGAATTTCAAAGGTACAATACAAAAAAAGACTGAAAAATCTCAGTACTTTTTAATATTTATTATATGTTGAAATAATATTTTGGATATATTGGGTTAAATCAGTGGTTCTGAAGCTGGGATGATTTAGCAACATCCGGAGACATTGCTGTTTGTTACAACTCAGGGAGGAGGGGCGTGGCTACTGGCATCTATCCACTAGGATAGAGGCTAGGGATGCTGGCCTCTCCACAACAAAGAATTCTTTGGCCGAAAATGTTAATAATGCAGTTGAGAAACCCCAGATGAAATAAAAGGGTGAGGGCTTCAACCCTGTTGGGATGCTGAAGGAAAAGAGTCAGTAGAAAAAAGGAGTGGAAAGATAAAGAAAATAAAGGGATGCGCAATGGAGAAAAATACCTATGGAGCCAGAGGAAATGAGATTTAAAGCTCAGATGGAAATTTAGCCTTGGATAGGAGAAGGGATGGCCTTTCCACTGAAACAGGTGAGAAGGAAGAAGACTGCAGTTTAGGTATGTTAGCTTCAGGGGGCAAATTGAGGGCTTGTTCACTGAATGACCTTGACTTCCTTATGAAACATGAGGTAGGGCCATCTATAAACATATGAGCTTTGGAAAATGCTGGGCGGAGAGTGACTAGAAGAGATTTTAAAAATCAGAATAGTCACTACCATAATGGCAGAAGGGCAACAAATCAAAGCCCAGAGCAGAAGAGGAGTGAGGTTGAAGGGACAGGTGTTACGCAGTTGTATTTAGAAGAATAATGGTAGATTCGGGTGAGAAGCGGCTCTCACCTAATTTACACATAACAATTTTCTGATTTCTATGCTTCTGCTTCCACCACTGTCACCACACCACCCCAAACTCAACCTTAAGCCACAGTTAGAGTATGGCAGAAACTGATTAGACATTAAATTGCTTAAATCTTTCAATGATCCTCCATCACCTTCAAGTTAAAAATCCTTAGCATGACAAATAAAGCCCTTCAAAATCCAGATTCTTCAGTATCACTTCATACCAGCCCTAGTTCCCATCCTGTCCCCTGACCCTTCCTGGACCTCGGTGGACTTCTCAAACTTCTTGTAATTCTCCAGGAAAAAAAAAAAAAATATATATATATATATATAATATATATATAAAAGAATATATAATATATATTATATATATAAAAGAATATATGTTATATATAAGAATATATAATATATATGTAAAAGAATATATATATATATTATTCCTATATAACTATCAATTTTCCCCATGAAGCTAACAAACCTAATTGCATTAGTACAATCTCACTTCTTCCCTCTCACATGTTTCAGTGGAAAGGCTATCCTTTCTCCTATCCAAGGCTAATTCTTCCATGTGAGATTTGGATCTCATTTCCTCTGCCTACATAAGAACTTTCTTCAACTGACCATCTTTTTATTTCCATTATCTTTCCTCTCTCTTTTTCTACTGTTTCTTACCCTTCAGAATACCAGCAAGGTTCAAGACTCACCCGATCTTAACTCCATATTCTTGTAGATATATGTCTCTCTTTTTCCATCTCTCTGCCTTTGCACAGTTCCTTCTGTCTCAAAATTCACCCCCTTTCTCCACATTTCCCACCCATGCTTTATCTGCTTAACAAATTCTTACCCATTCCTCCAAGCCGTCTTCCATGAAGCATTTCCTTACCGCTCTCCCCACCCCTTGAAATGGACTTACTCCAGTTTTAGTACTCTCTTCAAGCTTTATACATACATCTAAGTATTATGATTGTTTACATACATACCTGTCTCAAAACTTAAAATCAGAGAAAATGTCTTTCTCTCTTAAGTAGAAAAATAGCACTCAAATATTTATTGAACTGTACTGAATAAGAAGATTGGGATTCTAATCTCAATTTTGCCAGAAGAAACCAGAAATCCTTAATCAAATCACTTTAAATATCTGAAAATTAATTTTACTCACTTGTGGAGAGATCAAGTTTTTCCAAATGCACTCCAAACCAAATTCTGCTTTCCTCAAACTGCAGCCAAATAATGTTTACCAAATTAGTCTGCATATATGGGCCAGCAGAATCTAACTACTGCCTGACAGGAATTTGAGGAGTTTGGTCTAAACATGGAAATACTGGGCTGAATTAGTGAGTTACCTGCAATCAAGGGTAATAAGAAAATTTCTACAAACTATCAAAGTCAGAAGGAAAGACTGGTATGCCCATCATCCATTGCATAGTTCACAACTGTATAAAGTCTGCAAGTGAGAGTAACTAATTATGTGGTCAGCTTCGTGAGCTCTTTGGAAGAAATGGAGAAAAGTTTGAAGATGTAATGCAAGAGTTAGAAGATCTTGGGAAATTCTTGAAAGTATTTAGTGAACTATTTCCTCAGATGTAAAGCTTTGGAAATAATTAAAAGGATCTCAGAGATGAACTAATCAGAACACTTCGTGATTCAGAATATTTTATTTTCTTCTTGGCATATGAAGATATCACTGGAACTTAAAACTGAAAGAAAAGTGCTATAGACTCCATAACTGCTGATTTAGTTGAGGTAGCACAGTTCTCATTAAAATTTTCTATATGGGCTGGGTGTGGCGGCTCATCCCTGTAATCCCAGCGCTTTGGGAGGCAGAAAAGGGTGATCACCTGAGGACAAGAGTTGGAGACCAGCCTGGCCAACATAGTGAAACCCCATCTCTACTAAAAATACAAAAATTAGCCGCACATGGTGGCAGGCACCTGTAATCCCAGCTACTCAAGAGGCTGAGGCAGGCAATTGCTTGAGCCCAGGAGGTGGAGGTTGCAGTGAGCCAAGATCGTGCCACTGCACTCCAGCCTGGGCAACAGAACAAGACTTCACCTCAAAAAATACGTATCTAGATAAAAAATGATTTCAGGCTATGTGATTGGAAAGAGACTATTTTTAAAGATTATATATGTAGCATATACTACATATAGTACTATATAATCTTTATTATATGTACATAGAAACAGATAGATAGTAATTAGACACAGCCCTTTATCCTACTAAACTGTTTTGCAATCAATGCAATCATAGATTCTGAAAAATTGAGGAGCTATTTAGCAGAAGGATAACCTCAAAAGACAATACCTTTGTGATGAGTACTTATCAACTAATAAATTTACAATTTTCTTTGGAAGGCAACTTTCAAGATATATTTGAAATATCAAGAGGCCAGGCGCAGTGGCTCATGCCTGTAATCCCAGCATTTTGGGAGGCCGAGGTGGTTGGATCACCTGAGGCTGGGAGTTCGAGACTTGGCTGGCCAACATGGTGAAACCCCGTCTCTACTAAAAACACAAAGAAATTAGCTGGGCACACGCCTGTAATCCCAGCTACTTGGGAGGCTGAAACAGGAGAATTGCTTGAACCCAGGAGGCGGAGGTTGCAGTGAGCCAAGATCATGCCGAACAGAGCAAGACTCTGTCAGAAGAAGAAGGAGAAGGAGAAGGAGAAGGAGAAGGAGAGGAAGAGGAAGAAGAAGAAGAAGAAGAAGAAGAAGAAGAAGAAGAAGAAGAAGAAGAAGAAGACGACTCAATAACTAATACTATCTCTGTGACTCTGTTTCTAAAAAACAGAGGTAACAAATTATGGACTAACCAGGGGACACAGAATGCCTGGAATTTTGCAGATGAGCAAAACTTCAAATATCATGATATGTTTCTGGTTATCAGGCCAAATTCTGGGCATGTCTGAGGCTCTCTCATTCTGTGAAAGTATATTTTTAAGATAAAAGTGTAGAAAAATGAAAGTGAAAGCTGCCATTCACCATTGGTAATGTAAGCCTAGAACCACAAGCAAGGATTTCCAACTGACTGATAACCATTCTCAGAAATAGTTTAGTCTTTTAATTACCAATATTTTTACACACTTGGTTAAAGTTAGTCAGAGGTTTACCAGTGAGCATTTTCATTAAGTTGTTGTTAACTCTTGAAATGCTTTTGCAATGTCGCTTTTAAAATTCAGAATTTTTAATGCGCTCACCTCTATTAGCAATCTTTTTTACAATTACAAGTTTCTGGCCAGGTGCAGGGACTCACATCTGTAATCTAAGTGCTTTGGGAGGCTAAGTTGGGACAATCACTTGAACCTAGGAGTTCAAGACCGGCCTGGGCAAAATAGTGAGGCTCCATCTCTACTAAAAATCCAAAAAAATTAGCAGGACATTATGGCATGTGCCTGTAGTCCCAGCTACTCAGGAGGCTGAGACAGGAGAATCACTTGAGCCTGGGAGATTTAGGCTGCAGTGAACTATGAACACGTCACTGCACTCCAGCCTGGGTGACAGAGTGGGACCTATCTCAAAAAAAACAAAAGTTTCTGATCATTGAAAAGTTAGACTGGATAACCTCCAAAGTGCCTTAAAGTTCTAACATTTCATATTTTGCTTCAGACCTAATTAGATTTATGAGAACGCTATATTACAATTTCAAGTGTGATTTACATACTGGCTACTTAGTTGCAAATTCAGAACAGGAAGTAAAGACACTTTGATGCATTTGCTTGTTATTATTTACAGATCATGCAAAGTTTTCCAAAATCATTTAAAAGTTTCTCTAAACTACATTAGTATTAGTTTTAATTGCACAAACTAATACTTGATTATGATTTTAAGTTACAGGATTGCAGAGACTGTGCTTTGCTCAGTTGAAAGATTATATAGTACATTGTTCTCAGGAGGCTGAGGCAGGAGGATCACTGGAGCCCAGGTACTCAGGGCTGCAATGTGCTATGAACGTGACTGTGAATAGCCACTACACTCCAGCCAGGGCAACACAGTGAGACCATGTTTCAAAAAAAAAAAAAGAAAGAAAAAAATTATTATACAGTACATTAAAAACACTGATATATTGGGGGACTGTTCAGAGATAAAGATATAGAAGAAGAAGAAGAAAGAGAATAAAATGAAAGTGCCCATGTGCTAAAAGGGAATTTTAAAAATTTATTCGATAACTTGAATCCAAACACCTTTAGCAGTCAGGGCTTCTGATAAGATTGTAATTATTTTTGACTTTTGACAGAACATAAATCACTATTATGCAACAGAAATTTGTAAATATTAGAGATTTTAGTTTAATATCTTAATTTTAAAATTTGCTTAAGTATTTTTAAATTCTGAAAATATCAAGTGATTAAGGTTGACAATCACGAAACTCTGAAACCCAATCTATTTAAATTATACCGATAAGAAAAATCTATTTTCAAACCGTTCACAATTTAGAATTGAGTTAAACTAGGAAAGAGTGCCACCTACTGAATCAAAATTGCTTAAACATCTCAACATTAAGTTCATTTTGCAAAACCTGTAAAGCTCTAGCATTTTTTTCCTCAAAGATGTACGTTTAAGATAATCTTCATACAGCAAATATTGTTTTATTTAATGAAATTTTCTTTTTCAGTAGCAGATAACAGACTAGACTGGCCACAGGTGTTTATCATCCCAACATCACCCTGACAAACGAGAAAGGAATTAAAAACGTACAAAACACAAATGAAAATGGGAGAAGGTCATTAGCAAGCAAGTTATTCCACCTAATATCTGAAAGATAAAAATCAGAGGACTAGTGATTGTTATAGCAAAGTATCAAAGCTACACCAGACCGGGCAGGGTGGCTCACGCCTGTAATCCCAGCACTTTGGGAAGCCAAGGCCGGCGGATCACCTGAGGTGGGAAGTCCAAGACCAGCCTGACCAACATGGTGAAATCCCATCTCTACTAAAAATACAAAATTAGCCGGGCGTAGTGGTGCACACCTATAGTCCCAGCTACTCAGGGGACTGAGCCAGAAGAATCGCTTGAACCCGGGAGGCAGAGGTTGCGGTGAGCCAAGATGGAGCCATTGCACTCCAGCCTGGGCAACAAGAGCGAGACTCCGTCTCAAAAAAAAAAAAGCTACACCATTAACTACTGTCAAAGAAGGCTGCACCAA
Source organism: Homo sapiens (assembly GCF_000001405.40). Classification (NCBI taxonomy): domain Eukaryota; kingdom Metazoa; phylum Chordata; class Mammalia; order Primates; family Hominidae; genus Homo; species Homo sapiens. Next base: position 58,979,859 of record NC_000015.10, on the reverse strand, counting down.
CAAGCAAGCTGCTATGCTTTGCAGAATACAAGACAGGCTATGGACTCAGGCCAAAGGCAAGGGAGGCCAACAGTAAAATGTAGAAATGAAACCAGAGGAGATTAATCATAAGTCTCTCTGGGCACAATCCCGTGAAACCTTTTCACCTCTCTCTCACCACATAAAGAAAATGTGGCATCTAGGCTTTTAAGTCCTAGGCTAAAAACAGGAGCAGGGAGTTCTGTAAAGAAACACATTGAAGTAATTGAGAAGAACCAGAACAGCTGGTGAGACAAGCAGTGATAAATACTTCACATTCTAAGATGTATAGGCCCCACCTGCCCACACATGCCTGGTGGTAGGCAGCACCCTTCCACACAGACATCACACTTAGGGTTTTCTTGGTTTTGGTTTTGGTTTTTTTTTGAGACAAGGTCTTGCTCTGTCGCCCAGGCTGGAGTGCAATGGCGCCATCTCGGCTCACTGCAACCTCCACCTCCCAGGTTCAAGCGACTCTCCTGCCTCAGCCTTCCGGGTAGTTGGGATTACAGGTGTGCACCACCATGCCCAGCTAATTTTTGTATTTCTAGTAGAGATGGGGTTTCGCTATGTTGCCAAGGCTGGTCTTGAACTCCTGGCCTCAAGTGATCCACCCACCTTGGCCTCCTAAAGCATTGGGATTACAGGTGTAAGCTACTGCGCCCAGCCACATTTAGTTTTCATAAACTTTTTTTTATTGTTTGTTTTTGTTTTTGTTTTTTGAGATGGAGTCTCACTCTGTTGGCATGGAGTCTCACTCTGTTGCCAGGCTGGAGTGCAGTGGCGTGATCTTGGCCCATTGCAGCTTCTACTTCCCAGGTTCAAGTGATTCTCCTGCCTCAGCCTCCTGAGTAGCTAGGACTACGGGTGCACACCACCACACCTGGCTAATTTTTGTATTTTTAGTAGAGACAGGGTTTCAAGTCCAGGTTTCAAGCTGGTCTTGAACTCCTGACTTCAGGTGATTCGCCTGCCTTAGCCTCCCAAAGTGCTGGGATTACAGGCATGAGCCACTGTGCCCAGCCGATAAACGGTTTTTAAATGACAATAGAGAATGGAGATAATTCAAAAAACATAAGAGGGAAAATATTTTAAACTCTCTAATATCCTCAGAAATTAAAAATGATACTGCATTCTTACAATAGGAAAATGATGTTATTTTTTAAAAAGGAAGAAAGAATCTTTAGAGATTAAAATACGATTCCTGAAATTAAAATTCAGTAGAAGGGTTAAAAGATAAAAGAAAGACAATATTCCAGCATATAAGACAAAAAGAAAAATAAATGTGAAGGAAAGGATAAGAGAGATAGAAGTCCAACCCTAGAAGTAAAATATCTAATAGAAGCAAGGTACGGTGGCACACACCTATAATCAAGGAGGATTCCTTGAGCCCAGGAGTTTGATGCCAGCCTGGGCAACACAGAGAGAGCCCCATCTCATTTAAAAGAAAAAAAAAAGTCTAATAAAAGTTCTTCCAAGGGAGAACAAAGAAAATGGAAAAAAGAAATTAAAAAAAAAAAGAAATAAAAATGTCCCAAAACTGAAAAGGAATTCTAAAATTCTAAAATCATGTATTCATTCACCCATTGATGGACACTCAAGCTTCCATATTTTGATGATCATAAATAATGCTGCTATGAGCATTCATGTACAGGTATCTGTGTGAGTTCCTGTTTTCATTTCTTATGGGTATATACCTATGAGTGGAATAGCTGGGTCAAATGGTAATTCTATGACTATCTTTTTGAGGAACTGCCAAACTGATCCACAGTGGCTGCATTGCACCATTTTACATTCTCATCAGCATTATATGAGGATTCCAATTTCTCCTATCCTTGTCAACACTTATTATTGTGTGTCTGTTTAATTATAGACATCCTAGTGGGTGTGAAGTAGCATCTCATTGCAGTTATATTCTGTTTTATTCTTTTAATGATTGCCTTAGCAATTACCACATTCATCCTTACCTATTAAAATCTAGTATTGTTACATTTAATATCCTCTTGATCAAGAATCCATAAATTGCTTTAAAATATTTACCAGCTGGGCACAGTGGCTCATGCCTGTAATCCCAGCACTTTGGGAGGCCAAGGCAAGTGGATCACTTGAGCCCAGGAGTTCAAGATCAGCCTGGGCAACATGGTGAAATCCTGTGTCTACAAATAATTTTAAAATTAGCTGTGTGTGGTGGTGCATAACTGTAGTCCCAGCTACTTGGGAGGCTGAGGTGGGAGGAGCATTTGAGCCTGGGATGTGGAGGTTGCAGTGAGCAATGATTGTGCCACTGCACTCCAGAGTAAGACTACTGTCTCAAAAACATAAACAAAAAAAAAATCTACTATATACACTCCCTCCACACACACACATACCATTTGTGATATTTTGGCCATTTACTGAAATTCTATAACATTTAAACCCCACAAGACTTTATTATTGTTTTTCACACCCCCTGTTTTCGCAGTCAATATGATTTTTTTTTTTTATTTGACACAGAGTCTTGCTCTATCGCCCAGGCTGCAGTGCAGTGGTGCGATCTTGGCCCACTGCAACCTCCACCTCCCGGGTTGAAGCGATTCTCCTGCCTCAGCCCTCCTGAGTAGCTGGGATTACAGGCTCACACCACCAAGCCCAACTAATTTTTTTTGTATTTTTTTTTTAGTAGAGACAGGGTTTCACCACATTGGTCAGGCTGGTCTCGAATTCCTGACGTTATGATCCACCTGCCTCAGCCTCCCAAAGTGCTGGGATTACAGACGTGAGCCACCGCGCCCCGCCGCGGTCAATATGATTTAGATTTATCCTCATAATTATCATTTTCTTTGGTCTTCATTGATTTCTGCATCTCTGATTTTTCATGCAAGATAATTTTCCTTTTACATGAGGAATAATCTATAGAATATCCATATACATGTGTATATATATGTATATATATATATATATATATATATATTTTTTTTTTTTTTGAGATGGAGTTTTGCTCTTGTTGCCCAGGCTGGAGTGCAATGGTGTGATCTCGGCTCACTACAACCTCCGCCTCCCAGGTTCAAGCGATTCCCCTGCCTCAGCCTCCCCAGTAGCTGGGATTACAGGCATGCGCTACCACGCCCTGCTAATTTTGTATTTTTAGTAGAGACGGGGTTTCTCCATGTTGGTCAGGCTGGTCTCAAACTCCTGACATCAGGTAATCCACCTGTCTTGGCCTCCCAAAGTGCTGGGATTACAGGCATGAGCCACCACGCCCAGCCTAGAATATCCTTAAGTGCTTATCTGCTATTGATAATATCTCTCTTTTGTTTTTTTTTGGAAATATATGGATTCACCTTCATTAATGGAGTATTTCCGGAGTGATAGTTATTTCCTCACTGCACCTTGTAGATATCATTTCACTGTCTTCTGAAGTCCTTGTGTAGCTTCTAAATTGATGTATTTTTTTTCTGGCTACTTTAAGATTTTTCTTTTTGTCTTGATTATTAAAGTTTCATTTTGATGTGTCCAGTTGAGCATTTATTAATACTTTTATTTATTCTGCTTGGGCTTCGTAGGGCTTCTTGACAGTGGACTATCAACCATTATATCTAAAATATTACCTATAATCCATTCTTTCTCTTTTTCTTCTAAAACTTCAATTGCATATGTTAGATCTTCCCACTGTATTTAGTATACTTTTACCCTTTATACTGTATTGTTTAATTACTCCTTGCTTCATTCTGGATAGCTTCTTCTGAGCTTTATTCCAGTCACCTAATTCTCTCTTCAATTATAACTAATCTACTAGCCCAATTTTTAAAAATTTGGTCTCATATTCTTTTGCTTCCGGAATTTTTTTACCCAAATCTGCTATGTCAGTTTTTTATAGCTCACAGTTTCCTGCTGAAATTTTCTATCTTGATTTTGTCCCTTGAACACAGTAATCATAGTTGTTTTATAGCCCATGTCTATAATTTTCTGGAGTCCCTGTGATTCTTTTTCTGTTGTTTTTCCTGCTGACTCTGACTCAGCTTCTTGTGTCTTTGTGTTCCTCTTTATCTTTCACTGTGTTCAGGAAACTGTGGTTGAAATATTATTTATAGAAATTATCTGAGATTTGTTATGATGTTAACTTCCTCCGCAAAGGATCTTGGTTTGTAGATGTATCTGCCAGGTGCTCAAGGTGGTCAGCAGTGTAGGACCAAGGTGTGTGGTTTTCTGCACTGCCACATGATGTGAAGGAAGGCCATAATCCATATTCTTTTTTTTTTTTTTGAGACAGAGTCTCACTCTGTCGCCCAGGCTGGAGTGCAATGGCACTATCTTGGCTCACTGCAACCTCTACCTCCCAGGTTCAAACCAACCTCCTGCCTCAGCCTCCCGAGTAGCTGGGACTAAAAGGTGCATGCTGCCACACCTGTCTAATTTTTTTGTATTTTTAGTAGAGACAGGGTTTCACCATGTTGGCCATGTTGGTCTCAAACTCCTGACCTCAAGTGATCCACCTGCCTCGGCCTCTCAAAGTGCTCAGATTAAGGCATGAAACACCACACCTGGTTCATAATCCATATTCTTTCTCTTAGAGGACACACATTCCTGGCCCTGCCCAAAGATGGGAGTGGGTCACCATCCTTGGTGGGAACTATAGATCTACCCTCATTCCTTCGGTCCAGCACGGCTTCTAAAACTACAGTTTAGTTTCTCATTTGCCTCCTCAGAGTGTCGTATTCCTAGGACAAACATGCTCCCCAAGTCCCATATCTTGCCTTGTAATTCCTCACTAAATGATTAGCTGTTTTATGATTTTTAAAAGACATATTTATAGGTAGTCTATAATTTTTAGTACCTTCAATGGGAAGGTAGGTACAAATGATCTACCCCACTATAATTTAACTTTGGATGTCCTGCCCTCAAGGTTTAGTCTTAGGCTCTCCTTTATTTCTTTGCCCAGATCGTTCTTCTGTGCACCAGATATATATGCTCAACTGCCTATTCTACATCTCCACTTGAATGTCTAATAGGAATCCCAAACCTAAGATGTATAGAATTGGATTTACATCTATATGTCAATGATTCTACATATATTATTTCATTCAATTTCTACATCTTTAAGGTAAACGTTATTTCCAAAGTTTTAGTTTGTATTTCCCTGATACCTAGTGAGATTGAATGCTTTTCATTTGTTGTCATCCAGATTTATGGAAAGACAATCAGAGAGTATAAGTAATTTTTGCAAAGTCAAAATTAGTATTTTAAAAACCCAGCTCTCAGCTGGGCACGGTGGCTCGCGCCTGTAATCCCAGCACTTTGGGAGGCTGAGGTGGGCAGATCACCTGAGTTCAGGAGTTCGAGACCAGCCTGGCCAACATGGTGAAACCCCATCTCTACTAAAAATACAAAAATTAGCCAGGCATGATGGCAGTTGCCTCTAATCCCAGCTACTCAGGAGGTTGAGGCAGTAGAATCGCTTGAACCCAGGAGGTGGAGGTTGCAGTGAGCTGAGATCACACCACTGCACTCCAGCCTGGGTGACAGAATGAGACTCTGTCTGAAAGAAAAATTAAAATAAAATAAAAACCCAGGTCTCAATTTTTCTGCTTTCTGCCATGATGAAATAATAGGGAATTATTGTTTTACCTTAAACAATTGTTTTATTTTATTATTTTATTTTATTATTTATTGTTTTACCTTAAAAGATCAGACAAAATATTTTGAAACAATAGTTTTCAGAAAATGGACAATAGAGAGGACAACAGGACAAATCAGTGATCCTGAAAGAAGGGATACAAACAAGAGGAGCCCTTCGACTGCCCAGAGGGAGCTTCTGGACTGCACCATAGAGAAGGGGAATCCAAATGGACCTCAAAGATTTAATGAGTTGATAAGACAGAGATTCAGAGATGCCCAGGCAGCTAGAATTTGTAAGTCAAACAATCAGGAAAGAGGAAGCTGCACAGAGAAAGAGGGAAAGCTCGCAAGAACTGGAGAGGGGCTGCTTCAGGATTTGACTGGGGACTGATCTACACATACGTATGAGTATACTACTGAGGAGGGGAAAGAACCATTAGAAAAGAGTAGGCAAAACATCTCCAGAGCTTAAACAATGCTGTAAATAATTTTTCTCCATCAGCTAGGGAGGAAAGACCTCCAAACATGGGGGCATGGAGTCAGGTTGTCAAAAAGGTATTGCCTTAGCAGTGAGGCCAAATTAGCTCCAAAATAAAGGTTGTCTGGACCCAGGTGCACAAAGCATAAAAGCAAGACTTTTAAAAGATGACCCTTATTCCAAGTACCTTAATGAGGTCCCAGAATAAAGTCCAAACGAAGCAATAAAAATAATCCAGCACCCAAGCATGTAAAATTCACAATGCCTGGGGCTCAAACAAGATTACCATGCATGCAAAGAGGCAGGAAAATAGAACCCATAATCTAGCAGAGGGAAAATTAATCAAGAGAAACTTCCAGAAATAACACAGATGTTGTTGATGAGAACACTAAAACAGTATAAATGTGCTCCTTTTGATCAAGAATATAAAGAAAATCATGAGCATCATAAATAATAAAATGAAAGGGCGGGACATGGTGGCTCATGCCTGTAATCCCAGCATTTTGGGAGGCCTAGGTGGGCAGATTGCTTGAGCCCAGGAATTCAAGACCAGCCTGGGCAACATGGCAGGACTCTGTCTCCACAAAAAAATACAAAAATTAGCCAGGCATGGTGGTTAATGTCTATAGTCCCAGCTCCTCAGGAGGCTGACACAGGAGGATTGATTGAGCCCAGGAGGTCAAGGCTGCAGTGAGCCGTGATCATGCCACTGTACTCCAGCCTGGGCAACAAAATGAGATCCTGTCTCAAAATAAAATAAAATAAAAGGTTAAAAGACCCACTCAAATTTCTGTAGATAAAAAACATAATATCTGCAATATAAAATAACCTACATGGGATTACCAACAGTTTAGTCACTACCAAATAAAAGATTGGTAAACTTGAAGACAAAACAGCCACAACTATCCAAAATAAGCACAGAGAAAAAACAAATAAAAACAAAAACAAGGCAGGGTGCAGTGGTTCACGCCTATAATCCCAGCACTTTAGGAGGCTGAGGCGGGCGGATCATGAGGTCATGAGTTCAAGACCAGCCTGGCCGACATAGTGAAACCCCGTCTCTACTAGAGATATAAAAAATTAGCCAGGCATGGTGGCACACACCTGTAATCCCAGCTACTCAGGAGGCTGAGGCAGGAGAATCATTTGAACCCAGGAGGCGGAGGTTGCAGTGAGCTGATATTGCGCCACTGCACTCCAGCCTGGGTGACAGGGCAAGACTCCATCTCAAAAAAAAAAAAAAAAAGTCTATCAATGATCAGTAAGAAAATATCACACAGCCTAGCAAACATACAACTTGAGTCCCAGATGGAGATATGAGGAGGAGGAAGTAGAAGAAGTAATGGTCCAGAAATTTTTTTAATTTGATGAAAAATATAAACTCATAGGTCCAACAAGTTCAATGAACCCTCAGCAAATGATACATGACAAAAACCACACAAAGGCACACAATAATCAAATTGCTAAAAACCAATGAACAAATCCTTTCCTTTTTTTTTTTTTTTTTAAGACGGAGTCTCACTGTCGCCCAGGCTGGAGTGCAGTGGTACGATCTCAGCTCACTGAAACCTCCACCTCCCAGTTTCAAGAGATTATTCTGCCTCAGCCTCCCAAGTAGCTGGGACTACAGGTGCATGCCACCATCCTGGCTAACTTTTGTATTTTTAGTGGCGACGGGGTTTCACCATGTTGGCCAGGCTGGTCTCAAACTCCTGGCCTCAAGGGATCCACCCGCCTTAGCCTCCCAAAGCGCTAGGGTTACAGACATGAGCCACTGCACCTGGCCAAAAGCAATGAACAAACCTTTAAAGCACGAAGAGGAAAAAAAAAATGACATACAGAAGAAAAATATAAGAAAGACAGCCCATAACTCATTAGAAACAATTTAAGGGCAGGCACAGTGGCTCATGCCTATAATCCCAGCACTCTGGAAGGCTGAGGCGGACAGATTGCTTGAGTTCAGGAGTTCAAGACTAGCCTGAGCAACATGGCAAAACCCCATCTCTACAAAAAATTAAAAATTAGCCAAGCATGGTGTCTCACACCTGTAGTTCCAGCTATTTGGGAAGCTGAGGTAGGAAGATCACCTGAGCATGGGGAGGTCAAGGCTGCAGTGAGCTGCACTCCAGCCTGGGTGACAGGTGAGACCGTATCTCAAAACGAAAAAGAAAAAAAGAAGAAGAAAGAAAAGAAACAATTTAAGCCAAGTAATGGGGGGTGACAAAGTACTAAAAGAAAAAAGTCTGTCAACCAATAATTCTATATCCGGCAGAAATACCTCTCAAAAAATGAAGGAAAAATTTAAAAAAGAAATTCTGACATGTGTAAGATGAGATAAGTCATCCCCTGTAAAGTGACTGTATTGGAAATGTTCAAGTAATCTTTCAGGGAGAAGGAAAAGGGTACTAGAAGGAAATCTGAGTGTACATAAACGGATGAATAACATCATATGTGGTAAATAGGATGATAAATGTAAAAGATTGTTTTAATTTTTTTCCCTTTAAGAGATAATTTACTGGCTAAAGTAATAGTAGTAACAACATATTGTGTAATTAATTACATATTCAAGTTAAATGTATGACAAAAATGGGAGAGAAAAAGTAGAAGTATGCTGTTGTATAATTGTTAAACAGTATATGTAATGTTTCAATATTATTTGATGGTAGACTAAATATTTGTCCTGTAACCGCTATATCAATCAGTAAAAACACAAAAATAAGAATAGCTACTAAGCCAATAAAGAAGAGAAAATAGAATCATTTAAAATTTCTCAATTAATCCAAAAAAAGGTCAGGAAAATAGGGAAAAAAAGAACAAAAGACAGATGCCCCAACTAGAAGACAAGATGGGATAAACAAAAAAGAAAATGATGTATTCAAACTCAATCATAATGCATCCAGTTTAAATGTTTATAGTCTACATATTCTAATTAAAAGGCAGAAATCGTCACAATGGATAAAAATCAAGACTCAACCATATTCTGCCCACGAAAAACCTACTCTAAATTTAAAGATACAGATATGAGTAAAGGCGGGGCCAGGCACGGTGGCTCACACTTGTGATCCCAGCACTTTGGGATGCCGAGGTAGGACAATTGCTTGAGTTCACAAGTTCAAGACCAACCTGGGCAACACAGTGAAACCCCATCTCTACAAAGAATACAAAAATTAGCCTGGTGTGGTGGTGTGCACCTGTAGTCCCAGCTACTCAGGAGGCTGAGGTGGGAGGATGGCTTGAGCCAAGGAGGCGGAAAAAAAAATGATAAAAGTGAAAAAAAATGATATAACTATGGCCAGGAGCGGTGGCTCACATCTGTAATCCTAGCACTTTGGGAGGCCGAGGCGGGTGGATCACGAGGTCAAGAGAACGAGACCATCCTGGCCAACATGGTGAAACCCCATCTCTACTAAAATTACAAAAGTTAGCCAGGCATGGTGGCGCACACCTGTAGTCCCAGCCACTTGAGAGGCTGAGGCAGGAGAATTGCTTGAATCTGGGAGGCGGAGGTTGCAGTGAGCCAAGATCATACCATGGCACTCCAGCCTGCCAATAGAGCAAGACTCCATCTCAAAAAAAGAAAAATGATAAAAATAAAGGAATGGAAGAATATGTACTATGCTAATACTAAAGAAAAAAAGTTGAAATGGTTATATGAGATAAAGTACATTTCAGAGAAATGAATGTTACTATATAAAATGAAGTTCATTTCATGATATTAAATTCATCAATAGATAACAATCCTAAATGTGTATGCACTAATAAGATATTTGAAGTATGTTACTAAAAAAAAGATAGAACTTAAATAAGAATTGCTCACATAATTAGTGTTAGAGGTTTTATTATTATTATTATTATTTTTGAGACAGAGTCTCTCTTTGTCGCCCAGGCTGGAGTGCAGTGGTGCTATCTCGGCTTACTGCAACCTCCGCCTCCCAGGTTCAAGCGATTCTCCTGCCTCAGCCTCCTGAGTAGCAGGGATTACAGGTGCACACCACCACACCTAGCTAATTTTTGTATTTTTAGTAGAGACGGGGTTTCACCATATTGGCCAGACTTGTCTCGAACTCCTGACTTCAAGTGATCCACCCACCTCGGCCTCCCAAAGTGCTGGGATTACAGGTGTGAGCCACCACGCCCGGCCATGTCAGAAATTTTAACACTTGGCTGTTAATAATTGACAGGACAAATAATTTTATTTTATTTTTTTTTTAATATGGAGTCTCACTCTGTCACCCAGGCTGGAGTGCAGTGGCATGACCTTGGCTCACTGCAACCTCCGCCTTCCAGGTTCAAGCAATTCTCCTGCCTCAGCCTCCCGAGTGGCTGGGCTTACAGGCATGTGCCACCACGCCCGGCTAATTTTTGTATTTTTAGTAGAGATGGGGTTTCACCATGTTGTCCAGGCTGGTCTCGAACCCCTGACCTCAGGTGATCTCCCCCTCTCAGCCTCCTAAAGTGCTAGGATTACAGGTGTGAGCCACCACGCCCGGCCTAAGAAATTTTTTAAATGACTGAGGACATAAAAACCTGAAGAATGGTATCAACCAATTTGATCTATCTCCAAGAACAAGATAATACACTTTCTTATCAAGTTTAGATGGTGCATTTACCAAGTTATGTGTTCTATATTCTAAGCCATAAAACAAGTCTTAATAAGTTTAGAAGGATTGAATTCTTACACAGTATTTTCTCACTATAAAAGAATTAAATTAAAATTTAGTAACAGAGATTTGGAAAATCTCTCCTGAATACACTTATAAATAATTGATGGGGGCAGGGCGTGGTGGCTCACACCTGTAATTCCAGCATTTTGGGAGGCCGAGGCAGGCAGTTCACCTGAGGTCATGAGTTGGAGACCAGCCTGGCCAACATGGTGAAACTCCACCTCTACTAAAAATACAAAAATTAGCCCGGCGTGGTGGCACACGCCTGTAATCCCAGCTACTCAGGAGGCTGAGGCAGGAGAATCGCTTGAACCTGGGAGGCAAGAGGTTGCAGTGAGCTAAGATCACGCCATTGCACTCCAGCCTGGCGACAGTGCAAGGCTCCGTCTCAAAAACAAAAAAACAACTGATGGGTTGGGCCGGGCGTGGTGGCTCATACCTGTAATCCCAGCACTTTGGGAGGCTGAGGTGAGTGGATCACCTGAGGTCGGGAGTTTGAGACCAGCCTGACCAATATGGTGAAACCCCGTCCCTACTAAAAATATAAAAATTAGCCAGGCATGGTGGCGGGCACCTGTAATCCCAGCTACTCTGGAGGCTGAGACAGGAGAATTGTTTTTGACCCCGGGAGGCGGAGGTTGCTGTGGTGAGCCGAGATTGCACCACTGTACTCCAGCCTGGGCAACAAGAGCAAAACTCCGTCTCAAAATAAATAAATACATAACTGGAGTGCAGTGGCTTAATCTGGGCTCATCGCAACCTCTGCCTCCTGAGTTCAAGTGATTCTCCTGCCTCAGCCTCCCGAGTAGCTGGGATTACAGGTGTGCACCACCATGCCCAGCTAGTTTTTGTATTTTAGTAGAGACAGGGTTTCACCATGTTGGCCAGGCAGGTCTCGAACTCCTGACCTCAAGTGACCTGCCCGCCTAGACCTCCCAAAGTGCTGGGATTACAGGCGTGAGCCACTGGCCCGGCCTAAAAATACTTTAAATGAACAAAAATAAAACCACAATTATTAAAAATTTGTGGGATGCCATTAATATAGTGTTTTCAGGGAAACTTATAGCATACAATACTTATATTAGAAAAGGAGAAATCTTTAAAATCAACGACCTAAGTTTCCATCTTAAGAAATCAGAAGACCAAATTAAACTGAAAGCAAGCAGAAGGAAGAAAATAATAAAAATAAGGTATGTAGTCCCCAACTGAGGGGCAGGGGGACTCCCACTGGTTCCTGGGCAACTGCTCAGCAGCTAAGCTGGGTGCCTCTATGGCCGTTCTGTCTCCTGTGACAACAAGAACTTGCTCAAGAAGTTTGCCAAAAAACCAAAATCCCATCCAAGATACCACATTAGATTTCAATGTCATGTCTTATTGTAGACTCCTCTTGGTGGTGGTAGTTTCTCAGACCTTCCTTGTTTTTGATGACCTTGACAGTTTGAAAAGTAGCAGTCAGAAATAATGTTTTGGTCTGAAGCTCTTTCTCTACGATCTCACTTTACTTACAAACCATCTAAGTTGGAAGTCCTGATGAAGAATACCTCAAAGAAAATTAAGGAAGACCACATATGCTTAAGGACCCTGGATGGCCTTCTCTGTCAAGCATTCACAAATTGCAGTGCACCTCCGATGTGAAGCAAGATATCTATAACCTGAATTTGTAGCTTTCCAAGGTATCTCTGACTTTAGACCTCTCAGCCTTCTATGTATATTAGAAGACACCTCTTTTTGCTGAGCAGAATGAGCACACAGAAGCCAACTTACAGAAGAGCACTGTACAAATGAAGCATCTTTTGATGTCTCAACAGATCTTGAGTAATGTGGTGCCAATACAGTTTGTTCAAGACAAACAAAATATAGCTCTAGCTGAGATTGATCAGTTACTGACAATGGTTGACTGTGGACCATCACATGAATAAGACTTTATACCAAATGATTTCAAGGAACTTGTGACTCTGATCAGTGCATTGTCATCTGATGCCATGGAATCTGCTGTGCACTCAGGTCTATGTGGAATCAATCACGGGGTGCTCAACAAGCAAATCATGGGATACAAAAGGAAGAGAAAGGATTTAGAAATATAAGCCCAGCGTGGCCAAAAGAAGAGCAAGAACAATTGGCTGAGTTGACAAAGCAAATGAAAAAGAGAAAGAAGAAAGCAAAGCCACTTGTGGATGATGACAACTCTCTCAAGAATTACCCCAAGATGTAGAATGAGTGATGATGATCTGGATGATGAGTAATTCTTTGAGAAGTGCACATTGAAATAAGAATATGGATTACCAGAGAAGAGGAACTGGAGACAGGGAAAGAAGGTGATAGAAAAGAATAACGTTAACTTGTTACTTGTTATTAGGTTAACTTTTCTCTTACAGAGAAAATAAGTTTGTGAGGCATCAACCATGCTGATAGATAAACTTATTTTGAAGGGGTTAAACTGATACAGACCAACAGCTGCTAAGTCTGTATTATGTTTATGTCCTCTATATGATGCTTATACATAATATGAACTCTACTTTTGGAAACAAATGTAAAATTTTAAAGTTTCAGATAGAAAAAAACAAGTAGCAATCAATGGAACAGAAAACAAGGACAGGCCATATGATGGCTCACATCTGGAATCACAGCATTTTGGGAGGCTAAGATGGGAGAATCGCTTGAGGTCAGGAGGATAAGACAGCCTGAGCAACATCATGAAAATCCATCTCTACAAAAATAAATAAATAAATAAATTTTTGAGATGGGGTCTGGCTTGGTTGTCCAGGCTAGAGTGCAGTGGCACAAACTTGGCTCACTGTAACCTCTACCTGCCCTGGCTCAAGTGATCAGTGATCCTCCCACCTCAGCTCCACAAGTAGCTAGGACCACAGGTGCAAGCCACCATTACTGGCTAATTTTTGTATTTTTGGTAGAGACATGGTTTCCCCATATTGCCCAGGTTGGTCTCAAACTCCTGAGCTCAAGTGATCCGCGTTCCTCAGCCTCTCAAAGTGCTGGGACTGCAGGAATGAGCCACTGTGCCAAGCCTTTTTTTTTTTAACGTTTAAACTCTGTTGAACTTGATGAAGTGTCTTAAGGTTCATCTAGGTCAATCATCCTATTTTCCACTAGAGAAAAGTAAGCCCCAGAAAGGTCTAGAAACTTATTCAATATCCCACAGCAAGTTAGTAGGCAATAATAATCTAGCATGTCTTTTCATTAAAGTGGTATTATCTCCTTGAACTGACCATTAAATGAAATAGGCTTTATTCCCATTATAAATGAAAAAACTATATCTGAGAAAGGTTAAATTACTTGCCAAGGTCAATATTAAGTGTTAAAGTGAGGCATAAACAAAGACAAAAAGTTTCACATTAAAAATATTTTCTCTCATTTTGGGCCACATCTTTTTTTTTTTCATTAAAAAATGAAAAGAAAAATATTTTCAGGCTGGACGCAGTGGCTCATGCCTTTAATCTCAGCACTTTGGGAGGCTGAGACAGGTGGACTGCTTGAGCCCAGGAGTAAGACCAGCCTCAGCAGCATGACAAAACCTCGTGTCTACAAAAAATACAAAAATTAGCAGGGCATGGTGGTGTGTGCCTCTACTCCCAGCTACCAGGGAGGCTGAAGTGGGAAGATCACCTGAACCCAGGGAGGTCGAGGCTGCAGTGAGCTGTGATGGCACCACTGCACTCCAGCCTGGGTGATAAAGTGAGACTCTCTCTCAAAAAAAAAAAAAAAAAAAAAATACACACACACACACACACACACACACACACACACACACACATACACACACACACACACACACACGCATATATGTATCTTTGCCCAGTGCTTTGTTTTATCTTCTGTTTTGTTCTTCTTTTTTTTTTTTTTTAGAGATAGGGTCTCACTCTGTTGCCTAGGCTGGAGTGCAGTGGCACCATCAGCTTCAGTCTCCTGGGCTCAAGTGATCCTCCTGCTTCAGCCTCCCGAGTAGCTGGGTCTACAGGCATGCAACACCACACCTGGCTAATTTTAGATATTATCTATCTATCTATCTATTTATTTATTTTTTAGAGACGGAGTGTCGTTCTATCACCCAGGCTGGAGTGCAGTGGTGCAATCTCGGCTCCCTGCAACCTCTGCCTCCCAGGACCAAGCAATTCTCCTGCCTCAGCCTCCCAGGTAGCTGGGGCTACAGGCCCGCGCCACCACGCCCTGCTAATTTTTGTATTTTTAGTAAAGATGGGGTTTTACCATGTTGGCCAGGCTTGTCTCGAACTCCTGACCTTAAGTGATCCACCCACCTTGGCCCCCTAAAGTGCTGGGATTACAGGCAAGAGCCACCGCATCTGGCCCTGGCTAATTTTTTCAAAGTTTTTTTGGTAGAGGATGGGGGTCTCAGTATGTTGCCCAGGCTTGTCTTGAACTCCTAAGCTCAAACAATCCTCCTGCCCTAGCCTCCTAAAGTGCTGGAATTACAGGCATGAACCACCCCACCTGGCCCTTTGCCCAGTGCTTTAAGAGGCCAAGGCAAGGAGATTGCTTGTGGCCAGGAGTTTGAGACAAGCCTGTCCAACATACAGAGACCCCCATGTCTATAAAATAACAAATAAAAGAATGTTTTCATCTTTGTAGCAAGAATATTTTTCACAGATTCACTTTTGGTTTGTGCAACAAAAACCCAAGTTTTAAAAATGAAAAATTGAGTTGGGTGCAGTGGCTCATGCCTGTAATCCCAGCAGTTTGGGAGGCTGAGGTGGGCAGATCACTTGAGGTCAGGAGTTCATGATCAGTCAGTCCAACATGGTGAAACCTTGTCTCTACAAAAAAAATACTAAAAAAAAAAAAAATAATAATTAGCCAAGCTTGGTGGGGCAAACTTGTAATCTCAGCTGTTTGGGAGGCAGCAGAATCACTTGAACCCAGGAGGCAGAGGTTGCAGTGAGCCGAGATCGTGCCACTGCACACCAACCTGGGTGATGGAGCGAGACTGTCTCAAAAAAAAAATAAAATAAAAATTAAAAATAAATAAAAGTAAATTGGCCAGGTGGCATGGTGACTGACACCTGTAATACCAGCACTTTGAGAGGCCCAGGTGGGCAGATCACCTGAGGTCAGGAGTTTGAGACCAGCCTGGCCAACATGGGAAACCCCGTCTCTACTAAAAATACAAAAATTAGCCAGGCGTGGTGGTGCACACCTGTAATCCAAGCTACTCAGGAGGCTGAGGCAGGAGAATTGCTTGAACCCAGGATGTGGAGGTGGCAGTGACCCAACATCACACCACTGCACTCCAGCCTGGGTGACAGAGCGAGACTCCGTCTCAAAAATAAATAAATAAATAAATAAGAGAAAATGAGCTTAGGGATGCAATCTGAAGATCTGAAATTATACCTGTATTTTCAAATGTGACATACCAATGCCTGGTCACAAGTGCCACTTTATTTTATTTTTAATTTTCTTTTTATTTTTGAGACAGGGCCTCACTCTGTCACCCAGGCTGGAATGCAGTGGCACGATCTTGGCTCACTGCAACCCCCACCTCCCAGGCTCAAGTGATCCTCCCATGTGAGCCTCTCTGTAGCTGGGACCACAGGCACATGCCAACACACCTTTCTAATTTTTTGTATTTTGCTGGAGACGGGGTTTTCCCACGTTGCCCAGGCTGGTCTCAAACTCCTAAGCTCAGATGATCCATCACCTCGGCCTCCCAAAATGCTGGGATTACAGGCCTGAGCCACCATGCCCGGCCCACAAGTGCCATTTTAAATGAATCATTTTTTATTATATTTACTTATTTATGCAAACATGCCCAGCCCTATTCTCTAACAGTGTTTGTGATAGCTTACATGAACACATGTAATCAGTAGGGTAGAAAACCTAAATGGATTAAGACCCTAAGGGGCAGAACAAGAAAAATAGGATGGCAAAATTCAGACAGAGGTAACTATTAATATGATGCAAAAATGCATACCATAGAATCCTGGACAATTTCTAGGCGTGAGTCACAAATTTAGCTTTAGATTCCTTTCAGCCAGAGCCAACAGGGAAATGCAATCAATTAAAGAATTCATAGTGTTAATAAGGGAATATGTCTTAGAAGAAGCATAACTTTTCCTTACATCAAGACCTTAAAAACAATCATCATTATAGAGACACTGTGTGACTGTAAACAACATTCTGAACAACATCCCTGCAATAATTATTACGCAGTGTTTCATGAAAGGAAGCAACCTGAGGAGACATATTACAGTGAGATCCTTTTACAACTCCTTAAGAAAGGAGATAAGCCCAATATAAGAAGGAGGCTGTTAGGCCAGGCACTGCTGGCTCACACCTGTAATCCTAGCACTTTGGGAGGCCGAGGTGGGTGGATCATGAGGTCAAGAGTTCAAAACCAGCCTGACCAATACAGTGAAATCCCATCTCTACTAAAAATACAAAAATTAGCTGGGTGTAGTGGCAGGCGCCTATAATCCCAACTACTCAGGAGGCTGAGGCAGGAGAATCGCTTGAACCTAGGAGGCAGAGGTTGTGGTGAGCCAAGATTGTGCCATTGCACTCCAGCCTGGACAACAAGAGCAAAACTCCATCTTAAAAAAAAAAAAAAAAAAAAAGGAGGCTGGTAACGAAGACAAAGTATGACTCTGGTAATAAACCCTCCCATAATCTCTTCATATGAAAACTTTCTAGAAGGTTTAGGGCCATTTACTTTCTTACCAAGTCAGGAAAGGAGTTTTGCAAGAAGGGTTCTTCTGCAGGTATAATTTCCTGCATGCTATCCTCTCCTGTCCTGCTGGTACAGCTTGTCTTGGTCATACAGAGACCAGTTTTTGTATGACATAAATAAACACTGCTATTCCAACAGTACCATCTACATGGGGAAACTTGTAATATGTGGGCAAGATTTCAACAGGTTTTTCCTAAGTAGCCTAGGATAAGGTTTTTAAGGGAATTAGTCTTCAGAGGTGGAAGATACATTAAGCTGAGTGATAAGTTCATGAGGGTCCACTTCATTCTCTTTCCACTTTTGAATACATTTGAAATTTTCCAAAATAAAAAATTGAGACCTGGGCTTGATGGCATGTACCTATAATCCCAGCTATTTGGGAGGCTGAAGCAGGAGGACTGTTTGAGCCCAGGAGTTTTTTTTTTTTTTTTTTTTTTTTTCCTGAGACAAGGTCTCACTCTGTCACCCCAGCTGCAGTACAGTGGAATGATCACGGCTTACTGCAGCCTCCACCTTTCAGAGCCCAGGAGTTTGAGACCAGCCTAAGCAACTTAGACAGAACCCATTTCAAAAACAAACAAAAAAACTCCCAAAAAACAAAAAAAGAAAGTATAATCATATTGAAGATCCTCAGAGATAAATGAAGTAACATTTATCACAAATAAGCAATTATAAAAAGCAGACAAAAATAAAACAAGAGTAGATGGATATAAAGCGTGCCCATTAGAAATTTCAGAAATTAAAAAGTAGCAGTGAAAATTTAATGGAAACTCAAAAGCAACCCAATTAAAAACAGGCAAAATATTTAAACAGGCATTTTACCAAAAAAGATATATGAATGGCTGGAATTGGTACATTAGGGAAATGCTAATTAAAGCCACAGTAAGACACCATTCACATCTACTAGTACGGCTATAATAAAAAAGAAAATAACAAATGTTGGAAAGGATGTGAAGAAATAGAACCCTCAAATTTTGCTGAGGAGTATGCAAAATGGTACAGCTACTATGGAAAACTGGCAGTGTCTTTAAAAATAAACATAGGCCAGATGCGGTGGCTCACGCCTGTAATCCCAGCACTTTGGGAGGCCCAGATGGTTGAATCACTTGATGTCAAGAGTTCAAGACCAGCCTGGCCAACATGGTGAAACCCTGTCTCTACTAAAAATACAAATGTTAGCTGGGTATGGTGGTGCATGCCTGTAGTCCAAGCTACTCGGGAGGCTGAGGTGGGAGAATTGCTTGAACCCGCGAGGCGGAGGTTGCAGTGAGCCGAGATTGTGCCACTGCACTCCAACCTGGGCGACAGAGTGAGACTCTGTCTCAGAAAATAAATAAATAAATAAACAAACTTAAATTTACAGTCACCAATCAAACTTCAATTTACAGTCATACCAAGAAATTCCACTCCTAGACATCTTTCCAAGAAAATAAAAACATATGTTCACACAAAGACTGGTACATGTTAATAGCAGCAGTATTCATAATTGTCAAAAAGTGGAAACAATCCAAATGTCCATCAACTAGTGAAGGGATAAATGCAATGTGGTACATCTATATAATGGAATACTTTCAGCAGTATCAAGAAACAAAAAAATGGATACAGGCTACAAAATGAATGAACCTTAAAGAAACCAAGTGCATAACACATATTGTATAATTATGTTTATATCAAATGTCCAGAAAA
Source organism: Homo sapiens (assembly GCF_000001405.40). NCBI lineage: Eukaryota > Metazoa > Chordata > Mammalia > Primates > Hominidae > Homo > Homo sapiens. Next base: position 58,960,718 of record NC_000015.10, on the reverse strand, counting down.
GGCAAATATATAGAAACAGAAAGTATATTAGTGGTGCCTGGGGCTAGAGGTAGAGACAAAGGTGGACTGCAAATGGGCATGAGGGATCATTTTGTTGTGAAAGAAATCTTCTAAAACTGGATTGTGATAATGGTTGTACAACTTCATAAATAGATCAAAAACCATTGAATCGTACGTTAAAACTGTATGTAAAATGGTAAAGATGGCAAATTATATATGTATGTTTTACCTCAATAAAAAAAAGAAATAAAATTAAATGGTACGTAAATTACACCTCCGTGAAACTTTTCATTTATTTATTTTTTCTTTTCTTTTTTTCTTTTTTTCTTTTTTTTTTTTTTGAGACAGAGTCTTGCTCTGTTGCCCAGGCTGGAGTGCAGTGGCGCGATCCTGTCTCACTGCAACCCCTGCCTCCCAGGTTCAAGTGATTCTCCTGCCTCAGCCTCCCTAGTAGATGGGATTACAGGTACATGCCACTAAACCTGGCTAATTTTTGTATTTTTAGTAGAGATGGGGTTTTGCTATGTTGGCCAGGCTGGTCTTGAACTTCTGACCTCAAGTGATCCACCCACCTCAGCCTCCCAAAGTGCTGGGATTACAGGCGTGAGCCACTGGCACCCCGCCCATTTATTTATTTTTTCAAGACAGGATCTCACTCTGTCCCCCAAGCTGGGCTCCAGTGTCATAAACTCCTGGGCTCAAGCCATCCTCTCACCTCAGCCTCCCAGGTAGATAGGACTACAGGTGTCTACCACCACGCTGAGCTAATTATAAAAAAAAAAAAATTATAGAGACTGGTCTCAAACTCCTGGCCTCAAGCAATCCTCCCGCTTCAGCCTCCTAGAATGCTGGGATTACAGGTGTGAGCCACCATCTCCCACCTCAGTGAAGCTATTTTTTTTAAATAACAACAACAATAATAATAGGGTAAATGTAAGACTGGACAAATCTGAGTAATTAGTGAACTTGGAAGATAATACTGAAAAATGCATTCAAAACACATCACAAAAAGAGATAAAACTATGAGACAGGACAGAAAAAATAACGTACAATTAATTGGAGTTCCAGAAGAAGAGACTATAAAGGAATTATAGAAAAACAGCATTAAGGCCATGTGCGGTGGCTCACGCCTGTAATCCCAACACTTTGGGAGGCTGAGGCGGCCGGATCACCTGAGGTCAGGAGTTTGAGACCAGCCTGGCCAAAGTGGTGAAATCCCATCTCTATTAAAAATACAAAAATTAGCTGGGCATGGTGGCAGGTGCCTGTAGTCCCGCTACTCAGGAGGCTGACAAAGAAGAATCGCTTGAACCTGGCAGGGGGAGGTTGCAATGAAATCATGCCATTGCACTCCAGCCTGGGAGACAGCAAGATTCCGCCTTGAAAAATTGCACTGAAAGTGATAATAGCAGAGTAGACTCAAGAACTAAAGGAACATATGAATCTTCAGATTGAAAGTCCACTTCTGCAGGATAAAGAAAAATCCACACCTTTATATCCAAACACGTAGGCTGGGCATGGAGGCTCACGCCTGTTATCCCAGCACTTTGGGAGGCTGAGGCAGGTGGATTGCTTGAGCTCAGTAGTTATAGACCAGCCTGGGCAACATGGCAAAACCTCATTTCTACAAAAACTACAAAAATTAGCCACGTATGATGGTGTGCGCCTGTAGTCCCAGCTACTCAGGAGACTGAGATGGGAGGATGGCTTGAGCCCAAGTTGGTCAAGGCTGCTGTGAGCTGAGATCACGCCACTGCACTCCAGCCTGGACAAATAAAAAAAAAAAAAAGTAACACTGAAAAACATCAAAGATATAGATAAATTGCTAAAAGTCTCTCTAATAAATTATCTATTAAAAATTATTATACATATAGGAATATTGCTTCAAATTGCTGAAAGTAAATACAGTCTTTTCTCAGTACACACAGTGGATTGGTGCCAAGATCCCCCACCACCCACCGGGTATATACCAAAATCCTTACATACTCAAGTCCCACAGCCTACCCTGAAAACCTGCATATAGGAAGTTAGCCCTCCATATAAGTGGGTTTCACATCCCACTAATGCTGTATTTTCATCTGTGTTTGGTTGGAAAAAATCCCTGTAGTAGTGGACCCATGCAGTTCAAACCCATGTTTTTCAAGCGTCAACTGTAATTGTCAACCTAAAAATCTATATGCAGCTAAACTATCATTCAAGAGTGAGGATGGGCCAGGCATAGTGCCTCACGCCTGTAATCCCAGCACTGTGGGAGGCCGAGGTGGGTGGATCACTTGAGGCCAGGAGTTCGAGACCAGCCTGGCCAACATGGTGAAACCCTGTCTCTACTAAAAATACAAAAATTAGCTAGGCATGGTGGCGCACACCTGTAATCCCAGCTACTCAGGAGGCTGAGGCAGGATAATCACTTGAAGCCGGGAGGTGGAGGTTGCAGTGAACCGAGATGGCACCACTACACTCCAGCCTTGGCGACAGAGCGAGATTCTGTTTCAAAAAAAAAGTGAGGAAGAAACAGCATATAAAGAATGGGAGAGAGTATTCTCTTCTGAGCCTCACTGAAAGAACTACCAAATGGTGTGAGTTAGCAAGAGAAATGAACTTTAAAGGAGCAGGACATAAGGCATGAGAGAACATAGAACTTGATAAAATATGTTGTTAAATTTAATTAAATGTGAACTCTAAAAATAATTTTTAGAAGAAACTAAAACTAAAACTAAAACTAAACTGAAACCCTGGACAAAAATAAGAAAATAGGGATAGGGAGTGTTCAGTGGATAATTATAGCATGAAAAGGTTCAGTAGAAGGGTAAAGATAGTGAAAAGCTTTAGCCTTTGGAAGTTTTTATATTTAAGTAGCGTGGTAGCAAGCCTCCTATGATGGCTCCCAATATCCTCACCTCCTGGTATTGTCACTTAACCTTGGCTTCCCAGTGTGCCAGATAAAATATAGCAGAAGTGAGACGGCTTTGACTCCTGAGGCTACTTCATCAAAGATGTGGCAATTTCCACCTTGGTCTCTCTCTCTCTCTCTCTCTCGAAGCATTGGCTCTATGGCAATGATTCTCAATTGTGGATGATTTTGTCCCCCACGCTCACCCCAGGGACCATTTGGAGATGTCTGGAGAGACGTTTTTGATTGTCACAACTGGGAGCACTACTGCCATCTAGTGGGTAGAGGTCAAGGATGCTGTTAAACATCCTAAATAGAACAGTACCTCTGGCCCCCTACAGCAGCAAATTATGAAGTACAAAATGTCAATAGTACTGAGGTAGAGAAACCTTCCTCTAGGGAAGACCAGACGCCATATCATGAGGATTATCCAACAGCTGTATCGAGAGGTTCACATGGTAAGGAACTAAGGCCTCCTGCCCCAACAACTTGCCAGCTACAGGGGTCCTTGAGAGTGTCCTCCAGGCCCAGTGAAGCCTCAAATGACTGTAGGCCAGCTGACATCTTGACAAGTCATGAGAGATCCCAAGCCAGAGCACCCCAATTAAGCCCCTCCTGAACTTATTACCCACAGAAGCTGGGTGAGATAATACATGTTTATTGTTTTTTTCTTGTTTGTTTGAGACTGAGTCTCGTTCTGTCTCCCAGGCTGGAGTACAGTGGCACAATCTCAGCTCACTGCAACCTCTGCTTCCCAGGTTCAAGCGATTCTCCTGCCTCAGCCTCTCGAGTAGCTGGGACTACAGGTGCCTGCCACCACGCCCAGCTAATTTTTGTATTTTTAGTAGAGATGGGGTTTCACCATACTGGTCAGGCTGGTCTTGAACTCCTGACCTCAAGTGATCTGCCCACTTCGGCCTCCCAAAGTGCTGGGATTACAGGCATGAGCCACCGTGCCCAGCCAAATGTTTATTGTTGTTTTAAGCCTCTAAATATTGGGATAATTCATTAGACAGCAATAGATAACTGATACAAATTAGTGAAGTTAAAGATTTAAGGATATGATTAAAAGAAGAGAAATATAGCTTATAGTTCCCAAACTAGCAAAGGAAAATCAAAGGGGAACTATAAAAAATGTTAATAATCCAACATAAAGCAGAGAAAGAGAAAAAAAAAAAAGTACCAGAATCATAAAATATACACATATAAAGTTAAAGGTATTAGTAATCACAATAAATGCAAATGCATTAAACTCATGTACTAAAGAGGAAAAACTCAGACAATGGATTAAAAATATCCAACCACATACTTCTTACAGAAGATAATCCTGAAACAACATAGAAAGATTGAAAATAGGCCAGGCGCAGTGGCTCACACCTGTAAACCCAGCACTTCAGGAGGATGAGGTCAGTGGATCCCTTGAGTCCAGGAGTTTGAGACTAGTCTGGGCAACGTGGCAAAACTCCATCTCTACAAAAAATACAAAAATTAACCAGGCATGGTGGCACACACCTGTAGTCTCAGCTACTGGGGAGGCTGAGATGGGAGGATCACTTGAGGAGGGAGAATGGCTTGAGCTCAGGAGGCGAAGGTTGCGGTGAGCTGCGATGGCACCACTTCACTCCAGCCTGGGTGACAGAGTGAGACCCTATATCAAAAAGAGAAGAAAAATTGAAAATAAAACAGAAGCAATTACAAATTACAGAAAATACATATGAACAGAAAGCTAATAGTAAGTAGTATCAGACAAAATAGAATTTAAGGCAAAAACAGCAATAAAAGGGGAACTACAAAAAGATTAAAGGAACACAACACGTAATAATAAATGTATTTGTATTAGTTATAAAACAGCCTTGAAACATAAAACAAAGCAAAGACTGATCTACAGAGAGACATTGGCAGAAATCACAATATTGGCAGGTATTTGCAGTTGGCATTTATTGAGAAAAGACATAAATATTTATTTATGTATTAATTTATGATGTATGTATGTATTTATTTATTTATTTTGAGACAGGGTCTTGCTCTGTCACACAGGCTGGGGTGCACTGGCATGATCGCGGCTTACTGCAGCCTTGACCTCATGAGCTCCAGGGATCCTCCCACCTCTGCCTCCCAAGTAGCTGGGACCACAGGTGGGCACCACCACACCCAGCTAATTTTTAAAATTTTTTTGTAGAGATGAGATCTTGCCATGTTGCCCAGGCTGGTCTCAAACTCCTTGGTTTAAGTGGTCCTCCCACCTCAGCCTCCTAAAGTCCTGGGATTATAGATGTGAGCCATGGAGCCTGGCCAATATGTATTTAATAGATAATGCATGTGTATGTTAAAAAATTGAAAAGGTACAATACTGTTCCCTGAAATGAAAGCCTCTGTTCTGTCCATACCCCTTAGCCTCTGAGTTCCTCTCTTCAGAGGGCAATACTATTAACACTATTAACTGTTTCTTATGTATTCTTCCAGATATGAGTCCACATACTTAAATACATAATCATACATATTATTTTCCCCTTTCAAACAATAGCAAGCTACATACAGTATAATCTGGTGTCTAGCTCTGTTTAATTTTTCTAAAGTATCTTGCAGTCATTTCCATAGCAGATATGTATTGATCCATCATTCTTACTAACAAGTGCAATGTATTCCACTGCATGACCATACCATTGATAAATGTTTAGGTGCCCATCACTTTTGCTGTTATAAACAATGCTGCAATATCAGTTCAAATAATATTTCCCATAGACATGTTATTATCTACAAGAATGAATGGGATTTCTGGGTCAAAGTGTCTATACATTATAATTTTAGTATGCATTTTCAAATTGGTCTTCATTTATGTCAATTTATACTTCAATTTACAATGCATGAGAATACATTGACAACATATTCTTGACAACACAGCAAGTTTACAAACTTTTAGCTCCTTGCCAACCTAAAGCTCCATGATCTTCAAAATGAACTTGATAACCAGATTGTCATGCCTGAGATAAAAGATTTACTGGCACAGGAGATGATTAGTAAGCTATGGCCTTTATGATGTTGAGCCTTTCAATCAAGGAACATCTCTATTTATGTCAACCTGTGAGTCTTTCAAAGTGGCTTATAATTTTCCTTTTGGGTGTATTAAATATTTTTTGTTTAGTTCAAACATAAGTCATTTATTTATTAATTTATGCTATGGCAAAGGTCTTCTATTCTATCTTCTAACTGGCTTTTCTTTGTAATATATATGAAGCTATTGGGTTTTGTGTATCAGTTTTAACACATGTTATTTTATCTATTATCTTATTGTTTGTAGCAGTTGATTCTTTTGGGTTTTCCGGATACACAGTTATATCATATCCAAATAGAAATAGCTTAACCTCCTTTTTTCACAATGCTTCTCCCCCTTTCTCTTATTAACACCTATACACTGTTAAAGACAGAGAAGCTAGTGAGCGTTCTCTATTTCTGACTTTAGAAGGAACACTTTTCATAAGTAAATGCTGTCTTTTGGGCTGAAGTATGTATGTGTGTGTGTATACACACACATAAATATAGTCATATTAAGGAAGCGTCTTTCAATTCTTATTTAGAGTTAATATTAAAGGATGTTGAATTTTGTCAGATAACTCTCCTGCATTTATGGAGATCGTGATATACTTGTTCTCCTTAGTTCTTTTAGGTTTTCTGTTTTGTTTTTTGTTTGTTTGTTTGTTTAGACAGTGTCTCGCTCTGTCGTCCAGGCTGGAGTGCAGTGACACAATCATAGCTCACTGCAACCACAAACTCCTGGGCTCAAGCGATCCTCCCACCTCAGCCTCCTGGGTAACTAGGACTTGAACCACCATGCCAGGCATTTTTTTTTTTTTCAAGAGATGGAATCTCACTATGTTGCCCAGGCTGGTCTCAGACTGCTGGTCTCAAAGCAATCCTCCCACCTCACCTCCCAAAATGTGGGATTACAGACGTGAGCCACTGCACCTGGCTGCTTTTTTGCCTTAGTTCTATTAATAAGATGAATTACACTAATGAATTTTGTAATAATAAAACACCCTTGAATTTCTGGAATAAACTCTTGGTCACAATGTATTCTCTTTGCAAAGTGCTGTTGAATTTTGTTTACCAAGATTTTATTTTAAACTTATGCATCATATTCATAGAAGAGGTTGGTTTGTAGTTTTCTGCCGAGACAAGTTTTTGTCAGGTGGGACTGAAAGTACCAACTCTCTAATGATGGCTTAATCTTTCCAGTGACTAGCCCCCATCCTGAAGTTACCTAGGGGAGGCCAGCTATCAGTCAACTTGTTAGCTCTCAAAAAGTCACTTATCACTTCGGAGTTACATGCCAGAAAACAGGGAGGAAGACCAAATACTGTATATATTTCACAATATCACAAGCCCAAATGTCCGTTAAGAACAAAATGAATAAACCAGTGTGGTAAATTCAAACAATGTAATATTACATAGTAATTAAAAAAAACAAATTACTGATATATGCAACAATATGGTCAAATTTCATAGATGTTATTATAAACCAAAAAGTATCTGAAACAGGTCTCAATCAATTTAGAAGTTTATTTTGCCAAGGTTAAGGACATTCTCAGAAGACAAGAACACAGAATCATAAAAAGTCTGTGGTCTGTGTCTTTCTCCAAAGAAGAATTTGAGGGCTTCACTACTTAATGGGGAAAAGTGGACTGGAGGGAAAAGAGGGAAGGTATAGTAATCCACATGTTGCAAGAGAAAAGAAGCAGGTAGGGGAAGGGTCAATTATGTACTGGTCTCATGCTCAGTAAATTGGCACTTCACATAAGATAAGGTGAACATAGAGTAGCTACCAGTGGAGATGCTGAGTCTTTCATCTGTAGCTCTCTGCTTATGAACAAAAGGAAAGGCAGCTTCTTGCATGACTCAGCTTTCAGCTTAATTTGTTCTCCCTTTGGCCTAGTGAATTGGGGTTCTGAGTTTTTATTTCCCTTTCACATTATGCTGTATGTTACTGTATTTTTCAGAGTAATCAACACTATCTGCCACAAATGACAAACCTCCAAATTGTAGTGACTTTATATCACAAAAGTTTATTTCTCAGTCCTGTGACACTTCTCGTGGTTCGGGAAGACTTCCACCATGCTGTAGCTATACCATCCAAATCATGAAGCCTCTAAGGTAACAGGAGTAAAGATAAGACAGGAAGGTTGCCCAAGAAGTTTTTTTGGTTTCATTTTTGTTTTGATTTTGAGACAGGGTCTCACTCTGTCACCCAGACTGGAGTGCAATGGCACAATCACAGCTCACTGCAGTCTCCACCTCCCAGGCTCAAGGAATCCTCTTGCCTTGGCCTCAAGTAGCTGGGACTATAGTGCCTCTATACCAAGCTAATTTTTTATTTTTGTAGAGACAGGGTCTCATTGTTGCCCAGATTGTTCTCAGAGTCCTGGAGTCAAGCAATCCTCTCATCTCAGCTTCCCCAAATGCTGTGATTACAGGTGTGAGCCACTGCACCTAGCCAGCCCAAGAAGTTTTTAAGGGCCAGGGCCTGAAAATGGCTAATATCAGTTCCACCCACAGCTCACCAGCCAAACTTCTAGAAAGGTTGCAACCTAACTGCCTAGGCACCCAGGAAGAGAAAAGTGAACATATAGCATTATCTGTGCCACGAGTGTCCACTTAAAGTTATTAATGGAGAATGCATAACAATTGAGGAACTTCTCCTTAAGGATGTGGCAGCTCTACAAAGTAATTACAAAAATATGAACAGATGGAGGGATCCTCCCAAACTCTAACACAGAACAAATTCATATTGTTTACATGCCTACATAGAGTAGAAATGTTCTTGACCTGCATCCTTTTACTTAATGCATGGTAGTAAGCTACATTCTCACTATTCCCTTTGTAAAATAGGCTAAAGTCATGACATACTGAACACTTTCAACTAGTAGGCTATTTTCCAGCATAATCATGTACTTCTGCTGCCAGAAGTTGGGCTGTATCCTGCTTGCTATTAGTCATATGGATTTGCTCCAAAACCTGTTTTTCCAGTCGTACATGTTATACGTTACTCTAATTATGTAATTTAATTAAATATTCCTGAAGCCCCAGAAATATGAGTTCCAAAATTCAAAGAAAAGGCTTTTCTCCTTTGAAAACCCATGGCTGGGTCTGACGCTCTGAAACTTCAAATAGGCTTGTTGAAGCCATATGAACTGTAATCCAGAGTATTAAATTATGGCACCATAGGGATTTCCTCATATAATAATAGGGTAGACTCTTAAGCAGGGCTGTGGTTGCCTCACTTGCCTCGCTCCAGCTTTAAATGATATAAAAGGCAGCTAGCCTACTGCTCTAGCACTCCTGACCTAGCAGATTTTTCATTTCCAAGGGCATCTCAGACTGTCGGCCTTTGGGTGTACCACCATGAAGAATAAAGGTAGGCTTTGGGGAACCACATTTATTCATATCTTTGGTCGTGTAAATATTTTGTTCACTGCTTTCGTACAGGTTCGGTCGTGAATAAGGAATCACTTACGTGATCATTCTCACCAATCTTTGAACCTAGCCTAGACAAGCCCTTCCGTCCAGACTAGTTCAATCATACATCAAAAGATTGGTGAACATTTTTATGTTTTAAATTAAAATATTTAAAAATAATATACCATTACTAAAATGGCAATAGAGTTGTAGCAGAATTAGACCAAAAAAAAGAAGACAGCTGATTAAAAATCTCAGCTAAAATCTGTTGACTTAGAGTTACCTATTCAATACCAATAATAAGAAAGGACAGTCTTCCCTTCTGGGCATCAGGTAGAATCATCCTGGGAGCACGTAGCCTTCAGGTTCCACATCCCAGTTTGAACCTGTGGCAGTAAGTAACTATTCTATCATATATTCTTCAACCTAGAAATCTCTGCTCCCTTGAGATGACAAATCTCCGCATCCATTGTTGTGTGACTTTATAACCATCAAACGGCTTAGAGTAAGTTTGGAGATAATTAATTAAAAATCTTAAAATTTAAGATTTAGATCTTAAATATTTAATGCTTTGTCTAGAAAATGGCCTTGTATGTTTATTATTTAAAATGTTATGCTTAAGAAAATATATCAGTGGGGCGCAGTGGCTCATTCCTATAATCTCAGCACTTTGGGAAGCCGAGGCAGGCGGATGGCTTGAGCTCAGAAGGTCAAGACCAGCCTGGGCAACATGGTGAAACCCCGTCTCTACAAAAAATACAAAAATTAAACGGGTGTAGTGGCATGTGTCTGTAGTCCCAGCTATCGGTGGGGGGTGGGGTGCTGAGGCAGGAGGATTGCTTGAGCCAGGGAGGTGGAAGTTGCAGTGAGCCCTGATCCTGCCACTGCACTCCAGCTGGGCAGCACAGAAAAACCCTGTCTCGAAAAAAAAAAAAAAAGTAGGCACCTCGTTTGGAAAGTTTAACTGTAAAAGGAAAGACAGGAATAGGAAAAGAAGTTCAGAATTTCCCTCCCTGCCAGTTCTTTTCTTCTTCTGTCATTTGTTTTTTTGAGACTAGGTCTTGCTATGTTGCCTAGGGTAGTCTCAAATACCTGATCTCAAGTGATCCTCCTGCCTCAGCTTCCTGTGTCGCTGGGATTCAAGGTGCTCACCACTGCATCCAGCTCTCTCCTTAGGATAATCCTGAACTTTAAGGTTCCTAACTTTAAACTCAACTCACTTCTTTCCTCACCATGAATCTCTTTCTTGATTTGTATTTTGTATCTCAGGAAATGTCATGATTCCGTATCCATTTGATAACTAAGACCTGTCGATTCTACTTCTGGAATTCATCCCTTCCCACTCCACCTCTTTTAACACACCAATAGCTTCCTAACGGGTCTCTCTGCCTCCTTTCTTACTTCAATGCACGTGGGAAACTGCAGGCTACTTCTCCAGTCTCATCCCTCCCCATTCCTCTCCCCTTGCAGCATACCTGCAAAGTCTTCACTGCCGCATCCTTGCGCATGTCTCCTTATTGCCCCACGTTCTTCTGCTCTCTCCTCCATTACCACTTCTTCCATTTGTCTCATCTCTTAAAACTCAGCTTAGATGTCGCCTTCATTAGGAAGTGTCCCAAATTTATTTTAGGGCTGATAGATCTTTTCTATTTTGGTCATCGTACGGTAGTTTAGTATTTAGATTGTATTATAAATGTTAGTTTGCTTATTTCTCCACTAGACTGTCCTTCGGGGCCTCTTTTGTATTCATTTCTGTATCCTTATTGTTGGTCCATACCTGGCAAGGAGTGGGCATTCCAATGATACACACTGAGAGCAAATGCTGTGTTCTTAATAAAGTCTTGTTGGAGAATCCCATATACACTCTTCTCCTCAATACACAGCCTTTTCTTAGCCCAGTACAGCTCTGAGCAATCTCCTTTTCCTTCTTCGCTTCAGTATTTCAGCCTACTTTTTGCTCCCTTGTTTATCCTTTGGAAATCCTCTCCCCCAAAGTCAACTTTCAGACTAAGTCACAGATTCCTCAGTTTCCTACTTTCTTGCTTCTTTGTACTGGTTATCTATTGCTGCATAACAAATTACTTAGGAGTGTAACACAAAAATAAACATTTACTACTATATACAATTTTTCTGAGTCAGGAAGTTAAAAGTAGCTTAAGTGCATGTTTCTGGGCCAGGCACGGTGGCTTACACCTGTAATCCCAGCACTTTGGGAGGCCAAGGCAGGTGTATCACTTGAGTCCAGGAGTTTGAGACCAACATGAGCAACATGGAGAAACCCCAACTCTACACAAAATACAAAAAATTATCTGGGTGTGGTGGCATGCACCTGTAGTCCCAGCTACTTGGGAGGCTGGTGGGAGGGTGGCTTGAGCCTGGGAAGCGTAGGTTGCAGTGACCAAGATTGTACCACTGCACTCAAGCCTGGGCAACACAGCAAAACCCTGTCTCAAAAAAGAAAAAGAAAAAGAAACAGAAAAGTGGGTGTTCTGGCTCAGGGTCTCTTATAAGGCTATAGTCAAGATATTAGCTGGGGCTGCAGTCACTTAAGGCTTGTTGGGACTGGAGGATCCCATTTCAAGATAGCTGACTCAAAGGAATGGTGAATTGGTACAGGTTGTTGTCAAAAGGCCTCAGTTCCTTGCTGTGTGGACTTCGCCTTAGGGCTACTTAAGTATCCTCACAACATGGCAGATGGATTCTTCAAGAGCAAATGACCCAAGACAGGGAAAGATAGAGGCCACAATCTCTTTTATGGCCTAACGTTAAAGTTCAAATCTATCATTTTCTCAACATCCTGTTGGTTGCACAGGTCAGCCCTATTCAACATAGGACAGTGCTACTTGAAGATGTCAATGTTGGGAGAAAGAATGATTGGGGGCCATCTTGAAGGCCATCACACCCACTTTGAAGATTAGCATACCAGTAGTTATTCTTTGGTAGGTTTAAAATAGATACCAGAAGGAATTGAGGATTAACAAAGGTTGAGCATTCATTACATGTTAGACACTTCACATACATTGTTTAAGTTTTAAAAACAAAAGTATAGCACCATCTGTTCACCTCAGAAGTAGAATTTAAATTCATGATTATATGGCCCCAAAGCCTATGCTTTCCATTTTGACCTTTTTTATTATGAGTATAATATACATAGAGAAATTTTAGAAAACACAAATAGGCTGAATGCAGTGGCTCAAGCCTGTAATCCCAGCACTTTGGGAGGCTGACGCAGGCGGATCACCTGAGGTCAGGAGTTTGAGACCAGCCTGGCCAACATGGTGAAACCCCATCTCTACTAAAAATACAAAAATTAGCCAGGTGTGGTGGCGTGTGCCTGTAGTCCCAGCTACTTGGGAGTCTGAGGCAGGAGAATCGCCTGAACCCAGGAGACGGAGGTTGTAGTGAGCCGAGATCGTGCCATCGCACTGTAGCCTGGATGACAAAGCGAGATGCCATCTCAAAATAAATAAATAAATAAATAAATAAAATATTTTCAGCATTCCAGAAGCCTTGCACATGACTCTTCCCAGTCCCTACCCTATACCTCCCAACTATATTAAGCACTATCCTGACTTGTATGGCAACCACATCCTTGTTTTCCATTACAGACTTACTACTTCAGTATATATCCCTAAATATTACAATTTGTTTTTTCTTGTATTTCAGTCATATAAATGATATGATACATTATATATTATTTGACATAATGTAAAAGAATTTACATCATGTACTTACATAAGGTAATTTATTTCAACATCATTATAATTGCTTCATATTAATTATTGTACAGTATTGCATTGTATGAATATACCACAATTAATTTATCCATTCTGCTGTTAATAGATATTTGGGTGGTTTCTAGGTTGTGACTATTACAAATAATGCTGCTATGTGTATTTGTTTTTCTATAGAGCATATACTTAGAAGTGAATTTGGGGCCGGATGTGATGGCTCATGCCTATAATACCAGCACTTTGGGAGATGTAAGTGGGAGTATCCCTTGAGTTCAGGAAGTCGAGGCTACAGTGAGCCATTACAGCACCATTGCACTGCACCCCAGCCTGGGTGACACAGTGCGATCCAGTCAAAAAACAAACAAACAAACAAAAAAACCACAAGAAAAAAGAAGTGAATTTTTGACTCAAAGAATATAAAGAATATATGGTTCTATAACTTTATTAGATAAGTCTAAACTATTTGTTAAAGTGTTGTATCCAATTTTTTTCTCCTAGTATTAAAGAGTTCCAATTATTCCATATTCTTGCCAAAACCTAGTATTGTTCTTCTCTCTGATTTAGGCATTATGCTGGAGTATAAAGACATAACATTGCAGTTTTAATATGCAATATCTTGATTACTAATGTTTGATCACTTTTTCATATATTTATTTAAATTATGTCTGTATATATATGTAATGTTATATGCACACACACACACACACACACACACACATATACCATTTGAATTGAATTTTCTCTTTGGTGAAGTGCCTTTTCAAGTCTTGATCATTTTTTTCTTTTCTTTTTTTATATTTTATTTTTTATATTTTTTTAAGACAGGGTCTCGCCCTGTCACTAAGGTTGGAGTGCAGTGGCTCGATCTCAGCTCACTGCAGCCTCTGCCTCCCGGGTTCAAGCAGTTCTCCTGCCTCAGCCTCCCAATTAGCTGGGACTAGAGACACATGCCACCGTGCCCAGCTGATTTTTGTATTTTTTTAGTAGAGACAGGGTTTTGCCATGTTGGCCAGGCTGGTCTCAAACTCCTGGCCTTAAGCAGTCCACGGGCCTTGGTGTCCCAAAGTGCTGGGACTACAGGCATGAGCCACCACGCCCGGCCTTGATCATTTTTATTCTACTGGGTTTTTTTTTTTTATGTGTTCTTTGAATATGGTGGTTATGAACCTATTGTTATCTGTGTTTTAAATACCTCTCCCTTTTGTAATTTGTCTTCTACTCTCTCAGTGGTACCTTTTAATGAGTAGAAATTATTAATTTTAGTGTAGTTATTTATATCAATCTTTTTCGTTGTAGGTGGTGCTTTTTGTGTCCTTATAAATATTTTCCTAATCCAAGGTCCTGATAATATTTTCCTAATACTATCTTTGGGGAGAAACAAATCTGAGGACTGATTTCCTCCTCCCTCTGGTAACTTAGCTCAGTATACAAGCAAGCTGACAGCAGAAACTGAACTCCAAAAGATCCTCCTTTGCAAAAAAGACTACTTTCTGGCCCAGGAAGCTCCACTATTACACAGTAGACTGACTGCTGTCCCCACTTCCCTAGAATAATGTAGAGCATTAAGGTGGTGATGTCCTTGTCAACTGGATTCCTTTCCATGCTTCACTGTGTGTGCCCTTTTTACTTCTTACCTTGTATGTTTTTCCGCTAACATTTCCCATTTTATACTTGCACACTGAACACTAGTGGTATTATTGTTTTGCCTCATATTCATGTCTCCAATCCACATGGATATTTTTTTTCATATTTGGTGTAAAGTAGTAATCCCAATGTAATCTGTTGAAAAAGTTGTCCTCACATTACCACTCTATAACGCCACTTTTGTCTAAAAGCAGGTGCATGGATCTGTTTTGGGTCCCTCTATTCTGTTCCATTGGCCTAGTTGTCAATCTCTTTGCTAACACCACATTTTAAAATAATGCTTGATGTACCATAGAACAAATGCTGATATCATTTTCCTTCCTCAAAACTTTTTGCTTATTCTTGGTCATTTGCATCCCATGTAAAATTTGAAAAAGTTTCTCAAATTCCGCTCCAAAAAAATGGTTAGTATTTTGATTGAGTCTGAATTGATAAATATATTGATTTAGGATGAACCGACATCTTTACAATATTGAGTTTTCAAAATTCATAAACCTGATACCTCTCCATTTATTTAAGTCTTTAAAAATTTTCTTCCAGGCATGGTGGCTCACGCCTGTAATCCCATCACTTTCAGAGGCCAAGGTGGAGCAGATCACCTGAGGTCAGGAGTTCCAGATCAGCCTGGCCAATATGGCAAAACCCCATCTCTACTAAAAATACAAAAATTAGCTGAGTGTGGTGGCGTGTGGCTGTAATCCCAACTACTTGAGAGACTGAGGCAGGAAAATCGCTTGAATCTGGGAGGCAGAGGTTGCAGTGAGCCGAGATCCTGCCACTGCACTCCAGCCTGAGCAACAGAGCAAGACTCCATCTCAAAAAAAAAAAAAAAAGGGCCGGGGACAGTGGCTCTCGCCTGTAATCCCAGCACTTTGGGAGGCCGAGGCAGGCAGATCATGAGGTCAAGAGATCAAGACCATCCTGGCTAACATGGTGAAACCCCGTCTCTACTAAAAATTAAAAAGAAAAAAAAATTAGCCGGTCATAGTGGTGGGCGCCTGTAGTCCAAGCTACTTGGGAGACTGAGGCAGGAGAATGGTGTGAACCCGGGAGGTGGAGCTTGCAGTGAGCCAAGATCGCTCCACTGCATTCCAGCCTGGGTGACAGAGCAAGACTCTGTCTCAAAAAAAAAAAAAAAAAAAATCCCAATAAAGTTTTGTGTTTTCCATGTAGAGTCTTCCACATATTATTAGATTTGTCCCTAGAGACGTGATATTTTTGATGTTATTTAAATGTTATTGTAAATATATAACCAGGTTACATTTGATTGAATATTAAAAATTTGGCTGGACGCGGTGACTCACACCTGTAATCTCAGCACTTTGGGAGGCTGGGGCAGGCAGATCACCTGAGGTCAGGAGTTCGAGACCAGCCTGGCCAATATGGTGAAATTCCACCTCTACTAAAAAATACAATAATTAGCTGGGTGTGATGGCGGGCGCCTGTAATCGCAGCTACTCAGGAGGCTGAGGCAGGAAAATCGCTTGAACCCCGTAGGCGTAGGTTGCAGTGAGCCGAGATCACACCACTGCACTCCAGCCTGGGTGACAGAGCAAGACTCCATCTCAAAAATAAATAAATAAATAAATAAATAAATAAATTTCACTTATTTATTCTACTTGTGAGGTAAAGAAAAAAATTTTAAATAGTGTATTTTTTAAAATTTTATTTCGTTGGCTGGGTGCAGTCCCTTACACCTATAATCCCAGTGCTATGGGAGGCTGAGATAGAAGGATTACTCAAGCCCAGGAGTTTGAGACCAGCCTAGGCAACATAGCAAGACCCTGTCTCTACAAGAAAAATTAAAATTAAAAAAAATTAGCTGGGCATGGTGGTGTAAGCCTGTAGTCACAGCTACTGCCAGTACTTTGGGAGGATGAGGCAGGAAGATCACTTGACCCCAGGAGTTTGAGGTTACAGTGAGTTATGTTCATCCTTGTAAATAGCCACCATGCTTTAGCTTGGGCAACATAGTGAGACTCTGTCTCTTAAAAAAAAATTCATCTTATTTATGGCTGATACATGGTAATGCAATTCATTGCTGTACACTGATATTGTGTTCAGAAACAAAGCAAAACTCTCATGAATTCTAATAATTCCTTTTGTAATAACATCATCTGTAGATAATGACTTGATTATTGTTTTCAGTCATATATTTTGCTTTCCTTGCCTCATTGGCCTGGCTAGGGTCTTCCATTGTACTGTAGGACAGTATCGATGTGCTTCCAATATCAAAGGGAAAAATAATAATTTTCACCATGTTTACTATAGTTTTTTTTTACATCCTTTATCAGGTTAAAATAGTTTCCTCTATTTTTACTTTGCTAGGAGATGTTAAAATCTTTAATGAATTGGCTTTTATCAAAGACTATTTGATAAAAGACTATCTTGATCTACTGAGATCATCATATGATTTTCTTTTCTATTTATTTATTTTTTTTGAGACAGAGTCTCACCCTGTCGCCCAGGCTGGAGTGCAGTGGGGCAATCTCAGCTCATTGCAACCTCCACGTCCCGGGTTCAAGCAATTCTCCTGCCTCAGCCTCCTGAGTAGCTGGCATTACAGGCGGATGCCACCATGCCCGGCTAATTCTTGTATTTTTAGTAGAGATGAGGTTTCGCCATGTTGGCCAAACTGGTTTCGAACTCCTGACCTCATGATCCACCTGCCTCGACCTCCCAAAGTACTGGGATTACAGGCGTGAGCCACTGTGCCCGGCCGATCATATGATTTTCTTTAATCTGTTAATGTGTCGAAGGACATTGGCTGATTTTTCAAATGTCTAACCTTCCATTCCTAAAATAATGCCAATTTGGTCATATGCATTACCTTTTTAAATATATTGCTATATTCAGTTTGCTAATATTTGCATCTGTTTTTGGTAAATTGTATTTATTTATTTTTGAGACAATGTCTCACTTTGTCACTCAGATTGGAATGCAGTGGTGCAATCCCGGCTCACTGCAACTTCCGTCTCCCGGGTTCAAGTGATTCTCCTGCCTCAGCCTCCCAAGTAGCTGGGATTACAGGTGTGTGCCACCATGCCCAGCTGATTTTTGTAATTTTAGTAGAGACAGGGTTTTCCCAAGTTGGCCAGGCTGGTCTTGAACTCCTGGCCCCAAGTGATCCACCCCCCTCAGCCTCCCAACGTGTTGGGATTACAGGTGTGAGCCCCTGCACTTGGCCAAATTGCAATTTTTCTAGGAATTTTAAATTTCATCTAAATTTTTTTTTTTTTTTTTGAGATGGAGTCTCACTCTGTCACCCAGGCTGGAGCGCAGTGGTGCGATCTCAGCTCACTGCAAGCTCCGCCTCCTGGGTTCACGCCATTCTTCTGCCTCAGCCTCCTAAGTAGCTGGGACTACAGGCGCCCAGCACCACGCCTGGCTAATTTTTTGTATTTTTCAGTAGAGAAGGGGTTTCACTGTGTTAGCCAGGATGGTCTCGATATGACCTTGTGATCCACCTGCCTCGGCCTCCCAAAGTGTTGGGATTACAGGCGTGAGCCACCGTGCCTGGCTGTAAATTTTCAAATATGTGGCCTGAAGTTGGCTTCCTAATACCTCTCTCTTATTTTTAATGTCTGCATGATGTGTAAAATTTTTTCTTATTCTTGATATGAATTATTTGTGTCTTTTCTGTTTTTTCTTTAAATGCCAATCTTTTAAATTTTATAAGTTTATCAAAGTGCCAGTTTTTGGCTTTGTGGATCACTCTATTGTATTTTTATTTTATATTTCATTTATTTCTACTCTTATCTTTATCCCCTTCCTTCTACTTCTTTTATTTTGCCATTCTTTTCCTAACTTAATGAGATATATACTTGGCTTATTTTTAATCTTACTTCTTTCCCAATAAGTGCATTTAATTCTATAAATTTCCCTCTAATTACTTCTTTAGCTGTTTTCCGTCAGTTGTGAAATGTTGTATCTTCATCATTATTGTGATTTCTTCTTGACCCTTGGTTTATTTCAAAGTGTATTTATTAATTTCCAAATGTATGGTGATTTTCCAATTATCTTTTTGCCTTTACTTCCAGTTAAATTGCAATGTGGTCAGAGAACATATTCTGTAATTTCAGTCCTCTGAAATTATATTGAGGCTTGCTCTATGAGTAGTACAAGATCAAATTTCTAACTGCTCAGGAATGGTTTTAAAAATATATATTCTACATTTGTTTGTCTACTAGGTCAAATTTGTGAACTGTATTGTTCAAATCTCTTATGTACTTACTGATCTTCTGCCTGTTTGTTAAATTAGTTACTGTGAGAAGTGTATTAAAAATCTCCCACAAAAAAAATTCCTACAAAAATTGCAGATTTGTCAATTTCCTTTGTAGAACTGTCAAATGTTATGTACTTTAAGGCTTTGTTATTAGGTGCACAGAAACAGAATTGTTCCATCTTCCTGGGGATTTACTCCTCAATATTAAGAGAGTCTTCTATCTTTAGTGGGTTCCCCACCCAAATGCTACATAGGTTGAGTATTCCTAATCCAAAAATCTGAAATGCTTCAAAATTCAAAACTTTTACTTTCCCATAAGTTATTGGGGTACAGGTGGTATGTGGTTACATGAATAAGTTCTTTAATGGTGACTTGTGAGATTTCTTTGCACCCATCACCCGAGCAGTATACACTGCACCATATTCGTAGTCTTTTATCCCTCGCACCCCTCCCACCCTTCCCCCCAAGTTCCCAAAATCCATTGTATATGCCTTTGCATCCTCATAGCTTAGCTTCCACATATCACTGAAAACACACGATGTTTGGTTTTCCATTCCTGAGTTAATTCACTTAAAATAATAGTCTCCAATCTCATCCAGGTTGCTGCAAATGCCGTTAATTCTTTCCTTTTTATGGCTGAGTAGTAGACCATCATATAAATATACTGCAGTTTCTTTATTCACTGATTGATGGGCATTTGGGTTGGTTCCATGATTTTGCAATTGTGAATTGTGCTGTTATAAATATGTGTGTGCAAGTATCTTTTTCATATGATGACTTTTTTTCCGAGTAGATACCCAGTACTGGGAATGCTGGATCAAATGGTAGTTCTACTTTTAGCTCTTTAAGAAATCTCCACACTGTTTTCCATAGTGGTTGTAATAGTTTACGTTCCCACCAGCAGTGTAAAAGTGTTCCCTGTTCACCACATCCACACCAACACCGACGTTTTTTGATTATGGTCATTCTTGCAGGAGTAAGGTGGTATTGCATTGATGTTTTGATTTGCATTTCCCTGATCATTAGTGATGTTGAGCATTTTCTCATATGTTTGTTGGCCATTGTATATCTTCTTTTGAGAATTGTCTATTCATGTCCTTAGCCCACTTTTTGATGGAATTGTTTGTTTTTTTCTTACTGATTTGTTTGAGTTCTTTGTAGATTCTGGATATTAGCCCTTTGTCAGATGTATAGATTATGAAGATTTTCTCCCACTCTGTGGGTTGTCTATTCACTCTGCTGACTGTTCCTTTTGCTGTGCAAAAGCTCTTTAGTTTAATTAAGTCTCAACTCTTTATTTTTGTTTTTATTGCATTTGCTTTTGGGTTCTTGGTCATGAAATCCTTGCCCAAAGCAACTTTCAAAACTTTTTGAGCACCAGCATGATATTCAAAGGAAATGCTCATTGGAGCATTTTGGATTTCAGGTTTTTGGATTAAGGATGCTCAGCTGCTAAGTATAATGTAAATACAGTTGATGCTTGCACAACATGGGTTTGAACTGCAGGAGTTCACTTATACACAGATTTTCTTCTGCCTCTGCCACCACTCCTAAGACAGTAAGACCAACCTGCTCATTCCTCCTTCCCTTCAGTATGAAGATCATGAGGACAAAGACCTATATGAACATCCACTTCCACTTGATGAATAGTATTTTCTCTTCCTTCTGATTTTCCTAATAACATTCTTTTCTCTAGCTTACTTTATTATAAGAATATAGAATATGATACATATAATATACAAAACACATGTTAATTGACTTTACGTTATTGGTAAGGCGTCTGGTCAACAGTAGGCTGTTAGTAGTTACATTTTGGGGGAGTCAAAAATTATACTTGGACTCAGGGGCTTGGTGCCCCTAACCCTGAGTTGTTCAAGGGCCAATTACATTCTAAGATCTGGAAAAAGAAATCCAAAATCCAAAACATTTCTGGTACCAAGCATTTCTGATAAGGGATACTCAACCTGTACCAGCTTTGTCTTGGCTAGTGTTTACAAAGTGCATCTTTTCCAAACGTTTGCTTTAAAGATAGATATATATATATTTTTTTTTTTTTTTTTTTTTTTTTTTTTTTTGGGATGGAGTCTCGCTCTGTAGCCCAGGCTGGAGTGCAGTGGTGCAATCTCAGCTCACTGCAACCTCTGACTCCCGGGTTCCAGCGATTCTCCTGCCTCAGCCTTGGGAGTAGCTGGGATTACAGGTGCGTGCCACCACAACCGGCTAATTTTTTGTATTTTTAGTAGAGACGGGGTTTCGCCATCTTAGCCAGGATGGTCTCGATTTCCTGACCTCGTGATCCGCCTGCCTCGGCCTCCCAAAGTGCTGGGATTACAGGTGTAAGCCACTGCACCTGGCCCATTTTTGTATATTTCTTAAATGTGTTCTTCTAACTAGTTAAAAAACTTCTGGACTGACAATTATCTTTTACCTGGAATAGTTAACCCATTAATCTTTAATGTAATTGCTTTTATGTTTGTTTTTAAATGTTTATCTTACAGCATGCTTTCTATTATCCCACTGATTCTATGTCCCCTCTTCTGTCTTGTTCTCTGGAGGATTTTTTTAATCTTAGTTTGAAAGTTATAGAGTCTTTTAATATTTGACTAGTGACTACCCTAGAAATTAGGACATGCATCTCTGACCTTTCTGTGATCATTTTCTTCTTTCTCAAGATATCATTTAGTATTTCCTTTAATGAAGATCTACCCATTGTTAATTCCCTCAGTTATTATTTGCTATTAGCTATAATTTTATTTAAGTATGGGTAAGACATCAACCTGCTATCTTCTGATTTCCTTTTTTGCTGTTGAAAAGTAAATATTCGCTGGGTGCAGTGGCTCACGCCGGTAATCCCAGCACTTTGGGAGGCCCAGGTGGGTGGATCACGAGGTCAGGAGTTCGGGACCAGTCTGGCCAACATGGCAAAACCCCATCTCTACTAAAAATACAACTAACTGGGCATCGTGGTGTGCGCCTGTAATCCCAGCTACTCAGGAGGCTGAGGCAGGAGAATCACCTGAATGCGTAAGGTGGAGGTTGCAGTGAGCCAAGATCGCAGCACTGCACTCCAGCCTGGGAGACAGAGTGAGACTCCTTCTAAAAAAAAAAAAAAAAAAAAAAAAAAAGGCCCGGGCGCGGTGGCTCACACCTGTAATCCCAGCACTTTGAGAGGCCGAGGCAGGTGGATCATGAGGTCAGGAGATCAAGACCATTCTGGCTAACAAGGTGAAACCCCATCTCTACTAAAAATATAAAAATTATCTGGGCGTGGTGGCGGGCACCTCTAGTCCCAACTACTCGGGAGGCTGAGGCAGGAGAATGGCATGAGCCCGGGAGGCGGAGCTTGCAGTGAGCCGAGATTGTGCCACTCCCCTCCAGCCTGGGCAAGAGAGCAAGACTCTGTCTCAAAAAAAGAAAAAAGAAAAGTAAACATTCAGCCAGGCGCAGTGGCTCATGCCTATAATCCCAGCACTTTGAGAGGCTGAGGCTAGGAGATCATGAGATCACGAGATCAAGAGATAGAGACCATCCTGGCCAACACGGTGAAACCCTGTCTCTACTAAAAATACAAAAATTAGCTGGGCATGGTGGCATACACCTGCAGTCCCAGCTACTCAGGAGGCTGAGGCAGGAGAATCGCTTGAACCTGGAAGGCGGAGGTTGCAGTCAGCTAAGATCACACCACTGCACTCCAGTGGCAAGACTCCATCTCAAAAAAAAAAAAAAAAAGTAAACATTTATCTTATATTTGCTCCTATGAAGGCAATCTAATGTTTTTCTCTGCCTCCTTTAAGATTTTCTCTTTGATCTTCTTCTGTAGTTTCACTATGATGTGTCTTGCATGATTTTAAAATGTATCCTACTTGGGCTTTGTTGAACTTCTTGAATCTATGGATCGATATGTTTCTTAAATTTTAGAAAATTTTCATCTATGATCTCTTCAGAGATTGGTTTGACCCCATTCTCTTTTCTTTCTGAAATTTCAACTACAATTATTTTGGATTTCTCTCTGAATTCTGTCTGTCCCTCACTGTCTGTGCTGGATATCTCCAATTTCTCCCTTCTCCAATCCTCTATTCTGTGTCCTAAGAGGCAGATATTTATTTATTTATTTATGTTTTAGATGGAGTCTTGCTCTGTTGCCTAGGCTGGAGTGCAGTGGTGCAATCTCAACTCATCGCAACCTCTGCCACCCGGTTCAAGCGATTCTCCTGCCTCAGCCTCCTGAGTAGCTGGAACTACAGGCGCCTGTCACCATGCTTGGCTACTTTTGGTATTTTTAGTAGAGACGGGGTTTCACCATGTTGGCCAGGCTGGTCTCGAACTCCTGACGTCAGGTGATCCTCCCGCCTCGGCCTCCCAAAGAGCTGGGATTACAGGCGTGAGCCACCGTGCCTGGCCTAGACACTGTAATTTAAAAAATATTTGTAAAAGCAACTTGTGAACATAGGTAATTTGTTGTATGTCCCTTCAAGGATAATTTACATTTGCTTCTGCTAGGTAGCAGTGGCATTAATATGACACCGTTAGGTCTTACAACATGACTTCATGTCATTAGCATGACATCAAGATGGCTGCAGTCTTTGCAAGGCTTTCCTTACTCTAAGTTCATGTTTTCTTCTAGAGAGCAGTCCTTTAGTGTCTCAAAAGTAAGTCTGGGGCCAGGCACGGTGGCTCATGCCTGTAATCCCAACACTTTGGGAGGCCGAGGCAGGCAGAGTACTCGAGGTCAGGAGTTCGAGAACAGCGAGGTCAGGAGCATAAGACCAGCCTGGCCACCATGGTGAAACCTCGTCTCTACAAAAATACAAAAATTTAGCTGGGCACGGTGGCGCATGACTGTAATCCCATCTGCTCAGGAGGCTGAGGCAGGATAATCACTTGAAGCCGGGAGGTGGAGGTTGCAGTGAGCTGAGATTGGGCCACGACACTCCAGCCTGAGTGACAGAGCAAGGCTCCGTCTCAAAAAAAACAAAGTAAACAAAAATACCCCAAAAAACAACAACAAAAAAACTAAGTTTGGGATGGCAAATCAGGCCCCCTTCCTTTGGCAGACTCGGCTCCACCTTTTATCCCTTAAATCACCCAAAAGTGGTGCTCAAATCTCACCTGTCTTTCAGCATTAGCAAACAGCTTCTTTTATTCCAAATGGTGGTCTCATCTCTCTAGATTTCAGCCTTCTCTCAAATTTTGGCCCAGTAATTTCTCATTACCTTGTTATTTCTTTTATGGTTTTTATGTTTTAAAAAGTTTCAAAATGTAGGCCGGGCGCAGAGGCTGACGCCTGTAATCCCAGCGCTTTGGGAGGCCGAGACGGGCGGATCATGAGGTCAGGAGATCGAGACCATCCTGGCTAACACGGTGAAACCCTATCTCTACTAAAAATGCAAAAAAATTAGCCAGGCATAGTGGCAGGTGCCTGTAGTCCCAGCTACTCGGGAGGCTGAGGCAGGAGAATGGCGTGAACCCGGGAGGCGGAGCTTGCAGTGAGCCGAGATTGTGCCAATGCACTCCAGCCTGGGCGACTGAGTGAGACTCCATCTCAAAAAAAAAAAAAGTTTCAAAGTGTTTTGTCAAACATCTTCATTATCTTCAGAGAGACATCTATATGATTTATCTCCCCATCACTATTTAATATAACCTATGTGCTTTTCATTAAGATAAGTACACAATAATGTAACTATTGTCAAAAGGAAATAGCTGAGTCAAATGAAGATGTTTCAAGGTAGGAAAGGTTTAAAAGCCTGTTCGGGCTAGGTGTGATGGCTCACGTCTGTAATCCCAGCACTTTGGGAGGCTGAAGCAGGAGGATAGTGTAAGACCAGGAATTTGAGACCAGCCTGGGCAACATAGTGAGACCCTGTCTCTACAAAAAAAAAAAAAAAAAAAAGAAAAGAAAAGAAAAATTAGCTGGGTGTGCTGGCATGCTACTTGAGAGGCTGAGGGGGAAGGATCACTTGAGCCCAGGAGTTTGAGACCAGACTGGGCAACAACGTGGTGAAACCCTGTCTCTACAAAAAATACAAAAATTAGCCAGGCATAGTGGCAGGCGCCTGTAGTCTAGCTATTCAGGAGGCTGAGGTGGGAGGATCACTTGAGCCTGGGAGGTTGAGGCTGCAGTGAGCCATGATCACGCCACTGCACTCCAGTCTGGGTGACACAGTGAGACCCTGTCAAAAGAATAAAAATAAAAACAAAAACAAAAAAAAGAGAGAGTGTAACTGTAAGTTCCCAGATAAATCTCTTAAAATCTTGAGGGCTGGGCCAGAAGATTTTTTTTTCTTTTTTTCTTTTTGAGACGGAGTCTAGCTCTGTTGCCCAGGCTGGAGTGCAATGGCGTGATCTCAGCTCACTACAACCTCCGCCTCCTGGGTTCAAGCGATTCTTCTGCCCCAGCCTCCCAAGTAGCTGGGATTACAGGTATGCACCACCATGCCCGGCTAATTTTTTGTATTTTTAGTAGAGATGGGGATTCACCATGTTGGCCAGGCTGGTCTTGAACTTCTGACCTCTAGTGATCCACCCACCTCAGCCTCCCAAAGTGCAGGGATTACAGGCATGAGCCACAGCACCCAGACTTTTTTTTTTTTTTTGAGACAGGATCTTGCTCTGTTGCCCAGGGTGGAGTGCAGCGGCCGGATCTCACTGCAACCCCTGCCTTCCGGGTTCAGGTGATTCTCCTGCCTCAGTCTCCCGAGTAGCGGGGATTACAGGTGCTCACCACCACACCCGGCTAATTTTTGTATTTTTTGTAGAGACGGGGTTTCTACTAAACCCTGTATCTTGGCCAGTTTGGTCTTGAACTCCTGACCTCAAGTGATGGGCCAGAAGATTTCTAAGGAGTCTTGCATTCTAAACTTCTATTATTGTGAATCCAATGTTGTAGCAGAGACAGAGCTGGATTTGGAATCAGGAGCCTGGGATTTGAGCACAGCTCGGCCACATACCAGCTGTGTGAACATGGGCAAGTCATTTAATCTCTCTAAGCCTCACGGAGATTTACTTGACAGACTTGGGAAGGATTAAGGGGGTTACTGTACGTCAAAGTGCCTTATAAACTGTAAAGAACTACCCTAATGTCAGGTATTCTTTTATAATGTCCAGTCTTCCTTTTTTTTGAGCCAATCAGAAAAAGTAACCTAAAGTGAGTCAGATCTCAGGAATTTAAGTTGTAAAACCAGGAAATACAGTATAGTTAATTGTGCATCATAATCACCTTATGGAATTTATAGAATCGTTTTATTTTATCAATGCTTGCACTTTGATAATGAATAATACAAGGTAAAATTACAAATAGGTACTCACTTGTACAGGCCGATCCTCCATAAGAAGATGCTCACTGTTCTTGGAATCCCAAATTTTGGGGGGCAAAATAGTGAACACAGTATATGATAACGGCAACAAGTACTTATAAGCTAGTTTTCTCTTTCATTGAACAATTTCGTGTTGAGCCATCAGGTCTACCGGGGAGGATAGCAAACCTGAGGCCAACAAGAAAGAAGTTTTCCTGTTTTTCAAGTGAGGAAGGGCAGCCCTAGAATAACCTAAGCTGCCATGGGCAGGGCGATGATGTTTTCTCCTGAGACAGCCAATGAGCCATGTGTCAAAGGCCAGCCCTTCCTATTCTTTGGACTAACAGCCCTAGAACTGCTTTGAGGTCTTTTGAATGGAACTCGGGGAACCTAGTTCGTTGGTGCACACCGGCGACAATTTTTCGATTATTCAGCAGAACTGATAAAGTATTTCCTTGAGAGGTTCAGCGCGCGCACGCGCCCCCTCGGTTTGTGTTGAGTAACGCGCGCACTATGTCATTCAGTGCCCGCACATCGTTGTTGCTCAAGACTCAAGACGTTGCAAGAAAATGGCTAACGAAGCGACGAGAGAACGGCGGCGCGGCGGACGTTGCTGCGGTAGGACGTGCCCGACCTCCCAGTCCACACAAGGGAGCGCACCGCCCAAGTGGCCGCGGCCCGCTCGACCGAGCGCGCCGCTGCCGGTCCCTGCGCCAACGCGCACGCGCGGCCGTCATCCGGGTGCTGGCGGCTGCTGCTGCAGGTTGCGCTAGGGTGGCGGACCGGGGGAGGGGCCAGCGGCTCATTGTGCGCAGCGCTGCGCGGCGCCGGCGGCCGCCGAGGCCTGGGTGGAAGTTGGCGCTGCTGCCGCCGCCCTGCAGCCCACTCGCTGCCTCGGCAGCGCGCTGCTCTTCTAAGATGGCTGCCGCTACCGGTGCGGTGGCAGCCTCGGCCGCCTCGGGTCAGGCGGAAGGTAAAAAGATCACCGATCTGCGGGTCATCGATCTGAAGTCCGAGCTGAAGCGGCGGAACTTAGACATCACCGGAGTCAAGACCGTGCTCATCTCCCGACTCAAGCAGGTGAGGCCCGGCGAGGACCGGAAAGGACCGGGAAGGGGAACTTAGGCCGCGCCTCGGCGCCCCGCTTCCGCCGCAGCCTCCGGCTGCCCGCAGCCGCTGGGACCTGCGGAACGGCATGGTAGGGAGGCCAGGGGCGGCTCCCGCGAGCGTGGAGGACGGGGACCCTTCCGCGGTGCCCCCGCCCCGCGCCCCGGGCCGGGCCGGGCCTGCGAGGGACCGGCCACCGCAGCCCAGCGTGCCTCCGCCTCCCCGGGACGTCCCCGCCAGGCTGCGAGGGTTGCGGCCGGCCGGCGCGGCCTCCCAAGGGCGATCGCGGAGACCTGGGAGGCGCTGGCTCCCCAGCCTTTAGCCATGGTGAGCGTGTGCATTTCTTGGCCTCAGAGGGAATGGTTACTTTGGTGACTTCTGCGAAGTTACCGTTTAATTGTGCCCAACCGTTTCTTCCCCATCTTGAGGGGGAATTGGTAGTGGGAGTTGATGGGTGGGTGACAGAGTTTTTGTTTTCCACTAGGCTTTTAGTTTTTGCATCAGCGCAATAATTACTTTTTCTTTCCTGATTAGCTTTCTGGTTTGAGTGAGCGTTGGAATTGTAGCAGAGGAGCAGTAAGTTTGCATTACAGAAACTAGGAAAACTCTTTTTAGTTATTTACTTTAGTAGCTAGCAACTTTTCTGCAATAGAACATATTTGGATTTTTGGCCAGTATGATGTGATATTTAATTATCTTGACACGGTAGAATTTAAAACTCCTTGCGATTTTGATACCTAATGATTTTTTTCCCCTGAAAGTTTCTCTCACTCTTTCGTGTAGTTTAATTGCTCATTTTTGAAGTCGGTTGATGAAATGACTGGCAATTCTAATGTCTTGAGGCTTGAGGTTTGCTAAATTTTTTTTCATTTCGTTTTTATAAAATAAGTTTAGATAGATTGTGTAGCATATTAACTTCTCTTTCTAATGTAGGCTATTGAAGAGGAAGGAGGCGATCCAGATAATATTGAATTAACTGTTTCAACTGATACTCCAAACAAGAAACCAACTAAAGGCAAAGGTTGTTACGAGTTATGAACATGTTTTAAAATATATTTTGGTTATATAACTTGCCTCTGCTCTTGTGCCTCTTGCCCTGTTTATATAGTGCTACTCTTTGCTATTTCCCTCTGGCAGTCTGCCTTCTTGGGTCAAGGAAGAAAAGTTACTGTTGCCAGGCTTTGGGTGACTTGTAGCCCTTAAGATTCGGCTGAAGCTGATTAGAAAGTGAGAACAGTTCTTTATTGCTTCCGGAAAAAATTACAAAGTCAAGTTGTGTAATGATGCTTCATAGTGTGAAGACCTGAATAAAATACAGTTTAACACATGTCTACCTTGCCCCACAATTGGCAGAGTTTTGATGGAATTCCTACCAAATCTTTTACCTTGCCTCCTTGCTGTTTTCTTTAGTATATTAAAATTCTATAACCTTTATGTTTAGTACTTTGTTTGACTTGGTGAACTTAATTTGCATTTATGCCATTATACCTCCTAATTTTTAGTGAAATTCAAAAAGACCTCACCAATCATACTAACAAGGTAGAGGGAAAAATCCATGATTAATTAGCTTAAAAAAGTTTTAAATTATAGGGATGTTAAAGATTCTTATTTTTAACTTTTAAGCTAGAGCAAAATATATTTATTTCTAGGATATAATGATTTAGTGACTAGCTAAAAGTGGTTTTAAATGAACGTTTTGCAGTATGAATGGAACTTAGGTATTTTTTAAAGCTTCTTGGTAAATGAAACCTTTATTTGAATAACTGCAAATTTCTCCCTCCTATAAGGACAGTGGCAGAGGGTGGACATGATATATCTGGATTCTGGTCTTTACCTACAATTTTCATGCAGAGTTTGTCATGAACAGCTGCTGCATTTTTTGTAATCTAATTTTCTTTACTGCTTTAAGTGATCCAAGTGTTACTCCCAACCACTGAATGATTGCAACTAAAATAAAATGAATGGATTAATATTGAAAAGGGAATATTAAATTTTGATCTTAAGCACACCTGGGTATCAGAGATGAGGACAACTCACTATTTTAAGTCTTCCTAGGTTAGGAGAGTCCCCTGTTTGTGCCAAAGGAAATTGAAAAGGGCTAATAAGCATTCCCTGGGAGAGGTGGGGATGTAGTTTAGAGAAGTAAAAAAGTTATCTTAAAGGTAGCTTTTAAGATAACTCTGACTCAGTGTATCACTTTGAGAGATACATTTTCTGTATTTAAAGAAGCTTGTCATGAGAAGACTGCCAACAAACCAGAGGCTATTTCAAAATGGAAAACGATAGAAATTCAGAAATAAGTATATCAGGAATTAACCATGTGTCTTGCAGTAGTTTTGATTCATATCTTTTACCTAGCATGCTGTGCTAGTTTGACAGGTACTGTGTATTAATCATAGTCCCAGGTTGTTTGAGTTGACTATTATTTTAGCATTGAAAATAAACATGATTTATTCCTTTCTCACCTACTTTTAATTTCTCTGTATATCCCTTTTTCAGTTTTGACTAGGAACATCATTTATCTCTTATTATTAGAAATAATTTCAGCAATATAAAATTTTAAGGGTTTTTTCAATACATTTTATGACAGGTATATATATCTATATATATGATATATAGATTATATATAGGTGTATATATATCATATATGATATATATATATATTTTTTAATAGGGTATTGCTCTGTTGCCCAGGCTAGAGTGCAGTGGTGCCTAGCTCTTTGCAGCCTCAAACTCCTGGGCTTAAGTGATCCCTCCCACCTTAGCCTCCCTGGTAGCTGGGACTACAGGCATGTGCCACCACAACATTTTAAATAAGTAAACATTATTTATTTTTATCAGTATGTTTGCTAATTTTTTTCTTTGTATGGGTTATACTTGAACTTTATTCCATAACTCTGATGTTAAGAGGTCTTAAGGTATTCAGTTAGAAGTTGTAACATTTGGGGGCCGGGTGCAGTGGCTCACGCCTGTAATCCCAGCAGTTTGAGAGGCTGAGGCGGGTGGATCACCTGCGGTCGGGAATTCGAGAGCAGCCTGGCCAACATGGCCAAACCCCATCTCTACTAAAAATACAAAAAAAAAAAAAAAAAAAATAGCTGGGCATGGTGGCGCGCGTGCCTGTAGTCCCAGCTACTCGGGAGGCTGGGGAGGCTGAGACAGGAGAATCGCTTGAACCCAGGAGGTGGAGGTTGCAGTGAGCTAAGGTCACTCCACTGCAGTCCAGCATGAGACCCCATCTCAAAAAAAAAAGAAGTTGTAACATTCAATCATTTGTTTGTAGCAGGCCTCATTCTAAGAGATGCATGACAAAAAGCTCTAGTCTTCTTGAAATCCGGCTATCATTGTTATGAAAATCTTGTGAATTACAAAGAATATAATGTAAATCTCCAACTCCAAACAGTTTGAATTAATTTACAATAAAGATGCTTATTGATTCAATTATTTTATTTTTATTATTTTTAATATGAGAGATTTTGAACCCAGTTTACTTATTAAAGAATGCTCTTGTCTCAAATTCCAAGCGCTACTGATCATCTTTAGAGCCAGTTTTGCTTAAATGCGTCATACCAACTCAGTTCTAGCCTTCTAAAATGGCAGAGTTCTAAAATGGCAGAGATGTTTTCTCTGCCATTTTACAAAGTGATAAGATTATTTTAGGCCGGGTGCAGTGGCTCATGCCTATAATCCCAAAAGGCCAAGGTGGGAGGATCGCTTGAGTCCAGTAGTTCAAGACCAGCCTGAGCAACATAGTGAGACCCTATCTCTATTTTAAAAAAGAATTAAGATGTTTAAATAATAACTTTTAGAAACCAAATTTGTATAGGGAAACTTATTAAAATATCAATAATGAACAGATTTGAAAACCAAGGATATATTAAATATTGTTTTAATGTGATGTCCGTTTTTCTTTTCTTTTCTTTTTTTTGAGATGGAGTTTCGCTCTTGTCACCCAGGCTAGAGTGCAATGGTGTGATCTCGGCTCACTGCAACCTCCGCCTCCCGGTTTCAAGCGATTCTCCTGCCTCAGCCTCCCGAGTAGCTGAGATTACAGGCATGCGCCACCACTCCAAACTAATTTTGTATTTTTAGTAGAGACGGGTTTCTCCAGTTGGTCAGGCTTGTCTTGAACTCCCAACCTCAGGTAATCCTCCCGCCTCGGCCTCCCAAAGTGAGCCACCGCACCTGGCTGATAATCAGTTTTTCAATCAAGTTGCTGAATTACTACATTCAATTCTTTTTGCCAGATCTTGTTTTACTTACTGGTATCTACATTGAAAATAATTTCATCTTGGTTATGCCACTTTTCCTTCAGTGCGCCTGTTTTCTCTTTTGTAAAACTGGAAATTTTACTAGGTCCCCTGTAAGGCTCTTTTAGTTCTGAAATTTAATAATTATATAGACAAAAATGAGAAGAAAATGCTTTCTGTTTAACTAAAATGATGTTTAAGGAAGCAACAGGTAAGCTCATAGGAAATCAGTATCGTTTTTCTTCAGCACAAATTATTAGAAAACGAAAAGTGCCAAGAAGGGGATTACGTAGAGGTAATTATGTAGACATCAGCGAGACATAATATATAATAGCTGGTCAGGAAAAGAAATGATTCTTATGACAATATTAAGGTAGTGAATAAAAGTTAAATGACGAGAAGCTTCATAGGTATGGAAAAAATACTTTGGTGAAACATTGAGCTTATTCTTTTATAAAATAACTATAGGGTAACTTTCTTTTAAAAATGTATGTTAAAATGATTCTATTTAGAGAGGTTAGAGGGAAAGGAACCTACATTTTTAAGTTTCTCCTAGAATATTTTTTAAATGCAGCTATTACAAGCACAAACAATGTTGATAATGTTATAGTGGGCTCTGACATTTATATCAACATATTTATAAAATTCCTTTACATGTAGTTAATAGAGTAGATGTTTGTATCTTAGAATGGCTTTCCTGAGTCTTCACACTCTCTTTGTTATGAACTTTTAAATAAGTAACTTAGGAGAAAGCTTCACCCATTGAAGTTTACGGTTATATTAATTGGGTGTGTGTTTAAAAAGTAGTTAAACAGGTAGAGCTAACTTCTCATTAGGTTGTTTTAGAGATTATAGATTTAAAGACTTTTGGTTTACCTGATGCTGGCATATCCTTTTCTTTTAAAATTTCAACCTTTAAAGTCACCAATTAACTTCAGCAAAAGTGATGTGGTTAATCAGTACAGTATTTAGAACTATATGTAATGCAATACTTACCGACATTAAAACTAATTTGCAATACCTGGCAGCTTTAAAAAGACTAAAAATGATGTGTACAATCTGATTTTTCTTCTATAGAAACAAATATATTTTGAGGTTATAGGTTTGGCCAAACATCTAATGTATAATTTTTTGTGGAAAATACCACAGACTACATATTTATAATTAAGTACATGTTTACTCTGTAAAGCTTTCTAAAACTGGTATCAATTAAATGTAGTAATCAGCCATATAAAGCACATTTCATATAACACAGTATCATAGTGTACTGTAATTAGCTTTTTTCCTCCAGCTGTAGTATGTTCAGATGTTAAGTAACACTTTAATCAGAACTGTGGCATTGAGGAGGACTTTGGGCGTATAATTGTTATAGATATTTCTTAGGTACCTGAAAGGCTGAAAGCTCTGAAGGCCAGGACATAGTTTTTCATTTACCTCTGTCTCTGTAATGCCTGGTGTAGAGCATGGCACGTAATAAGTGCTCAAAAAATATTTGTTGAATGAATACTGAGGGCCTTTTTGGGGCTTTCTTAACTGCTTTTAGAAATACCTCTTTTGGGCCAGGCGCATGGCTCACGCCTGTAATCCCAGTACTTTGGGAAGCTGAGGTGGGCGGATCACCTGATGTCAGGAGTTTGAGACCAGACTGGCTAACATGGTGAAACCCCGTTTTTACTAAAAATACAAAAAATTAGCTGGGCATGGTGTTTCGCATCTGTAATCCTCGCTACTTGGGAGGCCGAGGCAGGAGAATCTCTTGAACCTGGGAGGCAGAGGTTGCAGTGAGCTGAGATTGCGCCATTGCACTCCAGCTTGGGCAACAAGATCATCATCTTTAGATAATCTGTTCATCTTTAGAAACTTGGTCTCAAAAAACAGAAAACAAACAAAAAAAAGAAATATCTCTTTTGGTGCCTATTTTAATTGCATATTTCTTTGTAAGAAGCAGGTATATCAGGGATTAATAGTTTTTATCTTTTTTTTAAAGGTGCCTCTCTCAAGAGCATAATGGCTTCTCCTTACACATTGATATGTAAAATATACTTACTTTTAGAACACATGAATCATTGCATCATCCTTTTATTCTTTACCACATTGATGCTGTGTTGAAAAGCCTCTGAACCTTGCTGGAATACTGTCCAACCTCAGAGGTTGTATATGTCATTTTCATTTCACAAAATTAGCCCTTTTATCGCAGCCATTAAAACATACATTTGGCCAGGCGCGGTGGCTCACACCTATAATCTCAGCACTTTGGGAGGCCGAGGTGGGTGGATCACAAGGTCAGGAGTTCGAGACTAGCCTGGCCAACATGGTGAAACCCCCTCTCTACTAAAAATACAAAAATTAGCCAGGTGTGGTAGCATGTTCTGTAATCCCAGCTACTCTGGAGGCTCAGGCAGGAGAATCACTTGAACTTGGGAGGAGGAGGTTGCAGTGAGCCGAAATGGTGCTGCTGCACTCCAGCCTGGGTGACAGAACAAGACCCTGACTCAAAGAAAAAAAAAAAAAAAGGTAATCCAGAAAAGTACAAAAAAGTGAAGATTACCCGTAATCCCACCACCCTGAATTTATCATATGTAGCATTTTACATATGATATATATACATGTTTATAATTAAGTACATGTTTACTCTGTAAAGCTTTCTAAAAGTTAATCTAATATAGTAATCAACCACATAAAGCACATTTCATATTACAACACATGTTGATCTAAGTTGTGTAGGTGTATGTGCAAGTACTTACAGGAGGTTTATGTTTAAAGGTTTTTTCCCCCCTTTTCAACAACTAAAATAGATTCACACCATACATGGTGTTTTGTTGAAGGTAGATAGAACTTAAATATTTCTGTAGTCTGGAGAATCAAAAAACAATAACCTTCCGTCTATATTCTTCTCAACAGCTTCTGTAAATAGATTCACTTGTCTTAGTGGCTCATGATCTGCACTCTGCGTTAGTCATTTGAATTTTAAAAAATACAGATAGCAGGCTTTCACTCCCCATAGAGTTGGTTTGGGTTGTTATGTTGGGGGCCCAGGCATCAGTATGTATTTTCTAAAAGCTCCCCAGGTGATTCTTACATACACCTGAAGTTAAGAACTAACTAATCTAAACTAAAGCTTGAAATTTAGCATCATTTTTATTCATCTCTCTGCTGGTCAGTTTCTAGATTATTTTATATACTTTTCAGTTTTCGGAAAACTTCTACATTGCTTTATTTGATTCTCACAACGGTGCTGAGAGTTAAGCAGGACTATTTTCTTTTTACTGGTAGAATAGAAAGGTAATTCATTAAGAACCCAGTTAAATTACCTTTGACAGTCTTGTGTTTGTAGGCACACCTGCCTGAAGGAGTGTGCCGGAATTGTTTATTCTGTTCATCTTTAGATAATTAATGTAAGATATTTGAAAAATATACCTTTGGCATATTCTAGGTTTATTATAATGAATGTGAATTATCTTTGTAGTAATTTTTCAAAGTGACCTATTGGGCCAGGTGGGATGGCTCACTCTTGTAAACCCAGCACTTTGGGAGGTGGAGGCGGGTGGATCACTTGAGGTCAGGAGTTCGAGACCAGCATGGCCAACATGGTGAAACCCCATCTCTACTAAAAATACAAAAACTAGCTGGGCATGGTGTTGGGCACGTGTAACCTTAGCTACTCAGGAGGCTGAGGCAGGAGAGTCACTTGAACCCAGGATGCAGAGGTTGCACTGAGCTGAGATTGTGCCACTGCACTCCAGCCTGGGCAATAGAGTAAGACCCTGCCACAAAAACAGAAACAAAAAACTCAGAGTGACCTATTGTATGACTGTTGTGTTTAAGACAATGTGCAAGGCCTTTCAGAAAAATGATTTTGTTAGTAAAATGTCAGTTTAATAGAAGAGAAGCTAAAACACTTGCAAACAATACAAGGCATGGCCTGTGATTAAGATACTCCATGCAATTGGGAAGAGGTTGTTGCTGGAAACATTTCAGTTTGGCATATCTTCTTAATCTTCCCCTCCCTTGCAACAGAAATTTTATAACTAAGCTTTTTTTTTTTTTTTTTTTAACATTTTATCGTAGCTCTTGTGAATGTTTAAGGGGAAAAGTTACTCAGCCATAAAGTATTTTGGCAAAATGATTTTAAAATTTCCTTAGGCTGGGAGCAGTGGCTCACGCCTGTAATCCCAGCACTTTGGGAGGCCAAGGCAGGAAGATTGCTTGGACCCAGGTGGTTGAGGCTGCAGTGAACCATGACTGCCCCTGCACTCCACCCTGGGCGATAGAGCAAGACCTTGTCTCAAAGAAAAGAAACTAATTATTAAGTGGGATTTGTTTTTGTTTGGGAGGTATTTCTGAACTTAAAAAGGAAAATTGCAAACCATTATAGGGACTAGTTTGCCTTTGGAGGAAAAGGAAAATTGCAAACCCTTATAAAGACCAATTTGCCTTTGGAGGAGAAAGCCAATTTATCATCCAAAATCCTCAGAATTCTCAAATACAAAAAGTTCTGAAAACTGAAAGTTTCTTCTTAAGTTTGGTGGCAAAAGTTATTTATAGTCTTGACTTATCCCATTTGATGTGAATCTGCTTACATTTCATTGCACAAAATGTTTCTGTGATTGTGAAATACTGTTCCAGAAGCCACTGGGAGGTTTAACTTAATAAATAGTATATGCAACGTTTTACTCTTCTAAAATCTGAAAATTGTGAATTCTGAAACATATCTCAGAGGGTTTCATTAAGAATTTTTGGGCTTATACAAATTTATGCTACATAAATGTTTATAGTCTTGTCTTTCTCTGGTATATACGTTTTTACTTTGCCATTTTACTTTAGGCCCTCAAATCATGCAAGTTATATTTTAGATTTTGTTTTTGTCATTTCAAAATAGCTATGTTACTACTATGATAGTTTAGGATGTGATAGGTTAATCTTGCTTTCATTTTTTATTTTGTTATTCAGATTATGTTTACTGCCCAATTTATTTTGTAGTTTTTTCCTCAAAGCGTAAAAGTTTGGCTTCAGGCCAGGCGTGGTGGCTCACGCCTCTAATCCCAGCACCTTGGGAGGCCGAGGCCGGTGGATCACTTGAGGCCAGGAGTTCGAGACCAGCCTGGCCAACATGATGAAACCCTGTCTCTATTAAAAATACAAAAATTAGCTGGGTGTGGTGGCATGAGGCTATAATCCCAGCTACTCAGGAGGCTGAGTCAGGAGAATTGCTTGAACTCGGAAGGCAGAGGTTGCAGTGAGCCAAGATAGCGCCTCTGCACTGCACTCCAGCCTGGGCAAGAAGAGCGAGACAGTGTCTCCAAAAAAAAAAAAAAAAAAAAAAAAAAGGTTTGGCTTCAATCTGCCTTACACTTTCAGTTAGTTCCTTTATCCTGGTCATGCCACTTTCACAGTTTTGCGGCAGTTGCTAGATTCCCTGTAGGACAAAAGAGGTGAAACTATTTAGTTGATTTGCTGTAGGAGCTTTAATAGCAAAGGTTTAAATCGGGTAGACATAAATGGTTACTTGACTCTACAAAAATGTGCTGAAGATAGTGCCGCTTGTCGGAATTTAAGGGTGATTTGGTCTTTAAAATTCTTTCTCGTGTGTGATATTACAAAAGTTAGGGACCTGCAGAGGTAGTGACAGGATGTATTGACAGGATGGGGTTACACACAAAGTTAGTTGAACTGCCATGTCACCCCTTTCTCCCAGTTGGGCCAAATAGAAATCCAGACCTTGTTTTCTTGTTTTTAACTTTTAGAGATTATTTTATTTATTTGTTTGTTTTTGAGGAGTCTCACTCTGTCACCCAGATTGAAATTGAGTGGCACAATCTTGGCTCACTGCATTCTTGACCTCCTGGGCTTATGGTATCCTCCCACATCGGCCCCCCTAGTAGCTGGATGGCAGGTGCACACCACCACGCCTGGCCAATTTGTGTGTTTTTTTGTAGATACGGGGCTCCACCATGTTGTCCATACTAGTCTTGAACTTCTGACCTCAGTTAATCCTCCTGCCTTGGCCTCCCAAAGGGTTTGAGATTACAGGTTCAAGCTACCATGCCCGACCTGTTTTCCATGTGTCCAGCATAGGACTTACTCCATTATCAGTCAGAAAATATATAATGCGGCTAGGTGCAGTGGCTCACCTCTGTAATCCCAGCACTTTGGGAGGCTGAGGTGGGCTGATCACTAGAGGTCAGGAGTTCGAGACCAGTCTGGCCAACTTGGTGAAACCCCATCTCTACTAAAAATACAAAAATTAGCTGGATGTGGTGGCAGCACGTGCCTGTAATCCCAGCTACTTGGGAGGCTGAAGCGGGAGAATCGCTCGAACCCACAAGATGGAGGTGGCAGTGAGCCAAGATCACACCACTGCACTCCAGCCTGGGTGACAGAGTGAGACTCCATCTCAAAAAAAAAAGAAAAAAGAAAGATACAATGCTTGAATATCGGTTTTATATTATATATTTTATATATTTTTTATATACGCATATAATATATAATATATATTTTATACATGTATATAATATATTTTATACGTATATAATATATATTTTATACGTATATAATATATATTATATACATATTATATACATATAAAATATATTATATACGTATAAATTTTATACGTATATAATATATAATATGCATATTGTATATTATGTACTATACATATTATATATTATATAAATATATATATAGTGTTGTACTAGGTTCTGAGCTGGCTGATAAACATTATAGCTTTTTTTTTTTTTTTTTTTTTTGAGGCAGAGTTTTGCTCTTGTCACCCAGACTGGAGTGCAGTGGCATGATCTCGGCTCACTGCAACCTCCACCACCCGGGTTCAAGCAATTCTTCTGCCTCAGCCTCCCAAATAGCTGGGATTACAACCATGAGTCACCACACCCGGCTACTTTTTTGTGTTTTTAGTAGAGACAGGGTTTCACCATGTTGGCCAGGCTAGTTGCACACTCCTGACCTCAAGTGGTCCACCCACCTCGGCCTCCCAAAGTGCTGGGATTACAGGCGTGAGCCACCTCACCTAGCAACATTATAGCTTTTTAAAATGAGTTATATTTTGTATGGAGGGGAAGTGTTTTTTCACAAAATAAGAAATTACAATATAGTCGGCTGGAGTCAGGAGTTCGAGACTAGCCTGGTCAACATGCTGAAACCCTGTCTCTACTAAAAATACAAAAATTAGCTGGGGTGGTGGCATGCGCCTGTAATCCCAGCTCCTTGTGAGGCTGAGGCATGAGAATCGCTTGAACCTGGGAGGCGGAGGTTGCAGTGAGTTGAGATCATGCCACTACACTTCAGCCTGCATGACAGAGTAAGAGTCTGTCTCCAAAAAGAAAAAAAGAAAAAAAGAAGTTAACAATATTTACCATGTGTAAAGTTTGTAATTTACGATGTGTAAAACAAGCCAAAAGTTGCCAATTATGAAAGCAGTCCAAAGCTAATGTGAGATTTCATTTTTTTTGAATACTATGTATCTATCAGGTTGTTACTCCAGTTTCATCACTGTTTGACAATCTTGTCCTAATGTCTTTTAAGATTACAAGCTGAAACATTAAATGTCCAGTGTGATTGTATTGTAACAGCTGTTGGAAACAGTATGGGACAGCAAAGTTAGACCATTTTTACATACCCCAGTGCTGCCTCTTGTTGCCTGTGCGTCATCGTCATTGGGCAAGTGAGTCTCACATTTTAAAATTTCATACATGTGGATTTTGGAACTTCTGTTTACACTAAAAGAGATAATATTTTAAACAACTGGCACATTGTAACTCCTCAGAGATCGAATGGTTTTGAGGAATGGAAATTGGGCTGCATTTAAATTGAAGCACTGCCATTTACTAGCTTTGTAATCTAATTTTTCAGACTTAGTGTCTCTTTTGTAAAAGGGGCATAATTGTTTCAGAGGAGTTGTGAGGATAAAATTTTAAAATACAAGTACATAAATGCATATGAAGAATTTATCCTAGCACCTGGACCATAGATGCCACTTCAGTGGTAATGACTGCTGTTTTTGTTGCTGAAGTGTAATTTGATTTTCCTGTTTTTCACTAAAAGAAGAGAAATTCGACACAGAGTGTGCATACTATGCAATTTGTCATTATGCTGAGGACTGCCATTTCAAAGATAATACCTTTATTTTAAAAATTTTTTATTTTTTATTTTTTTGAGATGGAGTCTCACTGTGTTGCCAAGGCTAGAGTGCACTGGTGCAATCTCGGCTCACTGCAACCTTCACCTCCCGGGTTCAAAGGATTATTCTGCCTCAGCCTCCCGAGTAGCTGGGATTACAGGCGCCCATCACCACACCCGGCTAATTTTTGTGTTTTTAGTAAAGAATGGGTTCACTGTGTTGGCCAGGCTGGTCTCGAACTCCTGACCTCACGTGATCTGCCCACCTCTGCCTCCCAAAGTGTTGGGATTACAGGTGTGAGCCACCACGCCCAGCCAAAAAATTTTTATTTATTTATTTATTTATTTATTTATTTATTTATTATTTTGAGATGGAGTCCCATTCCATTGCCCAGGCTGGAGTGCTGCGTTGCTATCTTGGCTCACTGCAGCCTCCACCTCCCGGGTTCAGGTGATTCTCCTGTCTCAGCCTCCCAATTAGCTGGGATTACAGGCATGTGCCACCATGCCCAGCTAATTTTATATTTTTAGTAGAGATGGGGTTTCACTGTGTTGGCCAGGCTGGTCTCAAACTCCTAACCTCAGATGATCCACCTACCTTGGCCTCCCAAAGTGCTGGGATTACAGGCATGAGCTGCTGTGCCCAGCCTTATTTATTTATTTTACTTTCAAGACAGAGTGTCGCTCTGTCTCTCAGGCATGAGTGCAGTGGGGCGATCTCAGCTTACCGCAACCTCCACTTCCCCGGTTCAAGTGATTGAACCCAGTGCCTCAGCCTCCTGAGTAGCTGGGATTACAGGCGTGCACCACCATGCCCAGCTACTTTTTTGTATTTTTTAGTAGAGGTGGGGTTTTGCTAGTTGGCCAGGCTGCTCTCAAACTCCGGGCTTCAAGCAATCTGCCCTCCTTGGCCTCCCAAATTGCTGGGTTTACAGGCATGAGGCACTGCGCCCGGCCTCAAAGATAATTAAGTTGAATTAATTCACCACTCCTTATTAGAATAATGTGTTTTATACAGGTCATAATAAGATATAGTGGCAGGACAAGATTGGTCACGAAATCCTGGCTTCAGTTCTGACAGCACCATTTTCAAGTTTTAGGCAAGGTATTTAACCTCTCAGGCTCATTTTCTCTTTTGTAAAATTGTGATAATGGACCTATGTACCATCATAGGGTGCTTGGACAAATCAACTGAAATTTTTTTTAAGTGCTTTGCAAATTATAAGGCAGTTTGTGATTATAAGGAATAAATAGCATTTATAAATGATCTACAGGAATTCCCCCAAAAGTTCTGCTCTATAGGCTATTTGGTGGTGAGTGTGTATGGGAGAGGATTTGATGTTTTGGTTTATTTTGCTTCTGAGGTAGGGTCTCGCTCTGTTGCCCAGGCTGGAGTGCAGTGGTTGGTATAATTACAGCTCACTGCAGCCTTGCCCTCCTGGGTTCAAGCAGTTCTCCCACCTCCTGGGTTCAAGCAGTCCTCCCACCTCAGCCTCCCGAATAGCTGGGACTACCGGCATACACCGCGACACCCAGCTGTGTTTAAAAAATTTTTTTTTGAAGAGATAGGGATCTCACTGTGTTGCCTGGGCTGGTCTCAACTCATGGGCTCAAGCGATTCTCCCCCTCCAGCCTCCCAAAATGCTGGGATTACAGGCAGTAGCCACCGCTTCCAGCAGGATTTGATATTTTAAAAAAGCATTTTTCTCCCAAAAAGTAGCCTCTTTAAGGTTTTTGTATTATGGAACTTTCTCTAAATGTAATAGAAGAATTTAATTATCTGGGCGTGGTGGCTCACGCCTGTTATCCCAACACTTTGGGAGGCCGAGGTGGGTGGATCACCTAAGGTCAGGGGATCGAGACCATCCTGGCTAACACGGTGAAACCCCGTCTCTACTAAAAATACAAAACATTAGCCATGTATGGTAGCACGCGCCTGTAGTCCTACTACAGGAGGCTGAGGCAGGAGAATCGCTTGAACTCGGGAGGCAGAGGTTGCAGTGAGCCGAGATTGCGCCACTGCCTTCCACCCTGGGCGACAGAGCAAGACTCTTGTCTCAGGAAAA
The DNA here is from genome assembly GCF_000001405.40 of Homo sapiens. Classification (NCBI taxonomy): domain Eukaryota; kingdom Metazoa; phylum Chordata; class Mammalia; order Primates; family Hominidae; genus Homo; species Homo sapiens. Next base: position 58,918,924 of record NC_000015.10, on the reverse strand, counting down.
AAAAAAAAAGAATTTAGTAGTTTTCTTTTTCAGGAAAAGGACATCTTTAGTTTTTTTTCTTTCTTAGTGATTGCCCTTTTAGTAACTTCTAATTTTAGATTTTAGGGCAACATAATCAGATAGACTTGTTGTTATGTGAAATTCTCATGTACAAATTAAGTTTAGTGATAAAGAGAATGATGACAGTAATTATAAAATTATATGCAAAGCATTAATCTACAAAGGGAATAGTAAACCAAAAAGTTAAACCAAAAAGTTATGTTTTCCCCAAAATGCAAACGTCAACATTGTAAATAGAAAGTTAACACAACACCAAGCGCCACACTTCATTTCTTGTTTGGTTCTCACAAGCCTTCAGCTACTAATTGAGTAAAAGAAAAATCCCCACTCCTAATCTTGTTTTTTACATACTTGGAAGGACTAGCATATCTTTTCCCCTTTTATCACTCATTTGCGGAAATGACTTAGAATTGGGAGTAGATGACAGATAGGAGCTACCGAGGAGACTAGGGAAATGCAGGTTTACTAACCTTTAAAATATTTATTCCAACGGCTAAACCTCTACCCTGATTACTGAAGCTTGAACTAGGTAGTAGCACTGTCTGTGCCAGTTGTAGGCAAAGGGAAAAAAGTTCATTCGTTGGTCTTAGGAAAGAACATCCATTCATGTTTCAAAAGAAATGAAAAAAAAAATTTTTTTTAATAAACTTCCAGCAGATGTCTTTTTTTTATGGCATTTCTAGTACATTAAGGATTTTTAAGTAGGATTTTGTGGACTAGCCTGAAAACATAATAATGTTTTAGCATTGCCTCTGTGGAAAACTTTTTTTTTTTTTTAATGTGGAAAATTATTTTAAAGTTCCAACTACCAGCTGGGCGCAATGGCTCAGTGCCTGTAATCCTAGCACTTTGGGAGGCTAAGGCGGGCAGATCACTTGAGGTCAGGAGTTCGAAACCAGCCTGGCCAACGTGGTGAAACTCCATCTGTCTCTACTAAAAATACAAAAATTAGCCAGGCATGGTGCCTCGTGCCTGTAATTCCAGCTACTTGGGAGGCTGAGGTAGGAGAATCTCTTGAACCCAGGAGGGGGAAGTTACAGTGAGCCGAGATTGCGCCACTGCATTCCAGCCTGGGCGACAGAGTGCGACTCTGTCTCAAGAATAAATAAATAAATATTCTTAAAAAAAATTTCTAACTACCAGGTTGCAAAGTTTTGAAGATGGGCAAAGAAGGTCTGTAGTTTGTCGGAAAGCTATTAACAGTTTTCACTCTGCAGTAATTTCTGCATGCCTTAAATCAGTTATTATGTTAAGTGGCCAGCACTCTTTATATTTAGGCTTTTGGAGAAATAAATAATTAGCATAAAAGTAGTCACTGTATTTAAAGAATTTCTTCTCTATGAAGAGGCAAGGTGTACTAGAGACAGAGTACAAGGCAATATGTAATCAACCACCTGATGGATTGTAAGATGAAGATTAAAGTGTGAGGATTTTTATTTCAGAGAATGCTTGTTGAAGAGAAGAACATAGGAAAGGCTTTGTGGGAGGTACAGATCTTGTACTTAGCTATCAGGTGTCTATATATATAGTTAGTAGAATGCCATTGAAAGGTATCACAGCTTCTCAGATAACTGAGGATAGAAAATTCAACTGGTGTAAAGAAAAATGCACCATATATGTCAAGTCAGTTAAGCTGATGGGTTCATATGTAGGATTCTGTGCACGGTGTATTTCAATGAAGCAGCATGACATAGGAAAGCTTTTTTTGTTTGGGACAGCTCTGAGCAGGTGGTTTAGAAGCAGTTGACATTAGCTTTGTCAGATAGTTTGGGAGTGGAGAGTGCTATTGCAGGGTAAACTCTGAATATTTTTTGTTCTTAAAGTAATAAAATATTGGTTGTTAGCCCATTTTCCTTCTTTCGCAGGTAAAAAACATGAAGCAGATGAGTTGAGTGGAGATGCTTCTGTGGAAGATGATGCTTTTATCAAGGTAAAGTGTTAATTACTCAGGTTAAGATGCTTATTTTAAGCCTAGTATTTTGCATCATGAATTTTGTGCTTTTTGTTGAACAATGGTCACTGAAGTATGTAGGTTAAAGATAAAGACCTATGTAATATTGACAACGTTTAATATTGTCAATCTCATTAACTCTCATAATTGAGAAATATAGTAAATAACTTTTTCTTTAGTTAAATGAGATACAAAAGCTAAAATTAATAATCTCTCCAGGCCTTTAGGTAGAAAGCTGGCCAGGGGAATAGCTACGAGACAATTGATATACATGTTAGTTCCTGGATGAGATATCACAGGGAAGGATATTGGTAATTTGTTTTTTATCTGCCATTGCATTTAGCTTTTGTATATAATATACAGAACTTAGATTAATGTAGACCTTAAAATACACAGAGAAAATTGCTGATGTGTTACTACTTGGTAAAGATCAAATTAAGGGCCAGGCGCCGTGGCTTACGCCTGTAATCCCAGCACTTTGGGAGGTCTAGGCGGGCGGATCACTTGAGGTCAGGAGTTTGAGACCAGCCTGGCCAACATAGTAAAACCCCATCTCTACTAAAAATACAAAAATTAGCCAGGTGTGGTGGCGCATGCCTGTAATCCCAACTACTTGAGAGGCTGAGGCAGGAGAATCGCTTGAACTCGGGAGGTGGAGGGTGCAGTGAGCCGAAATTGTGCCAGTGCATTCCAGCCTGGGTAACAGCAAGACTCCGTCTCAAAAAAAAAAAAAAAGAGAGAGAGAGAGATCAAATTAAGAAATTTATTTTGCCCTTTAAAGATAAATAAGCTAGGCCTTTTGGGGCCGAAAATGAGTGTATTTCAAAACTGGCTGGCCAGAAAAATTATGGATGTAATTTTAATTGGGGTTGTGGCAGTTCTATATACTACAGCTATAGAACAAGCTATTTTTAATTGTAGTTAGGGTTTTTTAATTTTTTTTTTATTTTAATGAAAAGTGATCTACTGCTTATTAGGTCTTAAGTATTGTGGTATTTGCAGGAATTATTTCATGAGTATAGTTCCTCTTGAATTATATACATTTATGTCCCCATATATTCTGTTTTCTGGGTAAAACTAGTCCATATTGTCATCATGTCTCTCGATGTTTGTGTTTTCCATAGAGTCAGCTCATGTTCATTTACCCACCCATCTCTCCTGCCTCCTAGCTCTCTTCACTCTCCACGCTGCACACACACACACAGACACAACCCCACCCCCAAAAGATGTTTTGTTGAGGAGTTAGCCCTGAAATCAGTTAATTTTAGGAACTGTTTGCCCAGGGATCCGTTAAAATTGATGATTGCATGCCTGTAATCAGCTTGTGTTTGAGCCTTTAAGTTTTGGTATTCTGTTACCCTTACTATATATCTTCCATCAGGTTTGTTCCTTTGTTCCTATTTTCTCCAGTTGTCTTCACCAGTAAGTGTATGATTAAGCAAAGATTATCCATAAGCTGTAAAAACATTGTGACTCAGTAAAAAATCTTTTACTTTTCAAATTTGTTTCTTTCAGCTCTTCAGTTTATAAAAATGTTACAGTCATTTGAAATGGCCTAAGGAGATATATACGTCTATTGAGACGAACAATAGTACTGTCTCTTATATGTGCCACAAAGGATGCTTTTGTGTTATGATTAAATAAACCTGGTCATAATGTCTAAAAGAACAAGGGAACTTTTTTTTTGTTTTTGTTTTTGTTTTTGTTTTTGTTTTTGTTTTTTGAGATGGAGTCTCGCCCTGTTGCCCAGGCTGGAGTGCAGTGGTGCGATGTCAGCTCGCTGCAACCTCCACCTCCCAGGTTCAAGAGAGTCTCCTGCCTCAGCCTCCCAAGTAGCTGGGATTACCGGCTTACCGCACCAGGCCCGGCTAATTTTCGTATTTTAGTAGAGACGGGGTTTCACCATGTTGGCCAGGCTGGCCTCGAACTCCTGACCTCATGATCCACCCGTCGGCCTCCTAAGATGCTAGGAATACAGGTGTGAGCCACCATGCCCAGCCCTAGGAGCTTTTTAAAAATTCTGTGTAAAGATATCTTCAGTTTATTTTTGGAAGTATCAACATATGTGATGTATTTGATAGAAATTAAGTGAATATATTTTCTCATCTCCCACAGTTGATAATTTTGGAATTTATACAGTAATGGTTGGTAAATATCACCTATTGCCTAAATACCAGAATAGTATAGAAATTGCTTCTGTAAATAAGTGAGGAGATTGGTCAAAGTTGGCACCTTAGAATAGGTGAAGTTTCCTTGGTAACTTCCCTTGATCTTTCTTGCACCTATTCTTCTGCCATAATACAGCCATGTACTCCATTTTCATCCCCTCACGCTCCCCTACTCATGCTGTAGTACATTTGGTCAAACAAGAGATCCCCTGCTCCCCAAGGACTCCACCTTCCAAAACAGTCATATTCTCTATGCCCACCTCTCGATAGAAATTTCCATTTCCTCACTGCAGTTTGGCTGTGAATGATTAGTAGTCATGCCTCTGCCTCTTTCACCTTTTAACCCAGAAACCTTTTCTTAAATCTGCTGGATTTACCGTAAGAACAGGAAAAAAGGAAGTAATGTTTATTGCTTTCACCCCTTTTCTCTTCATTTAATCAGGAAATTAAGCAGATTGCTGATTTTGTTTTCACTGAAGTACCATATATTCATAAACTTTGAAGGACAAACAGATCCAATCCCAACCTATGTTCCTCTTCCTAATTGACATTTGGCACAGTGGTAGATTTCAAAACAAATACATTTCAATTAGTTATTTGCATATTTTTCAAGAACAGACATTGATGCAGCAGTTGGGAGTTCTTTATTATTAGAAATAAACTTTGTTTTAATGTATAAGACTTCCGAAGTCTTTGAAGTTAAATCAACATATGGCACATGGAAAAATGAAGCCGTATTTTTTGGACAGCTTCTAGAAGCTGGCTTGGTAAATATTAAATAACTGGAATTTAGAGCATCTCTAGCAGCAATTTGATTAGTGTGCATTTTAGTGTGAGAAATTTGAGAACTCAGATTCGTGTTTGATGATCTTGGTATTAGACCTATTTTTAAAGACACAGTAAATATATAAGGTAAAATGAATGAACTTTGGGAATATTAAAATATGATCAAATTTGACACATTTAAAGGTGTAAATTACCAAAAACGTTTGGTGGATAGCCCACACTACTTTGCCTCTAGTTGTACCAAATTTTCTTACCATTAAAAGGACTGTGAATTGGAGAATCAAGAGGCACATGAGCAAGATGGAAATGATGAACTAAAGGACTCTGAAGAATTTGGTGAAAATGAAGAAGAAAATGTGCATTCCAAGGAGTTACTCTCTGCAGAAGAAAACAAGAGAGCTCATGAATTAATAGAGGCAGAAGGAATAGAAGATATAGAAAAAGAGGACATCGAAAGTCAGGTCTTTAGCCAGTTTTTTTTAAAACATGACACAGATAAATTAAGTTTTAAATAATAAAAAGTATTTTTTTCTAGTTCAATTTGGAAGTCTCAGAATTTTTAAAAGATGTGTTACTAAAGCTACTTATAAGTCATCTAAAATCCTACCACCTTAGGCAACCTTTTAAATTTTTGCTTATTTCATATAATATATATTTATACATAGTTGTTATAGAGTAAGTTCCTATTTATTCTGTATTTTCACATGACGTATAATTTCATAATTTCCCCATAATTTATTAGACTGCTTTCTACATATCTAATAGACACTCCTTTAATTTTGGACATTTTAAGTTTTAAGGCTTTTTTCCTACTCCACGATGAATGAATGTACCAATTTCATTCTGGCATTGCCAACATTACTTGGTGGTAGGGTTTTTTCCCCTTTCTGCTACCTTAGCAAGTATAAAAGGTTACTTTAATTTACATTTCTTTGGTTATATCAAGGGTGGGGAATTACTTATGAAAGTTTAATTTTAAAGCAGATAATATTTCAAATATTTTCTTTGAAATAGACCATTTGTCCTGCCTTGAAGTATGTTAGTACATTTTAAGAAAGTCAGTGGGTTAAGGAGTCAGTGCTGTTAGTATTCATGCTTAAAACACTTCCCTTCTACCTACCCTAATAAATGAGGGGCTCAAGAGAAATATTTCTAATTCTCTAGCGACATGGCTAATTTTTTTTGGCATAAAAAATATAGTCTGAATATTAAGCATTGATTTAGTACCCATGGTATCGCAGATATTATACAGAACACAAGGCAAATGATAATCAGGTGTAAGCATAAAAGCATTCTCACGTTACCCCGATATTTTATAAAGCAAAGCTATTGTATACCCTTTTACTTAGGAAATTGAAGCTCAAGAAGGTGAAGATGATACCTTTCTAACAGCCCAAGTAAGTTTACATTTAGTCCTATGAATTCGATATTGTGGGTGGACGGGCTTGGAAAAGGAATCTTATTTTGACTTCATAATTCTTTAATTCATATAACTGTCTTAAATTTAATACTGAGTTATTTACGTGATGTACACAAAGTACTTAAAACTATTGGCAAGGTCGGGCGCGCTAGGTAGCTCACGCCTGTAATCCCAGCACTTTGGGAGGCCGAGGCGGGCGGTTCACGAGGTCAGGAGATCGAGACCATCCTGGCTAAGATGGCGAAACCCCGTCTCTACTGAAAATACAAAAAATTAGCTAGGCGTGGTGGCGGGCACCTGTAATCACAGCTACTCAGGAGGCTGAGGCAGGAGAATGGCATGAACGCAGGAGGTGGAGCTTGCAGTGAGCCGAGATTGCACCACTGCACTCCAGCCTGGGCGACAGAGTGAGACTCTGTCTCAAAAAAAAAAAAAAAAACTATTGGCAGCTGAAATTTTTGTTGCCAGAAAAATAATTGGAGTTACTATGAGTTTCCTGTCATTTTCAGAGTTTTAGAAAAAAGTCCATCCTTTCTGTAAAACCTAACTCTGGTTACTAGTCTTTTGAGAAGTCTACATTCTTCTTGATTTTTTTCTTGTCACTTGATATAAAATAAGTCATTTAAAAGTACTAATATCCTTTTCAAAGCTTTATTTGAAATTTTGTTAATGTAACACTCCTACAACAGGCATAGTCTAAAAATGATTAAAAATTTCTAGAAATTTACTTGGGGTGTGTGTGTATTGAAAATGACTGCACTTCACTGTGTAACAACGTGTTGCTGCTATATGTGATACACATAGTGTACATTTTAAAGTGACTTACAGATGCTGTAAGCAGACATCTATAGATCAGTTTCTACATAAAAATTATCCATTGTCTTTTTCTCATATCTGTGACTAAAGAACCCTTTGTTTTTGTGTCCTTAATTTTTTATTTTTATTTTTAATCTTATAAAAACCAGAGAGGGTTTGGTGGTTTTGATCTGAGTTGGTTTTCATCTGATAAATGCATGCATCCCCCGTGAAGGGAGTCAGCGCCCATTGGTATGTGTTAGCTCTAGAATTAGCACAGTTACCCAAGTAGGACAGGATTATGTCCTCTTTAAATGGTGTACTTTCAAATAGAGATATGGGTTCCTTTGTTTACTAGATTCAGAAAAAATAATGAGGAGGTCAGTTATTTCCTCTGGGTAGTATTTCCTAGAAGAGTACTTGGGCTTGTGTTTGTGGACTACTTAGTTGATTGTCTCAGCATGCTTTCTTTTCTGCAACACTCTTGCCTTTGAAATGCTAGTGAGCCACAAATGCTTCTGAGGCTATATATTGCCTCTCTGTCACAGTGGAGGAGAAGTTGTATTTTGGAGAAAAATTGCATTTCTGGGAGAAATGTTGCTGATCATTTGGAATATTCGGGAAGGAAATATTAGAATGGTGAAAGTCTGTAGGCCTGTCCCTAAGTACATTGATTTCCTAGTGATAAAGAATCTATGAGGGGCCAGGCATGGTGGCTCACACCTGTCATCCCAGCACTTTGGGAGGCCGAGGCAGGCAGATCACAAGGTCAGGAGTTGGAGACAAGCCTGGCCAATATGGTGAAACCTGGTCTCTACTAAAAATACAAAAAATTAGCCAGGCCTAGTGTTGGACACCTGTAGTTCCAGCTGCTCAGGAGGCTGAGGCAGGAGAATGGCTTGAACCTGGGAGGTGGAGGTTGCAGTGAGCCGAGATTGTGCCACTACACTCCAGCCTAGGCAACAGACCGAGACTTGTCTTGAAAAAAAAAAAAAAAAAAAGAATCTATGAGAAAAATTAACTCTCAAATTGAGAGAGTACCTTTTCTAGATTACTGATTTGCAAAAAGGGGAAGTCGAGGTCTTTATATTATTTGGCAGCTAGATATTAGCTTCTGTCAAGGACTACTCCTATAGTTTTGCACTTTGTGAGTTGCATGAAGGCATCATAGCTAAGGATCCCCACTTAAATAATAAACTTCATTACGAACAATTTTTAAACAGATGGAAATATATCTGAAGGAAGAACAGTTATGTATTTCTTATCAGGGAGCAAGATTTTGCCATATTGTATCAAAAGATGAGGTTACATTTTTAGAGAAGTTTTCTTTAAAATGACCTTTTTCCTCTTTCTAAATAATGTCTAGTGGAACATCTAGAAACATAAATGTATCTAGGTTCCATTATGATCTAATGCTTCTAAACATGCTTACTGAGTATATTACTATGTGCATTCAGGGATACTGCATAGTGTAACAATCACCTCGCTTCAGCTGTTTTCAAATAATGGCCAGTCTTATTTTCCCCTATGCCTCTGTTTACTTTCTCCCTTCTGCATTATTTTGAAACAAATCCAAACATATTTCCCTTGAAAATTTTCAATATGTATCTCTAAAAGAGAACTCTTATTTTTTATATTAGCACTCCTAAAATAAAAATTTTAATATTATGAAACATACAGTTAGGATTCAAATGTTCAATTTTCTGTAGATTTTTCTCTATTATATGCTGTTTAAATCCAGATACCAGTAAGATCTGTATGTTGTGATTGATTGAAATGTTTTAGGAGGTTTTCCCTTCCATCTGTTTTCCTCTTACTATTTTATTTGTTGAAAAAAGCAACTTGCTTATCCCATAGAGCAAGGGTTGGCAAAAACAGGCATCTCATGTAGTTTGCCAGTTGCTGCTATAGAGCTTCCAAGGCCTGGATTTTGCTGATTACATTCCTGTGGTGGTGTTCAACATATTCCTTTGTTTATTGTATTTTTTGTAAATTGTTAAGGTGGTTGTAGCATCTAGAGGCTTGCTCTCAGATTCAGCGTTAACACCCCACTCCAGCACACACACAGCCACCTCATAGGTGTAGTACTGTATTCTTCTATTTGGATGCACATAATATCTGGTTGTCTTTTTGTGATGGTACCAGTCATTGATGATTCATACCCAATTAGGGGTTGCAGAGGGATGCTATTCTAATTCTATCATTCTTCTTTATTGGTTGGACTGTTTCTAGAAAGAGAAACTTTCCCTTATTTACTATTTGGTTACCCAGTGGTATCATTTACACAGGAAAGCCAGGATATATGTTTGATTCTTTCCTTTTTATTTACCAATTTTCAGAATATTGAGCTGCTTCACTGGCATCTCTGACAGTGGCCAGTTAGTTCTTAATTTTTCCTTTTTTCCCCTTTAGATTCATTTTGAACTCATGGATTTGAATATATGTAATGTATTTTGGTCCATCGCAGTTATTATCCTTAATGCTTAAATTGTTCCATACAGTGAGAGCCTCATCAAGTTGGCTCTTGAGTCTTCTCAACATGATCCTAGTAGACTTTGATTGATTCCTTGCTTGCTGGTATGTAAAGATGTGCCATTTCCTGCTCTAGACCTATAATTAGGCATTTCTTCTTTATAGTGGTAAATGGTATTTCAAGACAACAATCTAGGTGGTGGAGGTGTTCGCTACTACTGAATTGTTCATTGTTTCTAGGTCTTTTCAATGTACAATGCTAGAGAAAATGTTGGAGTTGTTTTCTTTGTTTTTGCTTATTTTTACTTTTAAGATAAAATAGACCTTCAATTCATACGTTAGTTCCAAGATAACCATTTATCTCACGGTACACATACAACAACTTTAGAATGATAATACCAACACTACCACCAATGTAGTTACTGAAAGTAATTTAAGATTTTTTTAAGACATATTTTTTGCAAGGGTGTTTCCCTCTGGGGATGAACACTGTGTTTTAAGTTCTTTCCGTTCTGTGTGGTTGTATCACCCACTGATACATATCTAGGTTGATTTGTTTCATTTATTTTCAGTATTTAGGTATTGCTTTTGAAAGTTTAGTCTGGGCTGGGTGTGGTGGCTCCTGCCTGTAATCACAGCACTTTGGAAGGTTGAGATGAAAGGATTGCTTAAGGCCAGGAGTTCGAGACCAGCCTGGGCAACATAGTAAGACCCTGTCTCTATAAAAAAAAAATTTTAAATAGCTGGGTATGGTGGTCTGTGCCTGTAGTCCCAGCTACTCAGGAGGCTGAGGCTGGAAGATCACTTGACCCCAGGAGGTCAAGGCTGCAGTGAGCCAAGATCACACCACTGTACTCCAACCTGGGCAATAGAGCAAGACCCTATCTCAAAAAACAGTAGAAAATTTAATCTGGCTGGATGCAGTGGCTCATGCCTGTAATCCCAGTACTTTGGGAGGCTGAGGCGGGCTGATCACTTGAGCTCAAGAGTTCAAGACCAGTCTGGGCAACAAGGCAAACCCCCATCTCTACAAAAAATACAAAAGTTAGCTGGGTGTGGTGGTGCACACCTGTGGTCCTAGCTACTCAGGAGGTAGACCGAGGTGGGAGGATTGCTTGAGTCCAGGAGGTTGAGGCTGCAGTGAGCCGTGATTGTGCCACTGCACTCAATCATGGGCAACAGAGCAAGACTCTGTCTTAAAAAAAAAAAAGAAAGAAAAAGAAATTATGTATATGTACACACACACACACACACACACACACACACACACGCAGCATGTTTATATAGGGATATATCTATTTCAGGAGCCAGTCCTCAGGCTTTGACTAGAAGTTAAAATCTTTAGGCATTAGCCTCTAGGAAGTTATACTAGGTAGACTTTAGTTCAGATTCTACTTCTATTAGTTAATTACAATACTGTGATTGTGGCAGGTTCTCTATTAGTCAATTTCTATGTCTACAAAATGATTATAATTCTTACTCAGTTGATATAGGGATTAATCATAGATTCTGATGTAGTATATGTGCAATTAGTAGTCATTTGTAGTGTTGTTTTACTAGCTTGAATATACTGCTTACTTGAGAAGTTTCTGGAGCTTTTTCTCTAAAATCTTGTTTGCTAATACTTTAATTTTGTTGTTGTTGTTGTTGTTGAGACCTGGTCTTGCTCTGTCGTCCAGGCTGGAGTGTGGCGACGCGATCTCCCCTGACTGCAGCCTTGACCTCCTGGGCTCAAGTGATCACCGCACCTCAGTCTCCTGGTAGCTGGGACTACAGGCGTGCGCCACCACACCCGTCTGACTTTTGTATTTTTTGTAGAGATGGGGGTTCGCCTTGTTGCCCAGTCTGGTCTCAAACTCCTGAGCCCAAGCAGTCCACCCATCTCGGCCTCCCAAAGTATTTGGATTACAGGTGTGAGCCATCATGCCTGGCTTTAATATGCTTTTATTCTTAAAAATTTCCTCTAGTTTCAAGAACCTCTTCAGTCTATAACATCATGTATATTCCTTTTTCTATTTGCCTTTGCACCTAATGTTTCACTAACATGAAAAATCTTACTTTTTGTTATATAAAAATCTGTATACCTCTCACAGCCAGATTCACCTCTTATCTCCTCCACAAAGCTTTCTTTCATCTCTCTCTTTTATGTAGTGCTTTACTATTCACAGAGAGCTTTTTATATCCATTACCTTACTCAATCCTTGATATATCTTATATGGTTCACATGTGAACTCCATTTTATAGGTAAATTCATCTAGATAGATGACATATCACAGAGTAAAACTATTTCAGTGATAACGACAGGGTAAATACCTAGGTGTGATGATGCCTAGTCTGATATTCTTTTCACTAAATAACTCCACACTAGGAAATGTTTTCTGAGTTCTATCGTACTTAACATAGTGCCAAAGTTAAGTGCTTCAGATACATGAAAATCAAGCAGTTAGTTCAGTCTTTCCAGCTAAAAACAGCAGTCTTACACTACATTTATTTAGTAAATTCATTCAACAAGTATTTTTTGAGTACTTATGTGCCAAGCATTTTGTATTTCCCATGATGTTTAGCATATTCCCCGATAGGTAAGTAGTGGTTTAAAAGTTATTTTGAAAGTTTGTTTTAAATGTCAGTCTGAATACAGTGTTTACATTTCAAGCCAGGGGAAAGGAGGTCTTCTTGCTTAGCCTATACATGTACAGATATCATAAGATAACCTATGGGGAGTAGTAGAATTGGATATGTAGTAAATACTTGGTTCACTGAAAAATAAGTCCTAGGCTTGTCTTTGTCTCTTAGTAGTCATTGCTGCTTCTAGGATGAAATGAAAGTAAATAAAGGAGCTTTATGTATTTTAGCATTTGACTAAGGATTGCACATCCCACTGTGAAGATAAACAACATGAGTACTTACCTTGTAGACATTTGCTTCATCTTCATATGTGAAATTTTTTTTTCAAGACAAACTTGAGTGGTTAATTTAAAAAGATGCTTTACATTTGACAAATAAATGTTTTACATTTACTTGCTATATTCCTCATTTGGAAAAAAAATCTGTTTTCAGTGGGAGAAATTGTTTTCAAATAGTTGCATATCATGTCTGTGCATATATACCATTTAGACAGGGAAAGTTTCCCATTGTATTTCTTGGTTTGTTTCCTTATTGCAAGTATTTTGGATTCTTATTTAGGACTTATGGTTAGTGCTATGCTTGCTGCACATACTGCACAGTAAAATCAATAGGCATTTACGTGTGGTTCATCTTTTCTACTTTACCCAAGTTGTTTTTGTGCTCCAACCACATTGTAATCAGTTTTGTTTTCTAGAAGCTGGGTCAGACCATTTCCTACCGGCATATAAATGTATGTCATAAAGTTTGCCTTTAAATTATGAAACCCTTCAGAAGACATGCTGAATTATTAAGATAAATATCTAAAAATTCTCCAGCAAGTAAGACAAACCTTACTAGTTACTTTAGCAACTAGAAATAACATTATAATTGACAGGAACTACAATAGAATACAGTTTTTTTTTTTACATCATAGTATTTTTACTATTTTACTTTTTAAAATAGCCAATAATTTGGACATGTTATGTTTTTTTCTTGAAGCTATCAGTTTTGCATCTCTAAAACAATAACTTGGAAGTGGTGTGCTCTTCGCATCTGAGGTAGATAAGGGGAGTCAAACTGCATTCTTTTTTAAAAAATTATTTATTTTTTTAAAATATATTTTTCTAAAATAGAGATAGGGTTTTACTAGGTTGCCCAGGCTGGTCTCAAACTCGTGGCCTCAAGCAAACCTCCTGCCTCAGCCTCCTAAAGTGCTGAGATTACAGGCATGAGCCACCACGCCTGGCCACATGTTGCATTCTTTAAGTTAATTTAGTCTGCTTTAAATACAAGCTCAGGTGTCTCAGTTTATTTATTCCTTCAACAAAAATTACTAAACTAAAAGAGAATGTGAAAGAAAAAGATTTATCCATAATTCAAGCATAACTCATTCTTTCCTTGCTGTCTCTGTCTACCATTCCACCCAAGTTAAAGCGTTTTTCTTTCCTTTCCAAATATTGCAAATTGGACACATAATGCTTAAAAGTAATATTCTAGTAAAACAATTTATTAAGACATTCTTACAGGCTGGGTGCAATGGCTCCTGCCTGTAATCTCAGCACTTTGGGAAGCCGAGGCAAAAGGATCACTTGAGGCCAGGAGTTCAAGACCAGCCTGGCCAACATGGTGAAACACCATCTCTACTAAAAATACAAAAATTGGCCGGGCATGGTGGCTCACGCCTGTAATCCCAGGACTTTGGGAGGCCGAGGCAGGCGGATCATGAGGTTGGGAGTTAGAGACCATCTTGGCCAACAAGGTGAAACCCCATCTCTACTAAAAATACAAAAATTAGCTGGGCGTAGTGGTACGCACCTGTAATCCCAGCTACTTGGGAGGCTGAGGCAGGAGAATTGCTTGAACCAGGGAGTCGGAGGGTTCAGTTAGCCGAGATCGCACCACTGCACTCCAGCCTGGGAAGCAGAGCGACACTCAGTCTCAGAAAAACGAAACAAAACAGACAAAAAAAAATTGGCCGGGTGTGGTGGTGCATACTGGGAAGGCTGAGGCATGAGAATCCCTGGAACCCGGGAGGCAGAGGTTTGCAGAGAGCTGAGATCGTGCCACTGCACTCCAGCCTGGGCTGACGGAGTGAGACTCTGCCTCAAAAAAAAAAAAAAAAAATTCTTAGAGCACAGTATAATGGTCTTAGATAGTGATCGAATTTACACTGTTATCAATTGATCATTTACTTGTTCTGGACTATTTTACTTCTTAGCTTATGGCCGAGCTTTTTAGTATTTTTAGTTTCCTTCATGTTACTTTAGTTGTAAAATAGTTAGTCATTCCCTAATTGGCACACTTTAACTTAGTCCAAATATCATTTATTAATAAAATGACTTCATAGAAATTATTGTTGGCCGGGCGTGGCAGCTCATGCCTGTAATCCCAGCACTTTGGGAGGCCGAGGCAGGTAGAGCACCTGGGCTCAGGAGTTCGAGACCAGCCTGGGCAACATGGTGAAACCCTGTCTTTGCCAAAAAAAAATATCAAAAAAATTAGCCAGGTGTGGTGGCATACACCTGTGGTTCCAGCTACTCGGGAGGCCGAGGCCGGAGGATCAACTTGAGCCTGGGAGGCAGAGGTTGCAGTGAGCTGAGATCACACCACTGCACTTCAGCCTGGGTAACAGAGTGAGACCCTGTCTCTCACACAGACACAAGTTTGAAAAAGAAAGAGAGAGAGAAAATACTTAAAAAAAGAAATTATTATCCAAATGTACTTTTGAGCACATTGTAAAATATTTGACATTTTAAGAAGTGCATGCTTTTATATGAATCTAAAATTGTATTATAAATAAGCTGTTTACAGTTCTACGTACATTTCCATTTTTTTCGTCTTTTTTCACTAAGGTTGTCACTCTGTAAAGGCAGCAATGCTCAGTGTTTGCGCTGTACCAGCAGCATTAGTTTCACCTGGAACCTTGTTAGAGATGCACATTCTTTTTTTTTTTCCATTTTAATCTTTTTATTATTATTATTATTATACTTTAAGTTTTAGGGTACATGTGCACAACGTGCAGGTTTGTTACATATGTATACATGTGCCATGTTGGTGTGCTGCACCCGTTAACTCATCATTTAGCGTCAGGTATATCTCCTAATGCTATCCCTCCCCCCTCCCCGTCAGATGCACATTCTTAAGCCTCATTCCAGACCTTCTGAATCAAAATCTGTGTTTTGTTTTAACAAGCCCTCCAGGGGATTCTGATGCATGCTCAAGTTTGAGAACCACTGCTCTAAGGCTTTGTATGTGGTAATTTTACAACAAGCTTCACATCACCTGACTTTAAACAGCGTACTTCTGCTTAGTTTTCTAAGCAGAAGTTATTAAAGGCCAGGCACGCTGGCCCATGCCTGTAATCCCAGCACTTTGGGAGGCCGAGGTGGGTGGATCACCTGAGGTCAGGAGTTCAAGACCAGCCTGGCCAACATGGTGAAACCCCGTCTCTACTAAAAATAGAAAAATTAGGCTGTGTACGGTGGCTCAGCTTGTAATCCAAGCACTTTGGGAGGCTGAGGCGGGTGGATCACGAGGTCAGGAGATCGAGACTGTCTTGGCTAACATGGTGAAACCCCATCTCTACTAAAAATACAAAAATTAACTGGGTGTAGTGGCACACGCCTGTAGTCCCAGCTACTTGGGAGGCTGAAGCAGGAGAATCGCTTGAACCCGGGAGGCGGAAGTTGCAGTGAGCCAAGATCGCACCACTGCACTCCAGCCTGGGTGATAGAGGGAGACTCTGTCTCAAAAAATAAAAAATAATAATAATAAAAAATTAGCTGGGTGTGGTGGCAGGTGCCTGTAATCCTAGCTCCTTGGGAGGCTGAGGCAGGAGAATTGCTTGAACACAGGAGGCGGAGGTTGCAGTGAGCTGAGATCATGCCACTGCACTCCAGCCTGGTGGACAGAGCAAAACTCTGTCTCAAAAAAAAAAAACAAGACAAAACATACAAAACAAGTTATTAAAACATTTGGTAGGGCACAGTGGCTCACACCTGTAAATCCTAGAACTTTGGGAGGCTGAGGCAGGAGGAACGCTTGAGTCTGGGAGTTCCAGACCAGCCCGGGCAACATAGCAAGACCTCGTCTCCACTTAGAATTAAAAAAAAAAAATTCGCTGGACATGGTGGCACACATCTGTAGTCCCAGCTACTCAGGAGGCTGTGGCAGGAGGATCACTTGAGCCCAGGGGTTGAGGCTGCAGTGAGCTATGATTATGCTGCTGCACTCTAGCCTGGACGACAGAGTAAGGAACCTGTTTAAAAAAAAAAAAAAACAATCAAAACATTTCTTAAGCCAAGCGTAGTGGTTTGCATCTGTAATCCCAGCTACTTGGGAGGATAAGGTGGGAGAATCAGCTTGAGGCCAGGAGTTCGAGACCGCCTGAGCATCAATAGCAAGACTTGTCTCTAAAAAATAAAATGATTCTTTAATTTTTTCAGTTATTGAGATTATAATGCATATTACTTTATTCTTTATAGTCTTATATTTGGGAAAATGTTGGTTCTATGTTGGTTTGATTACTTCAGTGATGTTTGCATTATTTGCTTGGTAGAACAAATTAAGCTTCTCCCTTCCCTTTATGACTCTTCTGTTTTTAAGCTAGCACATTCTTAATTTTAATTTTAGCCAAACTGTCAAATATGTTAAAATTAAAGTCATATTTTAAAAATGTGAGGGTTAACTTGTTTTAATTACTTGTCACACAAATACCATTTTAAAATTGGCTTTGCCATCGGTATATGTGTGACAACTATGAACTTTTTTTTTTTTTTGAGACAGGGATTTACT